>NC_000002.12:66667625-67292625 GCF_000001405.40 Homo sapiens
GAAGGGTTTTGCCAAAGTAATATGCTTTCCAGTATGAATCCTTTTCAGGGAACTTTTGGTTGTTTCTCTCATCATTACACGGGGTATCAAGCTGAAAGCTTTGCTATCCTGGCTACTGAATCCTCAGTCACAGTAAAGTTTTAATTTTAGATTTTACTAGCATTGAAAATGTGGCAATAAGACACATAAACAGGACATCTAATCCATGAAGTCTTTTCAGGGGCAGGAAAATTGCTTCTCTGTGGTACAAGGGAGATTTTCTATCTGCCACTTGGAAAACTTGTATGAAATAAACCCCAATTTGGGATGTTTTTGGAGGGCAAAGGGTGATGTCCCCTATCTGATTGGACTTAGTGGTACATTTTAACCTGTGATTTATGCAACTTGACATTGAGGTTCATTTAGCTCAAATTACAAGTAAAGTAATTCAATCCCTAATGAAGTGTACCCTGCATGACATATTGACCATGGGAGCTGACAATCATTGCTTTAAAACAGACATAGGTTCCATTTTCTTTTGTCATTCAAAGTAGGTTATCAGTTAATAAACTTAAAACAGGGCCTGCTGACCTGCCATTCTTCCAGAAGTATTTTATTAGAGCATCAGAAAAGCACATACCAAAATTTACATTGTAATGGAAAAAAGAGTAAAAAACTGCATGAACTCACTGTTGTTCAGAGGAATAGCTTTTCCATGCATTTATACAAGTTCCTTCCAACTTTTTATTTTGGAAATCTTCAAACCTATAGAAAAGCAGAAAACATAGTAACATGAACAGCTGTGTACTCTTCGCTTGGATTAATCAGTTGTTAATATTTTGTCACATGTGTGTACTCTCTCTTTCACGTGTACACACACACAGACACACAATTTTAAAGTAAATTACAGACATCATGACACTTCACTCCTAAATACTTTAGCATGAATCATCTAAGAATCAGGACATTCTTCTATATTACCAAAATATCATTATCATACACCTAAGAAAATTAACAATTCAACAACATAATCTAATATAAAGTCTGTATTCCAGTGTCCTCAATAGTCTCCAAAATGTATTTTAAACTTATCTTTTAAAAATGAGAATGCAATAAAAAATTTCACCTTGCATTTGGTTGTTATGCATTTATACATAATTTTGTGGGGAATAAAAATGAAAACAAAGGAGCTTTGAGCCACAGTGATTGAAAGCACAGTGATACAGTGTTGGTTATGTCTTATGCCAAAGTATTCTTCAAGGATCTCTCTTATAAAGTATGTAACCCATGATAGTGGTCATTTTTTTTTCCAAAATGTTTCAATCAGTACCCCATTTTACTGTATTTAAATTGGTAGGCACATGGAATATGCTATTACCTATTCATATTTTTAGAAACCTCAGTCTCATTGAAGAGTTGAGTGTTTTATTCTGTTTCCATATAAACTGTAGGATTAGAGTTCCAAATCTAGAGGATTTGTTCCAACTCCACTCAAAAAGAAAAAAAAACATGATCTTTCCTGCATAAAATGTTTTTCAGCATTATGTTTAGAATGAATTATGTTTCAAATAATTGAATTTTCTTCTAATTTAGACTTTTCCTTATTCTCCTGAAAGCAAAATGTGTTGTAATTAAAAATGGAAAGAAAAATGAATATTCACTAGGGAAAATGTAATTGTTTTATTACTGCCATGGACATTTGGAGATCAAGTTTAAGAAAATGTGGTTGAATTCAGTGTTGCAAGTGCACTTCTCATCTATAATTACACATGTCTAAGGTCTTGTAAAGTGACTATAATTGCTTTAGAGTTGAATTTAAAGGAAATATTGAGAAACTGCATTTCATGAATTACAGTTTGCATGGATCTTATGTACTTTATTTTATGTCTTTGTACTTTCATTAGCAGTGCAAAAGCTATTGCAGAAAATAGAAGAGGGGAACTATGACCTTTTATGTTCACTTTGCAGAAGATAGTAACTTGGTTTTTAAAGAAGCAAAACAATATTATCCTCTTCCATAATAAATCATAAAAAGGCTTATGAACAATGCAATATATTTTGAAACAAAAACAAAAATATCTTGTCCATTGGTGATTGCTATTGAATTTTAAAATTAGCTAGAAGTTTTTTCCTCCAGCTATATATATATATAATTACTATTTCTTTTTTTGAGATAGAATCTCGCTCTGTCACCCAGGCTGGAGTGCAGTGGTACGACCTCGGCTCACTGCAAGCTCCGCCTCCCGGGTTCACGCCATTCTCCTGCCTCAGCCTCCCGAGTAGCTGGGACTACAGGTGCCCACCACCACGCTGGCTAATTTCTTTTTGTATTTTTAGTAGAGATGGGGTTTCACCGTGTTAGCCAGGATGATCTCGGTCTCCTGTTCTCGTGATCTGCCTGCCTCGGCCTCCTTATATTTATAGTTTTTAGAGACTGCCTCACTCTGTCAACCAGTCTGGAGTGACATGATAATAGTTCACTGCAGCCTTGATCTCTTGGGCTTAAGCAATCCTCCTACCTCAGCTTCTAGAGTAGCTGGGACTACAGGTGTACCACACTGCACTGGCCAGGATCACTTCTTATTATAGAAAGTAGAATGTAGACTGGTGGTGTTGTAAGGACTGCTTACCTGTTCCGGTCCACAGGGCCTTCCACATACACACACATGTCCTGGTAGCTACACATACTTTCTATAAAGTTTAGGGTTATTCTAGCCTCTCATAAGAAAATTCTGGGCTTAAAACATAGCTTCAAAGTGCTGCACTGCTCCCATCACTAACAGATGGTCAAACTAAATACATGTCCATGTCAGCCTGGCTAAATTGGGTTGCAACTCCAACTCTAGAGTATCAATTTAGCATGTGCAGAGATCTTTAATTGTTTCACAAAAAACAAAAACAAAAACCCTAGAGCTGTCTACACAATTGTCTGTAATAAATCCAAGGTCTTCTTGGAGAAACATTTTGCCTCATACTCCCAGACGGTGCTTCACTTGGTGGGAGAATTAGGACCTTCCTTTATTATTTTTAGTTTTGAGTACCTTCTTGGAGGCAAGCTATAGAAAGAAAAGTGCACAAATGATAAGCTTAGTGAGTTTTCACCAATTGAATGTCCCTGCATAACCAGCCTCCAGATTAAAAAAAGAAAAAAAAAATCTGAACATTTCCAGCACCTAGGTGACCTCCCTCATGTCCCTTCAATTCGGGAACCCCAACAGGAACTTTAGTACCTTACTGATTGTAATCTCAGCAAATGAGCTTGCTCTACTTTTTGCCCAGTCCCATTAATTAACTCTTCTTCATTTTTAGTAACAACAGAAATGCAGATGACACGACTTCTTCATTTCTCGAAGCTATCTTCAAGGGGTTGGTAGACATGATGGGAAAACTCTTGAGTGATGCAAATGTGGCTTTTCACCTTCATGCTTGCGGAGTGACTGCTACTTCATACTCCGGAGGCATGTCCCAAAAGGATTATAATAGGGGCAGAAGGGATTGTCCTGGGGCAAGTATACAGTTGTATTGATATAGGTACCTTAGTTACAGCAGATAAAAAACTAAAATTTTCTTAGTCAAATAAGCAGAGTATTTAAATGCATTAAATGCTGGGGAAATCTATAGCTAGGAGGAAATCCTGGGTAATTAACTCTTTAAATGTCAAAAGGTAATGCGGACTTCTTTCTGTATCTACGAGTCTTACTCTCCACATCGAGTGTTACTTCTCCAACCAGAAGAATCGCTTTGTGAAATAATTTGGGCTCTCTTTCTTGCTATTAATGGGACAACAAGGAATGGGATGGGGGAGGCAGAGGGGAAGGGGCGGTCAGTTAGGCCCAGCCCTTCATGCTGATGGGTGGGCATAAAAGGAAATGGACTGGAACCATCCATACCTTTTCAAGGAGTTGTCAACTCAAACTTAAGAAAATAATTCTAGGGATGTTAATATTTTACCCTAAGCCTTTTGATTGTGCATGAAATGGAAGTGGGTGAGGTTTAGCATGTCACTGAAATTTCCCGTTGATGCATATCTACCATTCTGAGAACTGTATCCTGCCTCTTTGATTTAGTGTGACAACTGGATTTTATTTATACAATTAATTAATGTTTGCTTGACCACTTTTTTCCAATTTCTTTCCGTAGCACATAAAAGAGAACCTGATATAAATTTCTCTTTCAAAACAATTGACTTAGCAACTGCTGACCTTCTGTTCTGTCATTCTAAGGATTGATTGGATATTGTTGAATTGTTTCATTCTACAGTAATTAAACATAAAATTAATTATGCTAGTAACCCATTATTTTTCTGAACCAAGGACTAAGTCATTTGTTTTCACTTGGTTACTCAGAGAATCTGCCATTAGTTGAACAGGGAAAAGGAAATTGTACTGTTGCAAACAGAAACTAAATATTTTAAGGCATATTTTAATGGCTAAAATATAATCTGAAAGCTTCTCATTTCCATATGCACAGCATATTGAATTTGTTTAATGTAATTTAGGCCATAAATCTTTTACCTTATGATATGGTCATTTAAATATTTTCTCAGGTGGCTAATCATTTAGAAAACATGTCGAAGAAGAATATATGTTAAGAAAGAGGGGCAGGTGAATAAAACTGGAAGCATCCATAAAGCCATCATGAATCTCTAATTCTTGATTTGGTTTGCTGCTCACCTGAAATGAAATTTACTTCACAAGTCATTTCTTTGTTAGTTTTTTATAGAAAATGCTTAAAATTACCCTGATATTATGAGGATTGAATTTGGTATTGACAGGCAAACAAGTATGGCAGGACTAAATTATCAAAATGTATGTGCTGATAGAGACCAAAATAGGTTTTTACAGTTTTCATTAGTGCAGGCCATATTAATTTAATTAACTTGATTGAAGACAGTATCACTAGATGAGGCAGCAGATACCTAGCCTTGGCCTATTACTCACCCATAGGCTATAAAATGATGCACCTGACACATGGGTATGCAATCTCACATATTTCACATTTGGACTCTGCCTTTTACTGCAAGGTTCCTATGGCTTTGGAATATGTGGTGAACTTCATCAGATGAAATTCCTGATGCTTTTTACAATTCAAGATCCCAATCAGTATTTTAAACATTGAGCAAATCCTTGGCTTATACTTTTACTTTATGCAATTTGGACTGTCATATTTATTATCTAGCCTGCTGAGCACCCTGTTTCTTTATCTGACTATTGTCCTTCCTCCTTAGTTTAGACCCCTCTCCTCCTAACCTGCTTGTGGTTCTGGTTGGGTCTGTGAATCATAATAGCCCACTGTCCTGGCCACAAGAGTGTGTGCGGGGACTAAGAGAGCCAATTAATGGCTCTTTTCAGGATTTGTCTGGTTGGAAATAATAGAGAAGACCAGTTACCTACCCAACATCCATTCTTTCCTTTTCCCCTGTGAAGAAAATCCCATTAAAAAAATTGTGGCAGTGTTTCCATTTGAAAATATTCATCTCCTCACATTCTACTGGAGCCAAATGTATTCACGTTCCCATTTCTGGCCAATGTGATTCAAATGGAAGTCTGCAGTGTAGGGCTTCTGGAATGATATTGGTGTCCTGACAAAAGACTCAGCTGACAAGTGACTTTTGCACTTAATCTTCTTCCATTTTCTGCCTGAAACTTGCACACCATGGACTAGGCTTAAGCCTGCTAAGAACAATGGAGTAGGAATCGACAGGACCCTGGATAATTGATAACTGGCTCAAGTAGCTGTACCAGCCTTGGTCTACTCTGTTTCAGAATTCTTGTTATGAGAAAAATAAAACTTCTGTTTAGTTATGCTCATGTGAGTGGGTCGCTGTCATGCTCAGTAGGACATTGCCCTAATTGTTGTAATTCTTTTCCTATACTAAGGTGGCTTTGTAGAGGAGGCCAGCCTGAGAAAATGAGTCAACCTACAAAGAGCCAAGAGACCAATAGCAAGACCTGGTCTTGTGCCCTGAATTTTTACACAGCCTGGGGTTATATTATGTGAGCCTGTGCAGCCCTGCTCTGCTGAACTTTGCTAAAGTTGGTTTCTGTCACAAATACAAGAATTCTTGGAAATATGAGAATAAAAACACACTCTACGCAACAGATATTCAAAACCTTGAATTAGTTTTTCTTAGCACTAATTCCCTATTTTCTGGGATGGGAAGGAGGAGGCCTGAGTTCTTAAGCTGACAGTATAGGTTTAGGGGCTTTGGAACATCACCCAGCATTTTTGAACCTCAGTCTTCTCATCTGCGAAACAATGTGAACAGATTAGAAGTTCTCTAGGGTAGCTTCAGTTCTAAATGACTATGACTCCATGCACATTTTCCACAAATATGGGCTGGAAGGGGAGGATGTAAAATACAGAATTCAATTATGAAAGAAATGTACTCAGAGATTTACCATAAACACCTACTCCTACAGAGTAATAAAAAAAAGAAAGTTACAGCACAAGTAGAGATTTTCTGTGGATGAGGTTGCACAGGCTCTGGTTATCAGTCTATAAAGGTAGTGTGCACAGAGTTAGGGAAAGAAACAGACTTTTCCTCAGGATTAAATTACTTCTAAGCATTGATTTTTAGATCTGAAGAAGACTTTCATCCTCAAATATGAAAACTATCATACTAATAACAATAATTACAGATAACTACATACTATCAACTCTGCTATTTTGCATGCATCATCACATTTCATCCTCAGTGATGCTTTGAGATAGAGAATCATATTATTTCCATTTTATAACTATTCGCTTTTTTTAGTTACAATCAGAATAATTCCAAATTTGTAAATAGTTAAGGCTTATTATTTGCTGTTTTCAACAAAGCAGAGAAATCTGAATATCAGTGTTGATTCCAAAGATATTTCTCCATTTTCTCACTACATATATTAAAGGAAATAATGGGCTCCAAAGGAAATGTTGATTGGGAATTAATTGTGTAACTGCCTGCAAAACAATTTTGCCTATTAATATACCAGTGCAAGAGAGGATTTTCCTATTGTATAGATCAGTGGAAATCCAGAGGCACTCAGTGATGCAAAGTTGCATTGACCTTGGAGAAGATCTGAGATAGACAAAATCTACATATTTAAATACAAAATTGTCTTTGTAACAAATGTTGATTAGACTTAAGAGGCTTCAGGGACTGGGTTTTAAGAAGAGTAAAAATCCTAACATTTGTTGAGCCCCTTCTGTGGAGCAGGCATTGGGCTACATCCTCTTCACACTGCATCTCATTTAGTCACCAAGGAAGCCCAGCGTAGTAGATATAATTGATCCATTTTACAGAGGAAGAACAGAGGGACTAACTTGCTGAAGGTACACAGGTGGGAAACAGTGAAAGGGGCTGTGAGCTCAGCTCTTTCAGCTGCCAGAGTCTGAGCTCTTGCAGCAGATGGGAGTGTGAGTGTCAGTTTTTCAAATTCCATGATGGGAACCCTGGAAAAATTCAGATGTCTAGTGAATGAAGGGGAAGAATGAGTTGTAGATTGTGACTGGTCTTGTATTCTGAGCAGGCAAAGAGCTGAGATTAAAGAGTTTAACCTGCGGAAAATTTGTTGTGTTGGCTACTAACCAAATCTGTTTTCATTCTCCTGGAAGCTCTGGACCCATGTTGAAAGCAGACTTCTGGTAAGTTTTCCTGAGTTGATGTCTGGGCTTTTTCCTCAAAGGAGATAGATGTGAAGCTCTTAATCTGGTTCCTTCTAGCATGGGGAGCAGAAAGTCAGAAGCCAAGATGCCCTGGCTGATCTGTTCTTCTGTCTTGAGGAAAGAGTATACGTTAAACTATTTCCATCTGATGTAAATCTGAAACACTCTCTGCGGTAAGGGAAGACAGGGGAAAAATTTCTTATCACTCCAAATGAGGAACAAAAGAAGGTAAAATAATTACCTCAGTCCACCAAAAGGTAGAGAAATGGGTCTGGGCCCACCTGAAAGTACGGTGTGCCTTGTGTTCTCTCTCTTCTTCCCCTCTATTCAAGTAAGACCTGGAAACTCTTAAAAACCTCCGGGGAGGTAGGTAACAAACACTTTCTCTTAGTAACTCTCTAAGGCCATCATAGTTCTTAATAACCCTTATGTAAGGATGTTTCCCCTCTAGAGCAAACATAAATCATTTGGCTGCAGGTTAATTCTATTTTCTCTCTTCTCTCTAGTGAGGAGAAAGAACAGCTGTTTACCATCTTCCCAGAGTCAAATTGAACACACTGGAACAGAGAGGTATCAAATCACCCCCAGACTTTCATCATTCAGGCAAAATGGCATTGACATGTCAGTAGTTCTCAAAGTGGTTCTCTGAACAGCAGGAACAGTATCCCCTGGGAACTTGTTAGACATGCAAATTCTCAGGCCCCACACCAGGCCTGCTGAATCAGAAATTCAGGAGGTGGCCCCAGAAGTTGGTGTTTTAACAAGCCTTCCAGGTAATTTTCATGCTATCTGAAGTTTGGGAACTCAATAGTTATGAATGATATCATATGTAGATATTTTGATCAGATATGGGTGACTATTACTAATAATCATTTGAATAATTCGTAATGTTTTTTCTACATTTGTGTGTATGTCTGTATATAAGAATGTATATAATTATGTATTGATTTAAGTGAGATTTCTAGTTTGGAATCAGTTATTCTTGTAAGATACGGTGAAACCAGTGAGCATGAGAATTGAACCTTTGGCTCTGGCCTCATGAGTATACGACTAGAGAAAGTCTAAGAATTTCAGTTGTGTTATGACTTGTGTTAAAGAGTTATGGTCTGCAGAAAGTTTTGAGTTTCTTCCAAACATTTTAAATACTGTTGCTGTGCAATGGTAGTCCTTGCACAGTTCGTAACATCCCCGTTTCAAATCTTACTCTTTACAGAAACTCTCATGATACCATGACCAACGAGATGCTAAGCTGACATGACCCATGGGCCCGCTATAGCTTTCTTTCTAACTCTTGATAAAGTTGACCTATATTAAAGGACCTTCTCCTTGTTTTTCACTCAAGCTTAGCTTTGGGAATCTTGCCTATACTAAAGTGAGATTAATGTTTTGAAACATTACCCAGACCCCTTAATTTGTCTTGATTATTCTCAGATTGTGTTGCACAGTCAATATAACTCCTGTTCTTCCCCCACAAGCTTTAATGAGGTATAATTGACCAATAAAATTGTATAAATTTAAGATCTTCCATGTGATGATTTGATATACTTATATATCCCTATTTTTTGAAGAAGCTGAGAAAACACATCCAGGCTGCAAGACTAGGACAAAAGATTTTCCACCATTTTTATATGGGTGTACATAAGCCAGCAGGAAATCTTTGTCAACCATACCCTTTTAGGCATAGATCATGTCTGTTTCGTTCACTGCAGCATAACTGTAACTAACCTTGGGCTTAGCACAGGTATGTTGTCAATGAAAACTTGCTGAAAGAATGAATGAAGGAAAACATTTTTATGACTATTTCAATGGGGCAACTAGGAATTCTGCTTTAAATGACACCTGGAAGGATATATGAGAAATCTTGTAAAAAACTTTATAGAACCTTTTAGAACACATTCACCCAGAAGCCGATATTTTTAATCTTTAAAATGAGCATGTTCATTAGTTATAAAAAATATGTATATATATGTGCTGCTAAAATATTTGTTTTGGGATCTCAACTCAGGTCATTAAGATGTTCCAAAATATGGTATTTATCTGTTCAAATCCAACTTTTAGTAATAAATATTTGCCAAGGTAGATGTACCCTAAATATCCAACAGTTTATTTAGCAAAATAACTTGTCTAGAATAATCAAGAGTTCTCAAAGAATTACTGGTTATGACTAAGATTGGCTATTAAGACATGAAACACATCATATTCTTTTCCAAATGTTTTGAACCCTTAATGATATACTTTTCATGTTTTTCACTTACTTGCAATTTTTTTGTCATGCATATTCTTCAAACAAAATCTTCTCTTATCATGTTACATGTTATCTCTTTTCTTCCCCTGCTGTCAGCTTAAGATATAAAGTACTTTTTCTTTCAACAAAGTTGGGGGGGAAAGATCTTATTTTTAAACTAACTTGGAATGGTGTAAATTTTTTTAAAAATCAAACATTGGTATATTGATAGCATGTACTCAACATCAGACAGTATTGTATTTCACAAATATTAACTCATTTATTTTTCACAAGAATTAGGTACAAACACTATCCTCATTTTGCAGGAAAATTTAGGCACAGAAAGGTTAGGTGATTTTCCCAAGGTCACACAGTCAGGAAAAAGAAGAACTGGGACTCAAACATAGATAGTTTGGCTATAGTCCATGTACTTCCTATTGAACCATGAAGCCTTTCTGGGATTATGGCTCTATTTAGGTCATCCTAGGGTATTGCCTTCAATCGTGGGTTTGGGGTGGAGAGGTTCATGTTGAGGATTTATGGATTAGGAGCTGTAGCAGCTGCCCAGATTTTCAATTTTTCTGATATTAAAGTGGTGAGTTTAAAAAGCTGACATTTGTAAAAGATAATCATTTCTGAATTGGGAGGGGGGATTTTTCCACTATTTAAATGGGATTTTTACAAGCATAAATAAATCTACTGAGAAAAATGTGATGTTTTACCTGAATTGCAATTACTTTATTTTTAAAATAGAAGTTAAAAGTCTCAGAGAGAGTTGTCAATAAGGGCTTCGGCTGGAACTAGTATGTTTGCACACACCTCCCTCTCCTTCGGCTCTTTTCCTTCACCCAACCCTGTGGAAAGTAAAAATGCCAAGAAGAAAAATGGGGAAAGTGATGCTATTAAATATAGCACAGGTGCTGTTTTCATAGGTGGTGGGAAGTTTTAGCTTTTCTATCTTTTACATTCTCTGTGGAGCTTTATTACCATTTCTCAGAGATACACATACTGAAAGAGAGTCCAGGATTACTGGGGAATTGGGTTTTATTCACTTCACTTGTTTCAGGTAGGGGGGGAAATTGTGAAAGAGTGAGAAAACAGCAAGAGCCTACTAGATCAGTATCTGTTTTTAAAGTGGCATTCAATTGAATAAAATTTTTAGAGTGCAGGAGTAGAGTTTTCTGATTTTACTTATTTATTATGGCAAATCTTATTCAACTTTGTTATAGAAAAATCGAAAAAAGATAACTGTCATGAGTTTCAGCTTTCTTAAATCAGAACTTAATTTGGGAACTGCCCCCAAAAAATCCCCTCAAGAAAAATCTACCAATACGATTTTCAACTAAAATTGGTAAGGAAAGATATTATAAAGTATTAAAATCATAAGGAATGCCTTTTTATTTTGAGAGAAAGTAAGGTTTTATATAATTCACCTTGCAGAGTTCAACATTTTGCAAATTAAGGCAGCAACATGTTGGAGCCTTTCCACTCAAGTCAATGGATAAAGTCTTGACCCTTAATATGTAATGAACATATGCAAATAATGGAAAATATTTTCCAACCACTGATTCCTTTGCTGATGTTACCAAAGGTCATTTCATAGTTTCAATCATTAAAGTTAGTTTTGCTTCCTTCTCTTACCTTAGTAAAAATATTCTAAATTTGTATTCAAAATCTCCATATCCTCTTGGCTTCCAACCGAGAGCTGACGAATATTACAAAGAAGCAGTTAAAACCTGTCCATTAAAACTTATGACACTTAGACTATTTGTATACACATGACCTTCAAGGTTATATGAAGGTAGTCCATTAATCCCTCTGTCTGGTCTTTATGTTTTCCCTTTACTCTTAAAATGAATGAAGTTGATAAGGAATAAATATCACTAGAACCATCATGATTTTGGACCAAGTTACCTGAATTTCCTGTTTGATAATATTCTGTTGAAGAACCATTTACTGGAGGAGCCAAATGCACATGTTCATGGTGGTGGTGAGGAGGAGGTGGTCAGGGATGGGGAAGGAAGGTGGGGGTGGGTGGGGTGGAGAGCAGTACAAAAAGAGACCACAGTGTTCTACCCCGCGCTGCTGGTGTTTTCAGATTAAGATGGGGGATTAAGGAATTTTACTCAGCAATTTGAGATGCTTTGTTAGGGACTGAGGAGATTTGAGCTGCTTTGTTCTCAAACCACATGTTAGTGAAAAAGCAAACAGGCACTTAATCCTGACAGACAGCAGAACTTGACATCAATTTGCCCCTTGGGAGGTGACCAGGAGTTCTCTATGAAGGGCTAAAATGGCCAGCCCTTGTTTTCCTGGAGCCTAATGCCAACATTCCATCCTAAACTGTATTCCTCAGCAGTGGGGCTATAACTTATTTGGTTTGACTAACCAAGAGTTTCTAGAGACTATGGACTTTTACATTATTTTTAAAAACAAAACAAAAGACCTTTTAAAGGCAAATAACCTACAAGGTGCCAAATATTCAAAGAGTTTTCAAACATGTCTAATATTTTGGTCACTCAGTCTTGAAGTGAAATATAGAAAGGCTGAGATTCTTTTTTTTTCCTTTTGAAAATAATGGTTTCCTCTAACAATAAAATCACAGGGCAACATATCAATTTTGGAGCCCATGGTTATGAAATAAACATCAATTCTTATGTAGATGTTTGAAGGAGATTCTACTGAATAACCAGTTATATTCTAAGGTCATGTCCTTCCAAGTCACTGAAGTAGGACAAAAGCAAACAAAATGAATAGGAAAGAAATTAATGGCTTCTTCAATTGAATTTTATACATTATAAAACTTAAGTATACATAGTTAGATAGTCTGGCACACAATCTGAAATTGTGGGATAAAGGCTCACTTTTCCATCTTGAGTTTGTGCCACCCTAATCCGTTGACCAAAAGTGAACTTTTAGTGGCCTATTGATTTACTAAACGTTGGCATGCATAGGGAAGCCATTTTTAAAAATCAGAATTGAAGCAGCAAATTTATAAAACACATTTCAGAGCAAATCCTTACATTCTAAAGAGTTTCTAGTTGAATATTCAGCTTGAATCAATAGTTACTGTACTCTGGTAGGATGTAAAAATCTGCTATATCTTAATAATTAAAAAGCAAGTTTTGTCACAATTGCAAAATTGCTACATATTGCACTATTTAAACACAGAACTTTGAGTCAAGTCAAGCCTCTGCTCCTGCTCACCCTTATCTCTCCCCTGTAAACTCAAAGGAAAACTTATCTCTTTATATCGACTCTATAGGTGATTTTCTCCATTCTGCTATAAACTCAACATTTTATTCTTAAATAACCATAGAGTTGTTCAAATAATCTTTTCTTTCAGGATTGGTGCAGCCCTCTTTATGTTTACATGGCACTAAACTAATTTTTAAATGACCATGAACACATGATGATAGAATATCTTTATAAGAAAGTTAATGTCAGCTGAGCCTGGCAGCTCACAGCTATAATCCCAGCAGTTGGGAGGATGAGGAAGGAAAATCACTTGAGCCCAGGAGTTTGAGACCAGCCTAGACAACATGGCAAAACCTCATCTGTACAAAGAATACAAAAATTAGCTGGGTGTGGTGGCATGCAACTGTAGTCCCAGCTACTCAGGAGGCTGAGTTAGGAGGATCACCTGAGCCCGGGAGGTTGAGGGTGCAGTGAGGTGAGCAGAGATGACCCAACTGCATCCCAGCATGAGCAACAAAGTGAGAAATTGTCTTAAAAAAATTTATGTCACTTTATATTTCCAAAGAAAAATGGTTGTTTTCTATGTTGAAGCTTTAATTTGAGGAAAAAATACCTTTGCACAGGGCAATGGAATGAGCATAAAAAAGTGTTTGTATTATTAGTTGCCAATTTGGGAGATGAGACAATTTCCAATATTTTGTATATCCTTAATTATTTATTATAAAAACCAGTGGGACAGAAATCTGAAATTTAAAATATTATAAAGAGATACTTTCATTAATTTTATTTAAAACATTATATGCTTGGCTTTAGATGACTTCTGAGTTGTGTTGTTTCTCTCTCCTTTATGAAGGTTTACCAGGCATATTAAAAGGATCAAATACAAGGTGAAGTAAAAGCAGAAACACAATATTCATTTATTTAACTCTGGTACAGTAGAGCAAATTCAGGGTGACTCAAGGGACACAGTGTCTTGTAAAACATATGTACTTAATATAAGGGTCATAAAACTTATTAAATTAAAAGCTAGGTTAAAAATAGGAAGAAAATTTATGCTGCTGTCTAAAATAGCAATAATTTCCCTTTGGCCTTTCCCTTTCCAAGTAATATGGGTTCTGGTCAGGAGGAAAAAAAAAAGGCAACTTATAAAATCTTCATTTTGGAGGACCAAATGCAAATCTTTGTTAACTACACCATGCATTTTAACAGGCAAGTGATACGGCTGAAAATAGAGTAGTAAGAAGATAAAATGTTTAGCCTTAAAAAGTGTACTTGTGATGAGGATTCAAGGATATAGGTGGCATTATTCCTGAGTGCAAACAATAAACTCCATTCTTGTTAGCTGGTATCCAGGAAGAATAGCTTTAGGGTATGGGGACAGTAGAAAAAATATTAAAAAATAGTTGATTTGGCTTTGTGGCAGCAGGACAGTGAGTAGGGAGCACAAAGTGTGCATTGCTGTTCAGTCAGGGCACAGCAGTGCTTCCCTGGACAAAACCTTCCACCCTTGTCCCAGCAAAATTTGGGCTGTAACAAAATCTATGTAAGCCAGAAAATTTGAAGTGAAGATTGACCTCCTATTTGTGTCTCACTCTGCTGCCTGTGGGCCACTGGTGTAGGAAAGGACACATTACCCTTATAAACAACTTCAGGGTTTGAGAGTAAGTGTGGCCTCAACTTTGTAAGCACTTGTATTTTTTTTTAATCCATGCAGCTAAAATATATTGGGCTTGCTTAAATGTTTATTCTCAACATGATAGCCATTTTCCTACCTGGGGTTCCTAGGTATAACACCTTAGTAATTTGAAACCAAAATAAATATCAATTTCCTTCTACTGTAGTCACATGGGGGGTTGTTTGGAATTTTATCTTCACACGAAAGTCTTACGGCTGTTGAGAAGGGCTGTGCCGGTCATTTATCTGTTTACTCTCAGACTCACTCTCATCCTTTCCTTGCTCTTTTGTCTTCCAGGCGGCTTAACCCTGCAAAGTACATTACCATCTGGCTTCCACAAAGGCTCTGCAAAGGGAGATGCTTTTTTAGGGAGTAGGAGAGAGGCTAGGATAGCCATTCTCCCACTCTCCCACCTGCATTGAAAGTGCTTCTGCAATGCCTACCTCTCCCCTGAGGTCTCAGACCTGCCTTCTTCTCTTTGTCCTTCTAGTCAAGGGGTGGCAGTGGCTTTACGTCTTTGCCAAACTCTTGTTGATCTCATCATCCCCATTTGGACTTTCAGTTCTTCCAACACTTTTGTAACTACCTCCCTAGATTAAATCTCTAGGTTGAACTACTTGGTAGTGATTCTGTTTTTCCTGACTAATGCCAGGACCAACTGCTTTAAAAAAATTATTTCTAGGTTATTAGTTTGAAAGATAAGAGATTCTGCTTGACGTCTTGAGGGGTCTTTGCCTGTTGGCCAGTGGGTAGGCTGTTGAGTCATAATAGTCACTTTGGCAAGGTTCTCTTTTTGGTTGAAGTGAAGCAAACCTGTTTGAAGGTGAAATGAGAAAGTAAGAACTAGTCAAGGTCTTTACAGGGTGGACATTTTAGGAATACAAGAGAAGTTGAACTGAAAGGGCCGTGTGGATATGTTGTTGATCTTGGCGAACTCTCCTGAGCTGTATAGCACTGACAATGGAGTGCTATTATAGCCTTTGGAAAAACTCAGCTAAAACCTCATAATCCATTTTTCTTTCATCCTTGCAATCTCTTTTTTTTTTAATTCTGTAATGAACTAGCCTGATAGTGTAAATAGCCTCATTTGAGCTAAGATGGGCAATATAAACACACACACTCAGAGATCAGTAGAGGAACTCTGAAAATCATACACCAGTTTCTCTTTCTTTCTCTTTTTCCTCTTTCTCTTCTCACTCACAATTGCTAACAAAGTTAAAAGTTGGTTCTCATGATGAAACTTCATAGGCTGCTGTCTGGAATGAATTTTCCTGAAAGAGCTCTAACTGCTGGGGGAGGGAGGGAATGTAGGGTGGGGTGGGGGAGAATCCAGACCTCAAACCCAATAGCCTTGCCATTCAAAATACCAGCTTGAAGGTTGACATTTGCAGGGACCTTGGGAGTATAGCACGTGGGGACTTTTATCCTGCTACTTCAGTGACAGCTGGGCCTGGTCCAAACAACACTGCCAGTAACATTGTCATCGAGTAGGTTAAGCGGAGCTGGAGGGGAACTTCCTTTTAGCTTTAGACTTTAGACTACAAAGTCTCAGAGCCTTTGGGTATTCATTCACCATTCAGTGAACTTAGACTGGCCTGAAGTTTATTTTCATCAGGATGTTAGTAGGGCTTGGGAAACCTTGAAAATGGAATGCTCAGTTTTTGTGAAGACTTTCTTTTAAACCTACAGATTTAATGAAGTTTAAACACATTGTTCATTGTGTAATTATAGATGAAATATTAGAGAAGTGGACTAATTATACACAATGCACTCAAACCCAATTAAATTAACATCTGTGGTGAATGTAAGGATATTCTCTTTTACTAATAAGAAATATTTTCTAAACAACAGAGAATAAAATCATTAAATTGGATATGCTGTAGAGATTATAAATATCCTATTAGCATATAAAATGAGGATTAACCTTATTTAATCACTGCATGTCAGATCATCAAAAGTCATGTTGCACCCCCATAATGTTGCTGTATTAATTCTACAGAAATAACAATAAAAAACCCTACTATTAATCAACATAGCTCTCAATGAATGCTGTTCTTGTCTACTAAATTAAACTGTTGGAGAAATTCAAGTATTCCCATAATTGCTTAACAAAATAGCAAAAATACTTTTACCTATTCATTGTGGTATTATGGCTGATTCAGATTTACGTCATCTACTGGCTGAAGAGGTGTGTCTTCCTGGCTAGGCAAATTAGCCTACCTCAAAATAAATAAAATATACTATCCATTCCAGCTAGCACCACAAGTGACCTTTTGAAAATGTAAATTAAGTGATTGCAAATACCAAGAGTGTATTCAAAATGAAAACGTATGGACTTGAGACATAGTGCCACCATTGCTCCAGGGATTAATTGGCAGACTATGAATCCAGGGATTTCTACCTTTCAATCTGGGGCATTCAATATTCCATTGGAAGATACTCATGACCATTGTTACTGTGATTAAATAATCAAATCTGGGTGGAGCGACAACAAAGTGGACTTGGGGTTATCCAGATTCATGTTATAGCTTATTATGAATATTGATTGGATGCAGTAACAAAAAACAAATGACAGCAAAGTTGAAGGTAGCCATTTCATATATCATGTTCATAGATTGCCGTTTTTCACAGCTGAGGGACAGAAATCAGTCAACAGGGATGGTTGATTCGAGGGAGTCTTTGTCAGAAGAGAGTGAAAGAGCTAAAATCAATCTTTCTTGCTTTTTCTTTCTTCCCTGTTTCTCTTTCATCTCTCCTTCCCTCCCTCCCTTCCTTTGTTTTTTCCTTCCTTCCAAAGAGTTCTTCTTTATATTTCTTCCAAAATTTGAAGGGCGTTTTTTTCTTTCATTCTTGTGAAAACCATAATTACAGGGCCTGGAATATAAATGTACTTATAAATATTGAGAATAATTATGGCTATTACAACTTTGTATTTCTAATTTGGTGAATTAAAAAAAAATCAACACATACAATTCTTTTTCAGTTGAACCCTTCCACTTAGTTTGCCTACTCATCCTTATCTGAGGAAGTAAGTTCAGTTTAAAATGTAAAAATTCAGATGTAATTGGAAAGAAATTTAGAATAAACTGGAGGTAACCTGTCTGCGGGGGCATGGTAGGGCACACTGTGATGGGCCCACGGGCAGGGACTGAATCCAGGAATACATGTGGAGGGCAGAAAAGTCTACCTGGGAAACTGAAATTTAATAAACACATCAAACACATGAAAGAAAATGTGATTTTATCACACTAGAAGTATATCTCTCAGAAAGCCACTTCAAAGAAAGCAAGCAGAATGCATGCGCAAGTCAAAGTCCTTTTTCGTCCTCAGGACCAAAGCTGCTTAGCCAAGAAGTTTTTCTTTCTGTCCAGGTGCCATACACCATTTAAGTTTTTTTCCAGTTTCCTTAAGATTTTAAAGCCACTTGCACTACATATATGTAGTGCAAAAAGAATATATATATATATATTTTTTTTTTTTTTTTTTTTTTGAGATGGAGTCTCGCTCTGTTGCCCTGGCTGGAGTGCAGTGGCACGATCTCAGCTCACTGCAACTTTTGCATCCCGTGTTCAAGTGATTCTCCTGCCTCAGCCTCCTGAGTAGCTGGGATTACAGACGTGTGGCACCATGCCCGGATAATTTTTGTATTTTTAGTAGAGACGGGGCTTCACCATGTTGGCCAGCCTAGTCTCGAACTACTGACCTCAAGTGATCCACCCTCCTCGGCCTCCCAAAGTGTTAGGATTACAGGAGTGAGCCCAGTGGGCCCGGTCAATATATGTATATTTAGAAAATCTTCTGTGGCTTCTTTATTCTATAGAGAGAGCAATATGTTGTGAATACAGTGTTAATAATAACTACTATTTTTGCCCTTTTTGAACAAACCAACAATTGTGAGTTTTAGCTTTTATTTTTGTTCTCTTTAAGCTCAATTAAAAAGTACTTTTGCCTTCCAGGAGCCATTTTTACAATTTATTTGAAGTGCTGGGTGAATTAAAGAAAATCCTATGCCTTCAAATTTTAGTTGAACTTATAGATTTTCCATAACAATATTACTTTAAAAGACTCTTTTTCTTCCCCCTTCTTCCAGGTCTCACTGGCCCAGCAATTTAGCCTTGCCTCAGAATTGTTACATTACGGTCAAATGGTTTGGTTGTGACACAGGATGGTTTTCAGAAAAGCAGCAGACAGTGTCTAGAAGTGGGAAAAAAGGTCTTTATTGAGAAGGTCAAAAGGGACATAAAGGCAAAAACTGACTTTCACCGAAACAGAACTGGAGACCAGGCCTCCAGTGTCCTTTTTGTAATTCATTGCTTGTTTTCAGGTCCCGTGATAGAATTCTTCCATAACAGAAGAGGACTTTGTTAAATTGTAAATGAGTATTACTTCAAGCACTCTGTGGAAATATATTCTCCCCCTATAGCCCATACATTATTTCTGCTTAGTTATAGTGGCTCACCTTTCCTGTAACTATCAAAGAGAACTTAATTCAACTCACACCACATCACTTTACAATTGTGCAGCTCTCTTAATCAACCTTTGTGTCAGCCACGAATGTGCAGTATGACCTAATTTGAAAATGTCTCAAAGTGCTGACTCAAACTGTTAGTGAATAAAGGCTGGTCATTACCATTATGACACTAATGTGATGCAAAATAAAATTGAGTTGCATCAGCTGAACATTAGTTTGCAAAAATATCAGTGATTGAATCCATTTTCTGTTCATATTTTATTTATACTTAGATATGTATACATATATACATAGGCACATATTTTTTGTTTGTTTGAAACAGGCTTGCGGCAAAATTTTTGAGGGTAGAGGAAGGAAGCCACATTTTAACACTGGAAAAAGACACAGGGTTAAAGGCTGATCATATGTGTATCATGATCTCCTCTCTATAACATGAAGACATGTTGTTGAAATCTTATTAGGATATTTATATGCACATAAGCAATAACATATGAAAATTATCATCTTGTCGTGTACTTTGGTGCTAGATTCCAAGGTTTCTAACAGCCCTGGCACTTCTTACTACTTCGTATTACTCCAAAATTCTGACTTTGTATTCGCAAGTAACAAAAATTTGAGATTTTTTTCTTTCATGGGACTTCTTTCCTTCTTCTTTACTTGACAAAAAGTTACTTTGAGATGGAAATACCTTTAATACACACTGTCGTTAATTACTTGTGAACAAAAGAAAGTGAGATATAAAACTAGACATTATTTAGCCTCATCCCTACTGATAATACTTTGTGGAAAGCAACATCAATGATCTTTTTCTTACACAATTCAGATGGTTTTGAGGAAAAACTCATGGGCTTAATTAATACCTGTGCATCCTAAAACTAGCATTGGTTTCAAATTCTAAGCTGATAAGTAGTCATTGAAAATAAATCAGCAGGAAACTTTCTTAATTTAGAGAAATTTTCCTAATGGTAAATGAGAAACTCCACCCTGTATCTCATTTTGGGTCTCCAGAATTCTGAAAATCCTGAACATAAAAGTGAGGTATTAGTGATAAAATACTTCTGATTTTATTTCTTTAATGGTTCTAACAAACCTAGCACACAAATGCAAAGGAGATATGTTGTCCTTTAAAATGGTCAAGGACAAGAAGTTTTGGCTATCAGGAAATTATTTAACCTGCTTCCAATTGAGAGAGTATATGTCTTCATAATATATCACCATAAGCGATCAGTAGAGAATACAGCTAAATTAAAATGCTGGCAAGCTCAGTTCATTCACTTTTTAGAAAAGCAAGTAAAACCTTCCAGCAAGATGTGTAGAAATTTTCTATTACGTGATGACTTTCATATTTGAATCCATTTTACATTGTGTAATATGTGACTTGGGCTGTTTTTATGACCTGTGCTTTATTACCACATTAAGACAATCGACATTTCAAAAAAGAAAAAGTTTGAATAATTTCAAAGTGAACTTGCCAAAATCAGCATTCAGAAGCATGGGTGCTCGCGCGCTCAAACACAGGCACACTTTCAATTTACCTAAAAACGGGGATCACCCTTTGTAGCTAAAATGCAATCTTTCTTATTTTTAGGTTACCCTGAGAAAAGGTATGTGGGTGTGATTCCTGCAAATGGATTGCCAGTTTCTTAACAGTTCATCATTCTTAAATGATAGAAGTATAGCAGCACCCTTCTGAGAAACATCTTTTCTGTAGATTTTACTTTGTCCATGCCAGGACAAATTGCGTGCTAAGTTGAATAATTCTGAGATGTGAGACACCTCCATAACTGTCCTTGGACTACCAAGGAGCTGGCATTTCTCTTTGGAAGATGAGGGGAGAATGCTCCCTGCTCTCTTAATTGATGATTTACTGTGCTTTCCCTTGGGACCACAACCGATGATCTGTAAGCTTGTTGAATTTTGAGGTAGATACTAAATATAATCAATATATAAAAATATTTAAAAAAGGAGAGAAAAAATGCAATGAAAATTTATGACCTTAACATTCCTTCAGGGTCAAGCAATTTATCAAATTCTCTCACTTTCTGGTTTCAATTACACAGCCATTGTGGAAGGAACTTATTTTAGCAGGTTCATTTGCCTCAGTGGGGAATACAGGACTTTGGCCTAATGCTTCACCTTTAGTGCAGGCCATTTGAGCCTTAGAACAAATACCAATCATCACTCTTTGGGAAAAAAGAATCTGCATCGGCGTGGCCTATTGGAATGGGGTTTCTGTCAAGGTAAACGGTTGTCGGCAATGACTGTGGTAGAGTGGCGATAAATCCCATTTTATTGCTGAAAAATTCCAGCTTCTCTCCATGCCTGACAGCTCCCCACATTCTCATACCCATTTGGGCAATTTCTGCACTATGTCCATCTGGTTCTCATTACCTCTCAACCTCCCTGCGTCTGATCCAGAAAAAGAGCAGGTCAGAAATGGGGCTGGGGGTGACGAAACCAAGGTGATGAACAAAACAGAAAGCAGGGGGATGGCCCATGGGGTTCGGGGAAGAGTTGAGGTTGGGTGGAGTAGGGATTCCAGCTAAGAATCTGAGTGGTTTTGAGAAGGGGCCATGTCAATTATTAAAAATGATCATGACAGAGCTGGAGCCAGAAGCCAGAGAAACCTGTATCTTTAGACTCAGGCATTAAAAAGACACCTGTTTTAAGGTGAAAGAGAGAGTAGAGAGAGAGAATGTGGTAGGTAGAGGAGGGTGGGAAGGCATCTCTATTAAGGGCACTGCCAGCTGGATTATCAGAGTAGCGGACCTGTTCTAGAAAAGCACGGAGCCCTGTGTACACAGTTGGCAGGCTTCTAAATATGCTGATCAAACTCTGCTGGAGATTAGATTTTGGTTCAAAAACATATGTTTTTGAGGACAAAGAAAACTTTTGGCCCTCCAACCTTATTGTCTCCATCTTTCGAAGAAGAATAATATTTAAAAACTAACTTGTCTTAATTAGGGCATTTAGAATGACAGGACTAGCACTGACTCACTTGGGAATTCATAACCCTACATATAATCACTTTTGGAATGGAGTGCATTTATGCCTTCAAAAAGTTGGCCTCATTTTCTGAAGCTGAAATCCTTTTGATCATAATTACTTCTGACCTAAAATTACCCACAGTCACCATACAATGCCACGCTGGGACAAAAAAGAAATACATATTGTAAGTATCTGATAACAGATATAAACTATCGGCCAACTTAAATAGTATCATTAATTAGACTAGGATGAAACTATACAACTATATATTTCTGAATATAACATTTAATCATTATTATTATTCTTTTGGTGCAGTGGTTGGGGCCGTTGTCATAAATGCTAAAATAAGAGTTGTTAAAGTATATTGAAGTATAAATGATAAAGACCTGAGAACTTTGCATAAAAATGAGAATCAGATGAATGACTGCATTGATGTAGTTATTTCACCACCTGTTTTGAAGTCAAATTTTATATGCAAATGTCTTAAAACCAGATATGATTGTGTATTCTTAAATACGTTGGAGAGCTGTGGCATTATTATGATTTGTAGACAGAATCTCTCATGTTAGATATGTTTGGATGGACATATTGAATGGTCTCTTAGTGCCTTCTGGATCCCAGGGATCCAGAGTGTATTTCAGGTCCTAAAAATGGACATTTTTGACAGTCAGAACCCCCAGTACTGCACTGAATATCTGTTTTTTTATGGGTTGAATTCCCAATATCGAAATTACGTTAAATTTTAGTTGCTGAGCCAGATCCTTTAGACAAGAAATACTGGCTTCCAGTAATCAGGATTTAATTTCTAAATTTTCAAGTCATGAATGCTCAAAGGAGGTTTTATGAAATGTACCTGAAATTGTAAATGAATCCCACGTAGACACTTAAATTGAGAAATTGTTGCTAAAAATTTTAAATTAAAACGACAAGATAATTTGGACTGACGTACATTAGAAATCATAAAAATGGAAGTTTGTTAACTTTAAAATGAATATTTTAGTCAACAAATAAAATTCTAAAACAGACGTTTTCACATGCACATATTAAAAGGCATAAACCTTTAGCTAGGGTCACGTATCTATTAAAACGGTCTTGATTTTAATGGTGTCTCTAATTTGGAAAGTAATTTCAGATTCTTAGCCAAGAAGAATCTTGCTTGAACTTTACTTTTCTAGGCTGTACATATACCAGAGAAACATGATCATTTAAATTCTAAAGGATGTTTGTTTCTTTTAATAGCATAGCAGAGAATTAATGGCATGGGGGAGGGGGACGTGACAACTTAACCTGATGTTTGATAGCTGTTTACTTATGAATGTGTGCCACAGATTTCAGTGTCTGTAAAAGAAGGGGAAATAAACAAACCGATGGCTTTTAGGGAACTTAAGACACATGGAAGAAAGTGCTTAGAAGGCTATTGAAATATTTACAAAACAAATCATTTACATTAACTTTCTTATGTGTAGAAACTGGAGTGCCCATGAAAAGACAGAGCCAATTTTGGCTATGAGAAGTATTTCAGCATCAAAATGGTTAACAGTATTATAGCTTCAAAAGAGCCTATTGGCTCACCCTCAAGGATGCCCTGCAGTTGTTGTTAAAGTCATCAGATGAAGCTAGCCTTCTCAGCTAGCCTTCAGATTTGTCTGCTAACAGTAAAAATACTATAATAAATCGGTAACATATGTTGCCAGGCAAGGAAAAGTGATATAAATAAAGAGACTGGGAGACCCAAACCAAGTACAATGTGAAAAGAATTTAAATTTCAATCTATTTGCTGGCTAATTACCATTTGAAAAGTAATTTGAAAGTTTTACTGTTATTTGCTGATATTCTTCCTCATTTTTCTTTTTTTCCTCTTCAGATTGCATTCTTACCCAAATACTCTTCGTGATTGCCTGCTTTGCGGCTTTGGGGTAAGTCCCAGTTTTCCACAACCTTAAGAAAAAAATGCATAACATAAAAGATGCCAGAAAGACTTATGTGTCCTGATAGTCGGGGTCTGTGAAATATACATGGGTTTGTTACGGGGGTGGGAGGCATAATGAAATAAAGAAAAGCGATTTGTTTCTGCAAGGATCAAAAGTGTGCGAAAGTGTGCATATGCAAACGAGGCTCCCATCAGGAAAGCCACCTCTGGAATGTAAATGACAAAGCTTGGAACACACACAATCAATTATTTTCACCAGCATTTAAAATATAGAAAACAAAATCTGCTTTGGGAATTGACTGAATATTTTATTTAGCTTTTTTTATTGAGACATCCTTTGAAAAATGGCATAATATAAATAGTTTTACAAAGCAACAATATAATCAATCTCTAAACTAGAATATAAATCAAGGATTTCATTAACTGCTGGTAGCCAGTTTAAATTGTAGTCTTGTCCATAATGTCTATCTATCTATGTATGTCCAAGTTATATTAAAAACCTTTAAATGGCTTTGTAATATCAGCTACATCTAGCTATTATAATAATTAATGGTACTGTTTTATAAATCAATACATGTATTCTTGATAAATTCATATCCAGTTAATGGTGTAATTTAAATAAAAAATTAATGTAATAAAGGACATACAGAAGCGGGCAGGAAATCTTTAAAGGTTAAGAGCCAAATTTGTCTAAATTCATTTTTAACCTGTTTTGGAAAAGTTTATATTTAAAATCAGCTGAGACTTACCTTGTTTCTGTAAAACTAATCTTGCCATTTCTGGTGGTATCTAGTATTAAATTTGTAAGGTGTTTTCTGACGTTGTTTTAATTACGTAGTTACAATACTGTGGAATATTTTACTGTCGTTGCACTATTTTGTGACTATTGCATATTCTTTAGTAAAATAGAACAAAACAAACTAAAAACATCACACCAGCAATTTATTTTTAATACACAAATGCATGTAAATGATTTATTTTTTGAAAATCTCCAAAACTATACACACATTTTATTTAAGGGGAAAAATGACTGACTAGTTCAATAAATTTGCATGTGGAAGAGCCGAGCATTTTCACTGCTTCCGCTGAGTGAACATTCCAAGAATTTTAGAAAGAAAAGAAAAATGCATGAAAGAGTCTGAAATGTATTTTAACGCTGCACCCGGGTACAGGAACATTCTACCAAAAGATGAGTGTATTACAGTTCTAATGTAAAGAATACATACCAAAGACATATTTAAAAAATAACAAGATTTAGAAAAACAACTGAAGGTTGTATGTTATCAAATACAATATCAAATCTTTCCAAATAAAATTTCATTTGGTTCATAAGAGTACGCGTTTTACAAAAAATATCTTTCAAAATTATGCAGACCAGTCTGCCCTGCCATCCTCCTTGACATGATGCAGAAATGTTCCTTTAATCCACTGAGCTTTTTCTGACATTTTTCTTAACATTGCTGAGCCTTATTTAGAGCACCAAAGGAGGCGTGTGCAGTTTTCTTTGACACTGATGGGTATTTCAAAATGTTACAGAGAGAGGGGGGAAAAAAAAGAAAGAAAAGATTTGCTGCCAGTCACTTCATCAATAGAGCTACAGAAGCAATTACTATTTGTTAAAAGTTTACATTTCAAATGAAGCTAAATTTTAAAGAAGTCTCATCCTTTTAGAAGGACTGGTGCTTGGAAGAGAGAGGAAGAGAATGCACATTAGTGATTACATGTTAAAGTGCACTCAAGTACTGGAACCATTTAAAATGTATTGTGTTTTTAGTTGAAACCTGCAGCAAAACCACTCCTAAGAGGCTTAATTTAGGTTTTATAGGAGGAACATAAAAAAGACCAGGTTACAGCAACATGCTGAAATATGGGGTACATTTTAAATATCTTCATTTAAAAACGTATGTTTATTTCCCCTCCTGGGATCACTAACGTGTGTCTCCACAGAGAAAGCAAGGACATGCATTCTTAAAAATTATCTGTTAAAGGGATCACATTCCAAGACAGGTTTGAGCATTTTTATTACTACAGATAACCTCTTAATTGTGTCACTGCCTTCCACTTGTTAATCAGGGACATTCAACATAGTTAACCATGCAGTGGTTGTCTTTAGAAGAATACATTATCATTAAGGATTAGAAACACATTTTATTCCTATAATCATATTGCATGTATGGTTTTAGCACTGCTAAAACCCTATTTACCTGCTTTAAATACATAACACCTAAGAAAGGATTGAGATGCCTATAACAATGTTGTTCACTACTTCAAACTATGCAGTCCATGAAAAGCTTTAAGAGACAGATAATTTTACTTTTCTTGTCCCCCTCCTCCACCTCCCCCATGTCCCACGCAATTCCTATTTGAATTGATTTTAGGTTTCTTGTGTAGCCACCAGCATCTGAGATACTCAGGTACTCTTTCAGAGACCAAGGTGTAAGTGTGAAGTAAATAAAATCATGTTTCACTGTTGCTTTATCAACCCTCCTAGGTAGTTTTTCTGCCAGCCAACCTGCGCTGTTAAGACCCATAAAATTATGCAATAGTGACTTCTTTGGAGGTTCTCTAATCAGATAATGGCTGGTGTTGGGAGGCAAGGGCCCAAGGCAATGTTGCTGGTACTTAACACTGTGGTTGGTCATTACTTGTCTAGTAGAGACCAATAAACAGCTGATTACTGTCCTATATGGAGCCAATATTTTACATTTATCCTAGTTATTTTTTCCTTTTCTTTTTAAGTTCTTATAACAGGAAGTATTTGTCAAGAAGATATATGAGTAATAGCCTCCCAGGCACCTTAAAAATAAGAATTTTCCTACCATGAAATGATGCCTTTTGTGGAAAGGTGGGAATGATTCTGGTTTTTACAAGAGCAAAGGTTTGATTCGTTTCAAGCCCACTTCTTTCAGACAGGGACACTCCACGACACCATCCCTGCTGCTCCTTGTCCCTTTCCCCCTCTATGACAGGTTCACAGGCTGCAACCAAGGGATTTTAAAATGCAAAGGTTTACATTCATATTTGCACTCTGGCAATAACAGGCCCATTTTGCTTCCTCTGTAAGCCTGTGATAATTGATGCTTCATACCTGGAACTATGTTTCATTTATCTCTTTACTCATGAAGATAGTATATAAATAAAAGGTAATGTATGGAAAGGAACCAACCATCTGAAATAATAGTCCTAAATCCAACTAGATAATCTTTTAAAGCTGTAAGAGTCAGAGATGGAGATTTCTAAACTTTCAAAGAAAACTTGATTGCAAATGAGAAACCTGTGCATTTTTGAATGCTTATTGAATTTGAATGTCTGTGTGGGCCAAAAAGAATCAGAGGGACAAATGGAAGGCAGGAAAGAAAAGGTGTAAATTTTAGATGTGTTTTAAATTAATGTATTTAATGACATATTAGACTCATTACAATTTTATTGACTTTCCCTTTACATTTGAATGTAATTTTTTACTAGCCGATGCAAGCTGCAAAATGGCGAGTCTTCTAAGGTGCCTTTCCTTCCCTGGGATCCTCATCTTAGAATGAGCAGAGGCACATCGATAAGAACTGGACCTTGATTTCACAACCTCATACAAAGCCAGGCAATTCTTGAGCCAAACAAAGGGGGTGTAAGCTATTTCATTTATTTTGATAATCCTCCTCTTGCACGGGAGCATTTTGCTGTCTTTGTCAAAGTGAATGACAACAATTTGGCCAACTCTCTCTGAGCTGCACTCAACAGTGACAGGCAAATTATCAGAGGCCCTGCACTTCTTATTATCAGAGGAGAAGCCATCAGGGGGACGCATGGAGGATACCTCTCCCTTGTCACTATTTGTCAGTGGGACAAGGGCCACTGCTATGGGTAGCTGACAGGTAATTTCAACAATAACAATTACTCCTATTACTGGTGTCATAAACAATTCGCCCAAGGCATGACAATAGCAAAGCTTTATAATTCAATGCCATATAAATAAATGCCAGCAGGTAACAAGTAATTTAGCTCCAATCAAGCTTTCACCCCGGCATTAATATTGTTATTGCAAGAAAATGGAAAATTGAAAAAATTCAATATGTTAATGAATTAAGAGAGGTTCAAGGGCTAGACAAGACGAGTTGGAAAAAGGAAACAAAAATTATTGTGGTATCATATTTGGTGCCATCCTGGAGGCCAAACATCAGTATAATTACTTTAAGACAAGAAGGGGAACTGGAGTGCCTTAGATCTCAGAGCAGGGAAAAATGTGACATGAGCTTTCAAAAAATCCACCTAACTCCAATTTCTGAAGAATATAAGGAGAAATATGAGAGTGTATATATATAATGTAGCATTTCACTGGCTTTCTTTTTCTACCTGAAATATTTCATATGAAGCAGAAGCATGAGTATCAAAGAAACGTTTCCATCTGTTTAAGAAAATTGTATCAGCACCTGCTTCCTTTACATTAAGTCTCATAATGAAACTATTTTAATAATCCTTTTTTTTTTAATCTGGGGTGAAGGTAAAGCTGAAAGTCATCTTTGCTCTCCAGCTGTCCACCTTTTGGAAGTGGACTAGAGGATACAGTGTTATCTTCATACGTAAAACTTCCTGATCAAGCCAATTTGCAATTTTAGTATTTGTCCAGCAAGACAATGTGCCATCATGGTGACAGCAGTAAAAGAATTTGAAAATCTCTAATTAGGAGAGCTGCACACCAATTAACGCATGTCAAATTTCACTTCATCAAGTGCCACTCTAATTTTCCCTCTAAAAATTAATGGATTTTTTTTCTTTTGGTATGTGTGTGTGTCCCCTTAAGGCAATGTTGATTCAAATCTGCTCGAGATGCAGTGTTGCACAGCTAAGCATCTTCTTGATTACAATCCGCCACACTTCTAACTGCGCTCATTCGCACTGCCACGGATACTTTGTCAACAGTCAAATTACACCACGCTGATAACAATGCATAATGGTGTTCCTCCTCCAGTCCCCTGTCAGGAGAGGGGCTTCATAAAAATGTGATGTTTTCTTCTCAACTGTATCTAAAGGAAGTTTGTATGACCAGGTCCCCAGTCAGGTGTTGATTTTTAAAATTAGTTTGTTAATTTCAAAAAAAAAAAAAAAAAGAAGAAGAAGAAGAAGAAGCAAACTGATGGCATATAAAAAGTCCTCATTGAAAAAAAAATCAGCAAAGAATGAGGAATGGAGAATATCTATGGCCAAAGTTTTGCTTAAACACTTTGTTCTGAGACATTTTCAAGAGCACTATTCTTGGTTAAATACCAGATTTTTTTTTTCTTTACTTATGGTCTATAAACATTGGAAGCCTCTCTTGAACAGACTGTATTTAGATTGTGCTAGAAGTTTGTTTAACTGCCATATTTGCCAGAATCCTCAAAACATCACAGGACATAGAAGACAAATGACTTTGTGTGTTGCGGGGAGGGGGGTGGGGGGGAGTGCGTAAGGGGGTCAGGACTGTATATTCCAGATAAATGTTGATTCACTTTTAACTATTTTTTATCCTAGTTGCTTGTTGCAGATTGGTGTGTCTGAGGCATCAGCACGCGTGGTAATATTTCTCACTGAAAAATGAAAGAAAGAAATGTAGTGATTAGAAGATGATTTTACATTTAGTCTTTTTAGAGATTATTTAGATTTCTTATTTTTCAAAAACAATCAGAACCAGAACAAAAACAAGGAAATTAAACAAAATTTTAAATATATTCTCTCATAGATTCTTCAGGGAGTAGAGAACATTCACACGGGTTGACATCCCAGTTTTCTCAGCATGTAAGCATATTGTAATCCTATTTATTCACTAAAAATTTAAATTCATGAGATCTACACTTTATTTTCTTTAATCTGCAGGCCGAATACAGCTTCTTATTCACTGATGACTAACTCAAAATTTTAAAACGATATTTTTAGGTTTGTATTTCCGAATATTAAAAGTGTCTTCCTTATCTTATGGCCCCACCCCAGCATGTTCTTAAGTGGTCTATTTCAAACAAAAGAAAATGACATCCCCCTTTCAACTAGCCAAACATTAGATTCTCTCAGAACTGATTGGGGGTTCACTAGAAGTTTTGCAATTAGATTCATACAAATTGAATTATTTTCTTTTTTTCCAAACATCGTTCTTAGAACTTTATAAATATAGCAATACTGGCTTCACAGTTTCATGTGGCTCGTTTACAAATAAAGGTATTTTAATAAAACCAAGTTCTGTGTACCTTTGAAAAACAAAAAGCTGGAACAATCTCACATTAAAACATTACAAAAGGATTGTAAAGGGAAATTTAAAGGGAGAAAACTTGATCATATAATGCAATCCAGCAGTAATCAATTTTACCTTCAATATCTTGCTTTTGTTTTCAAAATGCTAAATAAACAATACATAATGCATCCCTCATCAGCCAAACCATGGAGGCTCTGTGCTCAAATAACAGGAAACATATTCAATTTTCCTAACAGAAGACAGTTCATTAAGCTGTGCCACATCAAATAAAACTTTAATTTCTCCAGCATCAGAGTCGCAATGAAAGCAATTGAAGAAGATGAGCCATATGGTACTTCTATCAGCAAACACATATTGCTCATTCCCCCAAAGTTTTCTAATTCTGCTCCCCAGACCTGTGTAATATAGATAATGTGCTCCGAGAGCAGCAACCATGAGCTATCTAGTGTACACTTCCAATACTGTATTTAATGGGAAATAATGAATCATAAAAGCCTAGAGAAGACGGCTTTTGCTAACCTAAATCTCAGCTGTAATTTCATTGTTCTGTGCCTAAGATGCTGTTTGCCCTTTCCAAACAACAGCAGTTGAACATAATTATGCTGCTTCGAAGCTGGGTTTGAAAAAGCATCCCTAATATAACCAACTTTCTATTAACTCCTGAAATTCTGAATTTAATGATGCACTGATACAGGCATTGAGATAACCAAGCATGTGTCATTTAAAAATCCAAACAGCATTTTTCTCCTTCTTCTCTTTGGTCAGACTGCTCAATGCTTTTACGCTTCCTCCTCCGCCCCCTGCTTGCGTCCATCCCCCACCCCACACCCCACCCCATGCAACAGGAGTGGCATGATTAAAAATGATGAGATTTTCTTGTTATTAGCAAATTTGACATTTGCCTGATGAAATGCACATAAAATGTGAAAGCTACACAGTACTCAGAAGAATGTCTCCACTCCAATCCTAGCTACCAAGATGAAATAATTTAGGTAAAGGAAATGTAAAGGTCCTTGTACATCTCTTGCTGCAGAATGCTAGGGTTGCGTTATAAATGAAAGAACCAAATATTGCTGAGCTTTTAGAGTGATAGTATTTTGACACATGTGAAGCACATAGTGTTTCTTCTCTCACCTTAGCTGCTTTGACAATTTACTTAAACATAATACACATGCTCAAAAGCAGCAATTTACATGTCGTGAGCCCAGCCTTTCTCTGGTTTGAGATCTTGGGGCTGGGGCTTTGTTCATTTTTAGGAAAAAATGTTGCTTTTTCCTCTAACTAGGTCAATAATTCCAGCTTTTCCATTTTTAAAGCTTATCAAATCATTATTTTACCAACATGATGCTAATTTAGAACATCATCAGATAACACCGTGGATACATATTGAAAACATATTTTAATGGTTTTGTTTGTTTTGGCATCATATGAACCAAGAACAATTAAATTAAAAAGAGACTTTTAAAAGTTAGAGATTGCCTTTTTAAAGCTTATTAAAATCAGCATGTTAACATGCCTGTCTCTGAATTAGCTCTCACACTTGATTGCCATCATTAAAACGAGTTGTTCGGGTGCTGCTCAAAGCCGATTCTTACTAGTTATTAACTTGAAATCTCTTTCCATTGAAATGTAAAAAAAAAAAAAAAAATCATTCTCACTAGTGGAAGAAACAGTCACCAAAACATGAACTAGCACAGCAAGCCAGCAACATTAAACCACGAAAAGACCAACAGGTAAAATAACTACAGTAACATCTAAAACACACTCAGGGAAAAAAAAAAATCACAACAACAACAAAGAAGCAGTTCATTGATTATATTTCATGAATGCCTTAAAACAAATGTTTAAACAGTTTTCTGAAACAGTGCAGAAAACCTCTGCATGCTCCACTGGGTTGCAATGACAATGGTCTATTGCAATGTAAAACACGCTGGAGGATAAAAAGGTGCTTTTTGTTACCATTTTATCAAAGCTGTTCATCTTCGAGCTGCAGGCAGCATTTTGCTGGAATTGCAGATATTTCTCTGTCCAGGCTTCTTTGTTTGTGCATCTCATTTGCATATATTTATCTCCAGCTGAGGGTGCGTTCTGCTCATTAAGGCCTCCCTTCACATTATTTCATAAGCCAGCTGCTGAGAGGGATTTCACCTGTGGTGACTGAGAAAAGAGGGGTGAAAAACTAAATTCTTCATAAAAAGGAAATCTTCAGAGTCTCTTCCCCTATAAATGGGCACCATTTGTGTTAAACAGCCTCTTGTCATGATAGATGCCTCCAGAGGTCAGGGGTTAAAGTTGATTTGAAGGTCAGCAGTAAAACAACAGACAAACCAGACGCCAAACTGGTTCCTTAGCTGTCGGTGGGAGCTGTGGTACAACCAGGTCTTGAACCTTTTTCAACCTCTAATAAAACAGGGGATGAATCTGAAGTGGATCAACCAGGCCCCTGAGGAAGCAGCACAGAAAAACACAAATAATATCAATATCAGGCAGCCACAGGGAAACAATGGGGCATTTCTCCGTGCTACATGCATGCTGCTATTGTTTCAAGGGCTGGGGAATTAATTCCACTTATTTATTTAAGGCGTGTCAACTCACTGCCTAAACCTGTTTCAGTGTCAAGATGGATAAAACTTTTATGGCTCATAAAATAGAGCCATTCATCTCAATGTTCTTTGTGGTGGGTTTTCTTTTCTTTTCTTTTCTTTTCTTTTTTCTTTTTTTTTTTTCTGGCATACTGAGCTAGACCTCTGCTCTGAAACGGTTACATCTGAACCCATTGCTGCTATGATCCACACCATTTAAAAAAAAAAAAATTATTTCACTGGCAAATGGATCTCAACAGAAATGACACAGGGAAGCATTTTAGCTACGATGTAATAGCTCCAAAAATTCTTCTAAACAGTCTGCATGCAGTTGCATCTGTTTTGAGCATGCATTATTTACAAAGCAGAAGTTTTACTATTTTAGAGGAAAAGTTCAAAAGAGATAGCAGTAAAGATATTAGTTTTCTAGAATACTATGTCACATATTTCATTTTACTTTAGAAATGCAACCTTGTTAGGATAGCTCTTTCCCATTCATCATTTTTTGCCCAAGTTTCCACTGTTCCGTAGTCAGCTTATACTGATGTAATAATCAAATGCCTTCTTTAACTTGACTGCTCAGAATTTTATGTTTAATTTTCTGCATAAAATAGCACACATAAATGGAAAAGAAAATGCATTTATATGCTTTTTGTATTATACATTTTTTAAAAGTTCAGTTATAGAATTAATTTTACTTTTGATTTTCTGACAAATGACTTTAATAATAATATAAATAAACAGGTTAACATTTCTAAAGTGCCACACACAATGTGAAGCACATGTATTTTCTCATGCAATTATTAATTCAATCTAAGTCACACAGGTCCACTTAGAATGGACTGTAATAACACTCTTTATTATCCACAACATATTTTAGTTGAAACAAAATGTTCCAGTCACACAATATCATCACCGTAGTAGATCATTATAGCTTTAACAGATGACATCATGGGAACACAGTTGCTTTATATTGAAATGAGTAAAAAGAAGCAATTTGATGATATTTCACAAATTTTCTAATCACAGCCTCAGCCATGTATATTACACGTTTTTGCTCCATTGTAATGTAAATTGATTTGTGGAGGATTCACTTACTGTCTTATCCTAGTTGCTTTGTTTTTGAGTTCTCTATTGAATATTGTAGACTTTACATATGATGCTAGATTATTTCTGATGTAGTCAGTTGGTAGGTAAGGGTTTTCCCACATGAACTCAAGTTTTTCCAGTAAGTAGATCATTTGAGAATGGCTCCAAATAAAAGTGGTGCTTTCACATTTTGCTGGTACACAAACATATGGCCCTGAGGAAGACGGATTCATTTTGGGGTGCTAAGCACTGCTCAAGATGTAAGTGCTTTTTATTTCCCATTTGAACTGGTGCATGCACCTTACAGATGGACCAGTTGCTTTACATACTGGTGGCCCATTTACAAAGCAGCCCTGTTTGAAAACAGATGCTTTCAAGTGGGTCACCAGGCTCTAAGAAAAATATTTAAACCCTTAATTATTGGCTTTTGGTCGTCTATGGCAATGTGTTCTCATTTAAACATAGAGCAGGGGATTTTTCTTCTATAACCAATTACAGTTTAAAAAATGCAACGAATCTTGCTTCACACAAGGAGCTTAACTTGTGGTTGGAGAAATTTTCCAACTTATTAAATGTTGTTTATATCCTCATTTTTGTCTTCCCAAAGCATTTTATAACTCCCTCTGTAACTGACTTATCAATTTTCTTTCTGACCTTTCATATTAAATTTAACCACACCCCCACCCCCAAACCCAGAGCCTCCAAGCAACTAGCCTAGAGCAAAAATATACAATTTACTCTCTCCATATCTCCACCGACGTCTTTCGTTTTTCTTGTACTCTAATCTAATCGGTAATTCGTAAGCTTTGGCCAAATAGTTAAAAATGTTAAGTGCTAGCAAAGCCTTTTACCTCCCCCTCAGATCTGTCTCTGTTTATGGAATGGGTCCCAGTTTCCTCCTCTTCTCCTTCAGCCTGGGGTCTTCAGGTCAGAACACAGTAAATACACACAGCCCTTGCTGGACCCATAAATCTGAGCAAAGGGCAGGCCTATATATTCAGATAAGCAGGGGCAGAGATAGGGGCTTGAAAGGAGGGAGAACTAGCGGAGTCTGAGGCTCTGCAGCCCTGTTCAGAGAACTGAACTCAAAAGACCAAGAATCCTTAGTGCAGAAGGAGGAATTTTGCCTTGAAACATCTCCCCTTATTTCTAATGGATGAGATTGGCACTGCTTCCTCTTCGTTTATTTTATTTTTTCCACGTTGCTTATATTCACATCCTTACCAAATGTATTATCTTAAAGGCAATCAAGTTAAACAATAAATTTAATTTATTTCCAATGTCTTTTTTTCTTAAGTGTGTTTGTGTTTTGACCTGTGTGTGTGTGTGTATATCAGTGATATGAACTGAAGTCATTTTACTAGAAAGTCTTCTCTACTGTAATTTTTCAGTCCCAAAGTTTTTGACTGTATAACTGTATTCTTACTGACCACATTGAATCCCCAAGAAAAATACCTCTAAAGGAGGAATGACAAAGTGACAAATAAATGCTTACATATCCTTCAGTCTTCCAGGCTTCTATTTTATTCCTGGGTTCAAATATTTTCTGTTGGATTTTCACTTCTTGAAATTTTCAGTGACTCCTGGAAGACCACCCTTCTTGGGGGATGTACCCATTGTGACCACAGATAATGTCACCATGGAAAATCCTGGGCAAGATGACCATGGCTGAGAAGGTCCTTTCTATCACACTTGACAGAATCACTGCCTGATTCTTCTTTAGATGCAATGAGTCACACCACAGATTCGTCTGGGTCATTTCAGACTCCAGGAAAATGTGTCACTCGATTTGTTTCCGAGCAATGTTTTGTATTTTATTGTATACATGTATATCTAATTGTAATCTGATTTCTCTAGGTTATTCTTTTTGGCTAATAGAGAATAGATTTTTAAAAAATGCTAATTCATGTTCCTCAAAAGGGGCTTCTTTTTTTCTTTTCCTCGGTTGAAAAGTTAGTGATAATTCCAGGTAATTAAGAACATTTTATGGAAAAAAATTGCCAAGAAAGTAATTGGGCTGGGAGCCCAGTGTGTTACACCTACACTAGAGCCTCATTTTTGACAAATCTCTGAAATGATAACAATAATGATAATAATCATTATGTATCGTTTATCAAGCACTTACTTTTGGTAAGCAATGTACTAGGAACTTAAGATATATATTAATTTTTGTCTTTACAAGTGGTAAGTGATGTACTACTCTATAGTCTCAATCTTATAAATGAAAAAAACCCTCCGATTTGAAAAGTAAAGAAACTTAATCCAGAACACACATGGAAGCCCAGAATTTGAAAGTGGTTTTGGCTGCAGAGGGCTGTCTTCTGAGCTGCCTCTCCATAGCCTCAGGTTCTGCATCTTCAGGATGAGTGTCTTGGGTGGGAGGGTGTCTATGTAGTGGTGATCTTCCATGGCCAGTTGATTTTCTCCCGCCCCTACTCTCCTGAGCCTAGCCTTGGCATTTTCAATAGCTCTCTGGCATCTGGGCCTGTCTCTCAAAGACCTTCTGGACCACATGTCTGAAACGGAACTCACTGATTCTCTAGCTGCCATGTCTCTACTCTGTGATCCATGTGATGTTTAATGGGAGGGAGTACCCTCGATTCTGTAGTCCGAACTTAAGGCTCTCTAACTACCTACCTTTTTTCACCTGTCATGATTATTATCCAACCTGGCAGAGAAGTGACCTGTGCAGGAGGCATTACAGTCTGACCACCTGGGTTTGAACCCTGACTTCCCTGTTTACCAGCTGTGCAGTGCTGGACAAGTTACTTTACTCCTCTGCGCCTTGATTTTTTTTCATCTGTAAAATGGAGTCTAAAATATTATTTATTTTATAAGGTTGTCTAGTTCAGATTGTTGGTAATGTTTGACAGAACTATTAAAATAGCCTTCAGGCTGCTGTTTCTGCAGTGAGGCTCCTCCTTCCATAATCCAGCCCCTCTGGATTACAGAATAAAATAAATAATAAACATGATAATTTCCTGCTTAAAAATCTTTAAGACTCCCTATTGCCCTCAGGTCGAACTATTGAATCAGGAAAAGGCTTTCATTATTTTCCTCCAACTGCCCTTTCCAGAGTCATTTTCCACCATGACCCTCTAAGCAATTTCCACTCTAGCAGCAAAAAATTATACATATGATGTTCTTTTATTTCTCCAGACTTTTGACTGTGCTGTGCTCTCTCTATCAGGAATGCCCTTCCTTTCAATTTCCATGTAGCAAAAGTACATTTATCTTGCATGGCTCAGTTCAAAAGACACTTTTTTTTTAAAGGCAGCATAAATTGAGACAGTCACTTCTAGAATGCATTCCTCTGTTTTAGAACCTAGTATGTTGATAACAATCATATGCATGGTAATTATTTGTCTACCACTAGGCTGTGGACTGCTGTGGGGAGGGACTATGTTTTTTTAAACTTAATATCTTTTGTTCTAGGGCCTCACATGTAGTGGGAGCCTCCCAAATTTAGATTAATATATAAAATATCTTTCCTCACTCCTAAAAATGACTTAGAGCAAATGTGAATCAAATGACTGTAATGTTGTTAACTAGTTGAATTAACTCCTGTTAGCTTAAGATAATAAAGGCAGTGAACTTGTAACAAAATTAAATTAAAAACTGAAGTGCAATTATAGTGTTCTTACTGTCTCCAAGATAAAACCATGATACATTTTTTTCCTAGCACACGTTACATTTTTTCTGACATCATAAGAAAATCTGAGAACAGAAATCCTTTCAAGCATTTCGTTTGATAGAGAACATCTATATTCCATACAGCATTCCATTAGGAAAGGAGCCTGCTTTTCTCTTATCTGTCCTTACTCTAAACGTAATATCTTATGGGAGACAGTATATTAGCGGTTAAGATCATAAGCTCTGGATCTGGAATGTCTGGGTTTAAATGCTGGTGCTGCCATTTATAAGATGTGTAATGGCTGGAAACAGTTTTCTTGGGACCTGCTATCTCATCTGTAAAATGGGTACCATAGTAACATTCAGTGTAGTGAGTGGTTATGAGGATCAAATGAGTTAATGCATCTAGCACTTAGATGAGAGTTCATGTATCTTGCACTTAGATGAGAGCCTGGCTTATACTAGGTGCTCTAAAAATGTGTCTTCTTATTTGGTTGGTGTTTATAAGAGAGGCACCTGAAATCCTGATAGAAAGGTGAGGAGGATTTCATCATCAGGGAACAGTGGAAAGAGATGGAGAAGTCTTGAGAGCTTGTGAGAATGTCCATTCACCTGTGCAAGGACCAGTTTATCTATTTCAGATATAATTCCAACACTTCCATGATTCAGTGCTTCATTTCATCATTTTACACATGGAATTACGTGTAGGAACGAACCCAAGTGTAAACTTAGCCATCAGGAAAGTTAGCTCCAGAACTATCTTGCCTGAGTTTGAATCCCAGCTCCATGACATGCTGGCTGTCTCACCCTGGGCAAGTGTTTTCATTTATTAAAGATTAAATTTTTTCATCTGGCAAATGAGGAAAAAAAGAGTAATTTTTGCCTTTTACCTGTGGTGAGAATTAAATGAAAAACCATCACTCAACATGCTTATCACAGTGCCTGTCGTATAGTAAGTGCTTAATGTGTTGACTACTATTTTCATGTTGCAAATATTATTGAATATTTTTACCACATGGTGTGGTTTTTTCAAGTAGTTATTGAAGAGAGTAAAAACATTTATTTATGTAGACTTAAAAATGTAAGGTGAGCACCTCTATACTCACCATCCCAGGTTATAAAATGAAAGGTTGCCACTTTCTTAGAAGTCTCTGCAGGCCTTTCTGGGCACATTCCCATCTCTCTCTCCAGCGCGTTACTGTTCTCCTGGCCTTTGAATCATCGTATACTTGCTTTACTTTATAATTTTAGTTCTTATAAATGTACCACTAAACAGTATGTTATTTGGTTTTGTCTTTTATGAATATTATAGTAATGTAATTGATATATATTTTATATTCTGTGTTTTGCACTCAGCAGATGCAGCTGGATTGATGCATGCACTGTAGTTCATTCAGTGTCATGCTGAATAGTATTTTATGATATCAACATCCTACAATTTACTTTGCTATTATTTTTTCTATTGATGGACATCTGGACTGTTATTTATTTATTGCTATCACAAAGCCTGCTATATAGAACATTCTTGTACATGTGCCCCTATAGGAGACTTTCTATATATACACCCCGGTGTCTATATAAAGACTTTCTTTAGGAAGTTAGACCTAGGAGTGGAGTTACTCACTTGTAAGATGTGGGAATATTCAAATTTACTTGGTAATGGTAAACTCTTTTCTAAGTGGCAGCACATGAAGGAGTTTTCAGCAGAAGATTATTAGGTACATATTTCAGATCCTCATAAAAATTATATATGTGGTAGTTAGTCTCCAAGATTCCACAGTTTCAACATAAAATCCAAATCATCCACTTCTCTTGGTGTTCATACCCTTGTGTGGTCCCCTCCCACATTATGCCAAGGCTGGTCTGTGTGACCAGTATAATTCAGGAAGAGTGATGGTATTGTTGCTTCTGTTTTGGACATCTTTCTTCTTGTCTCTTTTGCATCTCTCACTCTGGGGGACACAGCTTCCCTGTTGGAAGCAATTCTATGGAGAGGCCCATGAGGTGAGGAGCAGAGGCCTCCAGCAAACAGCCAGTGAGGAGCTGTGGCATGCCACCAGCCATGTGACTGAGCATAGGAGCCAATTTCTAGCTCCTTGGATCTTGAGATGACTGCAATTTGAGAGCTTGACTATAATCTCATGAAAGATCCTGAACCAGAATTGCCCTGCTAAGCTGCACCTGGTCATGAGTCCCCCCCGCCCCCCCCCCCCACACACAAATGTGAGATTATAAGTATTTGTTGTCTTGAGCTAAGCTTTGAGGTAATTTTTTATGCAGCAAAGATAACTAATACATATTCTATTAAAAAGGTGAAAAATTCCAAGTTCCCTTAAGGAATATGTGAAATAAAGCAGGATATTAAAACAAATAGATTTGAAAATGGATAACATTAAAAGTTGATGCACCTGTAATTCTAGGTGCTATTAAGTTAGTTAGCCATGTAAAAAAAAACCCATAGAGATGGGAGACCAAGGATAATTTGTGATTCATAACCTGTAACAACGCATGTCAAGCGTGTTCACGTTTTTTTAGTTGATCTTGATTTATCATTATTAGAGTCCTTTAGATGTCTTTATAAGTTATTCTTGATGCAAAAACATTCATTATAACATAATAGCAAAAAAGAAGCCATTTAGTTATACAGAAATAAGAGAAAAGTTAAATATGTCATATATCTACTAAAGAGAATATTATAAAGTCATGACAAATATATACATATTTTTTAAGTGACATATTCCAAGCATAATGTTAAGTGACAACAGCGGGATATGCTATACAAACAGTATAAAACCAACTATTCAGTGACTTAAGGGTGAAAATGGCATCTCTTAGTTGTGAGATTATGTGGGAATTTGTTTTCTTCATTAAACTTCTGGACTTTCAAAGTCTAATAAACATACGTTAAGACTACTATTGTTAGAAAAAAGTGTATTTAGCATTGAAGAAATTACTTTTAATTCATTTTTAGTAATACAAAGAAATGCGGACAGCAAACTTTGCCTTCAGATTGGGCAGAAAATCCCTATCAAATATATATCAACAATGAGCATCTGGAAAGGTTCCGGTTGCTATTTCGAGTTGGCTTCCTTTCAAATTATCTTGATCTTTGGATCTAATCATAGTCCTCTATCTTGTTATAATTGCTGGTCCTTTTGATTTCTCTTACAGAAGTGAAGATATATTCTAAGAAGTGTATCCTTAGATGATTTCGTGGTTGTGTAAACATTATAGCATGTATTTACACCAACCTAAATATTATAGTATAGCCTACTACACACCTAGGCTGTGGTGGTCTAGCCTTTTGCTTCTAGGCTACAAACCCATACAGTATGTTACTATTCTGAATACTGTAGGCAATTGGAACACAATGGTAAGAATTTGTATATTTAAACATAAATGTATAAGAATTGGTACATCCAAACATGCAAAAGGAAATATTTTATGATAATATCTTATTATGGCTTCAATGTCACTAGGCCATAGAGAGGAATTTTTCAGCTCTATTATACTCTTATGGGACCACCATCATATACGTAATCCACTGTTGGTGGAAATGTCATTGGAAGGCATGACTTTTTTATTCATCGTTTTGTGGACTTCAGAGCTATTGGAGAATCAGAGGGTAAATTCACAGAATACTCTAAATTTAAATGTGACTAAAGTTTATATTCTTCAGTTTCTGCTCATGAAGTTGAGAAGAATAAGATAAATGCGATTTCACGGAGGCATTGTGGAGGCAAGGGTTGCCTAATACCTTTTTATATCAGAAAGGATTTTTATCTAAGGCAGCCAATGCTGGCATAATTGAAGAAGGAATTTAAGTTGAATAGGAGCTGGAGTCATTGCCTGCACAGTGACACTTCATGGCATAATAAGTATAGAAATTTTTGATATTAGTTTAAAAAGAAAAATTCTCAAAACTTAGTGTTTGAATAGACTGAAAGTGTTCTTTTTTTGTTTTAAAAATGCTCTTTATAACCATATTTTTGCCCATTAAATTAAGCTTGGAAAAGACCTTAAAATAGAGTATTTAATTTGGAAGAATTAAGCAAAGTTCCATCACGCAGGAACTGCTTCAACATGTTGGTGTATTTCTTCTGATATTTATATTTCCTTTCTGCATTTCCATTACACCCTGTACTTTTAGCTTGCATGCTTTGTTATTACTGAATATTTCCTTCTAGACTGTCAGTTCCCTGAGGACAGAGGCTATGCCTTTCTGGCTTATCATCTTTTCCTCACCTTAGAGTTTAGTAGGTGCTTAATAAAAACATGTTGAATGAGTAACTTGGTTGGACAATTACACGGAAAAGAGGAAATCCATGAGTAGAAAAATAAGTGAAAGTAAAGCTCTATGCCAGTTGAGACTATTGGCAATTTGAAGTGTCAGTGTCCTTCTGTTCTTGGTCCCAGGTGCCATCAAAGGTAGGTGGAACCAAGGCCAGGTACCAGGTGCCACCTGAGTGCTCCAGGGCCAGTGCCAAGTGGAAGTTCTGGGAAGGTTTCTGTGAGGGTGCTCAGTCAGTGCCAAGGAAAGAGATCACACCTGGGTTTCTGAACTCCAAAAGGGCAAAGCAGAAGAAGGAGCTTTGGGTTTAGCAGGAAAATATCATGGCTTTTGGCTTTATTTGAAACCTCGAACACTGAATCATATTTGCTTCTCAAAGCAGTGAGCTATTTTGTTTTATCATGTACAAAATACTGATCTCAGGTATTTCAAGCAATAGGAAAACATTACCAGTTATGGCAAGCACTGGAATTTATAATTTGGTGACTCTGCAAAGATCTAATCATTCCAACATCATTATTCCAAGCGTTATTTGATTAATCATTGCATTTATAGAGAATCTCTTACCAGTATTTATTGTTTAGATTTTTCCAATGCCCTCATCACTGAGGTCTCTGGTTGCATGTGTAGAAGATTAAGAGATACAATAAGCTAGGAAGAATAGATCAAGCAACACACACTAGACCTAGGCCAAACTAAATAAATATGTCTATTTCTAAGGCCTGGAATTCAGCAAGAACAGACACAAATTCTTGCATATATAAAAAAGTAAAATTTTTACAAGAAAGAGATTTCAGCCTTAATTTGATCTGATTTTGCTTAAGTTAAGCAGTTTTTTATCTATAAGCCAGTGTTCATAATTATTTTTTCGTATTATTTTTCCAATCATGGTTTGAAGATAATAGGAGCCATGAGGAAGCAGAACCAAGAAATTAAAAATAAAATTCTCCAAGTTGTGAATTGAGGACAAAGCATGTGTTTCCAACTCAAAACAAATAGTTTAAAATCCTTTTTGAATCTGGTGTTAATAAAATCAACCAGAACAAATTACAGCTAAACGCAGTTCTTCCTAGTGTCAGTTACAAGCCAAATCCCCTAGTTTAGATTCTGAATTTTAATTTCTGATCATGGGTGAATTACTCACCTCCTTGTGCCTCGGTTTCCTCTCCTATAAACTAGGGACAATAACAGTATCCATCTCATAGGATTGCTGTGAGGATCCCACAAGGTAATATGTGTTAAGTTCTGAGAATAATGATGGACAAATAATAAGTGCTATATAAATAGCTATAATTACGATTAAACAATGAAGCAAAACACTTGCCTATCGTTCTAGATCATTTCATCTTTTTTTCTTTACAAGAGAATGCATTTGTTACTCTTTATAGCTTTATAGTTCATTTTATACTCATTCTTATCCTTCTATACAAGACTGCTTCTCTTGTTCTTCTGTTGGTAAGTCTGATTTCTTTTAACTAGCCTCTTATAAGGTAGAATGCTACAATATGCTGGGGCCAGAAAGGTGTCTTTGTGTTTTTTGACATTCTAGAATCAGCCACAGCATGTGATCCACATTAGAAATCTGTAGGAAAATAAGAGCAATTTCTTAAAATCCTTTTGTGTTCTTATTTTTATTTTTTAAGACAGGTTCTCACTCTGTCACTCAAGTTGGAGTGCAGTGGCAAAATCACACCTCACTGTAGCAGTTATCAACCTCGCTGGCTCAAGCAATCCTCTCATGTCAGCCTCCCAAGTAGCTGAGACCACAGGTCCCATCATGCCTGGCTAATTTTTTAAATTTTTCTTAGAGATGGGTGTCTCCTTATGTTGCCCTGGCTAAACTCCTAGGCTCAAGCAATCCTCCCACCTCAGCCTTCCAAAGTGCTAAGATTACAGGCCTGAGCCACTGTGACCAGCCTTTCTCTGCTCCTAAAATACATTTCTTTATATATTTGTGTCCTGGAATGCAGGTGATTGAATACCTCATTTTGCTACTATTTAAAAATGGAGAATAAGAGAGAAATTTTTTTATGTGAGTATCATTATTGACATGACTGTGCATAAGAAAGCTGTATATACTGGTTCTTTCCTGGGAGATCCGAAGTGAGAAACCAGTTGTCCATTTCACTGGCTCTTCACTTGGCCATCTCCTCCATGGTGAAGCTGTGCAGTGGACAGAGGTCTCTGGACAGCAGAAGCTGCACCCTGATGCTCTACCTATTATTGCAGGCTCTATTACATGGATGGTTATTTCAGTTCCCAAGCCTCAGTTACCCTGGCTATCCTATGTGAGCTGTACATCCCTGCCTACATCAAAGCAAGAACTTGGCCCAGGAGGCAGTGGACCAAGTGGTCCAGGACCCAACTCTTAGGTCTATGACTCAGTTTACTGGAAAAGCCTTGTAATTCTTCCTACCTATAGAAACATCTTTAAAATCCAGCAGTCAAGCAAGGATATCTCTTGCCACGGACTTTTTCTAAATCTATTTGCCTTCAGCTATGGAACTGGGAAGGCTCTTTCAAAGGGACATTTTTCTCCTCCCACCCAAGGTGATGGTAACATTGCTAAATGCCATTTGGATCATGTCGCTTCCCCTCGAGAAATCCTCCAGTTGCTTTTCCTTGAGTATGGGGTAACATATCAGTATCTACATGTCATTCACAGCCCTTTGTACTGGACCTCTGGGGTCTACTTTCCCACAAGTATCTTGGCTTTGACCCTAATAAGTGTGACACTTTCCTTCATTTGCTGTCTTTTCTCTTCCTCATGCCTTGCCTTTGGCTGGATTATTTTTTCTGTTGTTGAGATATTTCTTTGATTTTTTGCTAGGCTAAATCCTCCCCTTCCTATACATTAAACTCAGGTGTCTTGTCCTCTGAGAAGTCTGTCCTGAACTCTAGGCTGAGCTGGATGACGCCCTCTGTACCCATCCAGTGCTCACAGCATTAGCTACACTGTGTTGTACCTGCCTTTTGGTGTTCATGTTGTTCATTGGTCTGGAAGCTTCTGAGGACAGGGACTGAAACTTTTGTTTTGGCAACTCTTGCATGCAGCCCAGAGCCTGGCAGATGGTAAGAAGGTCAATAAATGTTTATTGAATAAATAAAAGAATGAAGCCTAAATTTGATAAGTTCTCCCATATGATAATTAGAGACACCATAAACCTAGAGGACATTATGATTTTAGGCAGATTTATAGCTAGAGGAAAACTGTTCCCAAAGAATTTAGAGAAGGGAGAACTAGATCAGACGATAAATGCATGATGGTTTATAAGAATTAGAAAGAATATAAGGTAAGATGTAGGGGCTCCTGAACCTGGGGAGGAGTTTTCAGTAGGTAACATATTCAAATGAGTTAGCTTTGAAACAGATGAAGTGAACAGTTCTGATTTTAGGGATTAAAAAGTTCATTAAATTAATACAAATTGTTGGAGAAGAACTTGTTTGAAAGTGCTCAAAATGAGCTAAGAGTGTAATAGAAGCTCTCTAAACTTTTATTATTATTAACGGCATATTGAGCACCCAGTACCTACTGAGCATTTTCAATAAGTGCTTTAAAGGCATAAACTCATAGGATTTAGCCCTCATCACATCTCTATGAAGTAGGTCATTGGTAATATTAGCCCTGTTTGTGGATGAGGAGGCTGAGGCTGAAGTATTGTAACCCACATGCCGAAGCTTACAGGGTTGGAAAATGTGGGTCTGACTGAGTGAGTCCAAAAGCCATGGATTGCAGGAGGGACGGTCTCACTTCATTCTGCATTGTCAGATCATGGGGAAAGATTGGTTCTATTTTGAGTGCCCATTTTAAGATGGTTACAGACAAACTAGAGTGCATTCTGTAGGGGGAAGCTGTTGTGAATTTAGGAATGACCATTAATCACATCTTGTTCTTTTACTCAGATTTCTGAACCAACTTACGGATACATGAAGAAGTCAGACAAGGCCGGGTGCGGTGGCTCACGCCTGTAATTCCAGCACTTTGGGAGGCCGAGGTGGGCAGATCAGGAGGTCAGGAGATTGAGACCATCCTGGCTAACACGGTGAAACCCCGTCTCTACTAAAAATACAAAAAAATTAGCCAGGTGTGGTGGTGGATGCCTGTAGTCCCAGCTACTCAGGAGGCTGAGGCAGGAGAATGGCATGAACCTGGGAGGCCGAGCTTGCAGTGAGCCAAGATCACGCCACTGCACTCCAGCCCGGGCTACAGAGCAAGACTCCATCTCAAAAAAAAAAAAAAAAAAAGTCAGACAAATAGAAATCTAGAAATCCAAATGTCAGCTTTTTCAGAGGAAACTTGTGTTATGGTTAAATAGATGGGCTACTCCTGTACCCCTAGCCCCACATTAAGTGTAGCCATCAGAAGTGCAGATTCACCCTGTAAGGGCCTAAGCCTGCCTGCTAAACTCACCACAGGCAGGGAGAAAATTGAACTCTGCAGGCAGGTCCAAAGCAGCAGGCGCCGTAGACCTATAAGGACTTAGCCAGCCATGCCCAGGGATGTCCCTCAGATTCAACAATCAGGCAAGCTATTCCTTTTCTTATGGGCAGGAAGGAATCAGAGAGAGGTCAAAAGTGTGACTCTAAATCTTCGTAGAGACACATAAATCCCAGGAATAAAGTCCTCATCCTTAGCCATGGCCAGGATGCTAATTGTCACATCAGTGGGACCAAGGGGTGGAAAGACTGTTGTAAGGGTTAAATTTATGTGTCCAATTGACTGGGCTGTGGTACCCAGATTTGGGGTAAAACATCAATTGAATTGCTGTGAAGGTGTTTTGTAGATGTGTTTAACACTCGAATTAGTAGACTTTGAGTAAAGTAGATGAACTTCCATGATATGTGTGGGCCATATCCAATCAGTTGAAGGTCTCAGGGGCTAGGAGAAATACTCCTCAAGACTACAATATCAACTCTTTCTTGAATTTCCAGCCTGCCTGCCTGCCCTACAGATTTCAGAGCTGCCAGTCCCCAAAATTCTGTGAGCCATTCTTTAAAGCCAGTCTCTCTCTCTCTCACTCTCTGTCTCTCTCTAGACATAGGTATACATATATATATATATATGGATGGATGGATATATACACATATACACACATATATATATGGATGGATGTATACACATACATATATATGAGTATCTCCTATTGGTTCTGTTTCTCTGAAGAGTTCTGATTAATACAATGTGGAATGTGGGAATGTGGAATCTGTAGCTGAGGAGTCAAGATGGTGATCATGGAAGCTGTTTTCACATTTCTGAGGGGTTCCCACAGGACAAGCTATGTAGCATCTGAGATGGTTTAAATGGAGTGTGATAACTTTGTTGGTCGTACTATAGAAGAAGTGCTCATGTTATGAGAAGGCTGACTCATGGCTGGCTGTTAGGGTCACTTTGAACTCTTTTAAGAGTAGTGAAGCTATTTTATGCTTCTGTTAAATAATCTAATGCCACAGGTTTTTTTTTTCACATTTCATTGTTTGTGAATTTCTTTCACATCTCTTAGTTTATTGGTTTTCCCGTAGTGCATAGCACACAAGTAGGCAATTATGGAATTGAATTAAGAGTTTAATAATGGCTCATTAGGAACCAAATTTCAACTTTAAATGAGCACATATTTCTCTATTTTTTGTGTTGCTTTGTTCCTATATGTATTTCTTTTAAAGTATTCATTTGTAAAAAATAACCAGCATATTGGTAATGTCCAGTATTACTTGGTTATTTAATTATAAATTAAACTACATAGCTCACAGGATTTTTGACCAGAACAAAGCAAGAAATTAAAATACTAACAAGAAAATAACCTAATTTGTAAAATAACGTTCTCTGAAATCAATTATCTTATTTTCACAGGAAATAAAATTAGGAGAAATCTGCTAAATTCATCCAAAATAATACAAGAGTTTGGGAATATAAAAAAAGTACTACTTCTTTAAATGCTAATGAACACCAGCTTTATCATTTCTAAAGAAGAGGATTTTGGTGTTATTTTTCTTCTCCCAGTGAAAAATTTACTGCTCCTACCTGGCAAAGGGACATGGGCTTGAGCCTGATATTTGAGACTGTATAAATAGCTGATCTGGAAATTTCAAGCCAATTTTATCCTCTTTCCTTCAACTGCAGTTTCATGCTCTCCCCTCTACTCCTTGAATTATCCCATCAACATTCTTGGTCATTCAGGGTTGATGAAGCCATCATGCCATGATCAGCTGCTTAACTTGGCACTCTGTGAGGGAGGGGGGATCTTTTTGAAGCCCTGACACCATTCCCCTGTCCAGCTCGTCTTGCAGGGCAGTGAACAAGAGGCTGAGCAGAAGGTATCAGAATCTTTGGAAATGGGACCCATCAGATGTTTCACAAGTCAAAGTATTCTGATGCATACTCAAGTTTGAGAGCTACTGGTTTATAGCAGTTCAGCTCCTCACAAACACAAATATATGCACATTTGTGGTATTCCTTCAGTGAAGATGGCTCTGGTCACATTGAAACAGTGAATATGTGCCTTTGTGTGTGTGTGCGTGTGTGTGTGTGTGTGTGTCTGTGTGTGTGTCTGGTGTTTGGGGGTAGAAGTGATAACCAGGAAATGTCCCATGAAATGTCTCATGAAGCAAAGGCAGGGGTATTTTCTATGAACTATCTCCATTAATCTGTGGGCCTGCATTCCTGGAAAATCTTCACTCAGGATCCCTAAGGCTTCCTAGAGCAAAGGTGGCCCAGCCTGGGTCTTGGCATAGTATGACCTCAGGGTGTCCAGGCTGAGGACAAGGTGAATGTCCTGCCTCTGCTGCGCTGGGTCTGGGTGCCCTGGTGTGCTCCTGCCCTCTCCTTGTCAGGGAACCTTGGACTGGGTCTGGGGCCTGAGCTCAATTCCCAGACCCACCTCTATTGAGCTATGTGACCTTGGGTCCTATGCTCCCTGGGCCATCTGTGGTGAGTGGGCCATATGACAGGCCATCTCAGGGAGGTGGGCAGGGATGGTGCTCACCATACAGGCCTCCCTCACTTCTCTTCACCTCCAATTGTATGCAGAAGACTTCAGTATTACACATCCTTCCATGAAGGACCTCTCCTACCAGAAAAAAAAAAAAATAAAAGCAAAAGGAAATGATTTCTCGTTCACTTTCAGCTCGGAAACTCGACAGGCAGGCCTTGGCTTGGTGTCTTAACTCGGCAGCCCTGTGGTGCTAGGTTTTATACATTATTTCAAAGGGCTAGAGTTCCCCTCTGAAGATTTGTTTTCTGGTGGTGGGCTTAGCAACTCTATTTTTTTCTCCTTAATCTATTTTCTTACACAAAGAACAAATGCCTCCAAGTACAATTGCACCCAGATTACTAGACTCTCCTTAAACATTACCAAAAGCTATAATTTTGAAATTCTTTTATCTATCCCAAGCTAATAGCAGTTTTGCATGTCTTTATATTGTTTTCATCTGTTTCTTAGCTGCCCCCTCCTCTTGGGTTATTGTCTCTGGAATATGTGCGGGCTTGTTTAATTTTAGTGCTGAATTTGGGATATGGAAAAGATTATTCCTAATTATATTACTTATTTGTTGAAACATAATATATTTATATGGACCTTCTGTGCTCCAGAAGCAGTGTGTTCTTTTGTGAAGACATTGCTGGAGTTGCCAAGGCGGGGATCTGAATTGAACAGGATCTGAATCTAAAGCAATCTAGGAGTAGATCTATCCTTCAGCATCTTCAAACCAACTTATCAAATATTTCTTTCAACATGAAACATTCACCCCAGCCCTGTAGCCAACTAGTTCAGTGCTATTTTTTCTACAATTCAATGAACCCGTGAGGCCCCATCTAAAACAATCACCACAGCAGAACCTTGGGGTCTAACAAAGATTTCCCTCCCAGGGAGAATAAGGCATGTTGAATTGGTTTGAATCAATGGGGCATTTTTTCTCTTGTTGGCCTGGTGATTACAACCCTGTCTCTTAAACTGCACTCAACTCAAATGACTTTTTTTAAATGATATAATGCTACTAAAGAATAGAAAATACATTCTTGGTCAAGCTATTACCAAGCAGAAAAGAAAAAAAACTCCATCACTTTGAATTTCTCACTTTGTCAATAAAATTATCAACCTCGACTTCCTTTATGTTTCTTGGTGCCTGCTGTTAAGCCATGAGTCAGAAACCCCCAGCTTTGGATGTTGTCATAGAGCCCAGACACCATATGCTCCTCTGTCATGAGAGCAGGACCAGCTATATGATTTGTGGGGGAGCCCAATGCAAAATGAAAGTGTGAGGCCCCCTGCTCAAAAATTATGTAGGATTTCAAGACGGCGACAGCAGAGCATTAAAGGAAGTGCTGGGCCCTTCGGAACCACACAGGACACATGTGCATGAAGCTAGCCCTTGTTCAAAGACAGACCTAGTTGAGGAGGAGGAAGAGTCCATTTCCTTCTCTCCTGCTTGTCAGCCCAAGTTATTTAGGTTTATCTCAGAGGTCTGCATTCAATTCTCCCAACTCAATGAACTGCCTCTCTCCTTTCCAAATTTGCTCTGCATTTGGGACTCTCTCTAAACAAGGTGTGCAGCTTCGTGCAAAGTTAAGTCACACTGCCAAGTCCTCTAAGGCCTGATGAAAGCCTTGGGGCACCAGGAGGGGCAGAGAGGCAGCCCTCGTGCCTCACCACGCTGCTCTGCTCTGCCAGAGGTAATCGCTTTGCAGATTCTCAACTACATCTCCAACTGTGGTGTTTTCTCTCCTTTGTCCTTCTGACAAAGACTTTTATAATTCTCTTTAAATGTTCCAGGGATTTTTTTGCTCTTTCAAATAATTGTTATCAATCCCTACCAAATGCCTTAGATCTTCTCCTCCTCCTTGTCTTTACTGTAAATATTTTCCCTTCTCTTCAGCAGCAACGTTATGCCTATACATAGTAACAAAATCTCTACAGCTATCTTAGTTTCTTTATTCTTGTGTCTTCAAAGACTCCCAAATCTTGCTCTGTTGGTGTTTGTTGAACTTTTCTAATAAGATGACTTTTAAAAGAAAGCTAAATACATATATTTTTTTTATGATACTTTAAGTTTTAGGGTACATGTGCACATTGTGCAGGTTAGTTACATATGTATACATGTGCCATGCTGGTGCGCTGCACCCACTAACTCATCATCTAGCATTAGGTATATCTCCCAATGCTATCCCTCCCCCCTCCCCCCACCCCACCACAGTCCCCAGAGTGTGATATTCCCCTTCCTGTGTCCATGTGATCTCATTGTTCAATTCCCACCTATGAGTGAGAATATGCGGTGTTTGGTTTTTTGTTCTTGCGATAGTTTACTGAGAATGATGATTTCCAATTTCATCCATGTCCCTACAAAGGACATGAACTCATCATTTTTTATGGCTGCATAGTATTCCATGGTGTATATGTGCCACATTTTCTTAATCCAGTCTATCATTGTTGGACATTTGGGTTGGTTCCAAGTCTTTGCTATTGTGAATAATGCCACAATAAACATACGTGTGCATCTGTCTTTATAGCAGCATGATTTATAGTCATTTGGGTATATACCCAGTAATGGGGTGGCTGGGTCAAATGGTATTTCTAGTTCTAGATCCCTGAGGAATGGCCACACTGACTTCCACAATGGTTGAACTAGTTTACAATCCCACCAACAGTGTAAAAGTGTTCCTATTTCTCCACATCCTCTCCAGCACCTGTTGTTTCCTGACTTTTTAATGATTGCCATTCTAACTGGTGTGAGATGGTATCTCATTGTGGTTTTGATTTGCATTTCTCTGATGGCCAGTGATGGTGAGCATTTTTTCATGTGTTTTTTGTCTGCATAAATGTCTTCTTTTGAGAAGTGTCTGTTCATGTCCTTCGCCCACTTTTTGATGGGGTTGTTTGTTTTTTTCTTGTAAATTTGTTTGAGTTCTTTGTAGATTCTGGATATTAGCCCTTTGTCAGATGAGTAGGTTGCAAAAATTTTCTCCCATTTTGTAGGTTGCCTGTTCACTCTGATGGTAGTTTCTTTTGCTATGCAGAAGCTCTTTAGTTTAATTAGATGCCATTTGTCAATTTTGGCTTTTGTTGCCATTGCTTTTGGTGTTTTGGACATGAAGTCCTTGCCCATGCCTATGTCCTGAATGGTAATGCCTAGGTTTTCTTCTAGGGTTTTTATGGTTTTAGGTCTAACATTTAAATCTTTAATCCATCTTGAATTGATTTTTGTATAAGGGGTTGCAATCCTAGTCTCTGATAAAACAGACTTTAAACCAACAAAGATCAAAAGAGACAAAGAAGGCCATTACATAATGGTAAAGGGATCAATTCAACAAGAAGAGCTAACTATCCTAAATATATATGCACCCAATACAGGAGCACCCAGATTCATAAAGCAAGTCCTGAATGACCTACAAAGAGACTTAGACTCCCACACATTAATAATGGGAGACTTTAACACCCCACTGTCAACATTAGACAGATCAATGAGACAGAAAGTCAACAAGGATACCCAGGAATTGAACTCAGCTCTGCACCAAGTGGACCTAATAGACATCTACAGAAAGCTAAATATGTATTTATAACTCTTCCATGAAAGTCTGCCTGCTCTCCCCACTCCTAAATATATTAGTGATTTCTGAGCATAAAAAATAGATTGATTTTGTGACATTATGAACTGGTAGTCATAGTTTGCCTACTGATAACTTTGCCAAACACAGGAGCATGTGGACATTGTTGCCTCTAAACCCAGCTGCATTCCCTGCAAACTGGATGCCCTCAGAGGAGAAGGGTGAGAGGGTCCTTTATAGAATATTTTTGCTGATAGTGGTTGCCACTAGGCAATGACATTCACAGATGTTCGCAAATGGGTAGTTCAATTAAAAGTTTTCATAAATCAAGTTCAGGACCTCTGAATCACCCTACCACAGAAAATTGACAGATGCATTGAAAATGAAAATTAAATGCCAGGGCTGCATGAACCATTTCTTCCTGTTCTGTTCAATGTTACTACTTGTTTGCGGAGGGGAACACTTGGAATTTCCACTTCTGCAAGTGGGACCCATTTCTCTCTGGGCCTTAATTCCTCCTGATGACAGGCTGAATATGGTAGTGACTATAGTCTCAGGAAGATACATCAGAAGCCATGCAGTCAGCTTCTCCAATACTTTCTTTGCCTATTAATTTCTACATGACTTTGGTCAGATCACCAGATGCCTTGATTTCCACATTTTAAAAATGATAATTGTACCTGTGATCATGGATAATTTTTTTCTTTGCAGGGAGGTGAGTAATGTGGATAAAAGAAATACCTGTGAGAGAATTTAGAAATATTTGAAAGGAAGAACTCTTCCTTCAAATGTGTTTTGTTTTTAGAGATGGGGTCTTGCTATGTTGTCTAGGCAGGACTTGAACTCCTGGGCTTGGACCATCCTATCACCTGAGCTTCCAGAGTAACTGAGACTACAGGTGCATGCCACCATGCCCAACTCACATGTGACTTTTTTTTTCTCTCTAGATCTTATTATGGGATTTCCCACTCATTTCTTAGTTATTTTGAAAGACAAGACAGTGAGGTTCACACCTCTGAATGTTTTCTCATTATGTAAGCAAATTTGGACTTAGCTTTTGCATCCATGGCTTCTTGAAAAGAAAGTCTCCTTGAGCCTCTGAGGCTGAATTCTTAGTACATTAACCCTCCTCTTCTGTGTTGCAACTGTGATATAGGAAAGTCTAGTTAGCATCCTGATTTATTTGGTTTTGTTGAGTGTGTGTGTCTCTGTGTTTGTGTGTGTGTGTTTTCCTTGAAGTATTCTTGGCGTGGGCATGTGTGTCTAATTAAAAAAGTAAATTGACAGAGTTGAGGCCACTGGGCTCTTACATAGATTGTTTTCCCATTCCCAGTCCAGGCATACCTCATTTTATCGTGCTTTGCTTTATTGTACTTCACAGATATTGAGCTTTTGAGAAATTGTATATTTGTGTAACCCTGCTTTGAACAAGTCTATCAGTACCATTTTTTCAACAACATGTGCTCACTTCATGTCACTACGTCACATTTTGGTAATTCTCACAGTATTTCCAACTTTTTCATTACAATTATATCTGTTATGGTTGTCTGTCATCAGCAATTTTTAATGTTACTGTTATACTTGTTTTAGGACATCACAAACTGTACCCATATAAGATGACAGACTTAACTGATAAATGCTGCTTTTGTTCTGACTGCTCCACTGACTAGCAAGTCCCTCATCTCTCTTCTTCTCCTTGGGCCTCCCTATTCCCTGAGACACAACAATACTGAATTTAGGCCAATTAATAACCCTTCAATGATCTCTAAGTGTTCAAGTGAAAGAGTCACATGTCTCTCACTTTAAATCAAAAGCTACAAATGATTAAGTGAGGAGGGAAGTTGAAAGTCAAGATAGGCTGAAGGCTAGGCCTCTTGTGCCAAATAGTCAAGTTGTGAATGTAAAGGAAATGTTCTTGCAGGAAATTAAAAGTTCTACTCCAATGAACACATGAATCATAAGAAAGCAAAACAGCCTTATTGTTGATATGGAGAAAGTTTGAATGATTTGGATAGAAGATCAAACCAACCACGACACTCCCTTAAGCCAAAGCCTATTCCAGAGCAAGGCTCTAACTCTCTTCAATTCTGTGAAGGCTGAGAGAGGTGAGGACACTGCGGAAGAAAATTTCAAAGCTGGCAGAGGTTGGTTGATGAGGCTTAAGGAAAGACACCATCTTCATAACATAAAAGTGCAAGGTGAAGCAGCAAGTGCTGATATAGAAGTGGCAACAGGTTATCCAGGAGATCTAGCTAAGATCATTGATGACGGTGGTTACACTAAACAACAGCTTTTCAATGTAGACAGAAGAGCCTTCTATTGGAAGATGCCATCTAGGACTTTCTTAGCTAGAGAGAAGCCAATGCCTAGCTTCAAAGGACAGGCTGACTCTCTTGTTAGGGGATAATGCAGATGGAGACTTTCAGTTGAAGCCAATTCTCATTTACCATTTTGAAAATCCTATCGCCCTTCAGAATTATGCTAAATCTACTCTGCCTGTTCTCTATAAATGGAACCACAAAGTCTATATTACAGCACATCTGCTGGTCATCCAAGAGCTCTGATGGGGATGTACAAGGAGATTAATGTTGTTTTCATGCCTGTTACCACAACATCTATTCTGTAGCCCATGGATCAAGGAGTAATTTTAACTTTCAAGTCTTTTTATTTAAGAAATACATTTCATAAAGCTATCGCTGCCTTAGATAGTGATTCCTCTGATGGATCTGGGCAAAGTAAACTAAAAATCTACTGGAAATGACTTACCATTCTAAATGCCGTAAAGAACATTTGTGATTCATAGGTAGAGGTCAAAATATCAATATTAACAGGAATTTGGAAGAAGTTGATTTCAAGCTTCATGAATGACTTTGAGGAATTCAAGACTTCAGTGGAGGAAGTAACTGCAGATGTGGTGGAAATAGCAAGTGTGCTAGAATTAGAATTGGAGCCTGAAGATGTGATTGAATTCCTGCAATCTCCTGATGAAACTTGAGTGGATGAGAAATTGCTTCCTTGAGATAGAATCTATTCCTGGTGAAAATTCTGCGAATATTGTTGAAATGGTAACAAAGGATTTACAATATCACATAAACTTAGTTGATAAAGCAGTTGCAGGGTTTCAAAGGATTGACTCCAATTTTGAAAGAAGTTCTGCTGTGGGTAAAATGCTACTAAACAGCTTTGCATGCTAGAGACATCTTTCCTGAAAGGAAGAATCATTCAATGTGGCAAACTTCCTTTATTGTCATATTTGCTTTATTGCAGTGGTCTGGAACTCAACCTAAAATATCTCAGAGGTATGCCTATACATCAGCTCCTTGAAGAGTGACACTTTATTAAATGTCCTTTTGTTATAACGTTGATGAAAAAAACACTTCCTGGCTGGAGCCACAGTTCTTGTCAAGTTTGCATGTTTTCTCTATGTCTACATGGGTTTTCTCTGGGTGTACTCAGCTTCCTCCCACATCTCAGAGATGTGCATGTCAGGTGAATGGGCGTGTCTACATGGTCCCAGTGTAAGGGAGTGTGGAGATGTGTGTGTGTGTGAGTGCACTTTGAGATGGGATGGCGGCTTTTCCAGGACCGATTTCTGCCCTGCCTCCTGAGCTGCTGGGATAGGCTCCAGCCACTGGCGATGCTGAACTGAAATGAGAGGGTTGGAAAATAAGTGAATGAAGAATGATTGAATGAATACACATTATTGTAAAATAACAGTTCAAAACTTCTACAACAATAATGCAAATGCACCACAGTAAACAATGCATTCTGAACGCGCTCAGTAAGCCTGCCAGATTTGTTCTTGTTTGTTTGTAAACTGCATGGTGGTGGTAGGTACTCCTTACAATTTTTCCTTTGCAAACATTTACTGCTTGGTTCAATCCACCATCACTAGGACTGCTGTCACTCACTGATTCACCAAAAAAATTGGGTAATTATCTTGTTTCTATTAATCTTTTTTAAGTATCTATATCTCACGTGTATTTCACTGTTTAACATTAGAAGTGTTTTGGTTTGGACTTTTTTAGAAGTTTGGTGATATTTTGGGGACCAGACATAGGCCGTAGGAACTTAATTCTTGTTTATATCAATTAGCTCATAGTAAAATTGGTTTTGCTTAATGTGGCAGTTTCCAAAAACATATGAATATTGTTAAGTGAGGACTTACTGTAATTGTTATGCAACTTCTGTTCTGATAACAACCCAGTTGTTGTTCTTTTTAATGAAATGATACTGGAAGGAAATAGCACTTTGCATTGCTGTAAACTAACAAGGCGTCCTCCTATCCGTGGCTTACTTATGATTCCTCAGCACTTTGCTGCTCTTCGGCACTGTGGGCAGCAGATCTCATTCTGCTGGTGTTTTTCCTTCACTTTGTCATGCCGTCAAGTACTTCTTGCTAATATGGCTCAGTTTCAGTTTGTTTCACCAGAAAATAAATTTTATTTCACAGCTTCACAGCTTTTCATCCTTCCCATGTTACTCCAAACACATGCTCACTGGGTTTCCATAACTCATCGAGTAATCTCTTACAGACTCTTTCTACGTTATAAGAACATTCCCTGTTTGCCTTCCTTGACATCTCTTTCTTAAACTCTTTTCCAACATCAAAATCCTCACTTCCTGGGAGAAAAGAGTTGTGTTGTGAAAAGAGCATACATGGGATTCAGAGTTTTCAGATTCCAGTATTACCTCCTTCTGCAACTCCCTAGCTGTGAAAATTTAAGCGATTGCTCGGTCTCAGTTTCCTTAGTTGCAAATGGGAATGACAAACAGGACTTTCCCCACAGAGGCACTGTGAGGATTACTTGAGATAGTACATGTCAAAAGCTGTTCCTAGAGATTTCAAAATGTGTTCATTGTTATTTCAGCAGGTCGATTTTCTTCTAATTTTTACTTTGATAGACTCTCAATTCATGCAAATAATACATGGCCTATTTGCAGTTTAAATTTAATTACTGATTCACAAAATATGTATTTACTTTCTCCTAACATTAATCATTGGTACCAAGCCAGGTTTTGACCTTTTTTACCTGAGGAATTTAGAGTTGGAAATAAAAGGCAAAATTATAAGGAGGAGAACGAAGTATAGTTCAAGTCCTAAAGTATGCTGATTAACACATTTGTTTGCCTTTGGAACATCTGGGAAAGCAACTATATACTAATTCTCTTAAAAATGATTTATTTAAACATTTGTGGAAGATTCAGGTGTGTGATTTTAATTGCACAATTAATTAATTATTGGTGAGGTCCTTTTATTTCTTCCTAGTAATCAACATAATAAAACGCTGTAGTATAAATTATGGCAGAAAAGAAAATTAATAAATGTAGTTGCAGCTTTTAATTTTTATTCTGAAAGTATGTTTAAACAATTGATTATTAATTTTTAGCTAGATTTTTCTTCTTCCTTGCTCTTTCCTTTCCCCCTTCTCCCTCTTTTTGCTGATTAATTCATTCCTTTCTTCTTTCCTTCAGTTTACACAAACAAAACACAATAATGAGAACAATGCTATATGAAAGGCCTTCCCTAAAAATATTTAAGCTGTGAAAAAATGAAAACAAAGGAATGGACAGCAATAGCTAATCTGATATTTGTCTATGAATTAACAGGTAAGAAGGAAAAAAGGTTGCTGAGTGTGTGTATGTGTGTGTGTGTGTGTGTGTGTGTGTGTGTATTTATGTTTGTTTGTTTATAAACAATCCGGCGCATTCATGCCCAGTGAAGGGTTAATTACTTTTGACGTTTTGTTAATGGCAATGTCGTTCTCTTACTTATTATTGCTTATCTTTTTAGATCAGCTATTTTTAAACTTCTATCAGACTTTGAATGAACTTATCAATTTTCAGTTAATAAAACGTTGAATTTGATATCCTTACAAACTTACCAGTGGTAAATATTATCTCCTAAGTAGTACTGTTTGAAAATCACATCTACTCGTCTTCCAGTGTATCTGGTACCTGGACTATCTAACTGGTACCTGGACCGTTCTCCACTTATGTTTCCTTTGGGTGAAGATTTCAAAGATTTCTGGTAAAACCAAATGTGCTCTTGGGGAAAGTATATCATGAAAACGTATTTACCAGTCATGACTGAAGGATGTAGATGGTTTTAAGCAAGTTTTTTGGAACCATGCAATTCTACCTCCCCTGCTGATTAGCTGCACAGCCTGAATAGTTGCTAAAATTTCTGAAGCTGTTTTCTCATCTGCCAGATGTGTATGGTGGTATCTTTTTTTCTGGGTTATGATAATGATTAAAAGTAGTCATGTTTATAAAGTACATAGCACAGTACCCAGCCTGTACTCAATAAACATCAATAAACTGTATATTCACATAAATACTATATCGATAGCTAATTCTGTGCCTCTTAATATGTCTTGAATTGCCTGTAACAGGAAAATCTGATTCAAACTTTACTATAAAGGCTGAAACCATACAGAGACTCATTGGCTCACATAAGTGGTAAGCAGAGTTAGTCAGGCCTCCAGGTTGGTTTGCTTCAGTGGTGTGGTAAGGTAATATCATCAAGGCCCACTCACCATCTTTCTCTCCCCACTTTACTTCTGCTGTTAGCTTTATCCTAAGGCTGGCTTCTCTTTGCGGTTGGGAGGTGGCCGTGAACACTTCCTGGGTCTACATGTTTCCCCCTCCAGGAGCCTCTCGAAAACGTTAAGAACTCTCCTTTCCTAGAAGCTCCCTGTGTCTCTTTGATCCAACTTGGCCTATATATTTAGCCTATATATTCATCCCAGGCCCCAAAGCTATAACTAGAAGTAGGAATAAAATTGATAAGTTTAAGCCTTAGTCACCAGCTCTAACTTGATGTCAGCTTCTCTCAAAACACAGGGGTTACAAAGGAGAATGTGGATATCCTGGGAAGCAGGGCATGAATAATGAGGAGGAGACCACAGCATCAATTACAGTGTTAATTACACCTAAAGCACCACCAGCAAATCTGTGTATCTCTATGGGACGTGAGTTCTGACAAGGCAGGGCACTAGAGCCAAACGTTACCCTTCCCAGTGTAGCTTAGGACTTGTGATTTCCCCTGTAGAATGTTTTGGAAGAGGTAGGGGTCTTAGAGGTCACCTAGACTTTAAGAGGCTGTCTTAAATCTGGTATCACAGAGCTTGTTATTGGTACACTTAGGAGCAGAACATAGTTGTCCTGATGGTATATTGGATCTCTTTTCCCCATTCAGCGCAGCTCTGCCTCTTAAGCTCTTCCTCTATTTTCTGATATTACATCTGGAAAAGTCACACAGCTAGTGTGTGGCAGTCTTGGAACTGGACCTGCCACTTCAGCCCCATGCTTCATTTAAGGCACCAGTGGAACATGGCGTATTTTGGAAAATATGTCCAGAATGTGTATATACTAACCTGGGCAGGCAAGAACTTTGTTCTTATATTACAATGGAGACCGGGAATGGTGGCTCACACCTGTAATCCCAGCACTTTGGGAGGCTGAGGCAGAAGAATCATCTGAGATCAGGAGTTGGAGACTAGCCTGGCTACATGGTGAAAACCTGTCTCTACCAAAAAATACAAAAATTAGCTAGGCATGGTGGTAGCACCTGTAGTCCCAGCTACTGGGGAGGCTGAGCTGGGAGAATCGCTTGAGCCCAGGAGGTGGAGGTTGCAGTGAGCAGAGATCACATGACTGTACTCCAGCCTGGGCAACAGACTGAGACCCTGTCTCAAACAAAACAAAACAAAACAAAACAAAACAAAACAAAACAAAACAAAACACACCAATGGAGAACTAGAAGCTGGCATTCACAGGGTATTCTTGTGACTGTAGCCATTGGATTTAGTGGCTCTTACAAGAGCCCTAATCAGTTATTAGGACTCTTGTAAGAAAATAGTGTCATGTACATGGATATTCATTTCAGCATTCTTTATAATGACAGATCCCTAGAAACAACTTAAACACCTACCAATGAGGAAATGGTAAAATCCATTATATTGCAACATTAGGACAATGGCATAGCTCCATTTGCGATGGAAATGTTTACATAAATGTTCATCAAGCTACAGGTTATGTGAAGAAAGCTTTGCTTAGAAGAACATGGTATTATGCCCCTAATCATTGTGTGTGTGTGTGTGTGTGTGTGTGTGTGTGTGTGTGTGTATGTATGTTTATATGTAGCTAAGCTTATATTTCTTTAAGAGTATTAGAGAATCTGTAGACAGTAATTACCTGGGGAAGGAAATTAGAGGTCTGATTGAGACAAAGACATTTTCACTAATTGATTTTTAAAAAAACAAGCATATATACTACATTTTCACTTAAAATACTACTTATAAAAGAACTTATTCTTGGTTTCAGAACTTGAGTATCAATCTAGGGTCTATCATTTCTTGGCATCATGATCTTAAGCAAGACATTTTATTTCTCAGTTTTCTCACCTGTAAAATGAAGACGATGATGTTTGTCACACGAGTGTTATGCAAATTAACTCTCTGTGAAAGTGCTTTCTAAGCTCTCAAGGGGTGATTCCTATGGGGGACTTTTCTTGATAATCACCTTCTTCCTCCTATTCCACACAGTTCCCCCACAGCCCACTGCCTCAGGGAAGATGTCTGTCATTAAAGGGCAAATAATCTCATTGGAATTTCTGGTTGGCCGGGAGCACTGACTGAGAAGGAAGGCTGAGGAATTCAGGGAAGGTTTAAGTTGGATTCCACCAACCTTTTCCCACAATTTGATGAGCATTTTAATTCTGTGCAACTGGACTCAGTGTTCCCAGGTCCTAACTCAACTCTGAAATGGGATTCAGAAATCCTCACTGCATTCTCACCTGTCCAGACAAGATGGAAAAGTCTAATTCCATTTCAATTCATTATTTGTTCAACCAGTAGTTATTGAACACCAACTGTATGCTAGGTGCTCAGGGGAATTCATCAGTCCCCTGGAGTTTACAGTAGAGCAGACACAGCAAATACTTGTTAGCTAACTATTGTGCACAGTCATGAGAACTTATTTTAAATAAAGGATGTCGGTGAATGAAACACTTATATCCACTAAATCCAACAGCTGCCATCACAAGAATATCCTACAAATACTAGCTTCTTGTTCTCTATTGTTAATATTGTTCTCATATTGTTAATATGAAAAAAAAGTGACTGCCTGCCCAGGTTAGTATAGACACTTCCTGGACATATTTTCCAAAATGTATCAATGGTCAGGGGGCCAGTAGGAGCTAGACATGAGTGTTTTCTAAGAGTTTCACCACGCCTTCTATCCTGGGTCTATGAGTTTGATCCTTGCATCTCCAGGCATCTGCAGAAGACTGTGAAAGTTAATGGGAGAAGCAGAACAAATGGAGATTTCTGGAGACAAGACAAAGATATCTTTTTTAGGACTTAGCATTATTGATGAGAACTTGAGAGGAGTGACAGATCATGAACCAACTTTGGATCTTCTTTCATAGAAAGACCATGATTCATATGCAGCAACTTCCTTCCCTTCCCAGCCCTCCCCAACTTGCCCTCTCCCACAAACCTACTTACTCACAGAAGAACTTCACTATTAGAGAGACTGAACTGAAATAATTCATGTCTGAAAAAGAAACTTCTTGTTAGAACACGGACATCATTGACAATTAGCCAGGATTCCAATGAGAAAAAAGGGAGGCCCAGGCAAGGTAAATGCATTTGTGTTTATATAACATGTGATGTGTTTTGAAGTTCTCCCCAAGGAGAAAAGCCTTCTCTTCTACTTCAAAAGCCATTTTCATGTTTTTGAAATTACTGGAAAATTATGGGCTAAACCCCCTTCACACATAATTTATTTCACCCAGTATCTCATATTTTGTGATAACATGCAAATACCATATGTTGCACTTTTTCTTTATAGATGGAGGAGGGAGGGGAAGAGAACTGGCAGAATTATCACTAGGCACTGCAAAACCTTCCATTGAAATCCACGTTTACCATGGTGACGTTTGCTAGTTACGGCAGAGCTGATCAACTGCAGATTTTCCTGCTGCTGAGGCTAAATTGCAAGCTGCTCATAATGCCATCAGATGCTGCTGGGTTTCCAGCCAATGAGAACTTTGGGAATACTTTCCTCCCTCCCTGTTTTCCACCACAGTAGAGCCCCCATGCCACCATGCGTGCAAAGTCAGCACACACTGCTGTGTTTGAACTTGATTGACCTCACGCAGCACTTTCTTAAAATAAATACAACTCCCATCAACTTATGGGTTCCAAATACTCAAGCCAGAAATCCCAGGGCCTTCATTTTTGTTTTCCCTAACAGGTATTTATTTTTCTAAATGAAATGGTCAATATCTAGGAGTATATATTATTCATAAGACTGAAGAAGGCAAAGAAAAAACCCCCACATTTTGCATTCTGCTATTCTATTTCATCTGAGGCAAAATGTTTTATGCCAGGCCAAGTGAGTCAAAAACACAAAGCTATTATTCAGCCCATAGCTGCTTCAATCATTTCTTTACCAACAATGGTGAAAAGATGTGACTTTACAAGCAAACAGGAAGAAAAAGCTTGAACACACCCTGGGAACGTGTTTAAGACGTTGATTTATGTTTCGTGCTGAGTCTTACACCTGCAGTTCAAGCAAAACCAACTTGGCTGCCCCACAGAGTCTGGTTTATTAGGTATCAAGGAGTCGCAAGAAGCCATGTAATTAAAACCGTAATTAACTGGAAAAGGAAAGTGCCACCTGAGTTTTGAGAGGCTGTCAATTTTATTTCCATTACAGCTCTCCTTCTGTTTCTCTTCTCGGACATTTTCTTTTACTTTGCTTGATCAGAAAGCAATATATACATACACACTATGTACATATTCGCTTTGTAATGTATTTAAACCTGCATAGTGGCTACTGCTTATGGAAAAAGTCACAAGAATTGTTACCTGCTTCAGGTTTTCTAGATCAGTTTGATCAGAGGAGAGGAGAAACTGTATGAAATGTGACATCCAATATGGTAGCCACCAGCCCCATGTGGCTATGGAGCATTCGAACTGTGGTCAGTCACAAGGAAGATGCGCTGTAAGTTTAAAATAATGTCAGATATTGAAGATGCAGTACAAAACAGAATGTAAGAAACAGCTCAGTGATACTTTTTATATTGATTGCTTGACAAGTGATATTATTTTGAATATATTGGGTTGTGTAAATATATATATATTTATTTATATATTTATATATATAAATATACATTATTTAATTTCACCTGTTTACTTTTTTTTGTTTTAGAATGGCTACTATAACATTTAGAATTGGACATGTGGCTCATGCTGTATTTCTATTGGGCAGTGCTGGTCTAGAGGTGAGGTGCTGCATAGCCTGCTGAATTATGAAAAGATGCACTAGAAATACTTTTCTTGTCCTTTTTGCCATCCTGAGAACTGAAAGGGCTCACCAGCAGGGAGGAATTAGGAGCACTTGGTGGCAGTGTGCAAGGGTACTGGAACGTGTTATTAAGGCATATGTTTATAATTGCCGGATTGTTCAACTCAATTTCTCAATAAATGGCTCAAAGGGAGATGTTGGAGCAGCACAATTGGAGCTTCAAGGGTCCTTTCTTCTGTAACTGCCCCTTGGCCAACAGAGGTTCAAACACACCATGAAATATGTGAGCACCAGAATGAGGAGTGCTAGAAACTTCAAATGGAAGTACTGAAAAAGAGTTCAAAACCAACAAGTGTGCCTTAATTTGTGAATTAAAGGGCTGATAAAACAATCTTTTGAAGAGGTCAATCCATTTACATTTGATTCTGTAAACATCCGTCTCACATTATTACACCATCTTTCTGAACCACATCCTTTGTGGGTTATGAAAAGGATTTGTAATAAAGACATAATTATATAATAGTTTTGAAGGTGGCTAGGGGTGAGGGCTTTTTGGTACTTTACATCTGAAATAGGCAAAAAATTTAAAAATAGCCTAGTCTTCCTCTTTTCCTTTTTTAATTTTTTTTTTGTGTGTGTGTGGGGAGGTAGCAGAGATAGATAGTTTTGACACATCCAAAACTGAATGCAATCAACAGAGTGAAAAGATAATCTAGAAGATGGGAGAAAATATTTGCAAACTTTTCAACTGACAGGATTAATATTCAGAATATACAAGAAACTCAAACATCTCAACAGCAAAGACATAAGCAATCTGATTAAAAAATGGGAAAATGACCTGAGTAGATATTTCTCTATAGAAGACATACAAATGGCCAAGAAATATTTTTAAATGCTCAACATCATTAATCATCAGGGAAATGCAAATCAAAAACCCACAATGAGTTAATATCTCACCTCAGGATGGCTATTATTATAAAAGACATAAAAGAACAAATGCTGGTGAGGATGCAGAGAAAAGGGACCTCTTATACACTGTTGGTGGGAATTTAGACTAGTACAGCCACTCTGGAGAACATTATGGAGTTTCCTCAAAAAATTACAAATAAAACTACCACATGATCCAGCAACTCCACTACTGGGCATTTATCCAAAAGTAAGGAAATCAGCATATCAAGACATCTGCACCCCCATATTTATTGCAGCACTAGTCACAATAGCCAAGATAGGGATTCAACCTAGGTGTTCCACAACAGATGACTGAATAACGAAAATGTGATATATATATATACAATGGAACATTATTCAGCCATAAAAAGAAATAAAGTCCTGTTATTTTCAGCAACATGGATGGTACTGGAGGACATTATGTTAAGTGAAATAATCCAGGAAAAGAAATGTAAACACTGCATTTTCTCACTTATATGTGGAAAGTAAAAATAGATGATCTCATAGAAGTAAAAAGTAGACAGAGGATACTAGAGGCTGGGAAAGTTAGGAGGAAAGGGAGGATAGGGAGAGATTTGTTAAAGGATACAAAATTCAGCTGGATAGGATGACTAAAGTCTAGTGTTATCTATCACTGTAGGAGGACTATAGTAATATATATTATACAGTTTCGAATAGCAAGAAGGAGGATATTGAACATTCCCAATGCAAAGAAATGATAAATGATTAAGATGATGGATGTGCCAGTTACCCTGACCTGATCTCTATGCATGTCCTGAAACATCATGAGGTACCCCCAAAATACATACAATTACTATGTGTCAATTAAAAAATAAAATAAAAATATTATTAAAAAAGAGGAATGTAGCATCTTGTTTCTCTATTACCAATATAATAGTGACAAATCGATCAACTGAAACTACCCAAAGGAAGTTAAGGAAGTTAAGACACTGAGAATCCCTTTCTTTGGCAAGAGTGGGGGAAAATATTATGTGTCTTTCTAGCCTAAATCTTTCCCCACATCTCTGCAGTCACACATTCTTTAAGCTGCATTTATTACAAGGTAAAGGTCTCTGGAATCTTCCAGTTGAGAATAGGAATACGGCACTGCGTAATTTTGGGAAGTGAGCCTGAGGTATTCAGAGCAGATGACACACGGGTCTTAGGTCCTGATTCAGCTACAAGTCAGCAGGGCACCCCAGGACCATCTGTGTTCTATAAATTACAGTAATGCTGGCACATGCGGCTTGTAAATCACCCATGAACAGGCTTCACCTCGTGACACATGACATGAACCCTGTTGTATATTCCAATAAACTCCCATAAACCATCTGATATAAACTCTGGATTATGTTTCTTTAGGGGTTGGAATACTTAAGACTTTTCTTTGCTGGTCTGATTCCCTTTCACATGTGAAGTGAATACACACGGTATGTTCCATTCCCTTTCCCATACACTAGTATTTTGCTATTTTTCAAGGGCAGAATTTTATTTAGTGGCTGACATGAGCAATTTGGTGAACTTCAAAGGACCAATCTTTTTTCCCCATTGCCTTCTTTAATAAACTTGTTTCTTTCAACACGACTGTGAATGTCAAAGTCTTGTGGTTACTACACATGGAAAAGACGATTTATAAACAGCAAATTAATGACCAAATTGTCAGTAACCTACTTTGCTGAATATAAATAAACGCTTATCATAAAGGGTCATATCATTTATATGGCTTTGCTGGGTTTCTGGCAATTTACACGGCTGCCTTCTACAGTAGTTTTGTGTGTGTGTGCAGGAGCATGAGGAGAAAGAATAGCTGGAGTGGAGACAGCATTCAATTCCATTTACGGCTCCTCTGTAAATGGTTCTAAGCAACTGTTTTTGGTTGGAACTCAGTGTTACCTTATTCATGGAGTCTGGTCCTTCCTCCATATTCAGGGAATTCTTTTCCAAGGAATTCCATCTTAAGGCTCATCACGCTGACTTGTTGGTCCACATGCCAGAAAAAGTGTCAGAAAAATACCTAAATATAAACTCTTCCCAAGACATCAAGCTTTGCTTCTATTAAGAAACATGGTAATTTTTTTTCCTTCTCTCTACTTTTCATTTTTTAAAACAGTAAGGACAAAACTACATTTTCTTTTATTTTTGTCACATAATTAAAGTGCTTTATTTGGACAATTCTTTCAGTTCAGGGTATTTTGGTGTAGTAAATTATTGCCTTTATGCCACTTTTTACAGATATACAGATGTAAATGAAAAGGAGAGATCATTATTTTGTTGTGGAATTTAAATGAAGCATAAAATATTTGTGAGACAAAATTCAGTAGCTTCTTAAGGGTCTGAAGGATGAGATAACTCAGAATTAATTATATTGGTCTGATGTATCCTAGTCATATTTAGCTGAAATTTATGTTAAGTTTCCACATTCGTTGTCTGAAAAATGTATTGATAATTATTTTCTATATAGGCTGTCAAGCCTACGTAAGGAAAACACAATGCTATCTTCAATGAGTGATTCAAGATTTATAAAAGGTTCACATACTCAATAGAAATTAGATAACTTTTTTCAAAGTTATAGTAGTTCCTTGAGATATAAACATTCTAAAATCACATAAAGTCTAAATGTTCAGGCTTTGCTGAGAAAATGGCCCTACAACTGAATGTAACACTCTTAGTGGAAAAGAGGTAAACATTAAATTTTGCTCAGACACAGAGCAGCCCTACTATGAATTCAAAAACACAGCTTCCAGAAACTTCTAAATACATAGTACCATTCCTTACTTGTCACAATTTATTCTGTAATTTTAGGGATTTATTGATTGTAGTGGAAACATTTGCAAATAACTTAAAAATTTCATGAAACGTTGTACATCTCAAAGGATTTCATTCAGTTCTTCTTTTTCAACTGCAATCAATAATTTTTTTCAAAACTCTTAATATGCTGAACTAGGGTATAGTTAAGAGATTGTTGGAAATTCCCAAAAGGAGGATTTAAGAAAACAAATATGAACAAAGATGACCTTTGTAGAATTGTTATTTTCTTTCATTCACGTAATTTTTGAAGAAGTTCTGTTTCTGCTTTCTATTACATGTAAATAGTTCTCATTTTTATTCAGCATCAAGAGATATTAATGTGGGTGTGTCAAACCAAGGTTTGGGTTCTTTGAACCTATCAAACTATTTTTTTCAAATATGTGGGGTTTGATAAAACCCATAATACATACTAGCAGCACTTTTTCCATTAATTATTAAACCCATGTGCATTTTGAGAAAAATTTGATCCATATGGGTTCTGGTTCATTTATGCTTTACTCATCAAAATGCTTTTTCTTGAAGCCCATGTCCAGGAAATCTTTTGAACCCTGTTAAGTTTTTTTAACTTTGCCAAGAATAAACAAAGTTGAACACCAGAAGATTCAAGTTGGTTTGTAATCCTATACCTATGGAGTATTAGTGGGTTCTAAACTTGTGTTAAATACATATTCTCATCCCTAATAGGTAGTTGGATATCTCCAGGGGAAGCTTGAGGCTTGATAGAGAAAGCAAAAGTCAGATATATGTCAACAAAAACACCAGAAAAATCTCAGAATGCATCACAATTCGTTAAAAATTAATTTGATTATATTTTATTTTGAGTACATATGCAGAGATGTTCCCTCGAATCAGAACTGGAAGGCTAAAAGGCATCTCAAGTAGGTAACCAAAAAAAAAATATTTGAACAACAATTCAACAACAATTCCTAAATATTGGGATTTGGCTAAAAATAATCATGAGAAACATTCAATTGCTTTTAGGGGGAAAAAATGGGAATGTGGTCTATGGTACTTTTTTTCTATTTCTTCCCTTTCAAATGTCTATTTTCTTCCATTTCAAGTGTCTATTGTCATTGTTTTTTGCTTTTGTTGTTTTCATTGTTGTTTATTTTTTTGCCCCCTTTCTTCTCTGGAACTAACAGGCCAAGTCAAACTAAGATCAGAAGTCAAACTAAGGGACTAGCTTTTGATTAGTTTGGATTGTTAGTCTCAGAAATTCTAGAAGAGGAAAATTTAAAAATTATTACAAATAATATAATATATTACATCTAGAGGCCATAGAAAATAAAATCTCCTAACGCTGCCGTGATTGAGGTTATACTTAAAAAGAGTCCTTGTCTTTTAGACAGTCCTATTGAAAAAAAATATGTAATTGTATATATATATATTATATATATATTATATATATATAATTGAAATGGCAAGATCATTGGGATTTACTGCAAAACAGAGTATGCATTAAGGATATAGGTGGAGGTATAGATGAAGCAATGCAATTCTCATTGCTAGATGCTGGGCACACTGGTGTTCATTATATCACTTGGTTTCCTTTAGTTTATACATTGGATGACTTCTATGCCTACTATGCAGGCTTTGGGTCCACTCAGCCAATGCTATAGTCACACCCGGATCAATATCTAGCCTCAGCTACTCCAAGTATCTCTCCTGCCTCATGGGACATCTGCAGAAACCTACCATCATTATGATGCAGAAATATATTTTGAAAGTATGAGGAAATTAACACCCCTTGGGACAGTTCTTGACTCGTGGGGAGGAGGAGCTGCTGGACAATTCTGAAGGATATCTCACACAGCCCCTTAGACAGTCCCTAGAAGAATTGCACCCCCAGTTCCCACAGTGTGATCAGCTTGATAATATATTCTTAGATGAGCGTTTACCCCTTTCCTGTCACAGTCTTCCTGGTGTCCTTCTCCTGTTCCTTAGAATTTCTTCCTAAAATAAACTGCCTGCATCGAGCCCTTACGATAATTTCTAAACGCATAGAGTCTTAGCCCAAACCTTTCTCTCAGGCTAAGAGCATTTTTATGCTTAAAATTTTTCATAATAAAAAGTTTTAATAAATGTTTTTGCTTTACCTTTTTATATCCCTAATACAATCTAAATTTTATTTAAAAATATAGGAACAAGCATAACTTTAACAATAAGAATTTTATATTACTACTATTCTCTTAGAAGTTATATTTATATTTCATTTCTCACAGAATTTTAATATTGTTATGATTTAAAGTCTTTTATTGATTATTCAATCATGATTCTCTGTCACAAAAATATGCATATACACTTATTTTGTTAATTTTTAAATTTCCTGTAACCAAAAGCCTTGAAGCATTAAAATATTTATTCTGGATTGAGTTAATGTTACATATACCTATTACACTCAATTGATCAAAAATAATAAAAATATATTTCAAAGTTTAAGAAACTATTATTAAACATGAAGAGAAAAATTTATTGGAAACACATCTCTTAGTGAAAGGGACACAGCTTTCAGTTCATATGTTGTGGAAAAATATTACCAGAATGAGAAAGGTTTCAGGATCAATTTTGTTTTTACTTTTCATTGTTAAAGATGAAAATTTTGAGAAAATTTGCTCATATAAGTAGGTAAGAAGAAGAAATGTTTAAATAGCAGTGTCACTCAGTTTCTTGAAATCATTTTGAGTCGTGTTAAAAATCATATCGTGGTATATAATCAAAAATTATTTTTATTGGAATGTTGACAACATGATTAGTTTTTCCTGCAATTTTATTGATAACAAAAAGTTGGAAACCTGCTTTCTTATCAAAGGATGTATTAGGGTCATTAACTTTATCAAGACACCAATATTTTGAAGCATTCCTTGTTTGGCAGTGCATCCTGGGAAGTGCACTGTAAAAAATAGGATGGGTGAGAGACGCCATTCTTTTATAAAGTAGGAGAGGAACAGCTGTGAAGGGGAGGTTTTTTAAAATATGAGTTTTTATTTAAATTTAGATGTAATTTATATATCATAAAATTTACACTTCAAAATTGTACAATTCAGTGGTTTCTAGTAGTTTCACAAAGTTGTGCAAACATTATCCCTATTTAATTTCAGACTATTTTTGTTACCCCAAAAAGAAACTCTATAATCATTAGCAGCCACACATAGTTTTCTCTCTACAAGTTTCTGGAAACCACTAAGGTACTTTCTGTCTCTATGAGTTGCTTATTCTGGATATTTCATATGCAGTAAGTGGAACAATACACCATGTGACCTTTTATGCCTGGCTTCTTTCACTTAACACAGTGTTTTCAAGGTTTATCCATGTTGTGGCATGTATCAGTATTTCATTCTTTTTTATGGCTGAATCATATTCCACTGTATGTATATATCATATTTTCTTCATTCATTGATTGATGGGTATTTTGGTTGTTTTGACTTTTTGGCTGTTAGGAAAAAATGCTACTATGAACGTTCATGCTTTTTGTGGAGGTGTTTTCTATTCTCTTGGGTATCTGCCTGGGAGTGGAATTGCTGAGTTATGTGGTAATTGTTATATTTAACTTTCTGAGGCACTAACAAACTGTTTTCCAAAGTGTAGGTAGCATATTACACTCCCACCAGCCATGTACGGGGATTTCAGTTCTTTGCATCCTAACACTCATTATTTTCTGGATTTTTGATTATAGCCATCTTAGTGGGCATGAAGTGGTATCTCATTGTGATTTTGATTTGCATTTCCCCAATGGTTGGTGATATTATAACATCTATTTATTTCCATTTCCATATCTTCTCTGGAGGATTGTCTATTCAAATCTTTTGCCTATTGTTAATTGAGTTATTTGTACTTTTACTGTTTAGTTGTACATATTCGTTATATTTTCTAGATCTAAGTTCCTTATCAGTTATATGATTCACAAATATTTTCTCCCATTCTGTGGATTATTTATTTTTTCACTTTATTGATAACGTCCTTTGATGCACAAAAGTTTTAAATTTCGATGAAGTCTAATTTGCCTATTATTTCCTGTTATTGCTTGTGTGTTTGGTGACATGTCTAAGAAACCATTGTCTAATCCTAGGTTATAAAGAGTTACACCTATGTTTTCTTCTAAGAGTTATAGTTTTAGCTCTTATATTTAGGTCTTTGGTCCATCCATTTTGAGGTATATGGTATGAGGTAGGGGCCCAACTTCGTTCTTTTGCATGTGGATATCCAGTTGTCACAAAGCCACTTGTTGAAAGGCTTTTTTTTTCCCCATTGAATTGTCTTGGCACCCTTGTCAACAATCAATTGACCATACATTTATGGGCTTATTTCTAGACTCTCAATTCTATTCCTTTCATCTGTATGTCTAATGGTACCATACAATCTTGATTTCCATAGCTTTATATCAAGTTTTGCAATAGTGTGAGTCCTCTCACTTTGTTATTTTTCAAGATTGTTTTGGCTATTCTGGGTCTCTTGCATTTTCTGTACGAATTTTTGCCATAGCTTCTCAATTTCTTTCTTTCTTTCTCTTTCTTTCTTTCTTTCTTTCTTTCTTTCTTTCTTTCTTTCTTTCTTTCTTTCTTTCTTTCTTTCTTTCTTTTTCTTTCTTTCTTTCTTTTCTTTCTTTCCCTCCTTTCTTCTTTCTTTCTTTTTTTTTTTTTTTTCAGATGGAGTCTTGCTCTGTCACCCAGGCTGGAGTGCAGTAGCGCGATCTCGGCTCACTGCAACCTCCGCCTCCCGGGTTCAAGCGATTCTCCTGCCTCAGCCTCCTGAGTAGCTGGGACTACAGGGGCCCGCCACCATGCCCAGCTAATTTTTTTGTATTTTCACTAGAGACGGGGTTCATCGTGTTAGCCAGGATGATCTCCATCTCCTGACTTTGTGATTCCCCTGCCTCAGCCTCCCAAAGTGCTGGGATTACAGGCATGAGCCACCATGCCCTGCCTATATTGCCATCTTAATGATACAGTTGACCCCGAACAAGATGAGGGTTAGGAGCACCAACCCCCAACACAGTAGAAAATCCATGTATAACTTTTGACCTTCTCCCAACTTAACTACTAATAGTCTACTGTTGACTGGAGGCCTAATGGATAACATAAACAGTCTATTAACACATATGTCGTTATGTTATATGTATTATATACTGTATTTTAAAAATGAAGTAAGCTGGAGAAAAGAAAATGTTATTAAGAAAATTGTTTAAGGAAAAGAAAATCTATTTACTATTCATTGAGTGGAAGTGGATCATCATAAAGTTCATTTTCATGTTGAGTAGTTGAGGAATAGAAGGAAGAGGGTTTGATCTTGTTGTCTCAGGAGTGGCAGAGGTGGAAGAGGTGGAGAGAGTGGAAGTGGGGAGGCAGGTGAGGCAGACACACTCAGTGTAATACATACATTTTATTGAAAAATATCTGTGTGTAAGTGGACGTATGCAGTTCAAACCCATGTTGTTTGGTGGTCAACTGTATTAAGTCTTCTAATCCATGAACACAGAATATCTTTTTCAAAAAGTGTCGTTTCTTCCAACATGGTTGTAGTTTTTAGTATGTAGTCTTGCACTTTTATTTGTTAAATATTTGTTAAATTATTTATTTTGTGATGTTACTGTAAGTGAAATTACTTTCTTAATTCCATTTTCAGATTGTTTGTTACTAGTGTATAGATATACAGCTGATTTTTGTGTATTGATCTTATACTCTGCAACCTCACTGAACTTGGTTATTAGTTCTGATAGCTGTTTTGTAGATTCTTCAGGCTTTTCAATAAGCAAGATCATGTCATTTGCAAATAGAGATAGTCTTATATCTTCTTTTCCAAACTGGATGCCTTTTATTTCTTTGTCTTGCCTAATTGCTCTGGATTGAATCTCCAGTACAACAATGAATAGAAGTAGTGACAGCAGATAGCCTTGTATTGTTCCTTTTCTTAGAAGAAATTATAAAATTAGCGTTATGCTTTTGTAGGTGCCGTTTATCAAGGTGAGGAAGTTCCTTCTATTCTTAGGTCTTTAATCCCTCCATTTTGAAGCATATGATATAAGGAAGGGGCCCAAGTTGTTTTGCATGTGGATATCCAGTTGTCCCAAAGCCACTTGTTGAAAGGCTTTAGTGTGATATATGTATGTGTGTGTGTTTTATCACAAAAGGATATTGTTATATCTTGGCAAATGCTTTTCTGCATTCTTAAGATAAAGTTTTTGCCCATGACTTTATTAATATAGAATATTACATTGATTGATTTTCACACATTGAACTGACCTGTCTTCTTGGAATAAATCCCACTTGCTTATGCTGTATAATCCTTTTTACACATTGTTGGATTTGGTCTGCTCACACTGTGTGGAGAGTTTTTGTGTCTGTATTTATAAGGCCTATTGGTCTATAGTTTTCTTTCTTTTTTAGTAATTGATTTGCCTGGTTTTGGTATCAGGGTAATATGGACCTGATAGAATGAGTTAAGAATTGTTCTCACTCCTTCCATTTTTTTGTAAGAGTTTCCAAAGGATTGGTTTAATTCTTTCTTAGGCAGATCAGTTTTACAGCAGTGGAGAAAAGTCTAAACAATGTGGTTATAAGGCACTAATTACTTATGCCAGGCTTTTAGATATTTGAATATGCATCTTATTTTCAACAATATGTAAAGTCATTTATTTATTAAACAAATTTATTTTGTTTAGTCATTTATTTATTAAACAAAAAATTACAAAAATGTTTTGTAAAGTCATTTATGTTTTGTAAAATCATTTATTTATTAAACAAATATTTATTGAACATCTACTATGTGCTAGGCACTGTGGTAGGAGCTACAGGTGAAACAGTGAACAACATGATCTATGCGCCGTAGAAGGTAACAGTCTAGTGACAATGAGAGACAAGAAACAAGTGAAACAAATAAACAAAAGCCAAACAAATACTTACTGTTGGCAAGGAAATTACCTATACGTCTCTCTAACACCACCTCCTTAATGTCAGAAACAGTGGCTTAAATGCATTCTGTACCCAATAAAGGTGGAATCATTTATTTTGGTATGATTGTTGCCCTATAGCTTGGCTGAGAAGGTTAGGTTACACACATGGAGTAATACGAGAATTATTTAAGACAAAATAGAATTTCATAGTTCTCCTGCTGTAGTAAGGGAAAGGAATATATTAAGGTTTGAAAACCTAACTCTCAAAGTCTGATGTATAAGACAGATAACAACTTAACACTACATCTTATCCACAAAGCTAACCATTGTTCAGATGATGGTTCTTAACATTAGTGTTTCTTAAACAGTCATATGCAGAAAAAAAAAAAAAACACCTAGAGATCTTCTTAAAATGCAGATTTTGATCCCACAAGTCTGTAGGACCACAAAATCCTGTATTTCTAATAAACTTCTAGATACTGGCTGTGCTACTGGTCCACAGACCTTACTTTGAGTGACGAGGCTTTATCTCCCTTCCTTCTTGCCTGAAAGCAAAGAACCAAGAGATATCTGGTGAATTAGATAGGAAAAATTTCCTTCAGATTTTCCAAGGTAACTGAGTGGCTGCAAAACTACCCACTGATGAGACAGCTAGAAAAATCACCTGAGTTTTCATATAACTCAGAGTAACATATGAGAAAACCAGCAGAGAGGGAACAGGGAATGTTTATCCTCTTGAATGATGTCATTTATGTCGAAACTTAATTATAAGTGAACATCCATCTTTCCTGTCAAACAATGCCATGCACATAGGCCAAATCATTTTTAATGTAAATATAAATGATTCTTGTGTGTAGCCATTGAGGAGATGGTTAATGGGGGGAGGGAGGAGGAGGATGATAGTTAATTCTACTTTGTAATGGGAAAACAGCCTCAGTGCCTTTAGATTCTCTACCTATTAGAAAAAAAAAAAAGAACCAAAAGCATAAAACATTGGTGATTGGGAATTTGCTTACTAGTGTCCACAATGCAGGGATTTGCCTTGAAGAATTTTATTTTATTTCTGCCTTCCAGTCAGATATTCAACCTAGAAATACGTGTTTCTTTTATCAGCATGATGACTTTTTCCCCCTCATTTATAGGGTTGTGTTTTCTGGCACATTTCTGTTCCCACAAACAGTTCTCTGGAGTTTTATGTATGAAGAAGCTTTTAAGTAAAAGATCAATTTGGTAAAAACCAAAATTATTCATTGAAACCAATATGCTATGCTTTGAAACCAGAAAATATAGAAACCATGAGCTCTTCTTATTGGTACATAAACTCATGCATTTGAGACCCTTGCAAAACTGAAATCACTCAATTTCAAATGCTCTTAAAGTACTAGGTAACTCTGTGAATCTTGATAGGAGAAAATAGGGAACAAGAGTAACAAGGTGTATTGGGCATGGATCCAGCAGGGAGCTGATTCAAGAGAGGAAAGAGTATGCATATTGACCAACCCAATAATCGGGATTAAAATTATTCACTTTGGTCTATAATCTAATATATATACAGGTATACGATGCAATTTTTACAACTGATAAGCAGAAATATGTCCAATAATTTTTAAAAAGCATTCCAAAATCAACTTCCATTAACATGTATTTTTATTCCTGCTAATATGTTTGGGAGTGTATTAGAGAATGTAAAGGATTCAAAAAGGGATAGGGCATTGCTCCTAAATTCAAGGAAATTATGAGCAAACTGCTAAAGTGATGCTCATCTTGAAGGGGAGTGTGAAAAGAGAAATAGAGAGAGAGAGAGAGAGGGAGAGAATTCACCTCTGTCTATGATGCCTAGGAGACTTTCTAGAAAACATGTGTTTAGGAGGTAGGGGATCAGAGAGTTGAGTCATCTCCCTGAAATGAGAGAAGGACAGGCTCTGGCCTGGTCCCAGGCATTAGAGGGCCCCCTCCAACTCTCCTTGTGTCCTTCCTATGGGGCAAGAGTCTGCTGGGCCAAATGCATGTGCCCACATACAGCCCAGTCCTCTTCTTGACATGCTTCAGGTCCAGGCACTTAGAACTGTGGGATTGCCTATTTCAGTGACCGTGGGTTGGCTTCCAGGTCTGTGCAGGTGTGTATGCCTCACTGCTACAGGGCATACTGAGGCTACCTCACACGGGTGTCCATCTGCAGGCCAACTCTTGGGAATGTTTTCAGGTCTTCTCAGCACTCTGAAGATGATTTCTGTGAGGCCATGTAGAGGGAGAAGGGTGCTCATGATAAAAAGAAAGTTGTTGCCCAGGGCATACTTACACTTTTTTATATCAACCAATTTCGGTCCTGATGGAAAATTGGAATTGAAAATCAAACTTGAGACTCTTAGCTCAGTATACTTTCCCTGTTTCACATTTTCTTCACTGTATGTTTGCATTTTCTCCCCAAATTCAACTTAAAGGTTTTTCTTGGAACAGGCACTAAAGTAGGAAAAAGAACTGGAATAAATCATCTTTCCACCAACTCTGGCCATTTATCTCAATTCCTTCATACCATTTCCTATCCCCTTGTTTTAGTTTGGAGGAAATCAGAAAGGAGAGAGGACAGGCCAAAAGGGAAAAGGAGAAAGAGGAGCAAAAAGAAAAGATTTCCCTGGTGCTGTTTGCATCTCTGCTCTGGGGCTACTTGCCAAGGTATAGAATTATAACTGCTGATGAGCAGAGATGAAGACAGAGACTGCTCTTCATTCTTTCTTTCTCCAATCTCCAGAACTGGCATGGAATTAAGAGACTCTCCTTCTTTATCCACAGCCAAGAGCAGACACTGGTGGCAGTAGTCCATACTTCATGCTAGGTAGGAGTTTCTGACTTAGTTTCATGGTTTGGGGAAAAAAATGCTCTGCAATGTTTTCCTAGTTGTGACTTTTCAAAAGAAAAGCTTCGGTTGTTTCCACAGTGGCCCTGTGGCTGGCACTATTGACTGCCTCACCGTCAGCTGCTAGGGAGCCTGTTTTGGCAGGAGAGGTGGTAGAGATGTTTCCTTTATGCTCTGTCTGTATGCTTTTATAATTATTGGCAGATATGGTTTGGTTTTGTGTCCCCACCCAAATCTCATCTTGAATTGTAGTTCCCATAATCCCCATGAGTCGTTTGAGGGACCAGGTGGAGATGATTGAATCATGGGGGTGGTTCCCCCAATCCTGTTCTCATGACAGTGAGTGAATTCTCAGGAGATATGATGGTTTTATAAGGGGCTTCCTTCTTTGCTTGGCACTCATTCTCTCTCCTGCCACTCTGTGAAGAGGTGCCTTCTGCCATGACTGTAAGTTTCCTGAGGCCTCCCCAGCCATGTGGAACTGTGAGTCAATTAAAACTCTTTTCTTTATAAGTTACCCAGTCTCAGGCATTTCCTAATAGCAATGTGAGAATGGACTAATACACGGGCTGTGTGTCAGAAGCTACTGCTTTGATTTTATTGCCCTATTTCTATATCCGTTAGATCCCTATTTGAAAATGCCTTTCTCCTTCTTCCTGATGAATTCACAAAATTTGAACTTACATCCTCTTAATTTTCTCCAGCATCATCAAGCTGGCCTTGTGATAGGTGACATATTTTGGACCAAATGACCGAGGCACCATTCAAAAATTCATTAGCCATGTCTCTTAGATCCTAGAGTGTCATAACATTAGCAGAAACTTCTAAAAGAAGGAAGATAGTAACTCCAGCCAACACTTTCAATGCACCCTTTTAAAGGAAATCTCAATAGCAAATGAATTGTATCAGTCAGTCAGTAAAAAATGACCACCTTTAAAAGGCTGCTTAGGCCTGGAGTGAGTTAAAAATAAAGTGTAGAATGCGGTCACTGCCCACAATAGGATAGGAGACAGTAAGAGTTGCCCTAGACAAATAGCCAGAAATGTTTCTTGCTGTATGTCCTTGGCTTTTAGGTTGTAGTGGGTGTTTTTTTTTTTGAGATGGAGTCTCTCTCTGTAGCCCAGGCTGGAGTGCAGTGGCACAATCTCAGTTCACTGCAACCTCTGCTTCCCAGGTCCCAGTTCAAGCAATCCCCCTGCCTCAGCCTCCTGAGTAGCTGGGATTACAGGAACGTGCCACCATTCCCAGCTAATTTTTATATTTTTAGTAGAGATGGGGTTTCACCATGTCGACCAGGCTGGTCTTGAACTCCTGACCTCAAGTGATCCTCCCCATCTTGGCTTCTCAAAGTGCTGGGATTACAGGCGTGAGCCACCACGCCTGGCCTGTAGAGGGTATTTCTATGTTTGAGGTCAAATTCAGATAGTAAACATTATGTGCTGGGGCAATTATTCCCTAGATATGAGGGATAAAATTTGTCCAAAGAGGTTTTAAGACCAAATAAATTACAGGGAGACCTCTTTCCTCTTAACTGGTATAGAATTAGCCTGGCTTATTATGGATTTCTCTTTCCAAACAAACAAATATGCAAACAAGTCAATACAAACATGTAGGTTACACACACCAACTAAAGAACATCAACACAACCAACAAGGCAAATGGGAATGTGTTTTTTCAGGTGGAGAAATGAAAAGTCAACATGTTAGAGGAGTTCAGGGAGATTTTGAAAGTAAATGTGTGACCTGTACATTTATTCAAATATAACATTTCCTGAACTGTTGTTATTCAGATATAGTTTTGAGAGCCATTAGTATGTGTCCTATGGAAAAAAAAAAAAAGTAGCCAAATAAATGGAAGGGCAAGTATGATATTTTATTTCATAGGATCTAAGAAACTTTGATTATAAGGTGCACCATTCTTTTATGGACTGCTGAGGAAGGAAAAGCACTGCTAATTAAACTATGTCATGCTATTGATTCGAAGATGCAGCCCAATTACACAGATGTTAAAATATAGAAAACAAACATGAGTCTTAGAATTGATGAAATTTGGTATATCGTCTCTTTTAAAGATTTACAACACACTTTAATAGCTTTGAGAAATCCCACAGGAAAGAAATCTGTTTAATTCAGCTTTCTCTTATTTTTCTAACACGAATACTTTTACTGGGCAAACGTCTGTATGAATTCATGCATTTAACATGTTTGATGGATTTACTTCATTCTCCATGCAAATCCCCTCACTCTCCAGGCTCTCTAGGAACATTCCAGCCTTTGGGCTTTCCTGCTGCTTTGAGTTCTAAGCATCCCGGGTTACCTTTCTAACTCTGAACACCTATTTGTCATTATCCTTCTTTCACCAATGATTATACACATATTCTTGTTTCTGTCAAAAAATGCAAAGTTACTTCTCCTCATGACACTTCCAATGCGAGTGTGACCTGCCTGAAGCAAAAAGATGATTGCTACTTCCGTTTTTACTGACCTCAGGACCTAGCATAGAGCTTTCCACACATAATTAACTAATAAGTGATGCTGATTAATAGGATTTTCAGGTAAATATGCATCCATTTCTAGACACTAAAGGAAAAACAAACTCTTCCTGGAATTTCACTTATGGAACTCAACGTCAATCATGGTTGTAAAAGGAGAGAAATATTTGAAGAGAGACACAAGGTAGAGAGTTGATTAAAGAAAAAAAAAACAAAAACGAGGTAGTAAGTAGTGTGTACACAAAAGAACATGAGAAGCGAGTCAGACTGCTGGCCACATTTAGGATTTGAGCACTAGGCTGTACTTCTTCTCTAGAGCAGAGATCAGCAAACTATAGTCCATGGAACAAATATGATCAGTTTCCAGGTTTTATTAAACAATGTCTTATTGAAACACAACCATGCCTATTTGTTTACACATAGTTTATGGTGTCTTTCGTGCTACAGTGGCAGAATCAGGTAGTTAACCTAAAGACCTTATGGCCTGCAAAAGCAGAAAATAAACTACCTGGCTCTTTATAGAATACGTTTTCTGATCCCTGCCCTAAAGCAAGGACACTTGCCCAGTAATAATGCGGGAGAGAGTTTTCACTGTCTGGAGCCTATTTCTCTCTTCCTTCTGCCTACTTTCAGTGCCAAGGGAAGGCTATGATAATGTTTCATGGTACCTAGTACTTTTACTTTCTTCCTAGAAATCCCAGTGTTGTGTAAAAGAAAGAAGGAAGAAGAAGACATGCATGGCAGGGCTACCCACACCTTGAGAGCTCAGATAGACTATTGGCCCTAGTTCCCTGGCAAGTGGAATGTGAGACGATGCTAGGATAATATATTAAATATATCTTCCTTTTCTGGGAAAGCAGCTTTTTAGTTATATCACTACTCATACCTATTGTACATATATCTCGTTAAAGATTTTATTGCTTCAAAATGAGCTCCTCGTTGAGATAATAGTATTGAATCAAGATTTAGTTTATATTGAAACAGTTTGATTGGAATATCATAGTTTGAGGAAGCAAGGAAAAGGCCAAAAGTGCTTACATTGGATGTAATTTAGCAAAAATGGAAAGTTCAGGCGTTTCTGGCATATAGAGTACATTTATAGCATTTTGGCTTTTCACATTCATCTTTTAAAGTTCCCAGTTACAACATTTTCTTTCCTTGGCCCCTTAAAAATAATGAATAATTTTGCTCTGCACCCATAGCTTGAGATATTTTGTTATGTGTTAATTCAGAAGATAAAATTTCTCTTGAAAATGCTCACTTTGGTCTGAATATTAGAAATGAAAAGTCTTATAGCTAGAATTCTAAAATTACCTATATCATTGGGTTCACATCATTAAATTGCTTTGAGAATCTTACTTAGGAGTCTGGCAGTAGTAACCATCCATTCAGGATAGCAACTCCAGAGTTGAGTTCTCATTGAGTGAGTATCCCCATATGCTTCATACTTTTAAAAATTAGCACTGAGTAGGTGCTTTTTAGTAAGCATTAAAAGTCCAACTTTGAAAAGTCATGCCCACCCTCCATCCTGGGAGGATTACATGTCTGGGAACTCCTAAAAAGATCTCTGTCAATGTCTGTTGTCCATCAAATATTTGTCTTTTTCTACTTCTAGGCAGTTGGTAGTATATTTTCTTGCTTTCTTTATGTTAGAAATTGCCATTGCTTTGACTACTGAAATGTGAGAGGAACGTTTGTGTCACTTCTCTTAAGAAGTGTTAAGAGCCCACGTGCAAATTCCCTCTACCACTTCCTCTTTTTGCAGCCATAACAGTCAGCAGCATTTCAAATAGTATGGGCTCTGCAAATCTGGGTTCCAAAGTGGAGTGGTGTGCAGGAGAGCTCTCAGCCCACTTGTGCAGGATATGTAGTTAGAGCAAAAAATAAACCATTGTTTTTTTTAAGCCACTGGGCTACGTAGTTTCATTTGTCACTGCAGTGTAACCTGGCCCTTCCTGACTGATTCAGTATGTCTAAGATGGCTTATTTATTTATTTATTTAAACTCTTCATGGTGAGAGTAGGCTCTATCAAGAAACAATCAGTGAGTTTTCAGAGACTCATGTGAACACATGGGCCTGGCATTTTAGTCAATGGTTGTATATTTGTATGCCTCTGGGATACAATATATACTCTGTACTGTCTTCTTACTTTGTGTTGTTGTAGTTCTCTATTTATTTTATTCCCAAGGAAGAACGCATTTGAAGGAATACTTTAGAAATTGAATGTGTTAAAGGCAGTCCAGCATTCCTTGGAGAAAGCAACCCTAAGAAGGAATTGAATGCTATTAGGCCTGGGGGAAATGCAGCTAGAGAGTAACAAGCTATTAGTAAATTGGGTTGCTTTCAGCATAACTTAATACAACATAACAGGATAATATAAACATGGATTAGCACTCACTCCAAGTTTTTATTGCAAGAAGTACAGTTGATATAAGTGGAGGAGTAGCTGAGATGAAGATTTAGCCAGAAAAAAACACATTTTTGTGTGTGTCAGACTGCTTCATCCATTTCTAGGCTCAGATTTAAGCCCAGGCATTATGATTGTTAACAATTTGTCACCTTTTTAAACTTAGAGAGACTAAGGCTCTTCCCACACTCTTGAAAAGCATGCACTTGTTTTAGTTGCAGAGCTGTCTTTCTTTTCTCTTCTGTTTAGTGGGCAGCAATCTCTTCCAAAAGCTTTCTGTCAGGACTAGGAACTTCCAGACCTCTGAGAAGGCAGCTGCTGAAGGAAAGAAGCCACTTAACTGGTCAGTGTAGGTTTGTGCCTGTGTAGAACAAAGCGATGTTCTTTGCCTATTGTTCCGTCTATAGCCACATGCACATATTAGCAGCAATAATAAAATATTGCTGCATTATCCCCAAAGTATAGGTCTCTGATAAGATAAAAGCTTTTTTCCCAAAGGGGTTGGTTAGTGTATGGGAGTGGGAGATTGGAAAGGAAGGAAATATATTAACCCCGTGGTTCTGATAGAAATGGTCTCTTCCATTACAAAGAAAATGCACACGTTAAACATGTGTGACTAGCAAAATCATAAGAGATCGGTTACCATCTCACTGTACTTATCTTAGTTTATAGGACTAGTAAGTGGTTAGAATGCTGCAGACTGCTCCAATAAGAAGAGGTCTATGAAAGACATACAATGAGTTAGATAATAAAAACAAAACAAATGAACAAAAAAAGAATTGAGCAAGAGACGTTATTGAGTAAGTGGAAACTCAGAAAATACCCCGAATATCTACAGTGTTCCTTGTAAGATTCACGCAAGAATTCCTTCTTTTCATGCCTTTGGGTGAATCTATTATTTCTGGATAATTTTCCTTTATTGTAGTCTTTGGTGTGAGAATATATGTAACATACATGTAAGTAATGAAGCAGAATAATACAATAAACAGCTGTGAAGTCACCACCCCATTTTAGAACCACAAACATTATTGCAATTGCTTAGATAATCCTCTCATATCCCACATCCCTCCTCCTCGCCTGAGGATGAATTTGTGTTTAAGATTTCTTGCTTTATTAAAACCCATTTACATATGCACATACATTCATACCTCCACATAGTGTATTGCTTTGTTTTAATTTTTTTTGAGCTTTTTAAATATGGTGTACCTTTTGTTGTCTACTGAGACTTGCTATTCTTACTCAATATTCTGTTTCTAAGATTCACCCATGTTGTCTGTGGGCTTGTAGTCCAGTTATTTTTCCTGCTGTATAATTTTCCACTGTGGGACCATACTACGGTTTGTTCATCCATTCTCCTGTTAGTGGGCATTTGAGGAGTTGTTTCCTGGTTTTCTGCTGCTGTGAACAGAACTTCTATGATTATTCTTGTTCATGTCTCCTGGGGTACATGGGCAGAAGTTTTTCTGGAGTATTACTCTGGGTTGTAATGTGTATGATTTACACATTTTTTCACCATAATTTTACACCATAATGCCACATTTTCTTCCAAAGTAGTTGTACCAGCTTGCTTTCTTACCATCAATGCATATGAATAAAAATTCCTATAAATCCACACCTTCCAATCTTTGATATCATGTGTTAACTTATGCCAATCTAGTATATAAATGGTATCACATTGTGGTCCTAATCTGCATCTCCATGATTGCTAATGAGTTTGAGCATCTTCGCAAATATATATTAGCGATTTGTGTCACCTCTGACTTTTTTTTTTAAATTAGCAAGGTAACTATCTATTCAGCTCTCATTAGAAGAGAAAGAGAATTCAATTGATTAAAGTCTTGTAATTAGGTTCAAAACTGGTAGGTGATAGACGACCGAAAGCTAAAATGAGTACAATGGCTTCTCCATGTGATAGCAGAATAGGGCTCTAGAGTGTCCTTAGAATTTCTTAAAAATTCTGTAATTTTGTGTTAATCTGTACATAATAAAGAACATTGAACTATATCAATAAGGATATGTGATAAGTGGGGGTTTTCTGTATTCCCACATTGATCAGTTAGTACTTCATAGTTGTAAGCAACAGAAAACCACTTTGGCTACCTAAAAAGATTATTTATAGCTATTCTGTCCACAATAACAAAATTAAAAAAAAACCAGAAACACTGAAATGTCCATTAATAGAATGGATGAGTCCATTGTTGGAGAGCAGGGCATCCTGAACGATGGTCCCAGTGAGACTGCACATGGTCCCAGAAAGAATCTAGCCGGTGTTAACAAAAGAAAGGAGGGCATGGATGTTAGGTTGGAAACAACAGATTTCGAACACCTTGACTCACTAAGATCTTTCTTAGGTGGAAAGGCTAAAAGTCGTTTTTGGTTCCCTTAGAAGACAAATAGAAGTTTGATTTTTTAAAATGTGTTTTTAACATAATCCATCATGAGCAAATAATGGAGTTGGATTATATTTTTTTAAACTATAGTGACATTCCTTTTGGCCGAGGTTTTCTAGGCTCAGCTAATAGTCAATCAAATAAGTTAATTTGTGCTAAGATGTGAAGATGGCAATGACCTGGTCCAGGGTAGGCGTATGCCCCAACCCCAGTGCTGGCTTGGACCCATGGGTACTGGTGACTTGAATGTTAATGAGCACATTCATGTCCCCTTCCTAGTTAATTGTAAACCACTGGGAGAGGAACTAGATCTCCAGTCACAAAAAATTTGAGAACTGCTCTCCTAACCCAGGGGAATGGCTGGCTGCTAAGATTTCTCTGGGTCCTATCATTGGCAGGAGCCTTGTTTAAATTTTATATCTTCATCAGAGTTTGAAGTTGGTATGAAGTTTATATGAACAGTAAATCCTAAATCTAAGCAAGTCAGATACTAAGTGCCTTGATTCTGGCAAGGCCCCCCTAAAGCCTGGGAGGTAGAAGGTGTTAAGGTTATAAGATCCAGTTACCTTTACACATAGCATCAGAGGTAAGGGCAGCCCCACTTGAAATTGAAAGGAGGTATGACCCACAGCAAGGCGATATATAATTAGAGTCATTTTGCTCTCACTTTTATGTTTAGGAGGAGACTTATCTTATCAAAGCATATGACAAAAATAAGTAAGATATAGAAGCAATAACAGAATTTTAAATAGCAGTGTCAATAATAACAAAGATAATAGCTACCATTTATTGATTTTCTCCTCTGTGTCTTGCAAAGTACCTTGTGTGTCATATCTCTGACCCTTACAGTAATTTTTTCAGTAGGGTTCCTAGTCCTATTTTAGTTAAGAAAGCTGAAGTGCATGTTAGTTAAATAACTTGCAAAAGGTAACAAGCAATATTGCTGGATGATGCCACATTTGAAATATTAGAATTAAAATTATGCACAAAATGAATTTTAGTACACATTTGACTTTCTCTTGAAAAGATACAGTATTTGATTATATATAGAATTTGATAACTATGACTGGGATTCCTTTGCAGGATCACATCAATATACTTTGATAGTAATTGTGTATGAAACAATTATGATTGAAACAGTTTATTTCTAATTGGTGAAGGAAAATTATGTAACACTGGTTGCTTTCTCTCCTTGATAAACACTTTTGACATTTAGCATCCCACTTGTGAAATGGCTTTGGCAAACCCCTTTTTTCTTCCTCCTTAAGTGGTGTGGAGTAGAGGGCAGCTCAGATGAGGCCTGCCTTTTGACTGGATAGAAAAAAAGAGGGACTGGAAAATGTCAACTTGTTTGGTGAAAGAGAGTCCTATGTTTGGATCTGCTACGATTTGATCTCTAAAATCTTGGGGCATTCAAAAAATGTGACCTGTCTGGATAGTAGTATCATAACAACACTGTATTAAAATTTGTTATTTCATTTAAGCAAATTATCTAGATTTAATAAACTTTAAATCCTCTTACATACAAGAAAGTTTAATAAAGCTCAAGGAAACCATGGTCCTTTCTCCCGCTTTAATTTATTGCTTATTGGCCAGCAACACTCTCATGGAAGCCACCAGGCCTGGGTGTGCTATTCCTCTGGTTCATGCACCACAGACTGGAGCTCTGCGTTTTGTGCAGCCGTTATCTTTCAACTCTCACTCTGATCAGCAGTCTTGCACAGCTTGATCTCCCCTTTAATTTAGAATGTTTCTTGTTTTTTGGCTGCTGGCTGCCTTCAGAAAGGAATGAGCATTCTCAGTGAGTAAATGTAACTAACTACCCAACCCTCACCCTCTTCCCACCCCAGCAATCATTAGTCAGAACATCTGTTCACTCTGCATTTAGAACATGATAGAGCTCACACTGGGATTTTTGGTTAGGATCTTTTAAACATCAATTATTTACTCGACTGAAAGATCCTGAAAAGAAGGAACTGCATCCTATACTCAACTGCTATTCTGAACCTGAGCATAAGGCCTAGTACCTATTAGGGGCAAGACAATAGTTGTTCAATTGCATTGAATATTTACATCTGAGACAGTAACTCAAGATGGTCACTAGACGGGAAGAACCAGAAGAGCCATATTTTGTCAGAGAGATTTATGTTATAACTTATTCTTCATTGGGGAAGAACCTTGTTAATGACCTTATTCTTTTTGCATCATTCTTCTTACACATTTAACTCTGAGGGGCAGTAGTGAGAGTTCAGCTCTTGAGCCAGACACATGTGGAACAGATCCCAGCTTTATTGCTTTCTAGCTGGGTACCTCTGGGCAAATTACTTCAACATTCTAAGCCTCAGTGTTCTCATCTCTAAAATGGACATATATAGTCACAACTATCTTAGTGTAGAGTTTTGAGATGGTATCAGTAAAGTATATGTAGTGAGTGCTCAGTGAATGATTGCTATAATGATTACTATTTTACAACCTGTATCAAAATTGATATTTACACCACAGTGAACCTGTAGCCAGCTTTTCCATTCAGCTTCATAGATACAAATTTGGCACCATCTGAAACAGTTATTCACAGAAATAATTATTTGCTTTACTTTCATGTACCAACAATAGACATTCAATGATAGCTGCAATAGTATTTGTAGCATAAAATGAATCTTTTGCCTTAGCAACCACCTTCAAAAATATATTTTTAATTGGCCATAAGATGGCCAAAGTAAAACAAGTTTTACTTTATTATTTATTATTTATTTGTTTTGTTTATTATTTTCTTTTATTGAATACCAAGTCTTGCAGTGAGTACCAGTCAGCTATTGCTGAAAAAACAAACCATTCTGAACACACAGTGGCTTGAAATAAATGTCATTTATTTTCACCTACACAACTGTGGTTGTATAAAAGTTGGCTGATCTAGTCTGGGCTTGGCTAGTTGGCTCAGCTTTAAATTGCAGGTCTGGCTAAGTCCAGGTTCTTATTGCATGTTGGGTTCATGTCTGCTCCATATGTGTTCATTCATTCTGGGCCTAAGCTCTTCTCATGTTGATGCTAGAGGCACAGAGGCAGGCATATTTTAAGCCTTTGTTTATATCATACCTGCTAACACCCCACAGGCAAAGCAAGTTACATAGCTGAATCTAAGGTCAGAGAAATATATTTATCCTGTAGAGACAGAGGGTCAGAAATAAATATATTTGAGAAATAATTAATTTACCAGGAAGTATAACAACATGGGAAAATCTAAATTAAGATCAGTGGATTTGTGAATTATTTTTTTCTCCAGGGACTTTGATAGCAATAGTGACTGAAAAAGAGACTCATTTTAGGGGTACATCTTCAACCAAGCTTGTATCCTAAGTGCTCAGAATTTAGACTGTTCAATTCCATATGTCTAAGAGGGAAGTATGCAACAGAGCTTTAAAAACCCAGCACTTAAGAAAATAGACTGAAGTGAGTCCTAGGGGATATTTCTAAAGAGATTGCTATTACTTCTAGCAAATACAATTTATGCTTCCTGCAAGAGTACTATTTTGGGCTTTTTTTGTTTTGTTTTGTTTTGTTTAGAGAGAAAAAGTAAGTTGTGCTGTGTTTGGTTTCATGATTCGACTTCTGAAATACCATGTTGGGCTTTGCATATTTGGGTTAGTAGAAACTTTTATTTTGGGAGATTTTTCAGTATCCAGGTTATAGGAAAAATAAAACATTAACACATACTGCATTCTAGATTTCCAGGTGTGTGTATTTTTTTGGGGGCAGGGGTGAGTTGGCATTGGGCAATGTTTCTACTCACACTTCTGCTTGCTTTCAATGAGGTCTTATAAAGAAGAACTGTCTTGAGGTCCACTGTTGGCCATGGATAGCTTTATTCAATAAAATATGGTGACTAAAAACAGGTCATTTAGACATTTACCACCTGCCGGGAAAGGAATGTGCTTGGACAAGGAATTTGTATTTTTTGAGAGTGCAATTGTATTAAAATAAACACTTCTGGAGCCAGGTTTTTCCTTTCTCCTCCTCAAGGTTAGCAAGCTGAGGGCCTCTCAGCTTCTCTCCTTTGGGTCCCATGTGAGAGAGAGAAGCTGACTTAACTGTGTGGGATGTAGCTTGGGCATTGGACTATTTAAATCTTTCCTGGTGAATTAATTCTGCAGCTAGTGTTGTGAACCTCTAACCTAAAGTCTTGCTAATGCCATCTTTGTCATCAGAAAAGCTCACTGCCTGTAGATCAGCATTCAGTGCTATCCCCAGTGGTAGGGTGGGAATAACTGACTGAATGTTGTCATTGTGGCTGGGGCTTTGCTTCTCATCTCACTGGATTTAATCTTCACAAAAACCCCACAAGGTCGATATTGTTGTCCTCATTCTACTGATGAGCAAACAGAAACTCAGAGAAGGACATAGCTTGCCCTCAAACACAGAGCTTTTAATTACAAGGTTAGGATTTCAGTCTCAACTATTATATTCAAGGCCCTGGACCCTTCCTTACTCTGAAATAAAACTGAGTGGTCACTGTATTTGCCACCCTCTAAGCTGCCTTCTAAGAGGGAGAGCAGTTTCTCATAGATGAGTATGTGGAGGGACATATAAACAGCAGAGTGAATATTAAGCTAAGATAGGAGCAGGCAGCAGTAGCTTGATTCAGATGCAAATTGAAGCTAGGTATGATACATAAAGAACTGGGAGAGTAAAGGATTAGATTGGAGGTGGGTAGCTGTAGCCTGTACAGTCATGCACCAAGCAACAATGTTTCAGTCAGGGATGGACTGTATATACGATGGTGGTCCTATAAGATTATAATGTGGCCAAAAGATTTCTATTGCCTAGTGATGTTGTAGCTGTGGTAATGTCACAGTGCAGTACATTGCTCATGTGTTTTTGGTGATGCTGTCGTAAAAAATCCCACTGTGCTGCTACTCACATAAAAGTATAGATGGCAAAAAGTCATATGAAAAAATGCTCAACATCAAAGTACAAACCACTGCTCAAGGACATAAGAGAGGATACAAACAAATGGAAAAACATTCCATCCTCACGGATAGGAAGAATCAGTATCGTGAAAATGGCCATACTACCCAAAGTAATTTATAGATTCAATGCTATTACCATCAAACGAACATTGACATTCTTCACAGAATTAGAAAAAACTACTTTAAAATTCATATGAAACCAAAAAAGAGCCTGTATAGCCCAGACAATCCTAAGCAAAAAGAACAAAGCTGGAGGTATCATGCTGCCTGACTTCAAACTATACTACTATGCTACAATAACCAAAACAGTATGGTACTAGTACAAAAACAGACATACAGACCAATGGAACAGAATAGATACCTCATAAATAAGACCACCCATTTACAACCATTTGAGCTTCAACAAACCCGACATAAACAAGCAATGGGGAAAGTGTTCCCTATTTAATAAATGGTGCTGCAAAAACTGTCTAGCCATATGCAGAAAACTGAAACTGGACCCCTTCCTTACACCTTATACAAAATTTAACTCAAGATTGATTGAAGACTTAAATGTAAAATCCAAAACCATAAAAACCCTAGAAGAAAACCTAGGCAATACCATTCAGGACATAGGCATGGGCAAAGACTTTATGATGAAATTGCCAAAAGCAATTGCAACGAAAGCTAAAATTGACAAATGGGATCTAATTAAAGAACTTCTGCACAGCAGAAGAAACTATCATCAGAGTGAACAGGCAACCTACAGAATGGGAGAAAATTTTTGCAATCTACCTATCTGACAAAGGTCTAATATCCAGAATTTATAAGGACCTTAAACAAATTTATAAGAAAAAACATACAACCCCATCAAAAAGTGAGAAAAGGGTATGAACAGACACTTCTCAAATGAAGACATTTATGTTGCCAACAAACGTATAAAAAAAAAGCTCAACATCACTGATCATTACAGAAATGCAAATCAAAACCACAATGAGATACCATCTCACTCTAGTCAGAATGGCAGTTATTAAAAAGTCAAGGGAAAAAAAGATTCTGGCAAGGCTACGGAGAAATAGGAATGCTTTTACACTGTTGGTGGGAGTGTAAATTAGTTCAGCCATTGTGGAAGACAATGTGGCAATTCCTCAAGAAACTAGAACCAGAAATACCATTTGAGCCAGCAATCCCATTACTGAGTATAAACCCAAAGGAATATAAATCATTCTATTATAAAGATACATGCACACATATGTTTACTGCCACACTAGTCACAATAGCAAAAACATAGAAACAACCCAAATTTCCATCAATGATAGACTGGATAAAGAAAACATGGTATATATACACCATGAAATATTATGCAGCCATAAAAAGGAATGAGATCATGTCCTTTGCAGGGATGTGGATGAAGCTGGAGGCCATCATCCTCAGCAAACTAACACAGAAACAGAAAACCAAATACCACATGTTCTCACTCACAAGTGGGAGTTGAACGATGAGAACACATTGACACATGGAGGGGAACAACACACACTGGAGTCTGTTGGGGAGTCGGGGGTGAGGGGAGGGAGAGCATCAGAACAAAAGCCCGTGCATACGGGGCTTAAAACCTAGGTGATGGGTGGATAGATGCGGCAAACCACCATGCACACACATACCTGTGTAACAAACCTGCACGTTCTGCACATGTATCTGGAACTTAAAGTAAAAAAATAAAATTAAAAAAAGAAAAAATGTTCAGCATCATTAATGATAAGAGAAATACAAATCAAAACTGTAATGAGATATCATCTCATGCCAGTTAACATGGCTTTTATCAAAAAGACAAGCAATAACAGATGCTGGAGAGGATATGGAGAAAGGGAGAACCTTGTATGCTGTTGGTGGGGATGTCAATTACTACAGCCACTATGGAGAACAGTAGGGAGGTTCTTCAGAAAACTGAAAATAGAGTTACCATATGATCCAACAATTCCACTATTGAGTATATGTCCAAAAGAAAGGAAATCAATATATCAGAAAGATTATCTGCACTCCTGTGTTTATTGCCACACTTTTCACAATAGCCATCCTAAGTGCCTATCAATGGATGAATGGATAAAGAAAATGTGATACATACACATATAGAATGAAATATTATTCAGCCACAAAAAAGAATGAAATCTTGTCATTTGCAACAACATGGATGGAACTGGAGGTCATTATATTAAGTGAAATAAGCCAGGCACAGAAAGACAAATATCACATGTTCTCACTCATGTGTGAGACCTAATAAAGTGGATCTCATGAAGATAAAAAGTAGATTGATGGTTACCAGAAGCCAAGAAGGGTGGCAGGGAGGGGACTTGAAGAGAAATTGATTAATGAGTATAAATATGTAGTTTGATTGAAGAAATAAGAGTTAATATTAGATAGACCAGTAGGGCAACTGTAGTTTACAATAATCTGTTGTAGATTTCAAAATAGCTAGATGAGAATAATTAAAATGTTTCTAGAATAAATAAAAAATAAAATTTGAAAGTAACATATATGTCAAATACACTGATTTGATATTTACAAATTATATGAATATATTAAATCATCACATGTACTCTAAAATAATGTACATCTATTATACAGCAATAAAAACAAAAGAAAGCAAGAAAATAAAAAATAAATAAAATAGATTAGTAACTCTAGATTATGAACATATGGGAATTCCTTGTATTATTCTTGTGACTTTTCTGTAAGCTTGGCATTCTATGAAAACAAAATGTAAAAGAATAAATTAATGTTAAGAAAAAGCTGTGAAACAATTTTCTTCATTTTAAATGAGCATTCATAAAGCATTTATTAAACTGTTTAGGGAGGTAAACAAAAAAACATAGCACATACAATTATATATAGTACATAATAATCATCATCAACAGTTATATCACTGTTTTATGGTATTTATACTTTTTATTGTTATTTTGGAGTCAACTCCTTCTACTGATTAAAAAAAACCATCTAAATTAACTGTAAGACAGACTCAGGAATTTCCATCAGGAGGTATTCTAGAGGAAGGCACTGTTATAGGAGATAATGCTCCATGCACGTTATTGCCCCCTGAAGACCTTCCAATGGGACAAGATGTGGAGGTGGAAGACAGTGATATTGACGATCCTGACCCTGCGTAGGCCTAGGCTAATTTGTATGTTTATGTTCTAGTTTTTAACTAAGAAAATTTAAAAGTAAAAAAAAAAAAAAAATAAAAGATTTTAAAAGTAGAAAAAATGTATAGAAAAGGATATGAAAAAAAATTTTTGTACAGCTGTGCAAGGTGTTTGTGTTTTAAACTAAGTGCTATTACAAAAGAGTCAAAATACTAAACATTTAAGAAGTTTATAAGGTAAAAAATTTATAATAAGATTAATTTAATTTTGAAGAAAGAAAAGCAATTTTTATGAATTTAGTGAACTTTAAGTGTATAGTATTTATAAGGTCTACAGTAGTATATGGTAATGTCTTGGGCTTTTACATTCACTCACCACTCCGTCACAGACTCACCCAGAGCAACTTCCAGTCCTGCAAGCTCTGTTCATGGTAAGTGCCACATTGAGGTGTTTAATCTTTGATACTGTATTTTTACTGTACCTTTACTATGTTTAGATACACAAATACTAATCATTGTATTACTATTTCCATACAATATTTAGTACAGTATCATGATCTACAGGTTTGTAGCCTAGGAGCAATAGGCTATGCCACATAGCCTGGGTGTGTATCAGGCTATACCATCTAGGTGTGGGTGGGTCACTCTGATGTTCACACAAAGATGAAATTGCCAAGCAGTGCGTTTCTCAGAACTCATCCCATTGTTTAGTGATGCATGACTGTACCTGTATTGGCTAAAGAAGGCTTTCCAAATATTTCTTTTATAACAGAAGGGTGGATGGGAAAAATGGAAATTTCCAAAAATGTTGAAACACTGGGAGAGAGGCTTTTGAAATGGGATTCTGGGGATTGGGAGAATAGAGGATAGGCAAGATGATTCCAGAGGAAGTGCTTTGGAGAAAGTTTGGGGATGGGTGTGAGGTGAAGAGAAGGGGAATCAAAGAGGTGCTTGAGATCAAGGGAAAGGTATGTGTTGAGCTGGGGAAGCTGGGTGAGCAGGGCTCTCAGAAGGAACAAGAATCCCATCTGTCCTCTAGACTGAGGCCTGGCCTCGTCTAGATATTTAACACAGGAAGCCCCTGTTTTCACAGTGATGGCTGGGGAGGGGCCAGGTCTGTTTCAACCCCTCTTCATCCTGAATTCATAAAACAAAACATAAACCTCAGAAGAAAAAAGATCAAATGAGATGAGTGAGAGGTACAGAGAACGAGGAGCAAGACCATGAACTCATAGACAATGAGCACTAATGACAAGATAGGCTTTCCTCTAGTTTTCTCTAAAATTTTGTTAGGTAGTGACAACATGAACATTTAGGACTGTAGGTTTTACTTGGATGTTTCAGTTTAGATGTGGGTTTATCCCTCAGAGCTGAAAGTATTAATACTTCCAGACACCGAGCTGTACTGCTCTTGTAGTTTGTTTCTTGTTAATGTTTCTGAATTAGATCTGGAGTGACACACTAATAAAGTTCCTCTCTGGTCTCTCAAGGCTGAAGATTGATTTTTGCTTTCTTTTAGTATATTAATAAATTAGAAAGCTGCATTTACATTCTCAATTCACTAATAATAAAATCTTATTGTGTTGTAGCAAAGTGTGCTTTTATTGATTATTATTTATTTGTACATGCTCCTATTTTATTCTTCCAAAAGCCTCTTGAAATAGAATGGGCTTCATCATCCCCAATTTACAGATAGAGAAACTGAGGAGGTTTGATGTGGTTGTGTGATCTGCCCTAGGATCCTGATTAGTAAGTTCCTGAGTCAGCAAATGAACTGGCTTGTGTGAAGGGAGCTACAGTGTGGTCTTTGTGCGGCACATTTTGCTGTTCAAAGTGTTTTCTGGTCTAGAGCCATGTTTGGTCCATGGGAACCCTGGGTGAGATAAGGCAAGTATTCCTAGCCATTTCCTGGATGCAGAAGCTGGGACCTTGAGAGAAGATGTCGTTTTCTCAAGTTCTCTGGGCTAGGCACAACTAAGTTCTCCCAGGACTTTTGCTTTTACATTGGGATTCCTATCCTTTATGATGATTAAACAATACTGGTGAATAATCTATTTTCCTGGAGGAAAAGAAGGGAAACAGAGGAAGAGCAAAGACTGCTGCCACTGGGAATGAGATTTTCTTACTTACTCTTTCTGAATTCTAATAGAATGGGTAGAATGCACTGATGCTGATTCTTTAAGAACAACATTCCCACTTCCAATTAAATGGTGGGTTATTTTAATGATGATGATCTTAAACTTTGTATGCACATTTAACCCCAAACTCTTCAATTTTGTCAAAACCAGATCTTTCAATTTCAGTCATTTTCCTTTCCTCTTTTTAATGATTTTTTCTGCCTCACAGCATTGCGTGCACCACCTTCACAATTATTCAAGAAGCGCAGCGTTCACTGAAGAAAGGGAAGATAAGATGATCCACTAGGGAGGAAGGAACTGAGTATTTTCACTTCAATCTCATTTTTCTTATTTTTAATTTCCAGTTTTGTGTTTGCTTTATAATGGATATGACATATTAGTAAGTTAGTGTATTACATATATATAACATATATATAAAACACATAAGATATATATATATGCGCGTATATATGTGTATATATATACGTGCGTATATGTGTATATATATACGCGCATATATATGTGTGTATATATATACGCATATGTGTATATATATATACGCGCGTATATATGTGTATATATATACGCGCGTATATGTGTGTATATATATACGCGCGTATATGTGTGTATATATATACGCGCGTATATGTGTGTATATATACGCGCGTATATATGTGTGTATATATACGCGCGTATATATATGTCACATAACCACACAGACATAATGAGGTATGTGCACAATATATTTTAATTTTGGGTGTGTATGTTCATAAAAGTTTGGATACCTCTACTGTTATGAGTTGAATTGTTTTCCCTCCAAAATAATGTGTTGAAGGCTTTAACCCTCAGTATCTCAGAATGTGACCTTGTTTGGAAGTCACATTCTGATTTAATTATTTCACATGCAGATTTGATTAGTTAAGATGAGGTCACATTGGAGTAAGGTAGGCCCTATTCCCAATATAACTGGCATACATATAAAAAAAAAATCGGTCATATGAAGACCCAGAGAAACAGGGAAAATGTCCCGTGAAGATAGAGGAAGAGGTTGGATATCTACAAGTCAAGGAGTACCATGGTGATATGGTTTGGCTCTGTGTCCCCACCCAGATATCATGTTGAATTGTAATCCCCAACGTTGGGGGAGGGACCTGGGGGGAGGTGATTGGGTCATGGGGGCAGATTACCCCCTTGCTGTTCTCATGATAGTAAGTTCTCACATGATCTGGTTGTTTAAAAGTGTGTTGCACTTCCCTCTTCACTCTCTGTCTGTCTCTCTGGCTGCCATGTGAAGATGTGCTTGCTTCCCCTTTGCCCTTCCACCATGATTGTAAGTTTCCTGAGGTCTCCTAGCCATGCTTCCTGTACAGCCTGTGGAACTGTGAGTCAATTAAACCTCTTTTCTTTATAAATTACCCAGTCTCAAGTAGTTCTTTTTAACAGTGTGAGAATGGGCTAATACACAAGGATTGCCAGCCATCTACAGAAGTGAGGACAGATGCATTGAACAGGTTGTCACTCAGAGACTTCAGAAGGAACCAACCTTGCTGCCACCTTGGTTTCAGACTTCTAGCCTCCAGAACTTTGAGACAATCATTTTCTGTTGTTGTAAGCCACCCAACTTGTGGTACTTTGTTATCGCAGTGCTCAGAAAATAATATACCTAGTTGATGTTGACAAAAAGTCACCAGAAATAGTTTAAGAAAACTTGACAAATTTAAACTATTTTCGAGTAGTGCAGTCTATCAAGGTGACCCTTTAGTTAGGAAACCTAAGAAGACAGAGTTGAAATCTGAGGAGGACACTAGGACTCAGGATGAGAAAATATATCAAGTGCTTTTGAAAGACATCCCATTATTAGCAGAAAACCATGAGCATCTCCACAAAAGTATTGGGATCAAGAAAGTGCCTGGGAGACTGGGAAATGCCATCAGGCTTTCAGAACAAGTTGAGTGATTGAAGAAAGACATTGGGAACTTGAAAGAGAAACCAGAGAGGCCTGGGGATAATTTTTGCTGGTTTATTATTTTCCCATTTGTTTATTTTCCACAAGTCAGATTTTGGAGCAATTAGCAAAATATCATGCAAATATTCCCAGTGTGACTACACATGAATAACTTTAATTCTGCTGAACATTTGTCTTGTTGCTACAAAATACATCTGCTATTTGCATTAACTTAATCTGTTAAGATATTGTGAACTAAACCACAGACTTCCAGAGACATTTAGGAAGCAACTTCCCATTTTTATTGGACACTTTTGACTAGCAAAATCTGCTTTTGTGATCATGTGACCCACCCCAGGAGCACCTCTTTTCTCAGTGCTGTTTCAGACAATATAAAAAGAAACATAATGGAGCATCACATAGGGGAAGTGTTGGTAGAGCAGGAGGATGCTTATCAGCAACAGAAACAAGCAGTGGAATGAATAATTATAGAAAATGGGGTAACACATGGATATGCATTCTGTGTATTTGAAAGAGGGACAGAAATAGACTGAACTTTTGACATGTGCAAAGTACCATGTTACATACTTCACATACTTCATATTATGTCAATCCCATGACCATCCCATAGGGTAGACCTTAAGGAGTCAAATCATTTATCTGACATTAAACACAAAATAAAGAGCAGAGTCAGGGTTTCTTTCATTCAACAAATGCACCTACTATATGCCAGATACTGTTCTATTAATTGGGTGTAAAGAAGTAAAGAAAAAAAAAAGAAGATAACAAAGAAGAAAGGCCACTGATCTTAAGGAATTTAATTCCAGTTGTGAGATTCAGACATATAAAAGTAAGCAGACAAATACAGAAAACACTTTCAGGTAGACATGAATGTTTTTAATAAAACTGTGTGTTGTGATAATAAGTACCTGGCAGAGAGACTTCTTTATAGACACTGTGATCATGGAAGACATCTTGAAGGAGGTAACAGTAGCTGAGACTGGACCCAGTTATGTAAAGAAGAACATTCTAGGGAGTAAGAAGACCAAGTGCTATAGTTCAGGATGGAGAAAAGTAAGAGATGCAACTGGAATGTTTTCAGCAAGTGGTGATGTGACTCATTACAATTTCTTCAAGATTACCTTGGCTGCTATGTCAAGAACAGATTGTGCAGGGCAAGAAATTGAGATACTGGTCCAGAGGCAGTTGTTTTTGTCCAGGTGAGCATGGATGGTGCCTTAGACCAGGATGGAGGCAATGAAGATGCAAGGAATGGACAGATTGTAGATGTACTTTGAAAGCAGGTGCTATGGTTTGAATATGTCCCCTAAATTAGAATACATCCTAGATAAATGGCATCTGCTGGTAAATGGTAGAGGCTGGACTTTATCCCTGGAACCCTCCATCTGAGCTAGTGATCGTAGGCCAGTCATTTAAGCTCTCTGTAGAATAAGAATAACAACAGGGTCTCTTTTATAAAGTTTTTGTTATAAAGAGACAGGGTTGAAAACACAGCTCTTTTATAAAGTTATTGTTAAAAGAGACAGGATCTCTGTTATAAAGTTGCTATAAAGTTCAATATATGTAACAAATAAGATAAGAGTGTCTGGCTCATAGAAAGCTATCTGTCTATCTATCTATCTATCTATCTATCTATCTATCTATCTATCTATCTTATTTAAGTGGATATGTCCAGTATTTGAACATAGGGCTGAGTTATGCCCAAGCCCATGCTCATTATTTGTAAGTTGTAAGAAAAGGGTAAAGTTGATTAAAGTTTAGTGGTAGGGATACCTACTCTCTCTCTCTTTTATCAATGAGCTCTCTACTGGTTTTCTGCTTCCCAACCATGCTGTGGCCAAGGTCTGTCCAAACCCTGTTTAAACCCACTAAACCCCCAAAAGCATGGCATTTCCTGGACCTAAAGCCTACATAGTCTCCCCATTGCCCATAACATATAAAACCCATGGCCTTAATTTGGACTTAATGAATGACCTCAATAGTCTGACCCTAAATGCCATTTTTGGTCCTTTCTCCTCATGTTACTTTCCTGTGCCCAAATTAGTTTTCTCATTATAAGATGAATGCGATATCCACTTTCCAATTCCGTATAGTCATTCATTAATTTATTTATTTTACAGATGTCTTTTATGCACTAGCATTGTGCTAAGAGCAGGGGCAATTGAGATTCATCTATATATTGGTTCTGCCCTTGAAATGTTCTTGATCGAGTGACAAAGGCATATGTAAAGCACACTTAGTAATACTACACAGTGTAACAAGTATACAGTACATACAAGGTGACAGACACCCACAGGAAGGAGTCGCAGGGAGATGAAGACAACAGAGCACCCACTTGCAAGGTGAAGGCAGGAGTTAGGAGGAAGAAAAGAGGAAGAGTGTTCTAGCAGAGGAATCTGCCTGCACAATGGCAGGGAGGCATGATGCTTACGTCATATTTTATGGTTTCACTCTCCTTTTCTCATACTAATTTTTTATCTAGTTCTGTGACCCCTTCACTTTCAAGGCCACCACTCCAGTTACACTGCAACCTGAGGTCTCATAAATTCAGAATGCTGTTGCAATTGAAAGCATGGACCTTGGAGTTGAGGTAAAATACACTGTTTTTGGGCCCACCGATGAATATCTGCTTGAGCTTAAGTGAGTTCTTTATCCTTGCTGAGTCTTGGTTTCCTCATGTGTGAAATGAGGATAATGAAAAAACCCTACCTTGCAGTGGTAGGTGGAGATTAAATGAGGTAATGCATGTAAGTCTCCTATGACAATGTCCTCTTTGTGTACTGCTCCTTTATATATTTCCATTCCCACCCTTCAAATTTAACACATGACCTAGGGACAACATGTACCACGACACAGTTGCTCAATGAACTAACACATGGACACATGTGTCTGGCATTATTAGTTTCCTGACTTCCTATCCTCAATCCGTGGCTAAGGTTTTAATTCTGTTTCAGTAAGTGACAAATTATTTAGATATAGTTTCCTCCTGGATCAAGACTTTTAAAACATTTATTTAATTATTATTTTTTAACCTCTAAATCCCTATTCCTGGGAAATGTCCACTTTGGAGTTCATTTCTTTTCCCAGAAGGAGCAATTCATCAGCTTTTAGAAGATTGTGATTCAGTAGGGACTGTTCAAGTCCATGTTATGACATAGGCTCCTTTGAGGCTTCAATACAAGGAAGACACATTTAAGGCCTTGTTAACAAAAGTATGAATGTTCATAATAGAACCTTCCATGTCTTTTGTATCCCAGACTCATTCCTCTTCTATAACACTCTAATCTGAATTACTTTATCAGCTGTACCTCCAGGGGCTTTGCTGATAATTCACAAAAGAAATACATCTGCTATTGGCCCTTGTTCCCCAATTATTAGTTTAGTACAAAAGTGAAAGTAATTGAGGTTTTTGGTATTACTTTCAATGTCAGAACTGCAATTACTTTTGCACCGACCTAACAGTTTTCCAATGTATCCAGGATCACTTTCCACTTTTTCTTCAGCTTAGATTTCTCATTGCAGTGGGATGTGATTGAAGTGCAAGGCTTGGTTCATCCACAGTGAGTGCTGCTGTTTCAGTCATGCGGAGAACTTCTCCAACTTCAGGAGGGTCTCAGGAAAGGGCATCCCAGGAGAGGACACCTCTGCCTGCTTCCACACCAGGAAATGTCTTTGTAGAGTGTCATTAAATGAAAGAATCACTTGAGCTTATTTCTTACGGTATGACACAGAAATCTAGTGAGCTGAAGTGGTTGGGATTTACTGGTAACAAACCCCAAACAAATGTACACAATAGAGAGAAGTAGATCAGAGAAGTTGGCTGTATTTTTAATTGGAAATTCATGTTTTTAAAGTCTTAATCCAGGAAATCGACATTTTAGAAAGAATGTCTAATTTTACTAGTTGATATTTTCTGTTTTTCAGAGGTGGAATGGAATGGGGGAGGGGGTCATAAAAGTGAATTTATAGCTATGTGAATACACACACACACACACACACACACACTTAGCTCTGTGTGTGTTTCCTTTGTGGTATTTTTGAAACACATATTGACTTTTGCCCCTAAATTATTTGTTTGAGAGTGCTGAAGTAGCTTATTGTTTATTTCTTCAATCAAATCAGTGGAGGTGTGGGGCTTGCTTTCTTTACAGCTGACACACCCACTATAACACACCTGGTGGGTATTTAAGACACCCACTTTCTTTCCTTTGTTCCCTTCCTAAACATCTGAAAAAGTTGCAATTTCTCCATCAGATTACTCTCTCACAATATGAGTCACAGTTAGCACAATTGCAGAAAATCTCTTGTCCCCACTTTGAATTCCCCTTTAATGTCCCCCCCCAGAAATTCTTGTTTAGACCCTCTTTCCAAGTTGAATAACCAGAGAGGCATCGTGCAGCCTTTAATTTGAGATCAAGAGGTTGTCTGCTTAAGAAACAACATGATTCCATAGATGTAGTACAAGGAATTGTGCTGCCTCCTTTCAAAAAGACCTGAGGAGGTAGGAAAAGTAGGGGTGTGTGTGTGTGTGTGTGTGTGTGTGTGTGTGTGTGTGTGTACTGTAGCTGAAATATGCTCTGGTCTTTTTCTCAGAAAAGACAAGAAAGACCACATCTTGGTTCTCAATGCAGCTGACAAGACAGATATTAATCCATGACTTTGAATTCTAAAATCGAAAGTACTTCTTGGAGACTTACTTGGTGTCTAGTGGTAGCCCCCTCCTCAAAGAGCTCACAGCTACATGAAGAGACAGGAAATAAGAACCTATGGCAAGAATGAACAGGACTCATGGAGTAGAACCCTTCAAGCAACTTTATTTTTGTCCCCATCTCTTCCTTTAAACCTGTTCAATGATAACTGAACTGGATGAAAACTCAGAGCCCTACTGCTTTCTTATTTACTTTCAGGTGATGAAAGTCCAATGGCCACTTTGAGGGGAAAAAAGTCATTAGGATCAGTGCAAAGCAGTGTTTCTATATTCTTGCAGAGGTAAGTCTTTACCTCTCCAACTTCTCCAACTGATCCCCTCTCCCTTCCTTGTTCACCTCCTCCCTGCTCTAGGACTCATCTCAGGCCTTTCTGAGGTTAGAGAGAAAAGTAAGAGAAACAGGACTGTTCTTTCATGACTGGTACTGTTGTAAGGTGGCTTTGCTTTCTCCGGGCTGGAAACTGTAACAGATGATTAAAGATGGCTTTCTTCTGGTGAAACAGTTCAGAGCTGTGCAGAGATTGCCTGCTGGACACCTCCTGCCCTTCTCTTGACACCAGGGCTGTGTATTTCTTGACTTGCCCTTTCTTGTACCTACCTTTAGCTCCACTTCCTCTGCCAGCCTGTTACTGCTGGGGCCCTCATCTCCTCTGTAAGACATAATTCTTTTTAAAAGTGACCTCAGGCTGATTCTCTTGGGGACAAGTGACATCTGGTCCACAGGATTTCTCACATTTAACCAGTCATTGGAGGGAAGTGCAGTTCACTCACAGGCTGCTGAACTTCCTCAGATGTGGGTTTGGTGTGGATCTCTGTACTCTCTGCTGTAGACCCATCATGAGAGTTCCAGGCTATTCCTTCAAGTCCTTTCATTAGGCTTGGGTGAATAGGTAGCATCCTCCCCCCATTGCCAAGAGGGGAGATTTTAGGCTGCTGAATAGCTATTACCAAAATATTTTTTTCACAATTCCAACTCTCCTAATTATTTTCCATTCTCCCTGTGGGGGAAAACAAATTTGTTGACTTTGGAAGCCTCTCATTAGTTATTTCCTTTGCAGATTTACATCTTGCACTTCACGTTGGTGTTTCATAGGTACTGAATTTTGGTACTTCACTTTTAATCTTTATCACCTTGATACATGTGTTTCATAGATGGTTGAGGCCATAAGAGTTGACCTCCTGTTGTGTATGGGTTATATAGTGATTAGGACTATGAGAGAAGAGAAAAGTAGAGAGATCTCAGTGTTCTCTGCATGTAGGTGACAGTCTTAGGGCAGACTTTGGGGAGGAAGAGCATGTTTCTGGGATAAAGAATGGAAAAAAAACTTGGACTGTCATAGGAGACTGAAAAGGCTTTGCGGTTAAGGGGGTATTGTGTCAGTTCAGCCTCAAGAGGAGCTGGAGCAAGCATATGGACGTGAGAAGGCAGAATGGCCTTCTACGGTGGCAGGATTCCAAGATGACCCCCAGTGACAGCCTTGAGTGGGGTGACCAGGACCTGTGATATGATGGGATGTCACTCATGAGATTACGTTATATTATGTGCAAAGGTGAACTGAGTTTTGCAGATGTAATTAGGGTTCCTAATTAGCTGACATAGAGTTAATCATAAGGAAGGTTGTTCTGGGTGCATTTGACCTAAGGAGGTGAGCCTTTAGATAAGAGAGACTATCCTGCTGACCTGGAAGAAATTATACAGTCATTTTGTGAACTGCCCAGGGGGAAAGGTAGCCTCTAGGAGCTGAGGACTCCAATCCTCAGATAAAAATCCCAGCCTTGGATGCCACCTTGGTTGCAGCCATTGGAGTTCCTGAGCACAGGACCCAGCTAGGGCACATTTGGATTCCGGACCCATGGAAATTGAAATAATGTATGGCATTGTTTTAAACTGCTCAATTTGTTACTCAGCCACTACACCTCTCTTCATGAAACTGTTTTATGTTGGAACATGTTAAGAGTCAAGGATACAAGAGCTAGGGAAGGGCCTAGTTAGGTAGCATTTAGGATGCCAGACTTGATGAGAGTGATAGTAATTCAGTATAGACCCAGACATGTGTTACAAAAATCTGGTTTGCTCATGTTTCATATTCTTTACGGGTTGGCTGGGGGTGTTTCTTAACATTATCCCACCCTAGAACCCATGCCAATGGGCATTTCCTCTGCCATGGCTATTGTAAAAACACATTTATGACTTCTGCCTGAAAATGTCATATTTTCCTTTTGCTCATGTTTTGCTGGCCAGAGGAAGTTGCACAGATACACTTAACTTCCAAGGCTCTGTGTATGAATGAACCAGACATATTTATTGAACTTTATTAGTATAAAATAGTTATTTTAGGTTCTTGAACAAGAAGGTGACTTGATGACAGCCAGCCTCTTAATTTATATCCCAGCACCTTCCTTCTCATCCCACATTCTGAGAAGGTGTACAAGGTTCCACTGCAAACATGCGAATTTAGTATTGGCTGTTGGATCCTAGACAGAACAGTGAGCAACACTAAGCAAACATATACATATCTTTTCTTGTTAACACAAGAAACATCCTGTGTTAGAAAAAGAAAAAAAGATGTTTCTTGCCCCAGTAGTCCTGCTGGATCTAAAATGGATTTTGAGCCCATATTTACTCTAGGGATTTCCATTTTCCTGCCTGTTTTATGCCTTCATGCACTCTTTCTCACCTCTCCTGAGAGTAGTCAGTTTTCTAGTTAATTCAGGATCAGATGGGGATGACTCAGCAGATCTTCAAAGATAGATGATAGGGAAAATTATGAGAGGTATTCCAGTCAAAATGGTTGCACTATGCCTTAGAAAGGAGTGCAAGAAAATAGAGGTATAAAAGCTTACCCAGCATTACCAGTTGGATTTATTCCAGTTAGTAATAATATTACCACAGCCTTTAAAATTTTTAGGGCACTTTCATCTCTCTGAAGGCTGATATAGAGAGGACAATTGTTATGACTTCACTTGTGATAAATAAAGAATTGTGAGACAGAGAATGTTTGACTTCCTTTTCTTCTTCCCCTTCTTCCATCAAAATGATGTCTTAGAAAAAAAAGATTTCTGGTATTTTACTTCTCCAAGAATTATCTGAATTTTAAGCTTTCAGGTGAAATGGAGTTTATCTTCTCTGTGAAAGTTATTTCAGGCATAGACAAAGATATGGTGGAGACTGGTACGTGATGGTAAAATTACAGACAGGGATTGCCATCCTATTGATCCTTTGGAGGCCTGGCATGGGTGAGGGAGCCAGAAAATGACTTAGGAAATGAGAAGATGAGTGAACACGCAGAATGTGACAAGCCCAGCAAGTAGCCAGGTAAATGGAGGGAGAAATCGGACAGAAGGCCTTACAGAATTCAGAGAAGGAGAGAGTTCCACAAGGAGGAAAGGGTACATTGTCAAATCCCATAGGGAAAACTGATGAAAGGAGGAAGGTAAAGAGTTCTGTGGATGTAGCAAGTCAAGGTCACTACTGACCCGGTCAAGAACCCAGTTTGCAGAGGGGGAATGGAAGCCAGACTGTGGGACACAGACTGATTTCCAAGAAGGTGTAAAGGGAATTGGTGAACAGGGTGATAGATATGGTAAGAAGTACAACCTCAAGATAATGGTTGAAGTTCTTACTATGGAGAAGATCTGTCTGTTTATAGGTAGAAAAAAATAGCATCAGTAGAGAAGGCAAAGTCCATTGCATAGGTGAGAGATGGTGCTGTTGCTGGAGTCACGTCCCTGCAGAGGCTGAACCTCAAGTGCAAACATCAGTCTCTAACAGGAAGAGGGAGCTCTTCTCTAGAGGTGAAGTCCAGTGGAAGGAAGAATGGGTCTCAGAAAGGAGGTGGGGTAGGACTGGAAAGTGAGTCCATCCACTTCTGGAGGGCTCAGTTTACTTTATAACCAGGCAGAAAGCTCATCTGCAGGGAAGGGAAGATGAAGCCCCAGGGCCTGTGTAATTTTGCAAAAAATGCTGTAGTGCTCATTTTGGAGAATTTAGATAACATGGAAATGCTTTCCTGCCTTTGAATAAGGCAGAAGGGGAACCAAGTCCAGGAAGTTCTTTGAACCAGTTCTCCCTTCACATCTTGTCCTATCCCTGGCTGGTTTTGAAATATCATGTCAAAGGTAGGGAATAAGGTAAGACTAGCATCTTTGATCAGGTCTGAAGGGAGCATGGCTTGGACAGAGACCTGGCTCTGCGACTTCTGTGAGTGTTACTGGGGTATGAATATGAAACTTGTGAGTTCACCTTTTTAATTTTGGCACATCTAAATCATGAAGAATATGACGTTGATGTCTCTTTTCACATTTGCATCTGGGAGAAAGATAGTTTGCCTCAATCAGTCAAGAGAACTCTCCTCTTTGTTAAACTTTGTGAGGGCTTTGTGGTTTGAGTTTAGTGCTTTTCTTTTGGAGAAATGTGTTTTATGTTTAGAGGGATTTATCATTTGTTCTGTCGAAGAGCATCTCATAAAAGACACTTTTTCTTTCTTTCTTTCTTTCTTTCTTTCTTTCTTTCTTTCTTTCTTTCTTTCTTTCTTTCTTTCTTTCCTTCCTTCCTTCCTTCCTTCCTTCCTTCCTTCCTTCCTTCCTTCCTTCTTTCTTTCTTTCTTTCTTTCTTTCTTTCTTTCTTTCTTTCTTTCTTTCTTTCTTTCTTTCTTTTTTTTGCAGCTGTTGTCAGTAGAACTGGAGGAGGGGTTTTCATCTGCATAGATTAGGTTGATGTACCAATCTCTTTCTTCTCTGGGGTTTTTAAGAAATCTTCCGTGATTGGTTGAGCATGAGGAATCTCCCTGTGACAGCTCTATAAAGAAAGAAAGACAATAAAGACAATCTAATAGGCAGTGAGTCGATGAAGATTTTTGTCTGGAATAAATTTAGCGCATCTCATAAAGTTTTTATGGATGCTACTTTTCAGATGCTTAGAATATTATTATCTATCCTAACATTTCTCTCTTCCCAATTTTTCTTATTCTTGCCTAAAAAAACAAAAACTTTAAGGATGTTCTTCTGTGTCAGTTTAAGCTCTTAGCAGAGTTGTTTGAATGGCTGATTTTTCTTTTTCCACTGCTTGGTGTTCTTTTCCTATGGGATTTCATTAGAGTCTTCCACAAAAATCTGACAATTAGTGGGTGTCGCAATGAAATTTGTGATTTGTATTTTTGCTTGACTTCAACACATAACCCTCAAAAGGCCCTGCATAAACATGAGGTTTTGGTAGTTTTGTGTCAAAATAAAAGAAAAATGAAATTAGGATAGAGATAAAATATCTGATTACTTTCAATTAATAGAACAGAAAGTTACCCCAAACCTAGCTTGTAGCAACTAAAAGCAAGCCACCTAAAAATTCACCTTACAAGTGAGAACAGAACAAAATAAACGAAAAAGAGTTAGGAACTACATTATTCAGAATAATACATACTTTTTAATGCTGAGGGTTTTTTTGTGGGTATTAGATCCTCCTTCTCTTTCCCCCCACAAGGAAGCAAGGATTCTAGGGCAGCTGCAGAGGAAATATGTATGTGCCAGGTAAAAATATATTCACATCTTTCCACATGGATGGTGCTTGATGAGCCTGGCTTAATGTCCCCCAGGTCTGAGGAGTTGTGAGACTCTATAGCATATTTTATTATTTAAAGGGATACAGAGTGTTTCCTCACAGTGAGGCACCCATCATGGCCACAGTCCTTCCTAATACCCTTTGTATAAAAAACTGAATTCGTTTCTTCATTTTCTGAAAAAAAGTGGGGGAGTGTAAAAGGAATCTGAATCAAGAGAGAGTGATCTCCTGGAAATCTTCCTCTTCCCTAAATCTTTATAAGTTAAATGTTTTGATTTCTGCTAGTGAAGCTTCCCTTTTCATGGCAAGAAAAGAGCAGTGAAAATGTGTTTTAATTTTTTTTCTTTCAGAGAGAGAAGCATATTGGGGTCATAAAATCATACCTTTTCTATGATGTTGCCATTGCTTATTTATGGCCACAAGGAGAAACCAGGTATTCAAGGATTTGAGATTCATTTTTCATAAAACTGCCACAAATATATATACATGTATAAATGTATATATACATATATATTTATACATGTATATATGTATATATACATATATATTTATACATGTATATATGTATATATACATATATATTTATACATGTATATATATACATATATATTTATACATGTATATATATACATATATATTTATACATGTATATATATACATATATATTTATACATGTATGTATATATACATATATATTTATACATGTATGTATATATACATATATATTTATACATGTATGTATATATACATATATATTTATACATGTATGTATATATACATATATATTTATACATGTATGTATATATACATATATATTTATACATGTATGTATATATACATATATATTTATACATGTATGTATATATACATATATATTTATACATGTATGTATATATACATATATATTTATACATGTATGTATATATACATATATATTTATACATGTATGTATATATACATGTATATTTATACATGTATGTATATATACATGTATATTTATACATGTATGTATATATACATGTATATTTATACATGTATGTATATATACATGTATATTTATACATGTATACATTTATAAATATAGTTATATATAAATGTGTTTATATAATAAATGTATGCATTTATTTATATATAAATAAATGCATACATTTATACATACATATACATTTATATATATATGTTTCAGAAAATGCTGAAGCCAGGAATATCAATCCTAAACCCATGGCTGTGACTCCCTTTGCTTCCTGCCTTAAGAGATAAGGAAGCTCCACCCTGGAGGAAGGCTAGGTTGGCAGGGAGCTGGGAACAGGCATCCCAGAGGAATTGGCTCTGAGATGACCTTGGGCATCCACATAGGAGCTACGTCTGGGGGACTGATTGCAGGTGCTTATGGTACTCCCTGGTCTCCAGATAGGTGGAAATCACCATATGGAACTTTAGATTTGGAACTTTATTCTGGTTGCTAAGACAGATAACAGAAAAAGAAACAATATTGCTCTGGGAGTTCAAAATTGTGAGCTTTCCTAACAGCAACACCACTTGCTCATGGTGTGACCTTGAGCAAGTGAAGTTACTTAATCTGGCTGCATCTCTATTCTTCTGTAAAATGTGGATAGTAACTCCTGTCCTGCTTATCTCGTGAGTGTGGCATGTGTCAGGTAGTGCAGGGCATGTGGCTGCCTTAGTGTAGAAGTAAAAGTGCTTTACAAACTGAATAAGCTTATGACTGAGTGCTTTCTCTGTGCCTGGCCCTTCGCTGAGCTCTCTAGTAAATGCCCAAGACCTACAGACCACAGTCCTCACGTCTCAGTGGGCTGAGAGGTTAATTCAAAGAAGGAAAAATCAGTGACAGTGTTAGGTACCTCAGCAGGGCTGTCCTAGTAAGCAGTAGGCAGGTGTATTTAATGTAGTAGCCCTCAAACTTCCTCAGAGGTATATGGACTGTGGAGCTGGGGGCAATAAAGGACAAGGAGTTGTCATTTTTTTATTGTCTCTGAGACATACTCTGCCTTCCTTCTCTCCCCACATTTTTAAATCTCTTACAGTTAGGGGTTGGTTATAGTTTAAATAGTGGCTCTTTTTTGTTAGTGGTGGAGAAAATAATGGTATGCTTTACAATCTATGGAGTCTTACATTCAATAAAATACTGTACAAGAAGAAAACTACCATATCTGTGATATCCAACACCACTAAGTTCAATGTTGAGAAGAATTTTAAAGAGCCTCTCAGCATCAAAACAATTGAATCTATCATCAAAATAATTTTATAAAATGGGAAAGAGATATTTCACATGGTTGTCTTTATCCAGAGCTTTTGATTTTGACTTTCAGAGGGTACAACTGCTTTATTCTCTTTAGAAATTAATTATTTTCTATAATTATTTTTAATTTTAGAAATAGAATCTTATCTAGGGGGGAAGAAAAAAACTAAGACAAGAAATTAGGCCAGACACGAAGGAAAATCACTGGGTTTGTAGCCATGAACTTTTATCTTGAACACTGCTTTCAAATCCAGGCAGTCAGTTCTAAGTCAACACTGTGCTGCTTCCATCTTTTTTTTGACTGACATGCTCCCCTGTTTTCTTTATACTCCATACACTAGGACTGAAGAGTCATATTGGAGACACTATACCTTGGGAATCAAAAGCAGGCTGGGATTGGCAGTGGAGGAGAATGAGAGAAGTTTGTGTAGGGGAGAAAAGACTTTTTCTCTATCCCATTACGATCTGTGTTTGGACCTGAAAATTAAACGGACAAAAGCCAGATTAACAGGGAAGGGCTTACAGGTTGTATTTGATGTTAATATTTCTACATGTACACAGAGGGTTCACATATAAGAAATGAAGACCCCCCCAAACATGAATAGTTCTGAGAGCTGATATACCATTTTAGCAAAGAATGATAAAGTTTTTGTGGAGATGTGACAAGACAGAAGAAAAAGGAGTTTGGGCTAGAGATGGTAAGTTATGAAAAAGTTACTGGGAAACATAGAAGAGGACTAATGGGAGATTATCTCTGAAGATTTGTACAAATTCATCTCAGCTTTGATTCCCTCTCTCCAGTGATAAGAATGCTCTCTTATTCCTTGTACAGAGAGAGCAACTTTCTGATGGAAAATTTATGCCCTGCTTTTAGAGAAAAAGGGAAGTCAAAGAGTCCTTCCTACAGCTTTTTCTAAATGGCCTTCAGCTCAAAATAATCAAAATGCAAGAACAGAATTTTTGGGATGGTTTATTTTTATTTCTTTCATTTGTTCACATCCTTACACAGACATGCATTGGCTAATGATGAGGATACATTCTGAGAAATGTTTTATCAGGTATTTTGTCATTGTGTAAACAGCATACATTATACTTACACAAACCTAGATGGTATAGTCCACTACACACCTAGGTTATAGGGTATAGCCTATTGCTTCTAGGCTACAAACCTATACAGCATGTTACTGTACTGAATACTGTAGGCAACTGTAACACAGTGGTAAGTATTTGTGTGTATTTAAACATAGAAAAGGTACAGTAAAAATATGGTGTAAAAGATTTTAAAAATTGTACCGCTGTACAGGGCAACTCTATTGTAACCTTATGGGAACACCATTGTACATGCAGTCCACTGCTGAGGGAAACGTCATTATGTGGTGCAAGACTGTACTTTCCTTGAAAGAAGAAATTGGACTACTTACCGTTTTAAAATGCTTCTTAAATTTTCACTTGGCCTTTTGCCCTAGGGTTCCAATATATGGTAGACTCCTCCAGGCATCCCAGTGCCTGGTCTGAATCAATTCCTGGCTTTAGGATCGCAGTCCTCTTCCTGGCGTTTTTTTTTTCTTCTGTGCCTTGACCTTTTTGGTTGTTGTCGTTAACCAAGCTGACTTCCATCTTGACCTGCTCCCCATTCCTGCTTGTTCCAGCAGGTAGGTTGAGACCCTCAGTTCTATCAGCTCCCTAGCCCTACCACTCCTTGCCATCTTTCTTGGGAAAATCAATTCTTTTTTCTATCTCCTAGCAGTTTAGAATCAGACAGGCTCTGGGTTCAAATTCAGTCTTTGCTAGTCTGCTTCTCTATTGCTTCCTCAGTTGTCAGCACTCAGCCCATGAAAGTGATTCTTTGTTTAAACCTTCTTTTTACTTCTAGTAGTTGTTGTAGTGGTGGTCAGGCTAGTAATACTTGGGGACAAGGAGGGCCTTGCAGTACTGCTCACATTAATTTGTGATGGCATTTCTGTGCTCTTTGAAATACCTAGCAGCCCTTCTCAAAATTTTCTAGAGGGTTAAGTCCTCATGCCCTAAGACATCCACTGTATGTAATACATTAATCTATCTCCTCCGCATCTAGAACAGTACTGGCTAAGTACTTTCCTTGGGAGAATTGAGAAAATAGTGACTGAAATCATTTTCTATGGGACTTAATTCTCTCAAGGAACCTTGGTTGGGAAGAATGGTTAAAGAATAGATTTCCATAATTTATGATGTTGAGCTTACATTTGAAAGCTGTTTGATTTAGAAGAATGAATGTGACCAAAAGGGAAGGAAGCTAATACATGAATTCCAAATTAGCATGTTTGTAAGGCATTCTGAAGACTCTATCTGCAAGAGGAATTTTTCTGTTGTTTATAGCTATCCTCTGTAGACCTGATCCTGAAACCTATTTCCCAAGTAGTAACCTTTATTTTTACATTATTGAGCCTGAATGCTGATCATAGACTTTCCTTGCAGGTGGTGCTAAATGAGAATGTTGACACATTTATTTTGGAAGCCACTGGGGAATGCCGTCCAGAATTTTAGCTGATCTTACTTTCACTGCACTCTTTTTATTGAAAATATATTTTTGGTTGACATTCAAAAAGGAGACAAGAACAGGCAGATGTCTGGAATAAGACTGCCACATCAAGTCTTCCTTTTCATTTGCCTATCCATGACAAGCAAAGTAGTGTTTGGAGATGTGGGAAAACTTTCCAAATTCATTTGAATTGTGAAGACACAAACCCCAAAAGTACATAGATGGTGCTGGTTGTTCTGAACTGTGGTGGGAAATTTTGGCTCAGAATTACTACTCAGACTGGAGAGAGAAGGTGGTTGGGTACTTTCTCTTTGAAAACATCCAGACCTTATGGAGTAGATGGGAATAGAATGGTGAAATCAGAAAGAAGGGTGGATGAATTTTCCGCAAATAAATCATATGGTTAAAGAAGGAGAAAGAGAATTTGCTAGAACTCTGAAGGGGCTGCTTGGCTAGAATGCGTTTACCTTTGGAAATAAAAAGGTGTTTCCAGTGGTCTTTTGGAAGCTGTATGTACTAGTCTGTTCTCCTGTTGCTATAATGGAATACCCGAGACTGGGTAATCTATAAAGAGAAAAGGTTTAATTGACTCACGAATCTGCAGGCCTAGCAACATCTGCTTCCAGGGAGGCCTTAGTAAGCTTATAATCATGGGAGAGGGTGAAGCAAAAGCAGGCACATCACATGGCAAAAGCAGGAGCGAGAGAGCACAGCGGGAGGTGCTACACACTTTTAAATGGCCAGATCTCAGGAGAACTCACTCTCTATTGAGAGGACAGTACCAAGGGGAATGGTGCTAAACCATTCATGAGAAATCCACTCTGGATAATCCAGTCATCTCCCACCAGGCTCCAGCTCCAACACTGGGGATTACATTTCCATATGAGAAACTGGGTAGAGACACACATCCAAACTATATCACTGTCCATCATTAATGGTTTTTCAGGCTCTTTGAAATGTTCTCTGACTGTATAATTACAGACTCGTTTTGATTCAGGGCAGACATAAAAAGAGTGAACATGAGTGGGATCTGTTAGCAAGAAAAGCAGCACTATTACATTCTCAATAAGCCCCACATTCAGAGCACATACACCCAGCTCATTCCAACACAAGTTACACTAATTTAACATCATGGTGACTCTGGTATAGTGAAACTTTAATTATGGCTAGAAATTGGCACAGCCATTTCACCTTTTGCAGTCTAGTACTTAGTCTCTTTCAAGGGGCATTAATGTTTAAGCTATTTAGCTAAATGAAAATTATTTTTATGAAAAGGTTAAGCGATCTATACACTTGTATTTAAGGGGATATTTTGCTTTTCCTGTACAGATTTATCTTCACTTTAAAGTTGAAACATGAAATAAGCCATGGAAATAAAAAAGAAAAAGAAAAAGTGGAATAGTAAATCAGGAGAATTTCTCTTTCAACATCTCCTTCAAATGAGCCTACAATTAGATAGGGATTGTCAACATCGCATGCATTTGCCAAAGCCCAGTCATATTTTTTGGATTTAGTGGAGGTAGGGATATTATGGGAAGAGAAAGTTAGACAGAAATTCTGTGCTTGGAAACCTGTTTCTGTGTGTTTATGAACAAACTAAACAAAATTGATAGTCCTCTGAACATCCAGCTGAGCTCACCTGTGGGAAATCCCTGGCTGTCCTCTGGCAATAAACTTATAAATAGCTCAACTGATTGAAAAACAGGGTTGAGGAGGTGATTTTTAAAAATTCCTGGTAAATTTGTAAAACAGGCTATAAAAGGAAGCATTTTTCTAATTCTTTGGTTGTTTACTGCTAGTTATCATAGACCCAACTGCTTCCCCACCTGTCCCCATTCACATCTAGATAGCAGCAACTTCATAGATTGGGAAAAACTTTATAACAAATAACATACCAGTATTATGGGTCATTTTGTGATCCATTCGGTTGAAAACAGTTTTGGGGAGTCATTTTAAAATGGGGAAAATCGGTGCCTACAGTAAATGAAGTTGTTCCTGTGTTACCTAAGGAGCAAGTTAAGGAGGGAGGGATGAGCACCATCACAGGATGCAAAAACTCAGGGAGAGATAAGATTGATGACATCAATCAAAACCAGAAGCACTGGACTTATTACTACAACATTACTTTACCTTGACTTGCACAGGTTACAAGGAGACGTTTTGTGTATCCCATTCTGAGTCCAGGATCAGAGGGATGCCCTGCTGGCTGGTTAGGTTTAAAAATACCCTGGTAGGTATCTTCTAGTATCTAATTCCTGGGCAGGATAGACCTTGTACCACCAGCTTCATTCTGAAGGTATCACTAGAAATTCAGCCTCACAGTGATCTTTGAAATCTGAGCTGGTAGCTTTTAGGGGGCTGCTAATGAGAATCATATAATAACACTAAAGAAAGATCTGAATGAACATGCCAGATGACTGCATTTATATTCACTGAATTGGCTGTAAGATGAATCGTGTTTGGGGCTGCCTAAGCACGCAGCCTCTCCTAAAATTTGGCTGTAGCACCTGTTGAAATAGAATGGAAGATAAAAGTGGTTTCAAGAGTGTGATGAAATGATTGTGTTATTGAAATGCTAATTTAGATGTGGCAATTGCCTAAGAGATGACTCTGCCTGTGAGACAGCCTGCACATCTGAGCCCACATCCAATGAAAATGCCTTTCCTCCAGTGTTGTGTGTTTGCATGTGTGTGCGTGCATACACAGATGTCTTACTCTTTGACAAGCCCTTTAACGAGTGTCAATCTTGGTATGTTTCCACCCAGGGGATTTTTCTGTCACTACTTTAGCATACATTTTTTATTATTGTTGGTTGAACACAACCTCTCCTTTTCAAATACCATTGCATGCTTGACAAGATTTGGAACCTTCTAGAAAAGGGGTTCCAGGCTCAGTGGCTCTGATCATGAACTAGCGACTAATTTGCCTGACTAGAGCATCCACCTGAGGCAAAGGGAAGAAAGTGGAGTGTGGCCAACTCAGGACCAGTCTAGTGGAGAGGCCGTTCGCACAGACCTTTGACCGGGACCCCTCAGGTGAAATGGCCTCCTCCAATCACCTTGATTAGCCTCCCCTGAATGATAGGCTTTGGGGAACCCAGCAGTCCTGAGGCACTGTTGTCACTGTGGAGAAACAAACTGCAATATCTGAACCACAGGCTCTCCCTGCAGCAATGCAAATCAAAAAGTATACGCATATTTTGAAACAAGACAAAGCCGTAGATTTTTAAAGCTCAGCATGGTGATAAATAAAAATGTGCAGCAAATCTGTCATTTGTGTGTGACATCTGAGGGGCAATTCATCAGGACTTGAGTTTACTTGAAAAGAAGATAATCATGAAAAATTGTCAATGTAACACTAATTGTGGGGGATATTAATCCTGTTCAAGTTGCTTTCTCCATTAGCACAATCGCTAAAATGCACCGTTTGGCCTCTGGAGTATTTATACTTTCCTTTCCCTAATTATGACTGTGGAGGCTGCTGAAGCATAATACCTGGGAAGTAAAAAGGATCTAGAGTGAAATGGAAAAAAAAAAACCCACGACAGAGATGAAAAATGCTATGTTGGAGCTTGCAACCCCTGGCTCAGCAAGGCCTTCCAGGTCATTCATCTTGCCTTTGATTTGTCTGCCTTTTCACTTCAAATAGGTTTACAGGTTTTTAGCTGAAACCAATTAAAGAGAGCCAATTGGCAGGGTTAGCACTTGTGGTGTTTATGGTGCGCATTGTATTGATTTATGCTGCTCAGCAGCTACAGTGAAAAGCAAACTATATGAAGAGGAGGGGAAACCTCAGACTGGGGAGGGATTACAGTGCATAGGATTAGTTCGAGGACAGTAATGAACAACGCCATAAAGAAAACTGCTGACTCTATAAGTTCAAGCAATAGGAGATTTTTTTTGTTAAGAAAGACAGACTAATGGCTATAATGTAGTGACAAGTAATTATGCAAGATGCTTAGTATCAATTGACGGTGCAGGGCCCTTTTATTTGAAGTAGCAGAAAAGGATGCAGGGAAAGAGAACACATTAGCTGGTTGTGTTGTGGCTTCTTTGGGCTTCACCTTCCGGGCAAAGACATAGTTGGGTGGGGCCTGAGGGAATGAGCTCCAGGAGAATAGAGTATGAAGTTACTGAGTGGTGAGACAAGGATGAATTTTTTTTTTTTTTGAGAGGAAGTCTGGCTCTGTCGCCCAGGCTGTAGTGTAGTGGCGCAATCTCGGCTGACTGCAAGCTCCGCCTCCCGGGTTCACGCCATTCTCCTGCCTCAGCCTTCCTAGTAGCTGGTACTACAGGCGCTCGCCACCACGCCAGGCTAATTTTTTGTATTTCTTAGTAGAGACGGGGTTTCACCGTGTCAGCCAAGATGGTCCCGATCTCCTGACCTCGTGATCCACCCGCCTCGGCCTCCCTAAGTGCTGGGATTACAGGCGTGAGCCACCGTGCCCAGCCAAGACAAGGATGACTTTTAAAAAGTCTTGCAATATTGGAAATAGCTGGTTGGTCACTTAAGCCTGGCTGGGTCAAAATATTGAGTGAGATATTGTGGAAAATGGGAAGCTTTGCAGGAAATACCCATGCAATGAAAGTGATAAAGAAAAACATTGGGTAACTTCTGAGGTCCTTTCCCGCCTTCTAGCTTTACAAGGCATAGAATATTCACTGTCATGTCCATAGTCTTGAAGAGTTGATGACTTATATGCTTAATGATGTAACATCATCTGAATTGGTAGGCGGTAGAGAGTGGGCAAAGTATTGGTATTTTTGAACATAAGACTAAAAGATTCTACTTTTGGGGTGGGAGGGTGAGGAAAACCATAACTTTTTTGTTTGTAATCCTCTATAGCGCAGGCTCATGAAATTGAGGAATCGCAATCGAAAACTCTTTTGACATGTCTTATAGATTCTTGGAGACAAAAGCTTTGATTATTGAAGAAAAAAACGTTTAAGCAAGTTAAATGACCAGTTTGGTTTGAAAAATAGCTCAGGCTGGATTGTCCTGTAAGACTTTTATGACTTAATGTTAAACTTCATAAAGACAGGTGAGCCAGGTGCAGCCTTGAATATTTGTAATAATAACAATAATAATTATGAGGTGTTAATATTCAGGCCTTGCCTTTGTTTAATAGCTTATCCTGGTTTTTAAAGTGCCATACATGCATCGACTCTTTGATTATCAAAAACATCCTGTGAGGTTATATAAGGTTAGCCATCATTATCACTATCTGAAAGATGAAGGAATAGCCTCAGGTAGCTTAAGTGATTTATTGTGGCAACTGATAAGGGGAAGGAGCAGAAAGGAATGAACAATTATTGAAGATTTATGACTCACCAGATCTTGGACTAGAATATGCATATATGTGTAAGGCCTCAAAACTACAATCGAGTCCCTTTTTTTAACAGGAGATGAAATTGGACTCGAACAGGGGGAGCAAACTGACCCCTCGTCAGTAACAAGCAAGAGAGGACAGTGGGTTTTGAACCCAGGTACCAAGCTCTGGCTACTCATCTATACTTTCTCTCTCTTGATCATAATGGCTATTCTGGTAAAAAGAAATTTCCCTGGTCCAGAACGTAAGGAGCTTAGAAGTTTTCACTCCATCCTAATAACAAGTAAAAAGCTGTACAAACAAAAAATCAACAACTCTTCTCAGATCCTTGCCCCCATAATTGGAGAGACAGGCAAATACACCTTACAGGAGGAGAAACCCAGATAGAAACAAGTGCTGGGGTGGGAAAACCTGAACTATAATTGACAAATTGCTGGAGGCTCAGTGTGGACAAGTTTAAGAGGTAAACATTTCAGGTGGATCCAGTTACTGGGGGAGCCCTCACAATTTTGTGAGTTCTATCTCTAAAAGCTCTATCAGGCAGGTTCTCACAGTGAGGATCAGAGAAAAATAATCCCCTTGGGCTTCCTGTACAGAGAGGGAAAAAGTGACCCTCTTGAAATATACCAGAGCATTCTGTTCTTAACGAGGCCTGCCCTCAGCAGAAGCTATTTCACCAGAGCCTCATCTATGCAGGTGTTATCAGAGCCTAACCGATCTGGGGAAAGGGAAATAGCTTCAGCCCATTCCAGCCTTCCACATGGACGAATAGGCAGAGACAGAGGACTTTTGGGGCAGTAAAAATACTCTGTATAGTACTATACAGTAATGTCATTATACATTTGTCCAAACCCACATAAAGTACACCAAGAGTGAACCCTAGTGTGAACTGTAGTCTTCGGATGATTATGATGTGTCAGTGTAGGGTCCTCAATTGTAGCAAATGTACCACTCTGGTGGTGGCTGTTGATGGTGGGTGAGGCTGTGCATATGTTGGGGGAGGGGGTACGTGGGAACTCGCTGTACTTACTGCTAAATTTTACTATGAACCTAAATAGATGAGGGTACTAGTAATAATTACTCCAGGAAAACAGGGATACCTTGAGTTGTCCAGGGCAAAACAGAGAGAATGGTCACTTTACTTATGGCTTCAAGATTTCCAAGGGGAGCTGAGTTGGGGTGTGTGTGCCTGTGGATGTGGATAGTGGATTAAATCCAGTTTGATAGTGACCTTAATTACTTTACCGTAAGCAGTGGGCTCCTCAAGGGTACCCGCCTTGCTTTTCCTGGCATAGAATGTCTCCACTCCATTCATGGAGTGAATGAATGGGCTAAAGGCTTAGGTACTTTTCTTCTATGTTTCTTCCATATCAGCTTCCTCTATTAGGGTTTCTGATTCCATCAGTGTGTTTTCTGTTTGTTCAGCATCCTTCACTCTGTCTTCGTGATATCATTCCTCTTAGACATGACATTCTCAATAACTATTATCTCTCACATTGGTTTTTCTTTCAGATATTTTTGCTTTTCTGTCTAAAGTCACACTATACCAGAATTTGTAGCAAATTTGTGTCCTGGGATTTGGAAGCTGGGTGGCTAGTACCAACCTGATGAAGTGTGGTAGAGAAAAGCTTCCAGATTAGTGTATTATGGAACACATACTTAATATGCATATTACAGGAGAAAACAAGTGGAGTTGATTTAGAGGACTACAGTGGAGTTGATAAAGAAAAAAATACATAAGATCTTGATAACACAAAATAATCTTTTAAACCAACAAAATGAACCAACAAAATACAGCAGATTCTCATTACAAGGGCTGGATATACATAATTTTAAGCCTGGATCAGGCTAAGCATAGGCAAATGTGTGGTATGACTAACTGAGAACCTGGATTGCAAGTTAGAAAATCTAAGTTCTAACCTTGGCTAAGAGGAGTGGCTGTGTGGCTTAACCTTCGAGGCTCAATTTTCTTCATCTGTGATGGGAAGGAATTCAGACCACATACTCTTTAGGGCCTCTTCTAGATTTAATAGTCCTTTTCATGATTTTTTGAAGGTACTTAAGCTTGAACACCCCAGAAGCAGAAGAGGCAGCTTACACTGTGGCTTGAATCCTAAGAGACATTGCTTGTAGGCCTGTACGACTCTATTCTCATAGTGTGGAAGTCTCAGACCTTCTGTGTCCTGCTCATGTATTTATTGGAAAGACCAGTTACCTTCAGAAACAGGGCTCAGAATGTCCCAGCTTGGAGAGATTTAGACCAACCACATAATTTCACAAGAAAGAAGCTAATGCTCAGAGAGAGAAACGTATCTAAATTCACATAGCCATGTCAGAGTGAAACATTTGCTAAACTCTCTGTCTCCTGACATTGCCAAGTCTTCTGACACTCTACCTCATTCATTCACTCACTTATTTGTTCAATACTTTCTGAGAGTCTACTATGCAGTCAACACCTTTTACACCTGTCAGGATTCAAAAATAAAGAAGACATAATCCCTATTTACAAACAAGATCTTTTAAGATGTATGTGTTGATAAAACTCATTGTTGTTATTTCTTTTGCAGTTGTTTTCATTCATCAGCTGCCTGCCTTAATATTACCACTGAAGAATTTTGTACGTTTGTTTTTCTGGTGTGGATGGCATGGCAGAATGGTAGATACTGCATGGATTAAGACATGCTAGGCTGCAGAAACAATAGCCCTCCATCCTCTACCCCCTGCCAAATAGAACAGCTTACAAAACAAGTGTATTATTTTCTAATTTTATGGGCAAACAGAAGCTTTGCTCCCTGCAGCTTTTCAAGGACCCAGACTGATGGAGGTTGTGCTATTTTTAATACAGACTTACAGGGTTACTTGTAGTACCAATATTTGGCCAAATGAAAGGAAGGAGAACAGATGATTTCTTGTCGTCATTTTATGGACCACAGCTTGCTATGGCACGGAACACTTTTGCTCACATTCTATTAGCTAGAACCTAGTCACATGACCACACATAAATGAAAGGTAGGCTGGAAAATAGAGTCTAGCTCAATGCCCAGAAAATTAAAAAAAAAAATTGGTTTTAGTGAACTGTCAGCAGTCTTTGCCACATTGCTGTATGCCTAAACCTCACCTTCTATTAAACCATTCTGTGAATTCCTGTTCAGATTTAGTTCCCTTGTGGAGGGTGATTTGTATCAATTTTTAAATGGGTGTATTCATCCCTATTGAAAGTTAACATACTTGCTTTTTTTTTTGCTAGATGTCTTTAGAATTCTGCAAATAAATGGTTCAATATTGCTGTTTAATAATCGAACACAGAACAAGAGCTGTAAAGTTTTATCTCTATGTCTTGCTTGATTTATTCCTCACCATGGACAACATACATCTTTTTAAAAATTTATTTTAGTTTGAGTTCTGGGATACATGTGGAGAATGTGCAGGTTTGTTACATAGGTATACAGGTGCCATGGTGGTTTGCTGCACCTATCAACCCATCATCTAGGTTTTAAGCCCTGCATGCGTTACGTATTTGTCCTAATGCTCTCCCTCCCCTTACCCTACCACCCCCGACAGGCCGCAGTGTGTGATGTTCCCCTCCCTGTTTCCATGTGTTCTCATTTTTCAACTCCCACTCATGAATGAGAACATGCGGTGGCTTCTAGCTTCATCTATGTCCCTGCAAAGGACATGAACTCATTCTTTTTTATGGTTGCATAGTATTGCTTGGTGTATATGTGCCACAGTTTTTTTTATCCAGTCTATCATTGATGGGCATTTGGATTGGTTCCAAGTCTTTGCTATTGTAAATAGTGTTGCAATAAACATATGGGTGCAAACATACATCATTATACAACATCTCACTTACATAATACTTTTATTAAAATAAGCAAAAAAACAAAAACATCAACAGCCACCACAAAAACCCCTGCCTTACCTTAGAGGTAGTTCTGAGGAGTTAAAGGAAGACAGTTTTTTAAAAATTTATTTTATATATTTTTAAACTTTTAAGTTCAGGGATACAAGTGCGGGTTTGTTACATAGGTAAGCTTATGTAATGGGGATTTGTTGTACAGATTATTTCATCACTCAGGCATTAAGCCTAGGACCCATGAGTTATTTTTCCTGATCCTCTCCCTCCCCGCAAACTCCACCCTCCAAAAGGTCCCAGTGTGTGTTGTTCCCTTCTATGTGTCCATGTGTTCTCATCACTTAGCTCCCATTTCTAAGTGACAGTATGCGGTATTTGATTTTCTGTTCCTGTGTTAGTTTGCTAAGGATAAGAGAGTTAATTACATATATTTTTAAAAACTGAATGAAAGATTACTGGAGAAATAACTTATGTTTCATGAGAGGAATACATTTATATAATTATGGAAATATGATTTTGCCTACCATTAACAAATCAACATTAGAAAATGTTTTAACCCCCCAGCATGCGACCTCATCACTAAATTTAAAATATGAAATTTGATCATGACATAGGTATGAGTACTAGACCAGATTATGATACCTTTTTAAAGAGGTACAAAGGGAATCCTGGACTGAGGGAGTCATTTGAGTATAATTTTAATTTAAAATGCCCCAGGAAACAGTAAGTATTCTTTGTCTAGATTTCTATATGGCTCATTTCTGCACTTTATTTTCTGCTCATATCTTTTTTTTTGGCAAGGCTTCTACAACTACCCTATCAAATATAGCCTCCCCCATTACTCTCTACTCACCTTACTAGCTTTATTTTTATTTTTATAGCACTTTTGCTAGCTTGCATTATATTATATATTCACTTGCTCGTTTGTTATTGTCTTTATTCATCACTAGAATATAAGCTCAAGGAGGGCAGAAACTTGATCTGTGTCCCCAGCAACCTTGAACAAACAGTACCTGAATTAGACTAGATGCCCAATAGACTTTGGTTAAATAAATGACTTGCTTGTTTCACATAGATGCAAGATTACTTAATGGCCACAATGGAGGCAATGGACATTGGTTATGACCCATAAGTGCTATTCTGGGTGGTTGCATGCCCAGAGCCATTGTAAACCTGTGCCAGTTAAGCTTTTGCCGCTGAAATGACTGCCCGAAACTTAGTGGCTCAAAGCAACAATATTTACTCAGCTTATGACTCTGTAGGTCTGCAGTTTTGGCTGGGATTTAAGCTGGGTGGTTCTTTTCACCTTGGCTAGGCTCACTCATGCGTCTGTCGTCAGGTTTGAGTCAGCTAGGTGGCTCTGCTTCCAGAGTTGGCTGACTGTCACCTGTGGTGATGGGGCTGACTAAGCCATGTGTCTCTCATCATGTAGCAAGCCAGACCAAGCTCCACATTGCACATGCTCAGTATTTCAGAGTTAGAGCAGAAAGTGGAAAGCTTTTTGAGGCATATGTTCGAAACAGGTACAATGAACTTCTGATGCAATCTATTGGCTGGAGCATGCCATAATGGCAGCCTAGATTCAAGTGATAGAGAAATAGATTTCACCTTTAAAAGGATGGAGCAGCAAAGTCTGATTTTAAGAAAATGAATCTGGGCAATGGGAGAGTTTGTGGCCACTTTTGAAATCTATCACCAAGCCTTTATTGTTTTGCCCTGAAGGACCTCCTGATCCTGTACAGATTCCTTTTCTACTAAAACATGATAAAATCAAGGCAACTAAATGTAGAAAGCTCAAATGCATATCTAGGAGCAACATCCTCATCTGCATAAAAAGGCCTTTTCTGTGAGGGAGGACTGATTGTTCGCCATCTAATAGCCATTTCGTTTTCCTTCTCCCCCACAATATTAATTATATTCTACTCTGCATGCATCTCTGCTCAGCTATCTACCTTACCTCTCAATAAAAAGAGATAGCGTTTCAAAATAAATAGCCTGATACACTGTAAAGATGCTGCAGGTACTTAGAAACAATATTTTCTAAATATTTATAAGCTATATTTCAAAATCTGTTACATTCAGTGAATTATGTAAATAAATATCAGACCTGCAAGTCACCATCCCACAGCTCCAGTGCAGCAAGTCCAATTACTCATCTATAAACAGACAAGTCATCATTTAAACTCTGTCCTCTGACTTAGAGCTCTGTCTTTGGATTCTATCCAGCTAAACAAATCTAAAGTGTGAAACTTGTTTTTTCTTACTAAAAGAAATAAGAAGAATGTATTTATTATGAGGGAGAATGACAGTGTTTATTTTATTTGCTTTTGAATTGCTTTAAGACATAAGAAAAATCCTCTGTGTAAACTGGTTCCAATCTCAATTGGAATAGGGTAAAGGGACATGCGGGTGGGAACAGGAGGTGAGAAAAGGAAAGAGGAAACAGAGAGCACATTTGCAGAGAGCTTGAGCTTAATTTTCTTGAAATGCTCCAGGCTTGCAGAGCTGCAGGCTGGAAAGACAGGTCAGCCAGATGTCAACACTTAGGTCACAGTTCTGGAACAATGTTCTGATTCCCTTACATGGTTGCAGGATATGAGGATGAGAGGGAAGCAGGAAAACCCCCAAGTAATTCACATTATGTGTCCTTGTAGACCATCCACACTCTCTGCCCTCTCTCTGTCCTGGCAATGCTCATCTCCCAAGAGACCAGATCCAGATCTAGGAAGAGAGGTAAGAAGTCTGCACTAAAAGCCTGGACATAGTAAAGTTCATAGATGGAGTTTAGGCACTAGGCTATGAAGGTTTTGGGAAGAAAATGTTCAGTGTGCTATGGGATTTTGTAGGACTTCCATGGAATCTTTAAAGGTAGGGAGCAGATGAATCTAGAAAAAGTACCTCCAGCAAGATGAGCAAAATCGAAAAGCTAGAAATGCATGTCAGGTACTTATGGTTCTTGAGAAGGTGACACTGAATGCAGAGGGAAGTTGGTCTGCAGGCAGAGAGGTTTGTGTTGGGGAGTGGTGAGGGCTTTGAAGACAGAGGCTAGGTGGGGAGCTTGGGATTTATTCTAGTGGTAATGGGAATCCACTGAGGACTTTTATACCAATATCTAAAAATGAGCACGTGAGATGTGGACAGGAGAGTTATGTGACACCTTCTAGCAAGATTGAAAGTCCAAGATCCAAGCTCCCTATTCCCAGTAATGTATCTTAGCAAAGGTACATGGAACAAAGCGTGGCCTATTGACCATCTATAACCCACCAGAATGATGAAGAATTTCTGTGTCAATGGTAGATACTGACTAACAAATGCAAGAAACTGAGTCAATCTCTATAATTCTCCATCTCTCTCTCTCTCTGAGGTTATTATATTCAAGGGACAGTCATAGGATTACACGCTCTAGGAGTGATGGTTAATTTTAAGGCTTTTTGTCAGTGAGTGCAGAGAATGATCCTTCTGGAAACTCACAGTGCTTGAAAACTTGAAACCATCTCTTTTTAGTTTCTCCACTCCTCCCAATGTTTGCTGCTGGTATTGTACTATAAATCTTTACAGGCAAATTCTTTAAACAAACAAATAAATGAACAAATAAACAAGTCTCGTGAGCTAATAAAATATCCCCTCCATCATTCCTCACAACAGCCTCTTTTCTGTCAATATGGTTTTCATTTATTCAGATCAATCCTTTCTGATTACTTATATTGGTTCTCTCTTTTCCAACTATTCTCAGGCAGATTGCTGTCTGGCAAGGGCCACTACTGAGTTTTTATGTTTACTTTATTGATCTTAGGAGATCAACCCATCTGTTTCCACTGTCCTCCAAGCAGATACAGTTTCTCAGTGAAAGATAGTATTTTTTATTTCACAGAGGTGTAAAAACCCCCTTTAGCTCATTTCTCAAATTTTACTAGTTATAAAAATCTTCGAAAAGTTAATAACTTTCCATATTATGCAATCATAATCATTTGTTGCAGAAAAAATCAAATCACAGGTTTTGATTTTTATTCTCCTCAATAGAGGAGAATAAAATCAAAGAGAATTCGAATTTACAGAGGTAATGATCGGTAATATGTGGATGTATGGCATCTACTATTTTGTTCTATGCACACACACACACACACACACACACACACAAACATTCCTATACTCAGATTTTGATCTAGGAATCAAAGAGATATAAAAATTGTTTTATTTTCCTAAGCATTTTTAGACAAAATTTGATTTGCAGTCACTATTACTCAAGATGTAGGAAAATATATGACATTGCTGTGTTATTTATATAGAGTCCTTTATGAGCAACTTAAAATATCAGTATTTTCCTGGTTTATTCAAGCTTGGCAACACTTAGAGCTTCTTCACCAAATTTAATACTTTTTTAAAAAAAATCAAGGTCATAATAAGTATTACTGGAGAAGGAAAAGAAAACAGACCAGCTGATAATTATTGTGGAGCCAGCTACTAAAAAGGGTTAGGGATCTTTTAATAAGTCTGTTAGCATTTGCACCACTGTCTCCTCGCACACCAATTTGAGATTTTACAGCCTCCACATAAATATTTTTAAAGATCCAAATTGGTTCTTTGAGATGTGAATGACAGAACTTGTTCCCTTTGCTTAAAAAAGGTAGTCCCATTGTTTAGAAGCAGTCAAATGCTTTAGCCTTAAAGATACAGTTTATCCAAAGAAAAGGGATTGTAATCAATGCAACATACAATCTTGTTGAATACATTCTCCTCAGCAAGAACTTAGGAGTTATTAAAGCACCTCTCCAGAAAGAGAAATGACTTAAAATGCCTTTAATCCATTGTGTTATTTTCCCCAAAGGTTTATTATGAGTAGAAGATACCTTCAGAGTCAAAAAAGAAAACACTTTGGAAATTAATACAACCTAGGAAAAAATCTAGTAGCTGTAATTAGTCTATACTATCAACAAACATACAACAAAATATCCATATGAGGGTGGAACACATTTTTGTCTGAACTTAGTTCTGATTCAATATAGTTTTTTTTCTTAAGTCACAATAATGTAACTTAAAAAGTTTCTAGTAATATTTATTGTATGTAGCCTAGAAGATGAAAAGAATGTAACTATTATTCTTGGTTTGTTTTTAGGTTATTTACTTAGGGCTAAGCACCTCATTTTTCTTGTATACAAAAAGTAATTATGCAGTCAAAAGAAATATAGCTCATATACTTCAAAACATATGAAAAATGTAAAACTTTATTACACACATTAATTTCTAACAAAGGACATCTCTAGCATCAGTATAACTGGGACAAGCCAGATAACTGATGTATCTATTCAGATGTTTCTCCCAAATGAGTTTTATAAAGGCAAACAAACAAATAAACAATTTCTTCTTTTATGTCTGTCTCTCTTTTATAAATTTTCACTTCCCAACACAGGCAATAGTTTTGGGAATTTGTGTGTATGTGTGTGTGTCTGTGTGTGCGTGTGTGTGTATCTGTGTGTGTGTGTGTGCGTGCACACATGTACATTAATATATTCTGTTTGTTAGTCTTGCTAGTCCCTCATTTCTCATTTCTTATGTTGTAAAGCAAAGATTTGAAAACCTGCAAATTATGAACTAAATACGTTGATGGTTTTTCCAACTTGGATCTTGCCCATCCTGACCTAATGGAAATGTCAGCATATTCTTGGAAAGCCACGGTTAGTGTGAGTGAGCCAGGCCTGTTCTGGTTGCCCTCATTCTTTCACTCCCCGAGCAGTGGCTCCTGGATAACAAGGTCTGGATTCTTGCCACTGTAGGCAGGAAGATTTGTGGCTTGACTTCGGTTGTCTCGGGGGTCATGGCCGATGCACTGGGGGCATCATGCTGCACAATATGGTATGCAGCTCATGTAAAAGTAAGGGGTGGGTGGCTCTCGCCCCGTACACACTAAATAATAACTGGAGAAACCTTTTGATCAATAAAAGATAAAGAAATAAAAGCAACACAGCAAACCTTACCTTACATAAGGGAATAGAACATAAGATTTTAAACTGTCAAGCCAGAAGCAGTTCATGGAATCCCCTCATCCTGGCTAAATATGCAAGAATTATCTGATATTTGAAGCTATTTATTTTTGAATATAAGTAAGAAAGAAGTTTGTGAGAGAAAGTTTAAGTGTGTGTGTGTGTGTGTGTGTGTGTATGTGCTTGAGGGTTGGTGAAGCCTCAGGGAGTGGCTTAGAGTCATGAGAAATATCACAAGGAAAAGGAATAAATAGTTCCTTTCAGGATAAGGGAATATAAAGTTTTTCAGCAATAAGAAGCTTTGCACTCATCGAGTTCCAGCAATATGATATTTTGAACATCTAAATAAGATAAAATCTGTAGGCTACCTTGATGAGTAACTGATTTAATGATACAATGATTTAATTTCACAAACGAGATTATTTTGAAGAAAACAACTGATACAGAAGTCAAACATTACTGAAATATAATATGATTTCCCCCCTTTTATACCTTCTTTGTTTCCTTCTGCAGTAGTGGTAGTAAGGGAAAAATCTTCAGAGAGCGTTAGCTATGAATGGTTTTTAAGAATTTTCTGAATGCAATTTTTAGGAGGACCAATTAGACTCTGGATGGAATGTCAATACTCCAACCTTAGCTTGCCAGAGAAGAAATAACAAGCTTGAATTTGACGTCCTCCCTTTTGTTTTTTTCAGCTTCCCTTATATGATGTCCAGTGTGTTTCTGGGTGGTTGGACAGGAACTGATACAAAGAGATTCCTGAAGAAGTTGTCATTCAAATGCAAAAAAAAGTCACCTTGACATCTAAAAATTAAACTTGTAAGCTGTTAAATAAGAACAATTACTCTGTAGTTAATACAATTGCACTTAGACACATTCTTAGGTGATTTTTGATATCATAAAGGCATATATCTCTTTAAAGCAGTCAAGAATATCTTTAAGCCAGGTGTCTGTAGGCTCATGTCTGTAATCCCAGTGACTCAGGAGACTGAGGTGGAGGATTGCTTGAGCCCAGGTCTTGAGTTCAAGACCAGCCTGGGCAATATAGCAAAAAAAGAATTATATCTTTAAAAAGAGAGACCCTCAAGTTTGCCTAATTTTTTATTGTCAGATTATACACTATTTATGGAGATGAATCTAAGAAGTGTTAAGTTTCCCATGAAGCTTTCCAAGGTCTTTCACCCTCCATTGAGGGTCAATTTATGTATTAGATGTAGTGTCAAGAGCCTGCAATACTGTTAGGGGCTCATAAAATCAGAACAAAAGTGAATTTTTGTGTCAAAGAAAATGTTTTTGCATGTAGTAGTATATTCAACACTGTCATAGAATACAATTTAACATTTCTTCAGGGAAAAAGGGCCCATAAAGGTGAAAGTGCCTCTAGGGCTTGTGGAAGTCACGGTATGACCCTGTCTCCATTCACTTTCTTGCTCTCTAAGACCTGCTTCCCTGTTTGCACTTTTAAAATTCATAAGGCTCAATTTCTTTTTATTATTATTATTATTATTATTATTATTATTATACTTTAAGTTTTAGGTTACATGTGCACAATGTGCAGGTTAGTTACATATGTATACATGTGCCATGCTGGTGTGCCGCACCCATTAACTCGTCATTTAGCATTAGGTATATCTCCTAATGCTATCCCTCCCCACTCCCCCCACCCCACAACAGTCCCCAGAGTGTGATGTTCCCCTTCCTGTGTCCATGTGTTCTCATTGTTCAATTCCCATCTATGAGTGAGAACATGTGGTGTTTGGTTTATTTGTCCTTGCGATAGTTTACTGAGAATGGTGATTTCCAATTTCATCCATGTCCCTACAAAGGACATGAACTCATCATTTTTTATGGCTGCATAGTATTCCATGGTGTATATGTGCCACATTTTCTTAATCCAGTCTATCATTGTTGGACATTTGGCTTGGTTCCAAGTCTTTGCTATTGTGAATAGTGCCGCAATAAACATACGTGTGCATGTGTCTTTATAGCGGCATGATTTATAGTCCTTTGGGTATATACCCAGTAATGGGATGGCTGGGTCAAATGGTGTTTCTAGTTCTAGATCCCTGAGGAATCACCACACTGACTTCCACCATGGTTGAACTAGTTTACAGTCCCACCAACAGTGTAAAAGTGTTCCTATTTCTCCACATCCTCTCCAGCACCTGTTGTTTCCTGACTTTTTAATGATTGCCATTCTAACTGGTGTGAGATGGTATCTCACTGTGGTTTGATTTGCATTTCTCTGATGGCCAGTGATGATGAGCATTTTTTCATGTATCTTTTGGCTGCATAAATGTCTTCTTTTGAGAAGTGTCTGTTCATATTCTTTGCCCACTTTTTGATGGGGTTGTTTGTTTTTTTCTAGTAAATTTGTTTGAGTTCATTGTAGATTCTGGATATTAGCCCTTTGTCAGATGAGTAGGTTGCAATTAGGCAGGAGAAGGAAATAAAGGGTATTCAATTAGGAAAAGAGGAAGTCAAATTGTCTCTGTTTGCAGACGACATGATTGTATATCTAGAAAACCCCATTGTCTCAGCCCAAAATCTCCTTAAGCTGATAAGCAACTTCAGCAAAGTCTCAGGATAAAAAATCAATGTACAAAAATCACAAGCATTCCTATACACCAATAACAGACAAGCAGAGAGCCAAATCATGAGTGAACTCCCATTCACAATTGCTTCAAAGAGAATAAAATACTTAGGAATCCAACTTACAAGGGATGTGAAGGACCTCTTCAAGGAGAACTACAAACTACTGCTCAATGAAATAAAAGAGGATACAAAGAAATGGAAGAACATTCCATGCTCATGGGTAGGAAGAATCAATATCGTGAAAATGGCCATACTGCCCAAGGTCATTTATAGATTCAATGCCATCCCCATCAAGCTACCAATGACTTTCTTCACAGAATTGGAAAAAACTACTTCAAAGTTCATATGGAACCAAAAAAGAGCCCGCATCGCCAAGTCAATCCTAAGCCAAAAGAACGAAGCTGGAGGCATCACGCTGCCTGACTTCAAACTATACTAAAAGGCTACAGTAACCAAAACAGCATGGTACTGGTACCAAAACAGAGATATAGATCAATGGAACACAACAGAGCCCTCAGAAATAATGCCACATATCTACAACTATCTGATCTTTGACAAACCTGAGAAAAACAAACAATGGGGAAAGGATTCCCTATTTAATAAATGGTGCTGGGGAAACTGGCTAGCCATATGTAGAAAGCTGAAACTGGATCCCTTCCTTACACCTTATACAAAAATTAATTCAAGATGGATTAAAGACTTACATGTTAGACCTAAAACCATAAAAACCCTAGAAGAAAACCTAGGCATTACCATTCAGGACATAGGCATGGGCAAGGACTTCATGTCTAAAACACCAAAAGCAATGGCAACAAAAGCCAAAATTGACAAATGGGATCTAATTAAACTAAAGAGCTTCTGCACAGCAAAAGAAACTACCATCAGAGTGAACAGGCAACCTACAAAATGGGAGAAAATTTTCACAATCTACTTATCTGACAAAGGGCTAATATTAAGGTTCAATTTCTTAATCTGCCAAATAAGAGTGTTATGTCATAAGGCTATTCTGAAGATTAAATAAAAGCAAACCCAAGAGCATTTTGTAAACTGTAAAAAAACTTTCACAAGTGATATCCTGTTTGTGATCATTATTGTCTGTCTAGTCATGGGAGCCAGAAATCTGGGATTAAATTTAAATCCTGTCTCTCCATCTCTTCTTCCAAATGGCTGCCAGCTCCTCTGATTTCCACCTCTGAAACCCACTTTTTCTCTTCCTTTCCCATTGTTATGACACTTTCTCCCTCTTTTTAAACCTTTTTTATTGTGGAGAATTTAGACATAGAAGAAGATAAAAGTCTACCAAATCTTATGTACCCATTACTGAACCCCCAAAATCCATGTTGCTCTATTCACATCCCTAACCAGTTTTGAGACAAATCTCAGGCATCATGTAATTGCATCCATACATACTTCAGTATGTTTCAGTACAAGATAAAAACTTTAAAAAAAAATCACTGCAATACTATTATAACCCCTGAAAAATAGCAATAACTCTTTAATTCACTAAATATGTAGTCAGGGTTCATTTACAATTGTCTTACAAATGTCATAAATTTTTTAAAATACTTTTTATCTGTCAGACTCCAAATAAGATTCTAACATTGCGATTTGTTGGTCCGTTGGTCCGTAGCTCCCTCTCAATCTCTTTTTTATTTCTCTGCCATTTATTTATTTATTAATCTTTTACCTGTGCTGTTGCTCTAGCTGTCTTGTACTTCCAACCTCTTTTCTCTCTGATTTACCTTCCATGTTGCTATTGAAACGATATACAGTGGATTAATTCATGTGATTCTTATGCTTAAAATACTTTCCTGCCTTCAACATGTCTACAGGATGAAGACCGTGTGTATTTATTAATGCAAGGTGCTGTAGCCTTCAATAATATGGGCTAAACACACTTTTACAGATTTTTTTTTAAATTTAACTTTTAAGTTCAGGGGTACATGTGCAGGTTTGTTACATGGGTAAACTTGTGTCATGGGGATTTATTGTACAAATTATTTCACTATCCAGGTATAAAGTCTAGTACCCAGTAGTTATTTTTTCTGGTCCTCTCCCTCCTCCCAGCCTCCACCCTCTGAAAGGCCCCAGTGTGTGTTGTTCCCCTCTATGTGTCCATGTTTTCTCATCACTTAGCTCCCACTTATAAGTGAGAACATGTGGTATTTGGTTTTCTGTTCTTGCGTTAGTTTGCTAAGGATAATGGCCTCCAGTTCCATCCATGTCCCTGCAAAGAACATGATCTCTCTCTTTTCTCGGCTGCACAGTATTCCACAGTGTATGTGTACCACATTTTCTTTATCCAGTCTGTCATTGATGGGCATTTAGGTTGACTCCATGTCTTTGCTATTGTGAATAGTGCTTCAGTGAACATACACATGCATGTGTCTTTATGGTAGAACTATTTGTAGAACTTTACAAAAGTTCTACTTTGTAGAACTTTATGGTAGAACTATTTGTATTCCTTTCAGTATTTACTCAGTAATGGGATTGCTAGGTTGAATGATAGTTCAGTTTTTAGGTCTTTGAGGAATAGCCACAGTGTTTTCCGTAATGGCTGAACTCCCACTAACAGTGTATAAGCGTTCCTTTTTCTCCATAACCTCATCAACATCTGTTATTTTTTGACTTTTTAATAATAGCCATTTTGACTGGTGTGAGATGATATCTCATTGTGGATTTGATTTGTGTTTCTCTAATGATCAGTGATATTGAGCTTTTTTTATATGTTTGTTGGGTGCATATATGTCTTCTTTTGAAAAGTGTCTATTCATATCCTTTGCTCCCTTTTTAATGGGGTTGTTTATATTTATCTTGTAAACTGGTTTACACACTTCCCCAAATTAATTTTCAACTATCTCTCCTATACCTATGCCCATAAACCACCACATCCAACCTTTGAACTCCAGACCCAAATGCATTATTATCTTTCAGGACCATTACTCATACTTTCCAGAAAAGCCTTTTTTTTTTTTTTTTTCCAGAAAATCTCTCCTCTCTCTTCTCTGCCTATCAAAATCTTACTCATTCTTTTCAGACCATTTTGAATTTCACTTCATTTCTGATAACTTTGCCAATACTTTAGATTTAAATTTCCCCGGCCCTACCCCCTCTGTGCTTCCTTATACATTTTGATGATATATTTTTAATGCTGGTGATAATGACAGCATCTAAAAGCTTAAATGCTTTAACTCATTTAATATTCTCAACTACCCTATAGAGAAGATACTATTGGCCGGGCTTGGTGGCTCACATCTGTAATCCCAGCACTTTGTGAGGCAGAGGTGGGAGGATCACTTCAGCTCAGGAGTTTGAGAACAACCTGGACAACAATGCGAGACCTCGTCTCTACTAAAAATAAAAAAGAATAGTCAACCATGGTGGTGTGTACGTGTAATCCAAGCTACTCGGGAGGCTGAGATGGGAAGATTGCTTGGGAGGTCAAGGCTGCAGTGAGCTGTGATCACACCAATGCACTGCAGTGTGGGTGACAGAGTGAGATACTGTCTCAATAAAAGGTACTATTATTATTCCTATTTTCAGACAAGAAAATAACAATATTAGCTAATGTTTATGCAGTGCCCACTGAGTCCTAGACACTGTTCTCTCCAAATATAGTTCTCATGGAGCCTCCTTGATGTGGGTTCTACTATTATCTTTATGATATACTCCAGGCAAATGAAGCACAGAGATGTTAGATAACTTTGCCCAATGTCCTACAGTTAGTAAGTGGCAGAGCAGCACCTGGAATGCAGGTCGTTTGCCTCTGGAGCCCATACCCTGAACCACTGTGCTAAGCTGCAATTATGATGAAAAATAGTTTTTGTTAAAAAGACATGAGTACGTGTGTGTGTCTGTGTGTGTTATTCTATAATTCTACCTCTGATGCATCTATTTCTCAAGGCCAGCACTTGTCTAATTTCTCTAGCACAATACTGTGCACATATTAGACAATTAAATAGTCAATGAATTAAATATCTTGAATTAGCTCTGCAGTATTTAGCAACTAAAAAATTATTTAAAATGAAGAGCTATAATTTCTGAAATTCCATACAATTAAATATAAAATCAAGACCAAGTTTACCAAAAGTGAGATAATTTACATATATATTTTAGCAGCATATATATTATGTAAAGCAAGACACATTACCATTGAGCCAGAATGTGCTAGTAACTAAATTACATGCATTCCTCTGCAGTTCTTAAGGAAATGCATGACAGAAAATATGGAATATTAAGCTATAAAATGATGCATATTTCTAGGTTTCCCTTGATATGAGGTATTTCACAAACAGGCCCATTGTCATTATGTAGGTGTCCTAACTGTAATGTATGGAATATTTCTTGAGAGGTAAACAAATTATTTCATTTACTCATGCAGCAATCAGGGCTGAAACTTGAATAGATTTGGGGAGAAGACGGGATGAATTGTTGAAATTGTTTTTGAGATTGCTTTGACTGCTCCAATTTAGAAAAGAAGCAAAGTAACTGATGCCTCCTCCCAAGGTCTGCGGTTATCATTCATTTGAAATTAAGATGGATAATGAAACTACAGAATCACTGGTTTTAGGATGATTGAGCAGCAAAACAGATGCCATTCACTCCAATCTTGAAGACATCTTATACATTCTTCAGTGAGATTCTTCCAGCTTATTGCCAAATACCATAGGAAGATTGTTGCCTTTCTAAAAAATAGTAGTTCAGTTTGGTTTTTAATTTTAATAAACAGTTGGAGAAATTCACGGGTAAGAAATAGGAGCAAAAACGATGAAATTGGTTTTTAGCTCTGAACTATGAATTCCTTGATGACACTGAACTGAGAAGTTTTGTAATTCCATCCTCTGGAGCTCTCTCAGGGACAAGGTCTATGGCACAGAGAGGTCCTCAAACCCCAGGTACCATGAATGAGGTCTACACTCCCAATTTCTAATGGCTTAACTTCATTTTGTAGGAACAATTCCTGCTTTTCCAAAGTAGCAGAGAGACAGAGAGGATGCTGGTGTCTGCAGACACCCTAGCCTCCTGCAAAAAAAAACAAAAACAAACAAAAACAACAACAACAAAAACCCCTAAAGTAATAACACCTCAGTCCAGGAATAAGACCTAAAATCAGAACAATTTTGGAATCCCAAAGACTTATCTAACTGATCTCAGAGCAGATCAGATCTCTGCTTTGCTCCCTGTATTCTTCATTTCCTAGCGGGCAACACATCCTTAAAAATTACCTTCGGCAACCAGACACGGTGGCCCACACCTGTAATCCCAGCACTTTGGGAGGCCGAGGCAGGCGGATCACAAGGTCAGGAGATTGAGACCATCCTGGCTAACACGGTGAAACCCCATCTCTACTAAAAATACAAAAAATTAGCCGGGCGTGGTGGCAGACACCTGTAGTCTCAGCTACTCGGGAGGCTGAAGCAGGAGAATGGCGTGAACCCGGGAGGTGGAGGTTGCAGTGAACCGAGATCGTGCCACTGCACTCCAGCCTGGGAGACAGAGCGAGACTCCATCTCAAAAAAAAAATTACCTTCAGCTTATTTGCCATCTTTTGCCATAGACCTTTCTACATTACTTTATCCAAGACAGGGACAATTCCTAAACTTCCAAGGTGTTAGAATTCCAAAAAAACATAATATATGTAGCCCATCCAAGTTTGGTTTGAGCCTAACAAATAAGAGTAAATTTTTTAAAAAGACTTAACTCACCATTTGCTAGGGATTGAGACATGACCCATCTGTGGCTGTGTATTTGCATCTGTATGGTCAGGGGAGAAAGAGGAAAATTTTTGGTTGGCATTGTCCTAAGACATAGATAAAAACCAGTGATTGTTTAGTGGATAAGAAAGGTCTTTTGTGAACATCTCACATGATTTTTCATTGGCGGTTACTGTTCAGTTGGACAGGTTAAGCACTGTTAGTATTACTGGGCTCAATGCAAACAAACATGGACTTTGTGTCCTAAAGTTTGTTACGTAGTTCAGATTTTAACTGTTCCATGCATTTTTTTCATATTAGAAAATTCATGCATCAGAACAATGTCCTTCCTCTGACCATGTATCAGGCTGGTCTTTTGATTTTATAAGATGTGTCATTGTATTTAATAAGCCTTCCTTCAAGAAGCTTATAATCTAGTTTTTCATAGTTCATAGTTCTGTATGGAATTTGACAACTCCCTGGTAAGCGATGTGCAAAAAGCTGTGGAAATCATGAGCAGCCCAGGAGGTGGTGGTATTGTTGCAAAGTAAGATAGTGGAGGCCGGGCGTGGTGGCTCACGCCTGTAATCCCAGCACTTTGGGAGGCTGAGGCGGGAGGATCACCAGGTCAAGAGATCGAGACCAGCTTGGCCAACATGGTGAAACCCCATCTCTACTAAAAATACAAAAATTAGCCAGGCGTGGTGGCAGCCGCCTGTAGTCCCAGCTACTCAAGAGGCTGAGGCAGGAGAATTGCTTGAACCTGGGAGGTGGAGTTGCAGTGAGCTGAGATCGTGCTGCTGCACTCCAGCCTGGTGACAGAGCAAGACTCCGTCTTAAAAAAAAAAAAAAAAAAAAAAAGATAGTGGAGTTGATTTATCAAAACACAAAGAATGGCAATACACCAGAATAAGCCATTTATGTTTGTAACAGTAAACCCCAAAGATGAAAGGAATCCAAGATTAATATGACTAAAGGCAGATGCAAAAAGGAAGGTAAAGTTCACAATCATTTTGGAATTCAGGAAAGCCCTGAGAAGTGCAAGCCCTCATGAAACTTCTTCCCCAGAAACAATTCTTTTTAGTGAGGGGGGAAGATAAATGTTCAGAGTTGCTGGCCTAGAGCCTAGAGCTTCATTCCTTGAATTTATACTCCCTTTTCTCCCTTTTGGCGAATCTTCAAACACTGCAAAGAATGGAGGGGTTAAGATCTTTCCTAAATGCGGCCCCTCAAAAGTTGCTTTTTATATGTGTTTTTCTTATAAGACTTTGGATGTTAATGTAACACTCCGAAGATGTATTTCCAAATTCCAAATCATCTGTACTGTCTCCCAATTCTGATTTAGAATACCCTCAATGTTTTTTGAGTCTATTAATTTGTCTTGAAAACTTGGAAAAGTATTACTTAGCTTTTTGAAAGCTATGAAAGGAGGATTTTGTTTTCCTTTGGTTTAAGAAAGTTTTCAGGTTTAGGAAAATGAAGTGGATAAAAGAAAGTAGGGGACAGGTAAACCTAGTTGCTATTAAAGAGGGTGAAAACTTTTCAGAAATATGTATTTTTTTCTTGATGAGCTCTACAATTAGATCTTTCCCCCAGCAAATTATTCCCACTAAATTCATTTACCATGAGCAAAGGACAAAAAAGCCATCTCAAAGGAGTTTCAGTCTTAACTTTTAATTTGCTGGTTTTTGTCAGTTTATGTCACATTAATTTTCTTTTCCACATAGGAGAAAAGATCGTAAGTTATTAATATTACTCTTCTTCCATCTGTCCAGGGGGAAGGGGGAAAATACCTCTATCACTGACACCCAGTTGTTAAAGCATAGAATAAAAGAAAAGTGAGTTTGAGATGTAGAACGAACTTTACCTATGTGTTATTATGCACAGAGGAGACGGCATTTTGCACTGCAAGTGTGTTCTGGAAGTTGATTTTTCATCAGACACCCCTACTTGCTAATTAGATATGTCCCAGCCAATATATTGTTGTGAACCTGAGTATGCAACTCTCTTAGAGGCACTGTTAAAGTTTTGGTGATATTTTCACAAGTGGGAGTTTCTTGCTTTCTATTCCTTATTTGCCCATTCTTTATAAACTAAATGTTGTACACTCAAAAATTAAATTTGATGGCACTTCACCCAGCTCTCAAAAGTGTCTTCTGCCTCTCATCCTTGAATTTGAAGAGACTGAGCAGGGCCACATGTTGATTTAGTCCAGGATCCTTAAAAGTTTGTAAAATGCCTTTAAATGAAAGAGGAGTATACTGGTTAGCATGCTAAACCCTGTCTGTAATCTGCAACCTTACAAGGAGACAAAGCAGCTCTGGCATCCCCTAATATAGTTGCAATAAAGATAAGATGATGGCGCTCGAAGTAAACATAAAATAATTGTACATAAAGCTGTATGCAAAAAGGCTTTGTTCCTAAGTACTGAAAAGGCCGTCACCCTGAAACAATGGGGCAAATTAGCATGCAGCCAGCCCAAGGCTCTTAGTTGCACACACACGCACACTCACAAGCTCACAGTGACGAATGCTTGGTGCTTGCTGGGAGGTCAACACTAAGAATCTTTCTTGGGAAGGCAGCATGTCAGATTTCAGACACTTTCCCTACAAATGGGCTTTTGGTGCTCAAAGGGGGGGCTTTCTGATCCAGATAATAAAGTCCATTTACATGAAAAGATGCCGCTTTCAATGACATGATTAATTTCGGAAATACCTGGCAACTGAATGAAGCTGAGACTTCAAGAAATGACTGATGATGAGAAAAGATAATTAGGCAAATGTCAGGAGTCCAGTGTTGTGCTTGGTGACAGGGGCTGGCCTGTCTAGGTTATTCCAAATGGAAATGAAAGGCCTTTGTGGAAAGTTGGGGATGATCAACCTACAGTTACATATAAACTCTTTTTAGCTCATGTTTCTCTGGTTTTTACCCCATCATGACCAATGGGGAGCTGATGCTTACCTTCAATGACTTCTCAGCGAATCCCAGACAAAGCTGGACTTGTTTTTCATGAGGTCTGCAAAATGCAAATTTATCTTGCCTCACATGTCATTTGTTCAAAGGTAACCTCTCTGTTCTGAGCCCTTTCAAAAATCTCATTGACTTCTCCTCCCCTCCAAAAAAAAAAAAAAAAAAAAAGCCAAACACCATTTAATACTCCGCAGAAAGGACTTTGAAGACAAAGGCTGAAGTGGGAGGCAATGCAAATCTACTCCCTGCACATTGTTTTTGAGCCCTTTCTTCCTTTTTAAAAAAACAAAAAACAAAAAACAACAGCAGATTTTTCATTGGTGAATTGGAGGATGACAATGACTCTAGAGACCAGTGATCTCCACAGGATAGAATTAATGCGAAGCAGGACACTCTCAGTGGACTGAGGGAATAGGTTTCCATGGAACCTTTTCAAATAAAGAGTTTGTAACTGTGGCAAGAGAGAGGGGGTTCTTTCCTTACTTTTTCTGCCTTACCGTACATCTTAATTTCTCCAAAAAGATGTTCATTAAAGACCATATGTTTGTACATATACCAGGATGGTCCATGAATGAGTGTTAGCAATCCTAACCTCTTCACTTTACTCCTTTTTCTTTTGCCTGACTGGTTCCTATAGGAGAAAGGTGGCTCTCCATGAAGCCATCTCCAGGCAGTGGAACCCCTGGAAAGGGGAAGATGCCAAGGAAGATCCTTGCTAGCCATTTAGGCCCAGGCATGCTAAGTTAGGTTTATATCTGATATTAGTTAATGGCTGCTATGGGTTGAAGTAGGTCCCCCTGCCCCAAAAGATATGCCAAAGTCCTAACCCACAGTAGTTCAAAAGTATTACCTTATTTGGAAATAAGGTCATTGCAGATATATTTAGTAAATATGAGATCATACTGAAGAAAGGGGGCCCTTAGCTCAATCTGCCCATTGTTGCTATCAGAACACAATATGAAGGCACACAGGGGAGAACACCAAGTGGCTACAGAGGCAGAGATTACAGTGACACAGCTGCAAGCCAAGGAATGCCAGGGATTGATGTCTACCACCAGAAGCTAGGAAGAGGCAAGGTGGGAATATCCCCTACAGATTTCAGAGGGAGTAAGTTCCTGCTAACACCTTAATTTGGCACTTCTGGCTTCCAGCACTGTGACACAATACATGTCTGGTTTAAACCATCTAGTGTGTGTTACTTTGTTAACAGCAGTTCTAGGTATTGTTGGAGGAAATGAATAAAATAGTCATATCGTTCAACATAGCAGGCCTGTGAAGAACTAGAAATATTGTCTTTTTCCCTTACCTGATTCCTTACCATCTTAACCCAATTCCATCAAAGAAGATAGATAGATATACATTTATGAAAATACAGTGTCGCCTGTCACAAATAGTAACATGAAACCCCGTACTGGAAAGAAGAAAAGGGGGCTGGGCGTGGTGACTCACACCTGTAATCCCAGCACTTTGGGAGGCCGAGGCAGATGGATCACTTAAGGCCAGGAGTTCAAGACCAGCCTGGCCAACAGGGTGAAACTCTGTCTTTACTAAAAATACAAAAATTAGCCGGGCATGGTGGCTCATGCCTGTAGTCCTAGCTACTCAGGAGGCTGAGGCATGAGAATTGCTTGAGCCTGGGAGATGGAGGTTGCAGTGAGCCAAGATCACGCCATTGCAATATTGTACTCCAGCCTGGGAGACAGAGCGAAACTCCTTCAAGAAGAAGAAGAAAGAAGAAAGAAGAGGAGGAGGAGGAGGGGGAAGGAGGAGAGGGAGGAGGTGGGGGAGATGGAGGAGGGGGAGATGGATGAGGGGGAGGAGGGGGAGGAGAGGGAGGGGGAGAAGGGGAGGAAGGCAAAGAAGGGGAGGAAGGGGAGGAAGAGGAGAACCTGCCTCTAAAAGATGGCATGACTGTAAACATACTGCAAGCATACACAAAAATGCTCATCAAGTGTCAGGGCAGCCCCCCAGAATGAAATACTCAGTGTTTTTAGTGAAATACTATACATTAAGTACATTAAGTGCACTATATGAAACTCATTAGTCCGTAACATAAAATGCCATTTAAAGCAAGACATGAAAGTAGAAACGAACTCAAGTGTCAGCCTGCTTTATTCCTTTGGAGAAAATATATTAAAATATATTCATAACAAGTATGTGAGGTCCTTGTCTAAATCTGTTTCTAATAGTGGAATAAAGCTGGAAAGCATTGAAATTACTAATTGTGTGGAAATTTCTACTTGCAGTGGGATACTTCCATCCTTTCAGGATAATTTAAAAAAGCTATGCTCCCCAAATAGTAAAGCTTGATTAGTACTATATTAGTAAATATCTATAATTTGGCATGAGTTTATTTCCTTCAAGTTTTCAAAACTTGCTTTAGAGATTACATTGCTTAGTGGCGGGTTGTGCAAATAACAATGTATTAAGGATAAAAAACCAAAGAGACTACTACTGTTTATAATTCATTTATATGACATAGCATAAACATGTTTACTCAAGTATGCCATTTCTTTGGTTTCGAGTCTCTGCTACCGTTCAAACCATTTAGCTTGGCAAGTAAACAACTTTAAAATAGAAAGATGCTTTTTGATTTGGGGACTAAAACATTGCATGGATGGGAGAGGGTTCCACAATCCAAATACAATATGATTGCATTTTCTTATTTGCTTTTAATCATTTGTAAATCCTGAGATGCTTAACATTTTATGTTTAAATATTATCTCAGTAGAAAGCTTTTCCCCTGCTTATGCATAATTTCATCGGAAATTAATATCTCCCACTTATAATGCATCAAAAACTAGAAATATTTTTGCTCCTTAATGGTGTAGAAATTAGTCTAATTTTAAAGCACTCAAGAATATAATTATTTACATGTACTAGAAATATTAACTAGAACTATTTGATCAAGGTATATGGAAAGTTGGAGGAAAGAAAAACATTTCTCGAAGTTATGAATAGCTAGCTATATTAAATGTTACCTAAAAAGAAATAATTAGGTTATGTGAACATTCCAGATTATAGAAAAATGTGTTCCTAGAATACCTTGAAAATTAAATGTGTTTCCATATTTTCAAAATAGCGTAAAATACTTCAAGATCATTTATTTTGTTAAAATTAATTTGTATGTAAACATGGCTTTGGTATTGTTGGAGGTGATAGAAAGAAATAAATGAACTGTTAATTCAATAAATGTGTTGCCAGTTGTGCTAAAATTGAATGCAATGCATATATGTCAATTGGATGTATATATAAGTGTAATAGTTTTATCATTGTTATGAAATGTGCTTAGTTTATAAACGCATTTGCTCGTTGTGATGATTCCTATACTCAGCTGAAATGAGATTTATCATTTTTCTCCTTTTGTTTATAAAGGTACAGTTTATATTTCCTCTGTGATCGATTATATTCCTGAAAGGTCTTGTGATTAACAATATAGTATATTTTTTATTGAGTTATTTCACACACCAATGGCAGGGCCCAAAGGGTATTCTGGGTTTACAGGAATTTTCTAATACATGTGTTCTCTTCTGCATTAAAGCTGCTAATTAGTGCTTTTAAACAGCTCAACATTGAATTGTTGGAAGGCACCATATCAGGGCTAATATAAAACTGTTTATGTGGAAGAATATATACAATAAGAAGGTGTTAAACCCAACACAAATTGAGTGGCAGGGGGTTTCCACTAGTGCTAATTTTATGTTTGTTTTGTCTCATTTAAAGTTAAGATTCCTATGTTATAATTGTGATGTGGAACATGCTGTACTTACAGATGGACTGAAAGGTGTCAATTTACAAGCTGCATTTTTCTAGCAAAGAAGTCAATGGGTAGTTTTATCAGGCAATAGCTATTCCTAAACACTAGTTTTTATTTTTAACAGGACATATGGGTACTTAAAGATATATATAATAACTATGTTATATAAGACATGTTAAAATTCCAATTCTGATAAGTATGTTTAGTGAGCTTTTTATTGTATTTTGATATGCTAGTTGAACAGGGCAATAATGCATTAATAGAATTTTGAATGTCTCAAGACAGTTGCACTACAAAAATCAAATGTACATGTGTTTAAACAAATCCAAGAGTTTTGTTATCTTAAGCCAGGTTCTGCTGACTTGTGAATGAATCAAGCTGGAGGAAACCTTAAGAGGTCATTTATTAAATCCTGTGTCCTCAATTTTCACACAGATAGAACAATTAGGAAATTTCCTATTCTTAGGCCCTTCTAGAAAAATTTCTCTTTCCCTCATCACCTCTGTCAAAGTTTATTGATTGGTTTCACAACATGACTACATCATCATTTTTGTAGCTGCCTGGCCAGACCATCTCAACTTGAGAACAGAAGGACCTCCTGGCAACCTATGGGGAAGCATGTTGCCTTAATGTGAGTCTTTCTTTCATCAAGGCACACTATTTTCAAAAATGCATTCTGTCAAGCTTTATTTCTTACCATAATCCCTTCTAATACTCTCTGTGTTTAGAGAGTATTAGATAATGCTCCGAGTTAGAAAAGTTTTTGTTGATTTGATTTTTGTTTTATTTTTAGTGCCTTTTAAAAAAACTTTGTTGTGCTTTTGAATATGAATGCTTGGGAATTCCATGATGCTGGACATGGAGAAGGATATATTTCTTATAGACATTCAGCTGGATTTGGGGAAAGTCATATGGCCAATCACAAGTCAAATCTTTGGGGAAAAAACCCCCGCATAATCAATAAACTCTTATCAAGTTTAATTAAGAAAAAAAGAAAAGTCATAAATTGCCAATGTCAGGAGTTGAAAAGGAGATATCACTACAGATCCTTCAGGTATCAAAAACAACAAAGGTCAGAGAACAACTTTGAGAATGAGACTGAAGACTCATGTGGAATTAATTACTAAAAATGGACAATATATCCCACCTGACACAAGATGAAATCAAAAATAGAAATAGTCCTAGATATATAACTACTATTGAATCTGCAATTTAAACCTTGCCACAAAGAAGTCTCTACACCTAGTTGGCTTCACTGGCAAATTCTCACATACATTGAAAGAAGAAATAATATCAATCTCATACAAATGCTGTTAAAGAATAGGAAAACAGGAAACAATTCCCAACCTACTTTATGAAGCTAGCAGTGTATTGATACCAAATCTTGACAAATCATATAAGAGGTAAATTATAGGCTGATTCCTCTCATGAATCTGGATATAAAAATAGTAAATAACATCTTTAGAAATCTTAATCTAGTGATTTGTAAAAAGGATAATATATCACAACCAAGTGCTGTTTATTCAAACAATGCAACGTTGGTTTAACATTTGAAAACAAATCACACAATATAATTCACCACATTAATAAAACAAAGATAGAATTATATGACTATATTAATTGGTATAGCAGAAAGCACGTTTATGATAAAAAAGAAATCTCAGCTAACTAGAAATAGAAAGGAATTTCCTTAATGTAATAAAGTATGTACAGGAAATTTCTAGTAAAAATTGTTCTTAATGGTAAAATGTTGAAAACTTTCTGCTTTATATGGGAACGAAATGGTGCTGTCACCACTTCTATTAAATGTAGTACTGAAGGTCCTATCCATAGCAATAAAGCAAGGAAAAAAGAGATAGATGAATTAGAGAGGAAATTATAAAACTGTGATTATTCACAGATGACATGATTGTCTATACAGAAAATTCAAAAGAGTATACAGATAATCTATGAAACAATAAGTAAATTTATTAGGGTTTCTGGATACAAGTTCAACAAATACAGTTCCTTTAATATTGCAATTAATAAGCCAATATTTATACATTGTTATCAACTAAAGTCCACATTTCATTCAGATTTCCTTAGTTTTTTATCTAATGCCCTTTTTCTATTACAGGATCTCATCCAAGATACCATGTTACAGTTAGTTGTTATGGCTCTTTAGGCTCCTCTTGACTATGACAATTTCTTAGACTTTCCTTGTTTTTAATGACCTTGACACTTTGAGAAGTAGTGGTTAGGTTTTTGTAGAATCCCTCTCTATTGGAATTTGTTTGATTTTGATTTTTTTTAATGACTAGACTGTGGTTATGGCTTTTTGGGAGAAAGACCATAGAGGTAGAGTGCCATTCAAATCATGTCATCTAAAGGGCATACACTATCGGCATGATTTATCACTGTTGATGTTGACCTTGATCACCTGGTTGAGCTGATGTTTGCCAGGATTTTCCATTTACTCTGCCCTACCTCCCCTTCTATACTAAACTCTTTACATGGAGTCACTGTGGGCAGCCCCTCCTGAAAAAGTGGGAATTTATGCTCCCTTTTGTTAAGGGATGGGTATCCATTTAATTATTTTTAACTCTTTTACTTGAGAGATGTGTCTTTTTCCCTGTATTTATTTATTCAATAATTTATTGATACCAGTATTGACTCATGGATATTTATTTTATATTTTAGCTTATGATCCAGTAAATACAATTTTGTTTTATTTTGTTGTGCAAATTGTTCCAGCTTTGACTGTTGAGAGCTCTTTCAGTTGACACCTTTGTCCCTTTGACATACTCTCATCAATGTGTGATTTTTTGTACTGTTTTTGAGCACTTTCTTACTTTCTGGCTCTCTAAAATGCTCCAGTCCTAGAATTAGGCATTTCTCCAAGGATCTCTGGTTCATTTCATTGTATTTTTATATACAACCATCAATTAAAAAATAATGTTTTAATAGAATAAAGCAATTCCAAGTACTTAAGAAAAAAAGATCAAAAAGACATTTAAGATTACCGTACTGAGAACTTCAGAATATTATTAAAATAAATTAAAAAGATCTGAATAAATAGAGGAACAGGATTGGAGATCCAATATTGTAAAGGTGTTTATTTCCCATATAAATTGATCCATAGATTCAATTCAATTTCAATAAAAATCTCAGAGGAAATATGGTGAAAATTGACAAGTTCATTCTAAAATTTATAGTAAAAGTAAAGGGTCAAAAATAGTCAAGATAATCTTGAAGGAGAAGAACTTAATATAAAGCTATAATAAGTAAGAAAGTGTGGCACTGGCTAAAGGATAAACAAGTAATGAAATAAAGAAATGTTCCAACAAAATAGAGTCTTGAAAGAGAACTACATTTGTATGGCCATTTCTACTCTCTAACATTTTAATATAAACAATTCAAACATAAAGAAAAGTTGAAAGAAGTTTATAGTGAATATATTCACCACCTAGATTCTACCATTATTGTTTTATAATGCTTGCTTATTGTATATGTATCTATCCATTAATCTATCATATTTTGTGTATTCCAAAATAAATTACAGACATGACTACATTTCAACCTAAATATTTCAGCATGAATAACATTAACTAGAGTTCAATATTTCTTTACAATTCTTTACTTCTGATGTAAACTTCATATATGATAAAATATACAATTATGGCTACAATTGCTGAAATTTAAGAAATTCATACACCTGTCTAACATAATCCCCTATCAAGTTATAGAATATATCTATTATATCAGGAAGTTTCATTATGTCTATTCCCAGTCATTCCCTGTTGCATTCCTCAGAGACAATAACAATTCTGATCTTTTTCACTATAGCATTGTTTGCATGTTCTGGAATTTCATATAAATGGAATCATATAGTGTGTTCTACTCTTGTATCTAGCTTCTTTAGTTAAGCTTAATATTTTTGATTTATCCATGTTTTTGCATGTATTGAGAGTTTATACATTTTTATTGAGTAGTGTTTCATTGTATTAAAATATTAGTTTTTTTATCCCTTCTATTGATGGACAATGGGCAGTTTCCAGTTTTTTTCTGTTATGAATAAAATGGCCATGAATGTTATTTTTATGTACTTTGTGAACGTAGGATTTAATTTCCATTGCATAAATATCTAGGGGTGAAATTGATGTGTCATAGGGTAAGTCTATATATAGTTTTACAGGAACCTGCCAGAACTTTTTCCAAAATAGTTGTAATATATTACAGCCTTCTCAAGTACCTAGTTTAGGGTACAGAGAAAGCAAATGAAAATGCAGAGAACACACTGCCACATCTGTTCTTGAGTCCAGAGTTTCCCAGTTAGTTTTCTTTTCTCTACTTCTTACAATCTTCTTATGCTTGCTTTATATATAAAATCCAAGGGTTTTAGCTGTACTTAGTGGGAGGAATAGGGAAAAATGTACCTTCTTTTTCTTGTTTGAAGTTGGAAATGTATTGCTGTTTTTATTTTATTTCATCTTAAGTATGCTGATAATAGGTGGAAACAGGGTCTGTCAGGCAGGGTCTCTGATTGTATGACTTTTTCCTGGCAGAGGAAGGATAGAGCGTGCTGTGAGTTTGAAGACAGAAAACACAGCAGTCAGAGTTTATGAGTAAGAGAAAAGACACAGCAGCAAGTTTATGACTAAGAGGAATTTTCTGACTCTGTTTTATGGGAAGATGCTTTGAAAGAAAAAGGCTCAGATCACTATTGAGTGATGCCAGTTGATGGGAAGGGGCATATGGGCAGAGCACAGCATGAGTAGCTCGGAACAACAGCAAAGAAACAAGTGAGATGTGCATCTGTGAGTAGTGCCTAAGGTGTTCAAGACATGGTTAAATGGTGTTTTCCAAAACCAAAAAATGAGTAGAAGCAAGACAAGGGCAGTGACAAAGTAATTGCCTCTAGTTGTAGAATGTGATGTAAGAAAACAAGATAATTCCCCATGTCCCCAAATTCATTGGCCTGCCTTTGTCTTCAACAGTCACGACTTTAGCTGGAAAGAGGAGTCTGTCAGATATAATCCAGGCAGGTGAAATGTTGAAAAGAAATCTGACATTGAGCTCAGGTCAGTTTTGAGTAAAATGCTTGAGTTGGGAAGAAACATGCAAGACAAAGGAACAACAAGAAATATATTTTTATAATTAATAAGGGGGCACCAGAGAAGGTGATTTTTTTTCTTTGTAAGAGAGAACAGTAAGATGGGAACCAATTGAAAATAAAGACAAATAGTAGAGTTAAAGCTTTTAGTAATCACAATGCAGAAAAAAACATTATTATTGGTATAGAAAAATACCTTCTTTTCCTTGTTTTCAGTTACTTCCCATTTATTTACTCACAGATTGTGATACGGTTTGGCTCTGTGTCCCCACCCAAATCTCATGTTGATTTGTAATTCCCAGTGTTAAGGGAGGAACCTGGTGGGAGGTAATTAGATCATGGGGGCAAATTTCCTCCTTGCTGTTCTCATGATAGTAAGTGAGTTCTCAAGAGATCTGATGATAAAAAAGTGTGTGGCACTTCCCCCTTCTCTCTCTCTTTCTCCTGCTCTAACACATGAATATGTGCTCACTTCCCCTTTGCCTCCTCCTGTGATTGTAAGTTTCCTGAGGCCTCCCAACCATGTTTCCTGTACAGCCTGTGGAACTGTGAGTCAACTAAACCTTTTTTTTTTTAAATAAATTACCCCGTCTCAGGTAGTTCTTTATAGCAGTGTGAAAATGAACTAATACAGAAAATTGTCACCAGGAGTGGGGTATTGTTATAAAGATACCTGAAAATGTAGAAGCAGCTATGGAACTGGGTAACAGGCAGAGTTTGGAACAGTTTGGAGGGCTCAGAAGAAGACAGGAAGATGAGGGAATGTTTGGAACTTCCTAGAGACTTGTTGAATGGTTGTGACCAAAACGCTGATAGTCATATGGACAGTGAAGTCCAGACTGAGGTGGTTTCGGAAGCAGATGAGGAACTTATTGGGAACTGGAGTAAAAGTCACTCTTGCTATGCTTTAGCATATATAATATATAATTATATATAAGCATTATAAAAATTATTACTTTATATACATATATAATTATTATATAATTATATCTAATATAAATTTATTTATTTATATTACATAATTCATGTTTTTTGATATTTTAATTATATTTATAATCCTTAAAAAATTTTTAGTGAGTTGCATAACACTGGGGTTAACCATCCTTTTCTATGTTTAATAGTCATGTGCTTTTTCTTTCTAACATTTGCATGTTCATATAATTTACACTTTTTTTATACATAACTTTTTGTGCCCATTTTTCTTACTGATTTAAAAAAGCTTTTTGTGTGTTGAGGAGAAATCTCATTCACAAACACAATTTTTCAAGAAATATAACTATATTCAAATAGTGAACTTAATTTATACTATAAATCTTTATTTCTGTGGATGCCAAAAACTAAACTTTAAACAATGTATGGTTTCCCCTAGTTTTCTTCCCAGACATGAAATACGAGCTTTACTGGGCGCTAATGATTGCAAGCTTGTTGCTAAGGAACAAGATTTGACTAATTGACATGCTGTTACTTGACAGGTGAGGGTTTAAAGAAAATTGGAGCCAACATTTAAAAATTAAAATATTTCACTTTCGAAAAAGTGAAAACTTGCAGTTCTTGTTGAGAAGTCAGAATATCTGTCCTTATAGGGTCTACATTCTTGCATGAAAGCGATTGCCTTGAGCTGAGAGGCAGCTACCCATTTCAAAGGGTGCATGTGTGTCCAGTTTAATAGGGTTGTATCAGATTTATTTAAAAATTATGGAACATATATGTATGTGCATGTGTGTGTATGCACTTATTTTCCACATGTTTACATATACACCTATCAATAAATATGTAAGCATATATGCTATGTGCTTATAAAAGAATTTCCATTAGGATATAAATCACAACAAACTATTGTTATTATATACTCCTCCCTGTTATTATACACCTGCATATTTCACTCATTAATGTTACCTGTCTAGTTCCTGTAACTGTTTGAGTTTCCAATCTTTCCTAAACATTATGGAAAACATGCTCATAATAAGTAAACTCTTTAAAAATTGATACTTTAAAATGTTATCATCTGGGAATCGTTAGTACAAGATATTCTTATATTAAGCATATATTATCCGGACTATGTTGACAGGAATCTTTTTGATCACTTGAGACAGTCTGTAACTGGCTGCCTTATTTCATCCATTCATATCATTAAAAAAGTATTTATTTATTTTTTGTGCATATATAGTAGGTATATATATTTATGGGGTACATAAGATGTTTTGATATAGGCATGGAATGTAAAATAAGCACATCATGAAGAATGGGGAATCCATCCCCTCAAGCATTTATCCATTGAGTTGCAAACAATGCATTCATATCTTGTGGAATGTTTGCCTGGATGTTCTATTCACAGTATTGGCCCTTTTGCACCTCCCAGGAGCAGAATTTGACACTATGAGCTTTGTCCTACCCTATCTGACAAACTTTTGTGAAGTTATGTATGTATATGTAAGATATATTTTTAATCCATATTTATGTTTTGTAATCTGTATCAACATGTTTGATAAATGAAAACAGTCTGAAGCTCAATTCTTTTCTTGAGTATGTGACATTTATCCCCTAGAAATCTTTTGTGCTACACAAGTGAAGAAGTCACAGAGTAAAGGTGGTATGGAAAGGAAGGTACGCATTGTTTAATAGACAGACTGAGGTTGGAAGAAAAGAGAAATATAAATAAGTTATATGCATATATTATGTGCCAAGGAATGTTAGTGGTCTGTAAAGAACAATGAACTATGTTTCTACATCTCTGAGTTCTGAACTACTGAGAAATAGACCTAAAGAGCTAGATATGAAAATGGATGGCAATTATGGAAAACCTAATTGAAATTGCATAGGGAGACTATTAATTCTTATTGCCAGACACCAAATTGCTAAAGTGAAGTGGTTATGAGGTTTTAACCAATTTCATTCACAGTTATTTAAGTAACAGTGTTATAACTATTATGAAAAATTCTGTTTTTGTGGATCCAAGGCTAGGAAAAAGAAAACAAATATTTTCCATACATGCAGTGTTTCTGTTTTTCCCTGCTCAGGGTGGACAAATTGTAGTTACTATTTTAGCTATTATGTACTTAACATTCTTGGACTGTTTTTTAATTTTATTTTTAATTTTTATGAGTACAGATTAGGTGTATATATTTTGTTTTTTGATTTTGCGCCATCTCTTACTTGGTATGGACTTAGTGTATGGCATGCAGGAGCTGTTTTCTGCAGAGGGAAAAGCTGACATACCTCTGGCTTATAAAAAGTTTATAACAATATGTGTTTATAAATTGCTTACTTTGAGATGGACAGGTGAAAGGCACTATATAAAATTGCCAAATATTATTATCTGTCTAAATGTAGCTGAGTGAACAAATCTTTTTAACACCCATTTTAATGACACAGTTGTTCCATATGGTGGACTTCAGATGGATAAAAAAATCCAGAGTTAGTACATTCCCTGGAGAAAACCAGATTGTCCAGGTGTGCCATATTTTAAACTCAGGGTAGAATTAAGAGGCACAGCTTTTCAAAATTCAGGCCCAAACAGCAACTCACATCAATTTAATTTCTCTGTTGTTTCAGACAACACAGGGCTCTTTAGTTAATGAAACAAAACCATGTATTATATACTGAAAAGGTGGTCCTAATCATTTTATGTGTTTGAGTCAGCATCGATTTTAGTAAGAGGAAGTCCCTGGAGCTGAGGTTGAGTTATTTGCATAATTTTTCTTAAGTTTCTTAAAGACTCAGACTGGCTTCTTTCTGGAGATTCCATGAAGATGGTGTCCCCCAGAGAGGTCTTTGGTAGCAATTTTTAGATCTTGAAGTGTTTTTTCCATTGTGGTTCAGAGCTTTTCATGGCCTTTAGTTTGACAGATAGAACAATGAGGCACAGGCAACAAGGTCTGCCAACCTCAGAAATTATGGTACATTCAGAAAATAGATTTTATTTTAAGACGAGCCTAATTATTACTGAGACAGAGTCCTTTTTCCTCTTTCCTGTTGTATTTCTTGTTGAAGTTGATTCTGCTTTTTTCAATTGATTTAAACTTTCTCTTGCAAAATAACTCAAATGTTGAATGCAGTGTCTTGTGGAAGCCTGACACCATTAAGGACTGGAAGAGGAAAGTCTAAGTAAGAGAGTGCCACCAAGATGCTTGCTCTTGGATGTGCTGGTGGAAGGGTCTACTTAGCTTGGTGGGTTTACCTCTTAACTGTTCCAATAGTTAAGGCATAGACAAAATGAGGACAATGTGGACCATGTTGACCCCAAATCATGTGTACAGGTGACATTCTCGAGCCTAGGTAGCAAATGAGTGCTTTGAGCACAGAGAAGATGGGAAGAAAGTACAGACCTTGGAATATGATCCAACCCACCTAATTTCTTGTCCTGATTCTCAACTAGAAAAAAAATAGTCTTTGTTCTCCTTTTAATAACTACTGTGTACTAACTTTGTGTACAGTTTACAAAGTCAGGTATCTTAAAAACAATCTGAGGCTCAAGAGGAAGGTTGTTATTATTAGAAGCTACAGACTAGGAGAAAAGTCTTTACAAAGCTGGGTCTTGGGCCTCTGGGAAGAGCCCCGTCTAGTACCTTGAAGGGGTGCAACATGAGACTGATTTTAGGAGTGGAAAATAACTGGAAATTGGAAATAACTGCCATTTCCAAAGCGAAGGGCTGTAGCTGGGGTGATGCCGACTAGAACAGTGAGCAAACAGGAAGAAGCATGCCCCTTCTGCCTCTTGATGTTTTCTGTCACTCCCATTAGTAGAACACAGTAGGAAGCCAGCTAGCCAAGGAGAAATGATGTTTGTAGAGTCCCATGCCCAGCATCCCAAAGCTTAACATAGAAAGGTGGGTTCGGAGCCAAAAGACATAGTACATCCCACCATCCTTTTTTTAACTTTTGTTTTAGGTTCAGGGGTACATATGCAGGTTTGTTATATAAGTAAATTGTGTGTCACAGGGGTTTGGTGTGCAGATTATTTTACCAGGTAATAAGCATAGTACCTGATTAGGTTGTTTTTCAATCCTCAACTTCCTCCCTCTCTCCACCCTGAAGTAGGCCCTGTGTCTGTGGTTCCCCTCTTTTTGTCCATATATACGCAATGCTTAGCTTCCACTTATAAGTGAGAACATGTGGTATTTGATTTTCTGTTTCTGCATTAATTTGCTTAAGATAATGGCCTCCAACTGCATCAATGTCCTTTGCAGCAACATAGATGGAAAATAGTAGAAAACAAAAGTTCTTACCAAAAAAAAAAAAAAAAAAAAGAAAAAGAAAAAAAGGCAGAGGGCGGAGGAGGAGGAAGAGGAGGGAGCTTGTTTTGTTTTTAAATAGAACTGAAGAAAAACATTGAAAAATCAGAAGATGTCCAACCCTTTTTGCAAGGCGAAGCCCTCCGTTATTTCTGCCTCTGTAGTTTTTGTTTTGAATTCTTTTTTTCTCTTCTGGGTGCTGATACTTCTCTCTTTCCTTACATTGTTAGTGTTTTATTATGTTTTGTTTTGTTTTTTTTTTTTTTAGTTTGTTTAAACTTGTGTCACTACCTCAGTTTGCCCCCATGTCCCTTACACACAAGCAAAATACCCCTTCAGTGGAGGGAAGAATTGGCAAGTGACTGCTATGCTCCATGACTCACGCAACAGTCTCTGCCTTGCCCAATGGCTTATGTTGGAGATGTCAGTATAATGGACAGGGAGTCCAAATACCCTTTCAATTTCAATGCACCTAAGGTGTCCTTCTCATTCATGAAGACAGGGAGACGCTGGTCTTTGCCCTGCATTATGGAGTTTGACCTGGTAGTAATGGTCCTCGCTTTGCTGACCTTGGCTTTTCTGCCATGCTCCACACACTCCTGCAGCTCCAGCTTACATTCATAGTGAATGCCAATGGCCTGCTCTTACTGGGAAGGTTACCACAGATGTAGTAGTTCTGGTGTGCAGCTGACACTTCCTTGGCATTAATCATCATGGAATTCGAATAAAAAAATTGTGAGATGTCTCTCTTTTGACTAGTGCCCATGGCCACCACACTCTCAAGGAGCCACAAGAAGGGTGATCATCTCCCTCCTTGGGCTGTGCATGATGCACAGGTGAGAAAACTCAAAGAATTGCTGGCCAGTGCCCTTGTAGGGTCCTTCGTGGGCAGGGTTGACAATGGAGAGGTCATTGCAGAGAATGGGCCCCACTCCTGGTTGTGCTTCTGTATGATGGTTCGGGTATCCCTGATGTGCATGATCCTCCCCTGGTGCCACAGCATGCCCACAATGATGGCGTCCTCACACACCTCTGAGACATGTAGTGATCTACCTAAATGCCCAAGCCATTCAGCACCAGGAGCCTCATATCAATCCCGTCAAAAAGAGACAGCACCTGGATGGGCGGCTTCCTTTTCTCAGCTGGGACAGGCGAGTAGACTTCCAGAGGGTCAAATTCCTGGTTAGGGTTATTGGGGAAGAACATCTGGAGCTGAGAGGGCCAGTCATCCCGCCACTGCAGCAGCTCACAGATGCCCTTGTGTTCACACATGTAGCAGTTCCAGGGATCTTCCTTAATGGTCACCTGGGCAACCTCTGGCCCAACCAAGAGGTCTATACACTCCACGCAAAAGCACCTGCAGCAGTTGTTCCAGCACATGAGCACCTCGTGCCCACAGCAGCAGATGGTGCAGCAGAACTGATAGCCTTCTTCATCATACTGGTATGCATATTCCAGGAAGCAGTTCTTGCAATGTCGTCATATTCCTAGCATGAAGAGGGGCTGTTCCAGAGTGACATTGAGGCTCTCACAAGAGACACAAAGGTCCTTGATGTTCTGGCACTTCTTCCTCACTTTGTACACTAACTACTCTTCTGTGTTCATCAACAATCTCCTTGATGTCGAGCTTTTTTTTTTATTTTTTTTTGAAACAGAGTCTTGCTCTGTCACCAGGCTGGAGTGCAATGGTGCTATCTCGGCTCACTGTAACCTCCGACTCCCTGGTTCAAGTGATTCTCCTGCCTCAGCCTCCCCAGTAGCTGGGATTACAGGCACATGCCACCATGTCCAGCTATTTTGGTACTTTTTAGTAGAGACGGGGTTTCACCATGTTGGCCTGACCATGTCAGGTCTCTATCTCCTGACGTCGTGATCCGCCCGCCTCAGCCTCCCAAGGTGCTGGGATTACAGGTGTGAGCTACTGTGCCTGGTCCCATGTTGAGCTTCTTAGCTGTGCTCTTTCGGGGCTCTTTGGCTGGTGGGGGTGGTGCCTAAGCAGTTGCCTCAGGGTCACCCCTCACGTGTGCATAAACTTCTTTGCTGGGATTCTTCTCCTCTTCTTGTGGCTCCAGTCTCTTGGGGGCAGAAGGCTGGAACCCCCCAAAGGTCCATCTGAATATCTGCTTGCTCTGCACCTCTGTATCCTTGGCAGTGTCACTCTCATCACTGTCATGGCTCCCTGAGAACAGCTCCCCTGTACACTGCTGGCCACCGGCAGGACTTCGTAGATGGCTTTGTGGTACATGGGCTGCTTGTTGTATTATAGGTGGTCTGGTGGAACACACTGCAAAAGGAGCTCAGTGGTATCAGCTTCTCTACACACAGCACTGAGAACTCACCTCTCCAAGCCACATGACACAGTGGGTGCCTTCAGCTGCTCGGCTTTGGCCTGTCATCCACCAAGACACAATGCGGCCACCAGGAGAAGCCCTGCAGTTTTCCTCACACCAGCTCCCCATTGCCAAAGCCCCAGCTGTCCTTGTACTCTGGTTCATCGTCACCTGCTTTGATGTACTTGTTCCCAGCCTCAGTCCCCACAGGCTCAGGTGTGGTAACGACAGTGGGGGATGTGGGGTTGCTGGGCTGCCGCACAGCAGCAGGGCTGGCCTCCTCCACCTTTGCAGACTCCTCTGAGCCCTAGTTTTCTTCCATAGCATTCATTACTGCAGTGACCTCGGCCTTTCTTCTCAGCCCATGAGGCCAGGTGTAGCCCTCTGAGGTCCAGCTCAGCATCTTCAGCATTTTTTACTTGGAATTCCACATCCAATTAGTTGCCAAGTCCTTTCAATTTCACCCCTATGAGATGCGATGCCTTTTTTTTTTCTTTCTAGCTGATACTACTCTCATTTAAACCTTTATTACTTCTTGTCTAACTCATTTCAGAAGCCTCCTAATGGGTCTCCTCTCTTGCTCCTACCTTTTCCCTTATTAATCCAGATGAATCCTCTCAGATGATTGCTCTGATTATGACTCTCTCCTGACCCAGATACTGGGATGAAGTCAAAATTCCTTGGCATAGCTCTCAAGGCTTTTCACAACCTCATCATCCAACTTTTCAGACATGGCTAAAAGATATGAGATTATGGATATGTAAATTTGCTTGGATGTGGTTAACCACTATATATAAGTGTATACAACCACTATGTGTAGGTTTCCAAACATCATTTGTACAGCTTAAATATATATACAATAAAACAAAGCAAAACAGGCTTACCTTAAAGAATCTTCATCCTATAACCTCTACATACCTAGCTCTACTCAGGACTTCTGACTTGCCAAAGGCCTCTAAATTATTCTTTCCTCTGGGCCCATGGTCATTTAGCTTCTGCCCTGAATGCATTTCTCACCTACACTTGATGCTTCAAGACCTTACTTGAATGTTATTTACTTCCACGAAGAAAGTCTTGGAACTTATCATAGACTCAGTACAGTTCATTGTAAAGCTTTAGAAAACTTACTAAGCACTTAGTTAATCTGCAAGGCCCTATTAAAGTTATCATTTTCAACAGATACATTATTTTAAAATGCAGTAAGTTTTTAGAAGTCAATGAATTTTTGGAAGGTAAAAGAATTTGTGATTTTCTTTTCCTTTTAGTATATGCTTTATATACTTCCACCTTTATCTTTTCTTTTTCTTAAAGATATCAGTGGAAGTATATAAAACATACTATATATGTATACAAAGTATATAAAGAATAGCTCCTGCAGAAATGATGAGGATGGTGATGACGATGATTGCTCAAATTTATTGAGCACTTACTATATGGTAAGCACTAACTTAGTTAACTTGCCCTTAACTTGTGTGAGCTTGTTTGATTCGTACAACCCCCCCAGTGAAGTTCATACTACATGATTCCCATTCCACAGCTAAGGATCTTGAAGACAGGAAGCCTAAATCATATGCCCCGCTGATACATGTTGGGTCCAGAATTTAAATCAGGGAGTCTGTCTTCAGAGCCCATGCCATTGACCCTTAAATAGCACCTTATAATGAAATTGCATATATATTTCCAAATTTATCTTTTCTTCTTCTTAAATATAAAAGTGGAAGTATATTAAACATATACTAAAAGGGCCATCAATAATTCAATTCTTTCCTGTCAGGAAATCAGTGAAAACTATCTATGTATCTATGTATCTATGTATCTATGTATCTATGTATCTATGTATCTATCTATCTATCTATCTATCTATCTATCTATCTGTCTATCTGTCTATCATCCATCTATCTATATTCTTAAACCCAAAGAAGACTCTTTACTTAGAAGTAGGGGCAATTTACAGAAATCTGAGGCACAGATTCCATACCTGAAACTGAGAATGTACTTAAAGGAAATATTGACAGGAGGAAGAGCAAATGCAGAGGAACTGACACATTAACCAGAAGTTAAATGATAGAGACACGGGCATGATTATATATATATATATATCAGCTAATGGAAAGTGCGAAAAAGATAATATAATCATTGGGCATGAAATAGATGCAACTTAAGGCTTTTCAATAAAGCTTTGTTAGGGGATAACCCAAGAATACTCCAGAAGAGGGGGAAAGAGACATTGAACAAATTTTAGAGGCAATATTGAACAAGTGAAAATAACTTAAAAAATCACAGATAGCTGAGTTTTACCTAAGATTTACTCAGGAATGTGGAATTCAGAAAATAAAGTAGAGAAGAGAGATTTCTTAAAATTAAATGATTTATTAAAATGAAATCAATTTCTTGTGAAGTTGGAACTAGGGAGTCTCAGATGCAATGGATAACTCCTGCAAAAATGATGAGGATGGTGATGATAATGCTTGCTAAAATTTATTGGGCACTTACTGTGTGTCAGGCACTAACTTAACTAACTTGCTCTTGACTTGCGTGAGCTTGTTTGATTTGTACACCTCAGTGAAGCTCATTCTACATGATCCCCATTTCACAGGAAAAAATCCTGAAACAGGAAGTCTAAGTCATATGCCCAGCTGATACTTACTGGGTCCAGAATTCAAATCAGGGAGAGTCTGGCTCCAGAGCCCATGCTATTGACCCCGAAATAGCACCTCACAATGCAAAGAAAGGACAGATTCTTAGAAGTAGTGGGTTTATTGACAGAGGAAGTAAGCCTCTTCTACAGGTTTCTAACATAACTTTGAAATGAAATAAGGGTCATGGGGCAAGGGAAATTGACAAAGGTGATGACGCAAGTCCTATTAACTAGTTTGTTACTGAGAGGGGCGGGGAGGACTTGTGAGTCCTGAGAGCTCCCCCTGAACAATGCTGCCTTCAGTCCAAATTATTGCTGAATGAAGGGGAGGGGCAGAGTGGCTAGGTGATCAAAGGCCCTTCAGAGAAGGAGGTGGAATGGCAGCCACGGGCCCTTCTCTGTCTCCAGGAGTTCACTGTACTGCATTTAATAATTGCTTCCCATTATTGCCTCACTGTCTGTTCCAAATAAATCTACCTGATTGGGATGGATTTGGTGTGGGAATATCTGTTCCAGCCTATTAGCCAGCACCTTTACTGAGATTTCCCTGTCCACATTTATTAAGGAGATTGGGCGATAATTCAGGCTGGGTTCAGGTTCTCCTCCTGGTTTAAGAATTACAAAAATTAGTGTTGATCGTAGGCCCAAAAGTCATCATTTTGTTTTCAGTTCATTCTTGTCCCTTCTTAGCAATGGAGGCAGAAGTACCTTGCTTTGGGGTATGAAACCAGATTATCAAACATCAGGGCTCTTGGTGCATTTCAGAGAGTGACTACTTTTAGGGGGCAAATTTTCATCTTTTCACTTCGATCTTGCCCTCTGAAAGTAGCTGTGTTTCTGGCTATACTTGTAGCTTCAGTCATTCTCAAGCAGACCCTTTAAAAATAACCCGATAGAGCCTAAGGAGGGAGCATCAGTGACTTTCCTTGGCACTACTTGTTGGTTTAGGAGATTTTTTCTCTTTTAATGAGTTAATGTCAAAAAATGAACATGGAGTTGGAGTCTTCCCATGTCCCATTTTCTACCTCACTGTGGGAAGCAGGATAATATAGAAAAAGTTCTCTGTTCTTCTCAGAAATGGAATCTTCACACTGCCAGCTACTCTGCTAGTTGCAGACATGTTTCTGGGTCTCCCCAAGTCCTAAACTCACCACAAGTGCATAATCCAGCCACCAAAGAGCAGTGCTTTTGTTCTAGGAGTCACTGTCTCATTTGTTGTTGATGGTATTGCTATTAAGCTCTTAATATGGGCCAGACACTTGTAAGCACTTTATCTGCAGTAACCATTTAGTATTCACAAAAACCCTTTTAGTAAGTACAATTATTGGTCATCCCACTTAGTAGAGATGAAAGCTAAGACTTAAAGAGACTAAATACTTACCCAGTGCCATGCAGTCAGTAAGCTGAGACTCAAGCACAGATCCATCAGACCCCAGTACTGGTGCTCAATTCACTCTCCTCTTCCACCTTTTAGTCCTTAACCATCACGGCACAACGTAGGGGTCAGCAGAATGCCATCAGCACAGAAGACAAGGAGAGCGGAAAAGAGCAATAGGGTGGATTCAAGGCCATGGTCTTGGGAAGACTTTTGAAGTGTAGAAGATAATTTGGCCACACTGGCTGTGTGCTAATGCTTGAAGACAACTAGTCAATCAACATTTTCAGAGGCAGCTGCAGAGGCATCCAGCTCTGAGAGGTAGCAACTGAAGGCTGGACTGTTTCTACCCATCTCACTTAACCCTTACAAAGCCACCTCCAACACCATTGCCATTTTACTAATGGAGAAACCAGGCTGAAGTAGTTATCTTATCTACCAGAGGTCACAAAGTTAGAAATTGTCAGGGCAGGTATGTCAGCTCAGCTGGAGACACAAGGTCAGAAGGAAGAAAGTGGAATGTGACCAGCATATTCATCCTGAAATCATTTGGGGAAAGATTTCTATATAAAGAGAGATAATGCACAGAAACAGCATGGAATCTGCCTCTCCCTTTCTCTGTGTCTGTTACTTTCTCTCTTTCTCTTCCTCTCTGCCTCTGACCTCCTGCCCCTGTCTCTTCCCTACACACACACACAGCCCTAGTGCAGTTGAAAAGGAAAAACAAACAAACAAAAAAACTGAAACAATGAGATTTTTAAGGAGGAAAACCAAGCAGTATTACTGTATTACTTTTCAACTTGTTTAATTCTTGAGATCCTATCTAGTAAAGTGAGAGAGGTTAGTATGCTTTATCTAGAAAGACCATTAGTGGCTGGGTGCGGTGGCTCACGCCTGAAATCCCAGCATTTTGGGAGGCCGAGGCGGGAGGTCAGAAGTTCAAGACCATCCTGCCCAACATGGTGAAACCCTGTCTCTACTAAAAATACAAAAATTAGCCAGGCGTGGCAGCGGGCACCTGTAATCCCAGCTACTCAGAAGACTGAGGCAGAGAATTGCTTGAACCTAGGAGGCAGAGGTTGCGATGAACCAAGATCACACCACTTGCACTCCAGTCTGGGCAACAGAGCGAGACTCCATCTCAAAAAAAAAAAAAAAAAAAAAGAAAGACCATTAGTGATTTAATTGTAATTTTGATAGTGGGTCTACTTTTTGATTCCTTAAATATGTTAGAATTATCAGTGGTATGTATGTGATCCTACATAATGTAAAAGTCATATTTAATTAAATTAATGTAAGTGAAATAGTTCAGTTGGCTTATCTTGTTCATTTTCTCTAACTAAATATCAGCTTACACCAAAAATTTTATTAATCACAGTAATGAGAATTTTTATATTAAATATATATATTACATTTAGTTTAAACGTTAATAGTCTACATTATTTTAATAAATTGTACTAAGGGAGTATATATGGAATAAGTCTCTCATGCAGATTTTATTGGTTGCTGCATAGTTAATAGACACTAATGTGATCAGAGCCTGGATGTGATCATAAGATCAGTAGTTAAAATGATTGAAATATAAATTAGGAGCTGGAATAATTGTTTGTTAGAAGCTCAGATAACTGTTTGGTAATGCTCAGAGGGTTGGAGAAATAAAACATTGAAATGTGCAGCAGTAGCAGGGGAAAGAAACATTTTGAGGCAGACAAAGCCACGGCATGCTTTTCTGCTAATTGCTCCTGTCTTTCTCTCTTGCTCCATGGAGGCCTGACGTACACCTCTGCCCTCCTTTATCTCGCCCCTCTGGATTCCTGAGTGGCCTGCTACTCCACTTCTGTCTTTCTCTGTTCCTGGCTTCTTTACTCACAGTCTGTAAGTCCTCACTGATGATGACAAACACCATGCTATCATCTTACCATTAACATGTCTGATTCTTTGAGAACTGGTAGAAAAAGCACCCTTGTTTCTCGTGGGCTAGAATCCTCTTTCTTCTAGGTCAGGGTTGGCACATCTTTCCTGTCAGGGGCTCTCGTTGATGCTAAAATATTTTAAGCTTTATGGCTAATACAATTCTCATTGGAACGGTTCAACTCTACTCTTATGGGTTTAGAAAGCAGCCACTAGACAACAGTATGGAAATGGGTATGGCTGTGTGACAATAAAACTTTACAAGAGCAGACATCAAGCTGAATTTGGCCTACTTGCCATAGTTTGCCACCTCCTGTTCTAAGTTGTCTAATGTCCTGTTGACCCAAAGACACATTTAGCTTTTTCTCTTAAGGGGAAATTCTCTGTTGAAATGTCATTCTCAACAATGGGGTTATAATAAATTTCTTATACTTGTGTGTGTGCTGTGCATTCCTGACAAGGTGAAATGGGCAATTCTTAATAAAATAGAAGCAATCTACACTCCATGCCCTGATAAGCCTGGAGGTTAATTTTAAAAGAGAAAGATTGTATTTAAAAGACTAAATCAACTTTTCTGTCTTATGTAGCAATGAAGACTTTCTCCAGATTTGATGGTGAACAGGCCTAATCCTGAAGACAGACTTTTTGGGTAATTTTGATAGTGAATTTTCCTATCTGGACTTTTGCCTTTTTCTCCTAAATTCTTGATAGAATTACCGGAAAACCATTTTTCTCTTTGTGGAGACCTTGCCTCCTCCCTATCCTCTACACTCCAATTAATTCTCCTGCCTCCTTCATCTTTTAGGAAATGTTTCTTGCTGGTTTGACTGGAAAAGTTCAGGCTTGTTTTCCATGGGGGTTTCGGTGCACATGAGCAATGTGTCCTCTCAATCTCTTGACGACTGAGCAGACACATTAAGGCAGTTAGGGATTTCTGACAGCAATCTACATTACACTTCAAAGTCTCTGACAGCGACTTTTGCATAAAGGGCCCCTGATTTCCTTTTCTTCCACTCAACTGGAAACTGTATAATTTTAACATAGTTTTCTCTTAATCTCTTCCCCAGATCAACTATTTCAACTTTTGACTTCAATTACTCATTTTCAATGCTTGCATGTGTTAAATTCATTAATTTCTATTAAATTCCCTTAATTTACTCACTATGGGCAAAGCACTATGAAAGACAATGTTGATGGAGACAAAGATTTAAGATACCTTCTGCCCTTGAGGCACTAATCATTAACCTGAAATATAAAGTTGCCTGCGGTAAGCCCTAAATGAGTGGCATAAAGGAAGTTGGTAAAGTTTAAGGGACGTAAAGGTTGTTGTTCTAGGGGCTAGAGTGTACTAGAGGAAATTTTGCTCTGTAGTATCCGTGCTGCTTACATGTCGAGAGTACCCAACTTGCTTTGGGGTTACCATACCTCTTTACTCTTAGCCCATTTACTCACGATGGCACTGACTTTATTCCCAGGGGTATCTCATGTTCCAAGCCAAGATAATGCTCCCAGTCCACCCACCTGACCAAGTTGGGTTTACTAATAATCATAAAACCCTAACCTGGATCTCAAATTTTTTCTTTGTGCCACCCAAGAGGCAGTTTCCCTCTTCTGTTATACTGGGTTTTTGTGACAAAGGAGTCTTGAAGCTATTGTGGGCCACCATGCAGATCCTCAAATATAGCCAACACAAAGCAGACCGGTGAGGACCTGAGTCCTGCTGACATAATTTCAGGTCTACATTAGTCTGGAACTGAAGCTAAACCAGACTCTTCATCTTCCTGAGCCATATATCTTTTAGCTTAAGCCAGTTTAAGTTGAGGTTTCTGCTACTTGCAACAGAAATGTTGATAAAGCATATGGCAGTGGGACTTGGACTTGAATGAGGAGAGTATCTTCACAGGTAAGGATGGGATCATGGCTTCCAAACATTTTTATTTACCTACAAACTTCTGTATCTTACAGTGTTGAATACAGTTTTCAAGTTGGGTTAAAATACTGATTCAAAAGATGCTGGAGTTGGAAGCACTCTCTGTGTTCGTCACATTGCCCGCAGACACTTACATCATTGTAGGAATAAAAAATAATCAAAACTGGAAAGGGCATGTCTGAGCATTTTAACATATTTCCTGCTGGAACCCACTCACATTCCCTGGTGGCATCTCCACTGGCAATATACATTGCACTTCAAAGTCTCTATAGTTGGCTTACTTTTTCACCTGGCATTTCTGGGCGTCCAACCTCATGGGGTTTCTTAGCAGAAAATTGCTATTTTTATCCCTCTGTGGATGTATGAGAGGAGAGAAGAAAATTAACATTTTTGAAAATCCACTATGTATCTCAAGTTATAAAGTATCTCATTTAATGTTTGCCATAACTCTAAACAGAAATTACTATTATTCTCTTTAATGATGAAGAAAGACTTGAAGGGCTTATTTAACTTAGCAAGATTGCATAGCAAGTCCACTGAAAGATCAGGATTTGAATCTAGGTACTGTTGACTCCAAAGCCCTTACTGATTGCTTTACATCATGCTGATAGCATTTTCTACATTATCCCTGGCTAATAAGCCATACTCTAGCTTCAACTTCTACCCATTGCCTATGGTAGAGGAGGTGGGGAAAGATCAAGGAAGAATTTCTCTGGTTTGGCTCCTCTGTTGCCCTTAGTGGGGCTAGGTCATTACTGTGGCCCAGTGTCCAAGCTCTTTTCTGCAGCTTCCAGGGGCATCATTGTCTTTGGGGGCAGTTGATTTACATCCCTCATGATTGGTGGTGATGCCTTAAGACTGAGAGTGTAGTGTAGTGGTTGTGACTTTTGGCTGCTGTGAGTCTCTGCAGCTTCTGCTATTAGCAGCAGCAGCTGCTGGGGAGGGGTAAAGGAGGTCTCCAGCACTTGTCACCTCTTCAGGCACTTCCGGGCCCCTCACAGCTGGACAGCCCAGATTCTATCAACACTCTTTAGAGTGCTGTTCACAGCTGGATTCTTGGTCAGCTCTGACGCTGCACAGCTTTTTCAAATAACACTACTTCCAAAGACTATGTTCAAAGTCAGCACTTTTACTCTCCCCGTTGACACCAGCCTTATATTGAGACACTGTCCCTTAACTAGCAAACCTGAAGGACCCAGTGCACCCACTCAGCAGAGCCCAAGTGTAGGTATCCACGCAAGTCAGCAATTGTCTCTAATTCCTCCAACTTCATTAATCACACAGACCAAACTCCAAGATCAGTCCTGAAAGTCCAGCCATTTGCAAGGATAGACAAATAAACTAAAGTTCAGTGGCTAATTTCCTAGACTTGGAATAGGAGGGCTCTGGATTTGAATCCAAGTTCTGCCACCTAATAACCGTGTTATTACTAGACTTCTCTGGAGATTATTACTCTCATGCACAAAATGGGAATAAGTCTCACTCATATGGTTAGGCTTTGTGTCCTCACCAAATCTCCTCTTGAATTGTTATCCCCAGGTGTTGAGGGAGAGACTTGGTGGGAGGTGATTGGATCATGAGGGGGGGTTTCCCCCATGCTGTTCTCATGATAGTGACTGAGTTGTCATGAGATCTGATGGTTTTATAAGGGGCTCTTCCTCGCTTCTCTCTCTTGCTCACTCTCTCTCCTGCCACCTTGTGAAGAAGGTGCCTGCTTTCCCTTCTGCCATGATTGTAAGTTTCTGGAGTCCTCTCCAGCCATGTGGACCTGTGAGTCAGTTACAGCTTCTTTGTTTATAAATTGCCCAGTCTTGGGTAGTATCTTTATAGCAGTGTGAGAACAGACTAATACATCTATTTCATGGGGTTTTTGTGAATATTAAATAAAAAAAGTAAAGGTGCTTAGTATTAATACACAGTATGTACTTGGAACATAGTAACTATTACTGCCGGATATTCTTGGTTCTACTATTATCTCTTCATCTTCACTTGGAACCTATTTCTTTAGATAATAAAAATACAAAGGATCTTATGACTATGATGAATTTTAGTATTTTGCACCTCAACTTTCCAGATGTGGGGGGAAAAGAATCTCTAATACTCTAGGATGTATCCTGAAGATATCCCTGTATTTAGTTGTTGAAACCAAACAACTTCGCCTCAAGTGACTCAACTATCTACTGTTATAGTGCAACTTACTCTGGGAGGGTTGGAGCTCACACTCTGGAAGGTAGGACTTGCAAAGATGGATGAGTTTCAGGGCCAGTGATTAATGCTTTTTGCTCTGCTTTGCAAAGTCCACGGGTCCTCAAAGGGATGTCAAGACCTTTTACCCAAGCCCCATTTGCTCTACAGGCAGATAATTACTTTTAGAATAACGTTTTGTTTTTGTTTTTGTTTTTAAATTGGGTCCTATAGTCTTGAGTTTTCTGAAAGATTTTCTGCTGTGCAGGATTTCTTAAATCAGAAGTAAGAAAGTCATGTCATCCATATTGCTGAGTAAGAAGGAATCTTAATTCTATGCTCACAGCTTTCTTTGATAGGAGTGGGGCAGGTATAAGCATATCTGGAAGGGAAGAAGTTGGCAAGATTCCTCAAGATCTTGGAGATTCTATCATCCTATATCTCTCTTAGGTTTGATTTTAAACTTGCTTTGGGTTGACATGGAACTATCATCTGAAGAGCTCTGTTAAAATAAAGCCTCTTTCCAGAAGGCAGGCAGCATCTCTGCTCACATTCTTTACCTTGGAATTATGTTGTCTTTGGCAGTCAAATACCAGGCTTACTAGCATGTTCTGGTACTGAAGACCCTTCTGTGGTTTTCAGTTGAATACAGTAGAACTGTGGGATGGCTAATACTTTTAGGATAGTAGAATTGAAGCAGAGAAAGAGCACATTGATTGATCCTCTGCTGAAAATGGGATGCATAGGTTGAATGAAAGGGAGAGTTACCTAATGGGTCCAACTGTGTTATAGATAATTCTAAGTCTGGAAAGAAACACAAAGCTCAGTTTTTTACTTAAGGAACTTATGTTTGTGTTGGCAAGGGAAGGCTAAGGCACATGAAGCAACAGGCTAGATGAGGGAGTGTTTGATTAAGTGACAACCAAATGGTACAGACAGAAAGTGCTCCAGGGGCCGGCCTTTGGAGAGATGGCAGAGACAGCCAAGTGTTGACAGGTTTGCAGTGATCTGATGCGTTTGTGAGATGCTTGCCCAGGGTTACAGATGCAGTTGTGACTGCGAACATGGCAGATTCCAAAAATCACATTTCAGTGACGATTTCATTTTTCTCAAGTCCCAAGTCCCTGTTGATTGAGGAAATCACTTTGGAAACATTTCAAGGTCACAGGACAGTATTTTGTGCTTTCTAAGAAGCTATTTAGCTGATAATTTCAACAGTTCTCAAGCTCTAGTAGACATCTAAATTTCTAAATGCATGAGACCAGAATCTGCCTTACTGCCAGTTACTAACCACATGACCTCAAGCTTGTAAACCTTTTAAGTTTTCCTTACTCTGCTGGATGGGGGTGACAGTACCATCCTCACAGGGTTGTTATGAGGCTCATAGGAAGATAATGCATACAAAGTGCTTGGCACATGGAAGGGGTTTTGGGGCAAGACAGGTTTATCATGGTCACTAGTGGACTGGAAAGAAACACCTTTGACGTGAATATAAAATCAGAGAATGTGGAATCAGCAAGGTATCATAGTGGTCACTTGGGCCAAATCTTCATTTCATAGCTGAGGAAACAAAGGCTAAGATAAACTAAATTATTTGCTCAATATTTCAGAGCCAACCAGCAATACAGCTGGACAAACAACCATGTCTCTTAACTGGCATTCCATATATTTCTCTATCACATGACTGCCTACACTGGATGGGTATGACAAGTCACTGAGTCCAGCAACTCTTTTCCTTCCTTCTGCCTCTTTCTTTCACTGTCTTCATCCAGTACCATCAATACCTACTCTGTGTGAGATTGAAAAGTAAACAAGATGCAGTTCTTGCTGTCAAGGAATTGATACCATAGACAATCTAGCTGCTCTTACAGTTCTCAGATTCACTTGGGGAAGGGGGTGAATGAGGAGACGGTCTGACATGGACATTGAAGCTCAAAGGGAGAGACAAACCAGTGGAGTTGTTCAAGTTGGGGTCTAAGGGGAGGAAGATTGAGCTCACATCCTTCCCTTAACCTTGAGCACATTACTGAACCGCTATTTATGCATAAAACAGGGTTGATAATAATATCTACTTTCTAGTGTTGTGCAGATAAATGAGGATGTACTACAATGCTTGGCATGTAACAAGCATTCTGTCAATGTTAGCTGCATTTACACAGAAAAGGCACCAGTGGCATTGTGTAGGAGACAGCAGAATACTAAAAACAGAATCATGGAATCATGAGAAGGGATGTCTAATGCCAAGTAGTAACCCTATTTCAACCCTTGGAGGAAAGTCCTTGTCAACAGTGATTTCTTTGCTTTTGGAGAGTGGCCCCAAGATATTGCACCACTCAGAAGACTCAAAGTTACTAAAGCCTTTTTCTAAAGAATGAACTTGTTCACCCTCTCAACTTGGCACCCCACAGGCAGATGTAGCTCAACAATATGGGACCACCTGAATCTTCTTGGCAAGTCAAGTTGATCTGGACTCCTTAAAAAATATATTTTTGTCCCATGATCTTTTCTTAAATCAGTTTCTGTTCAGCAGCTTCATCTGGGTACCTTAGCTCCCCTTGTTCCTTCCAGACGTATTTCAGATACATTTTTTAATCAGCCCTATTATTGCACAGTCTTTTCAGACTTTCTCTCAATGTAATAAGAATACCCACCATTTCCTTTTACAGTGATTTATGACTTTATTAAGGCTCCTAGATTTCTGTTCAGATTTCTAATCTGTTGACTTGGGTTATTTTGTATGATTTAATTATCGTCAGAGGTTTTGCTAAAGGTAGAGACACCTGAATTTAATTAATGCACTGTTTGCATATTTCACATCATAAATAATGATGCTCAGTAAATTACATCTTAATACTAATCCCGAAGTACTCTTTATAAAATCTCCCCGTATTTAAAGCCCTGCCATTGATCAAATCCTTGTCGATGGCACTTAACATCTAAATTTTTCCCAGGACCTTTTTGACCACTAGGATGTCTCTTTTCTTTTACTTAATTATATAATAGTTATATCCAGAACTTTTAAAAGTTGATTGGTAAAGATGGAGAGCACGGAAAGCAACACAATTTGATTTCTTCTCTGAGGTTTTCTTCTCCAGACATACAAATACTAAGAATCTAGTGGGGGTGTCAGGAGCTAGTTCACATATTTCTAATTTCTTAATTGCGAATAAAGACAAAGATTGCTGTGGGTTATGGTGAAGTTCATAGGCCACTGTCCAGAATACAGTTCCTTCAAACTGTGCAATTCAAAGTCACCACTTTAATAAATTATTTCAATTTTACTTTCATCAAAGAGGTAAAAAGCCAAAGCCTTTTAGCATCTCATTTCACTTATACATATAGCCCATTATAACCTGCATAAACAAGGATGACAAGTTGAGATTAATGAGAGTCCCCAAGTGACAGAACAATTTAATTGTCAGAAATCATAGGAGCTGAACTTTACCAGTGTATTTATATAAAACAGCCATAGTCTAAAAACTTCCCTAATTGATTATGACCAATAAGTAATCGCTTGGAAAGCAGTTTTCTGGTATACAAATAACAAATGACTCATAATAGTTAATTGAGGTATTAAGATGCATAAGGGAAGAATATTAGATTGACTAGATAAATGATTCATAATGCTAGGCAAATAATTGGTGAGTTCATACTCTTAAGTAGAATATAGCTCATAAGCAACACTGAAAGTACATCAAATAAAGGGAACTGTGTTTGCTAAATGAACTCCCAGCTAATTGGGTATTATAGCTATTGTACTCCAGACTCCAGTGGATCCTTGCTTTCAGGCAAAGCAGCCCTCTTATAGATCTGTCTAAGCTAGAATTCTTAGCTTGGATCCTGCAGGCCTTGCAACGTGAGGGTGAGGTTGGAGGGTGGAAGTGGTGGGTGGAGCAGCCAGACACATGTAGAAAGTGGATTGCATTGTGGCTGAGCTGATAATATGGCACCCAACCCTAAATTTCAAGGCTAGGTCTCTGAGTGGCCAGGGGCCCAGTGTTCAGGGGTCCAGAGCAACTGTTGTGCTGTCCCTTTTATCGCTCCTCCTGTTCTGGGTTGACCTTACTAGAAGGTGGCAGTAGCTGCTTTCTGTGATAGAACTTTGAGAATCCTCTGCACCTAAATATATCTCTACCTCAGTTTGTGCTAGATTGTTCTCCATCTCAAATCCCAGATGTTTAATGCCTTGGCTTTTGAGAGTATCTCAGATGGATATAATTAACAGTTTGCAGAGATGAAAGCAAGTCCCTGCCAATAGGAAATGTAGGAGATGCTGGGAGGGGACGCATGAGAGCATCGGAAACTGAGGAAGAGAGTGAGATAGTCAAAGGGAAAATTTTCTTAATTCATGACTTTGCAAGTGGTCGTCTCAGACCATACGTCCCAGTCCCAGACTTACCATACCCCAGCCCCTATTTCAACTTTCACCAAAAGAAAAAAGAAGAGAAGAGGGAAGGAAATAAGAGGGAAAAGATGGAGAAATGGGGGAAGAAGAGGGACAGGAAGGGAAGGAGAAGAAAGAGAAAAAGGAGAGGAATGAGAGAAGGTAAAGAAGTAATTAAGTAATTTATTAACTAAATAATTAAGAGTATAGGTTCTAGAACTACTGCATTGTGATTGTGGGCAAATCACTTAACTGTTTTGTGTCTCAGTATTTTATCTGTAAAATGGGGTGATAGTAGGTCCTCCCTTGTAGTGACTTTGGTTATTAAATGAGTTCATACAATATAAAGTTCTTAGAGCAGTTCCTGGCACAAAGCAGTCAATGAGCAATAGCAATTGTCATTTCTAAGCATTTTTTCATACATGCCAGGCACTGGTATCTAACCTTCAGTGGGTTACGTAATTTTATCAATGTAACAGCAAAAATGAAGTGGCTGAAACCAAGCTTTCAAATGCCAGGTTATTTTGTTGTTGTTGTTGTGTTTTTTAAATTTTTAATTTGGGGGTACATAGTAGATGTATATATTTATGAGGTAAATGAGATGTTCACAATGAGTAATAGTCACATCAGGGTAAATGAGGTATCCATCACCTCAAGCATTTATTCTTTCTTTGTGCTATGAATGTTCCAGTTTCATTCTTTTATTTTGAAATTCACAACAAATTATTGTTAACTACAGTTGCCTTATTGTGCTACTGAACACTAGGTCTTATTCACTCTTTCTAACTATATTTTTGTACCCATTAACCATCCCCACTTCCCTGCATTCCCTGACCCCCAACTAACCTTCCGTGTCTCTGGTAACCATCATTCTACTCTGTCTTCATGAGTTCAATTGTTTTAAATTTTAGTTCCCACAAATAAGTGAGAACATGTAAGTTTGTCTCTCCATACCTGGCTTATTTCACTTATCATAATGACCTCCATTTCCATCCATGTTGTTGCGAATGACAGAATCTCAGTTTTTTTTAATGACTGAATAGTACTCCATTATGTATACGTACTCTTTATATCCGCAAAATGGGATTTTAAAATCCTATTTTAAAAAAATTATCTTCTGCTGATTGTACACTGATGGGAAACTTCTCCAGGAGCAAACTTGATATTCCCCCTTGGCTTCATCTTAGTTAATTTAAAAATAATAACATCTTTATTTAATTCAGGGGAGAGATAAGCAGTATTTGTTATGTGAATACAAAATATGTGACCAACACTATTGTAGGTAGATGATGCCTTTCCTGATTTAATCCCCACCAAAACTTTGAGCAATAGAAGATATTCTCTTTTTATTTTGAAAATGAGAAGGTGAATTTGGTCAAGATTAAGTGACCAAACTCTGTGCTTTGTACTCCTCCCCACTGGGGCCTCCTCATTCCCAATTTTGCCTAACATATATTCTGGCACAGAAGTGAGCACTGAATAAATGCCAGTAGAATTAAATTCTACAAATGCTTGAGTTACGCTTCATGGTTAATGGGTGAATACATTTATATAGAATAACACTTTTCCATTCTCCCAACTAGAACACCAACACTCAGTGCCTGATGGTGGTTTGGGAGCATTAGTTAGAATAGGAGACTGTACTTACATACATACTTATTTTAACTGTAAAGTTAAATTGATATATTTAATGCACAGCTATAATATGAATATATTGTAGCTATAATATTGGGTACATATGTGTACATAGCTATAATATTGAGTACATATATGTACTCCCAATTATCTGGGAGTTCACTAAGCAGTACAATAAATACATTAATAAACATAAAGAAAATCTTTATGGATTTTAGTACAACTTGTGAATTTAGAAACAGGTTGTGACTCTCCTCTGGGAAAATTCCTATGATGACCTCTCATGTTCCTTGGGGCAATGAGCCTCAGTTCTTAGAGGTATCTGCCTTTCTTTGAACACATACTGCTCCTCTCCAGATATCTGCATAGCTCACATCTTCACTCCTAGAAATCTTAGCTGAAATGTCAGTCATCTTCTCAATGAGGTCTACTGTCACCACTTTTTATTTTATTTTTTGATATAGGGTCTTTCTCTGTTGCTCAGGCTGGAGTGCAGTGGTATGATCTCAACTCACTACAACCTCAACCTCTTGGGTTCAAGTGATCCTCCCACCTCAGCCTCCTGAGTAACCGGGACCACAGGAGCACATTACCACGCCTGACTAATTTTTGTATTTTTTGTAGAGAAGGGGTTTCACTATGTTGCCCAGGCTGGTATTGAACTCCTGAGCTCGAGGAAGCTGCCAGCTTCAGCCTCCCAAAATGATGAGATTATAGGCATGAGCCATCCTGCCTGGCCCCTCATCGCTTTATTTAAGAAGACAAGCTACCTTAGTCCCCAACTCCAGCTTCCTAACTCTTGACTCCCTTAGCCTACTAAATTTTCTCTTTCTTCCCTAGCACATAACATGTTTTAGCTTGTAGAAGAACTTTCTCATTTATTATCTTTATTGTTTATTGAGCCTCCCCCCAGCCCCAGGAGAATGTAATCCAGGAGGGCCTGGATCCATCTCTTTTATTCATGGATATATTGCAAGTACCAAGAAGTGCATCTGTTCAGTAAAGCCTGAATGAATGAACTAACAGACAACAAAAAATATTTGTTGAATGACTAGAGGGTAACTTAACTTTTTCTCAGATAATTCAGTATTTATAAGAAAGTTTAAGAAATGCTTTTGATTAAACTATTCTCATTATCTTAAAGTTAATAACGATCAACTCTAGATCTTTTTAAAAACTGTGCTCATTTTATTATCTGTCCTGCCTTCCTAATTTTCACCTAAAGATGTAAAACTAAATATACTATTTGTTCACTTTGCAAGTACAAAAAAAAACTCAAATATGAAAAATTTGACTTCTAATTTTTGGTGACTGTCAGATGCAAAGAGAATGTGCTGCCATCTTCCTCTGTCCCACTTGTTTTCACACACAAGGCAATCCAAGCACTAAGTTGCCATTTGTGTGCTCAGGACTGCTCTGCTGATAAGTGGTTGGGATTTGGAAGAGACACCTAAATACCGATGGTTGACCTCCCAGCACATTCTTGTTGGACTCTATCACACTACCCTATCAACCTGGTTAGTGTGTTATGCATGTCACTCTACTAGTGACAATAGGGGAATTTATTCCTTAAATCTCATGAATGTCTTTTCTCCTTCTTCTCTTCTTATATCATCTCCCAGACAAAGCTGGAGTTCAGGTGAACTGCAAAGTGGTGTGAGAGCTCCTGCTATGGTGGTCCAGCTCTCATCTGGCACTTCTGCTTGATAAGCTCAGAGCAGTTCTTTTAGACTGCCTCTTGTAGGCACGCTTGAAAAACAACCCAGTTAGCATTCCCCTAGCCTTCATCTATGATTTCACTGGGAAACTATGCATTAGATACTTTGGAAATAAATATACACAAGAAATTACAACTCAGTTTGAATGACCCTCTACCTTGGAATGTCTAGAACTGTGAGTTATAAGGCCAAGAAATATGTCCAGGCCTGCTGGCTCAAAAAGTTGCTATTCCTTATATGGAATCTGGACAGACAGGGAAGCTGAAGTTGTATAAACTAAACGGAGATTTTTTTTTTTCCCAGCCACTTACGTGCCTCATCCTTGACCTATTTCATTTATAGGTTCCTTTAAGATATGATGCCTTGAGAGTTCGTTGCCTTCTTGCCAGTCTTCCAACAACAATTTTAAGAACAGCCAGTGCTTTACATGGACTTTAATTATATTGGAAAATCCAAGGAAAGGACCAGAAAGGCCATGAGTGTGGTGATGCAATTATATCAGTAGAAGGTTAGACCTGCTAACAGTGAGGGGATCCGGCTAGAGCAACCCAAGTACAGTCGATTCATTACTGTTGGAAATTTTTAAATGCAGACATTCAGAAATGTTTAGTCTGGTTTTCAGTAAGGAAGAAGGGCAAGTAGATTCAAACAAGGACCCGCATGCTGCACAATAAGTACTTTTTTTACTCTATTTCCTTGATAATGGAGAAAATGAAACAACAAGCTATGAACTTAAAGCTAGAAGGAGAAATTCTATTCTTTAATAGGAGTAGTTATTTTTTCTTACACAATCTAGAATAGGGACATTTCGCAATCTTGGCTTACACAGAATATTTTAAAGTAAGTAATTCAGAACACTCAAAGTACGTTTGCTTTCGCTAATCCTTGTCAGCAGTTCTGAAGTCTTTCTAGGTTCAAATCCCAGCTATACCATTAACCAGGATAAGTTTCTTACGCTCTCTAAACTTCAGTTTTCTCACTTAGAAAATGAGGATTAAAAATAGTACCTACTGTACAGAATAGTTGGAAGAGTTTAAGAAGTTAAGACAACATAAATAAGAGACTGATGAGTACTTAGTGTCGCATAAATAGAAACAATTATTACTCTCACTAGCCATGTTTATTGATTGAATGGAGCTTTAGAAAAGTAGAAAGTAGATCATAAAAAAGTCCCGTACGTAATGAAAAGTGGCCCCCTGAGTCTGAACACACTGCCTTGTTACTCAAAATTTCTTCTTTTCTAGACTTAGGTGTATATTTTCAGTAGAAGTGGGGAAGAATGACAATTAACTAAACAATCCAAAGGAAGTGCTGGATCTTTGCATTTGTTATTGCAATTTTTCAGATGAAAGCTTGGGTTTCCTAGATGCTTAAATTACAGTACGATCTCACACTTGTACTTCATGAGGTTGCATTGGGATGTAGATATTTACGGATTGACCTACAGACTAAAAAACAAAGCAAAGAATCAAACAAAACAAAAACCGACAAAATATTCTTCTTCTTAAAGCCTGGATGATGATATTAACTTATACTGCTTTCATTTCAAGGCTTTTTTTTTCAAAGTGCGGAGTCGCCGAAGAGCGGACTTCACTTAGGGTACCCGGAAAGCACATGGAAGCGAGCCCACTCACTCATGTGAAAGAGAAACGCTCACCTTTGAGAAACATATTAGAATTCCAAAATGAGTAAATCTGAGAGAAGATGTTTTAGTTGTAGCACACATATTAGTTTTGTGATTTAAGACTGGTGTTTTTATTTTAAATGCACAGCAGGAGGGAAAGGTGGGGCCTTAAGCGTTTCTGTGCTTAGCGCCTCTGCAGGCCTGATCTAGCCCTGGTCTTGTAGATGATTGTAATACTTTTATAGCTATTCAGGTATTTTGTCACCAAAATAAATATATAGTTTATATTTAGGCAAGGCTAAAGGAGGGAATCTCAAATTTGTTTACAAGCTCAGTAATGGAAATAGAATGAGTACCAAATATTTCTATATCACTTGAAAACACCATTCATTGTTAGAGGCTCTGATATAATTTAGGCTCTGGGTAATTTTGATTTTGATAAACCTGATTTTCTAGTTTTTAAAATCTCTAATCGCCAAGCATCTAGTTTTTTCTCATTAGAGAAGCTAATGCTCTCATAATACTTAATATTCTCCATTTTCAGCAAAGCTAGCTTTAAATATTTCCTAATGCTAATGCCTGATTTGTCTAAGCATTTTAGCTAAATCTAATCTTTTATTACTGTTGATGCTCATCTCTATTTTCAGATGGTTAATTTGCTGACTTTCTGCAAAGTTCAGTTTTTGTTACATGTCTGATCAAGCTTAACAATAATTTCCTATATTAGCCAAAGGAATGTTTGTTTATGAGCTTAGAGTCATATTTATTAACATCCATGATTAACTGAAAATTGCCCCATGTGGTATTTCAATCCACAAATGTGTTTTGATTAGAAAAGGGACAATTATTCCATTTGCATTTGATTCTAACACAAATGGTATAATTTTCAGCTCTCTTAGTCAAACAGTTAGTAGTGAAGAAAAGAAAAGGTAAGGCCTTAGAAAGACTCCCATTATGGCTGCGGCTTTCTTATCACTTAGACCCTAGTATAATTTTGTTTTTGGTAGCACATTTCTATGAAATAGTTAGTATTGATAATTACCTTAATTGTTCATATACTCTATAAAGTATCACTGGGGCATTATCTATTATGTCGCCTGACATTGATTATTGTGTACTTTCGAACATATTTCATCCTCTTTAGGATTGGATGTCTGACTATTTAGATTTAATACTTGACAAATATTATGCATGTAGAAATCCAGTAAATAAGAAAAAATATATTTTGAGGAGGTGATTTATGTTCTCTTTAATTCCAAGTACTTTCTCTGACGCTTTCATGACCTGATCTAAATCTCCAAGTTCACTTTTTTTATCCAGTAGAATAGAATTTAGCTTCTCACGGACTGCTTGGGCACATGGCAAGGGATTCTTTCTGAGAGTCTGATGCCACTGGAATCTGGAATCTGACTTTTTGAAGTTCTGCCCGAATGGTTAGTAGCTCAGGGTGGTCTTTAGAAGCTGTAGTCCCAGCATAGAGTCTCATGGATCCCCGAGGCATGACTGGTCTGGTTAGCCTCTCCAGAACTGCTGATACAGGAGTCACCTCCTTGGAACTGTTTGTGGACCCAGTCACTTTCCCTGGAGATAAGAACAAACTTTTAGAACCAAAATTCTTGCACCTTCCTGTTAGACTGGGGGTTACTCTTTTATTTGCAATTCAGAATGAGAACTTTGATAAGATTATCTGACTTTTGTTGTTGTCTTCCTTGGGTTGAGAGCTAACTAGGCACGTAAATTTTGGTCTTATTATCTTTTTAGGCTGGGTCTAACAGAATGACAGAAAGGCACCAGTAGCTAGCACAATTCCCAACAGTCTCTATAATATTGACTCACTGAATGAATGAATGAATGAACAAGTGAGTTTTTCAGATATCTGTGTGACCACAGACTTGATGCTCCCATTTCAAGCTTCTATGATATCAGATTTTTTTTTTTTTACCCTGTTTGGTCAATTAGCTTTACCCAAAAGTTTTGCTCTAATTCCTAAAAAACTTCATATGAATTGGAAACGCTTCTTTCTTTTGATCAGCTTTAATCTGCATAGAACCTCCTTTTCATGCCAGAATGCCAGCTTTAATAAATCAGGCAGCTCAAATTGAGTAAATCTATTTAAATACTTATAAAATATTAAGGATGCATTTGGGAAAAGCCTCTAAGGTTATTGTGGCCCCTGAGCATCTCACAGTAACTAATTTATTAAGCAGTTTGCAAACCTGGGAAGAAAGGAAAAAGAAAAATGTTTTCATAAACCAAGAGCAGAAGCCAATTTTTCAGCTCAGATGATGAAAGGAAGCATGCATTTCTAATCAAAAAGACAGATAAGCCTTCTCTCTCCCACCATTCCCTCACCGGCAAAGTGCCTTTTCATCATCAACAACACTCCATTCCTAATGGCTGCCTGGGCCTTTCTGCACCTTCTCCATACGCTGGTAATGTACACACAGCATCCCTTTGAAACAAGAGCCCATTAGCTGTGGCAGACTACCTTTTCACATGACGCTCTTCTGTTGCAAGTCATCAGCACAGTGTTAAATCATTCTTACTGGGCATGCTCAGAACCCTGTCAGAGGGATAAACTGATATTTAGAGCTATAGCATGAAAATTGGTTTTCAGCCCCCTTGAAGGACAGTTTAAAAAAAAAAAAAAGGAAAAAAAAAAGGGAAAAGGTCATAAACTAGACAGGTAACACCAAGCTCATTTTTTCTACCTTGGAGCTTTTCTTCTTTGGATTTCTTTGGGTGATCGTTTGTGACTCTCATTGTGATGTACGTCATGGCTGTCCTTTTGTGCATAGAGTAGAGTCAGGGTCTACATATTGCTATTGTTAGATATTCCAGGTCATTCTGCCCCCCACCCAACACTTAGTGTCACTCCCCTCCCCCAACAAGTCAATAAACATCTGTATTAATGACAGCTGTCATTTTAAATGAGTTTGGCCTGCCTTGTAGGGTTCAGAAGTATTATCTTTCCATTATTCTTCATGCTATCATACACAGGTGACGCAAAGGGTAGCAGTCATGGGGGCCTATAGAGAATCCTATCTCACAGGCCCTTAGTCTTAATGCCTTAATGGTCTCATCATTTTCCACATGCCATCCTGAAAGAGGGCCACCTTGTTCCTCCTGCCTCTTTCCACATGGGTTTATCAGGCATGAATTTTATATAATAGTAACTGTTTTTTGTTTAATACAACATATGTAAAGCATATGGAAATGGTTGGAAACAAGAAATGTAGAGTTTGTAAGGGTCACTTTGTTAGTAAGGGTCACTTTGTTATTTATTTTTAAGAGCCAGTGTCAACAAATTGCATGGTAAACCTAGCTATGGCTTATCTGAGAATCATCCACCATGTTTATGCAGGAAGTAATAAACATAGTAATAATAGCGGTCATTTATTAATAATAAATTACTCATTTATTAATAATAGAAATGGTGTATTACTTTTATTACATAAAAGTAGCAAACGTAGCGCCAGAGTGCAGTGATGGTTTTCAAAGACCCACTGACTGGAAAAAAACGGGTTACTAAGGTTAGCCTATATTTTCTTTTACTCAGGGTAAGCAGAAGGAGGGGACTTGATTTCTGACATGTTGCACATTTATTTGGAGTCAACTCATTTGTTATTTTAGGCCTAGATTCCTAAGTGCATTTTCTTAAGGTGCTTACATGCATCCTGTATCCATGTCTTTCTTCCACCAGGAAGCTGGTTGGGACATGCTCAAAAATGGGGCTTGAGTGAATTATTTTTCTGCCAATGAGTGTGGTGGAAGGAACTATAGACTGTCATCTTTACCAGCAGGCATGGTGACATTTCCTCATAGCTCTGAGTAATGCAGGGGGAGATTAAGACCAAGTTGAGTATTGCTATTTCCGAGCATAATTCATTTCCTTGACATCACTAATGCCTTCTGACATTTCTCACCATATCCGGGGCCTCTGGGGACAGAGCCCTGTGTGACTACAGTTGCTCTGATCTGGCCCAGTTCAGTTAGCTTCAGACATTAGCAAGTGGGAGTTTCTGGGGCCCTGTGATTTTGCTTTTGATGGAGCTGGTCCTTTAATGGGTCACCACCTGAATCATCAATGTTTTGATGAAGCATTCAGCCAAGTAAGGGGCAAAGCATAACCATCAGAGAACTAATACTGACTTTCCCCACCCTGCACTGCAACCACTCGCCAGCCAAGTGGCAGGAGAAAGCCTGGCAGTTGCACTGGCTTTTCTGATGATAAGATTCACCTGGTCATACAAAGACTGACCTCTTCCAGAGAAAATCGGATTCAGAATGTCTCCTCTGAAGCCTGAGAATCTGGCTGTACTAGGAGCCCCCAGTGATTTTCCTCAACAGGAAAGGGACTTTGTAAGGATTTTGGGGAAAGTTCTTACGTGCCAAAAATTCCTGCCTGGACAGCAAGTTGATGAGCATTTTGACTCTTTAAATGAACAAAGTCTACTGGATAAAATGATCCCAAAGAACAAGCTCAAGTATCAGAGAAGGGTAAAGGGAGGAAAGAAGAACGTGACCAGATGAAAAAAAGTATATTAAAGCTCCGGAAAACTCTATAAAACTCAAGGCAGTGGTGGGGGTGAGGGGATTGGATGGGGGAACTAAAGGAGACTCAAACCCCAAGATGGTTATCTCTGCCTTCTTGCAAGGGCTGGTTTTAATCACTTTCTTGTAACTTTGCTGGTGTCATTTGTCAAACCTTTGAATAAAAGTTGCAAAGTGAGGTTATTCAGCGGGTACTTTCATCCATCTCCAATTACTGACCAGAGTAGGGGGTGTTTTGCCATTCCCTGGGTCTCCAGCTTGTCACCTGCTTTTGTTCTATCCTGTAAGGCTCAGCACCAAGCTGGAATGGAGTGCAGCATCAGCCCACCCCACCGTCCCCGCTTCCCTGCTCCCAGCCCCTTTCAAACAAAGCCCTTTGCAGCCTGTTGCATGCACCTTCTGGGTGTGCTCTCCTGGAGTCTGCTTTAGAGACTTCCTCTTGTGGGGATTTACCGATTTGAAACAAATCCCTTAGCTTTGGTCCTGAATCCCATAATTTTCAACTGTGTGATGATCAGAGTTGTTCATCAGCCTTAATAACAATGTGGTAGAAGCAGGTTTCCTCCTGCTGCTGTTCTGTCACTGCTGTGCCACCTGCTCCATCCCTGGGGGGTGCCACCAAGCTCAAGTGTCTGCAGTTGACCTCACCAATTGTTGAGAGGAAGGATAGGCACAGGTACATGGGTCAGATGGAAACAAGAATATCCTCACGCACAAGATGTGGCCCCTTATGTTAAATCCAAAGACAACTGAAAATGTCAGTGGCTAAAGTTTATGAAGCACTTAGCATGCTCCAGGCAGTATTCCAAGGGTTGTGCATGGGTTAATTATTAATCCTCACAACAACCCTACCAGGTCAGTAATATTATCAAGCACATTTCTCAGATCCAGTCCATGATCACATGGATAGGAGGTGAGAAAATGGACTCAGGCCCCCAGGCTACCAACATGAGACCTACTGAGCATGTGGCTGGCCTTGAAGGGAGGTGGGAATTTGACGGAGGATAGTATCTCTAGATAAGGGGAGGAGGCACAAGGGGCACTGTGGGTTGAACAGGCAGCCAGAAAGCACTCGGAGAAGCATTCTGGATGACAACTTGTGTGAAATTAAAAAAAAAAAAATCCAAGTAAAGGTTTCGGGAAAGGCCAGTATCTGGAACTGTAAGATGATTAGAAATCATCCTTTGCCTTGGACCAACTGAATGCACAGAAACAAGGCATAGGTGGCGAGTAAGGCCAGTGGAGTGATTAGGAAGAGGGACAGAAGGGCATGTCTAAGCTGTCACAGCTGCAGGTCCACTCAGGGCTGAGCCTGGAACCAAGCAATCATGACTTGATGCCAGTGGAGAGAATAATTGTGTTGATTGACATATGAATTTGAATATAAACACTTTGAAATGTTTAATTTTGAATTCACTTGGCCCTTTATGAACGTTACACATAACTTAATTTCCAAAAGTATTTATCTGATTTTAATTGTATATAAGATGATAATACTGGTTTCATTGCTAAGGGTATCTCTTTCCTGGCCCACATACATTATTTTTCTTTTTAGCCTTTCTTTAAAATGATGCAAGGGGAGATAGTATTATATTATCTAGCACATTTAATGCAAACCAGATATGTATTTTGAAAATTCATATTTTTTATTTTTTTAGAAACAAGGTCTTATTTTGTTGTCCAGGCTTGAGTGCAGTGGTCACTGTAGCCTCTAACTTCTGGGCTCAAGGGATCCTCCAATTTCAGCCTCCAGAGTAGCTGGGACTACAATCATGCACTACCATGCTTGACTAATTACTTTTTTATTTTTTGTAGAGTTGGGTCTTGCTGTTTTGCCCAGGTTGATCTCAATCTCCTTGCCTCAAGCAATCTCTCTGCCTCAGCCTCCCCAAGTGCTGGGATTACAGGTATGAGCCACCACACCAGATCTTAAACATGTTTACTAGACACATTAAAAGCATAAAAAGAATTACAGAAAATTATTTTCAATAATATATTTTATTTAATCCAATGTACCAAAATATAATTTCAACATTTATTCAACATAAGACATTAATAAAATATCTTTACATTATCTTTCTTGAACCAGGTCTTTGAAATCAGGAGTGTATTTTTACATTCATGGCACATCTTAGTTCCAACTAGTCACATTCCAAGTGCTCAATGGCCACACGTGGTTCGTGGCTATCATGTTGTGGGGGCACAATTCTAGCGGCTAACAGTCACCCCACTGGTCATATTCTGGCTCTCTCGCCTTTTAGCTGTACAGACTCAGAAAAGTTAGTTAACCTCTGTCAGCCTCATTTTTCTCGCCATAAAGTAGAGATAATAATAAGGACCAAATGAGTTCATGCATGAAACTGCACTGAACCTGGGCACAGTTTTGAGCTCCTGGGATGCCCTCAATAAATTTCAACCATGCCAGGACTATCACAGCAAAGCTACTGCCTACCCTGGCTTCCATCATTCAGAACTTGCCCAGACTAAATATAATGTTCAGTTTCTGAAAACATTAGACTCTCCATTTCTCTCTATAATTTTTTATTATACACGTGTAGAGACACACATCTATATTATATCTTTATTTTAACCTAGCAATTCTCAATTGTTTATGCCCCACACCCCCCACCCAGGGAACATTTGGTAATGTCGGGAGATGTTTCTGTTGTCACAACTCGGGGTGGGGTTGCTGCTGGCAACCTAGTGGATGCTGCTAAGCATCTTACAACTCATGGGGCAGCCCCTCCATGACCCCAAATTTCAATAGTGCCGAGGGTTAGAAACCATTTTAACCAGACTAAAATGTGGACACACATGTGTATATGTGCCTTTATTATTCTTTGGTGTCGTTTGGGACAATTTAGAAGGTAAATTATAAGTAAACTATCATGGGAAGACACCCATCCATGATCCTTGTGATGTCTGTTACTTGTTGTGTAGAGGGTCTCTGCACAAGAAATTCCCTATATAGGCTTCTTCAGGCTTTCAGGAGGGGAGGCAGTATGGTTTAGGGAGTCAGATGTGGGAGGCAGATGAGCTCCCACACTCCTGTGACCTGCCACCAGTCAGTGGAGGCTCCACCATTGTGGGGCTGATTGGAACATGACAAGGATTTGGCTGCCACTGGACTTGCTTGCTTGCCAGGAGCGAGTGCCATGTGAAAGCTGACAGCTGCCTTCCTGCCCCCTGAAGTCTGCAGGGTCACAGGAGCCAAGAGAAGGAGCAGCAGCCCCGCAGTGCCAGCTCTGGGGCAGGTGGCCCCATGAGGAGGGCCCTTCCCACTACTCCCCCCCAGTTATAAGCTGTGACAGATTTACTCAATTCACTCCAAGACTGCTGAGAAATGGTTCCACCGCCCCGCTTGTAGCTCGTTTTAGAGTGCCCTGTTTATTCGCAGGGTTTCCTCGGGGATTTGTAAGCTCCAAGCTACAAGGGGAGTGCAACAGCTTGCTTTTTCTCCTTTGTGTTCTCTTGGGAAGTCCTTGCCGGGGTTTCTTCTAGTCTTGGTTTCTACAGTTGTGTGCTTTTTCCTCTTAGTATTGTGCTATTTTCCCTTGTTTTTTTTCCCGTTAAAGTCTTTTGAGTTTCTTGGGTTCATTTTAGAAGTATCATTGTACACTGCATTGGCATTGAGGCTCATTTCATAAAAAGCCCCAGTGGATGGAGGGTTTCAGTTTCCTTTGCTCTAGATTGTATGGAAAACTCACTTGTGGATCTTCTTGCTGCAAAAAGCTGCTTTGATGCTTTTTTGGTTTCTGCCTTCTTAGGGGTAGCTGTTTTATTTGTGATTTCCTGGCTAACTGTTGATTATGTCTGTCATTCCCGGTGACTAGAAAGGATCCCTCACACTGCCCTCTGTTCATGAAGGTGGATGTGTGGTTCTGGAGAAATACAACACTGTGAAGCAACTTCAGCTTCTCATGCTGTACCTGGTAGCAGGGCTGGTATAGCAGAGATGCCTTGACTGCAAACTGCAGTGGCCACTGGTTCTGGTGACCTAGTTCTAACCCACCCCAGACTAAAAGACCACACTCAACAAAAGAGTATGAGCTGGGAGCAGAATCCCCTTATTGTCCACTAAAATTCAAAGTAAGCACGGGCCCCAAAAGGAAATATTCTGGCTTTAAGACCATGTCTGGTGAACAGATGAATTAAAGCCAAGCGGCTGGCTAGTTGCCTTGCCAATGCTGGGGAGCAATTCCTCTCCCGCGTGGCTCCTACTCTCACCGAATAATCAGGTTCCTTCTGGCTACCTGGAAAATGCAGAATCAAACACCTGTTTAAGTAGATGTGGTGAGCTCTGGGCCTGCCACCACCAATCCATCTGCAGTGCACGACATAACATTCACCAGCTGCTTTACTTAGCATGAGGTGGGAGCACGACGCTTTGATGAAAGCATCAACAACACACTTAAACCACCACTGAGTCCAATGATTTCCACATCAGTGGGGAGGCACAGGCTTGCAACCTGGAGTCTGCCAAGGTTTGCCCAGGCTGGGGGATGGGAGGGAGGCTGCAGGAGCGCAGCCTAAGCCCAAGTGAGCCTGGGCCCGCTGCTGACCTCCTGAGACCTCGGGCTGCAGCAATCCTTCTTCGGGAGCAGACTGTGGCTTGGCTAAGCCAGCATTTGGATTCTAGAAAAATGAGGGCATTCTGTGGAAGCAGCCATGGAGATCATCATTTTACACAGAGCAGTTCTCGCCTTTGTCTGGGTAGAGCTCAGCTTATGGAGAAAGCCTGAGGAAAGGGGAAAGGTTTTATTTTTTGCCTCTGCATTTGGGCGTGTGTTTGCGTTTTGTGTTTGTGTGTGGCGTTTTCATTTTTCCTTTTGGTTAAGGAGATGTTGAATCTGCGCTCCTTTAATTTTATTGTCACCATTCTGGTCCTAATAAAAATGGTCTTTAAACACAATTAATCATGTGGTGCAAGGCAAACAGCATACTCATTCCCAATACACAGATTCCCTATATTCTCAGCAGCTGATGCCATTCTAGAGAATCTCAGGTTATTTTGAGGGGTGGTGCCAGAAGAAATATCAGAGCCTGCTTCTTAAAACAATTTATGAATAATTGAGTAACAACAAGGGAATCGCTCATCTTTTTTTCTGGCTTAATGTTTGCATCAAAGCAGAATCAGAAATGGAACTGAATCTTTTACTGAGTGCTTAGTACGTGCTAGGCACTATTCTAAGTATATTCTATTAATTAAGTAATTTAATCTTCACCAGGCTACAAGGGAGATATGTCAGTTTTACAGTTGAAAAATCAGATGCACAGAGAGGTTAAGTAACTTCTCAAAGGTCACATTGCCAGCAAGTGCTGGAGACAGGCTGTGAATCAGGGCCATCTGGGTTGAGAGCTGGCAAACCAGGCTGCATCCCAGACTGCTGGAATCCCATGCTTGTATCGGTTTAGAAATGAATTCATTTGTAAACATTTCATGATGAGGCAATTCTAAAGTACATGCTTCCAACATGTAGGCAACTCTTTCTCAGGAAGCCTAAGTGCTTTCTCCTAAAAGTCTTACTCAGGATCCTGGAGAGGGGAGGTTTTGAGTCATCACCTCTTGTTAACTGGGTTCTCACATACTTCAGGGGCTATCCTAGTCCCCTGGGTGATTTCCAGTCCTATGTACTTTGAACTGCTCAGAACTCTGTAAGCAAAATTGTTTGCTGATGTGATGTGCAAGAAATGTGGGAATGGCACAGTGTGGAAAAGCAAGGACACATTTCCAGCCCCCTGAATGGTTTGCATGAGGAGAGTTGAGGCTGCCTCCCCATATGTTTGTCTTCCTCCCACCTCTAGTTGTCTGCTTCCTTCTGGAGTTGCCTGCTATCCTAATGTGTCCCAGGTATCCATTTGTTCCACTAGCATCAGGGAGCAATTGTCTTCAGCCTATGGAGTGTCACTGTTTGACCCAGGGCCCAAATCAAAGTCTTTAGTTACCACACTTGACAAAGGGATTTATCACCAATGAAAAGACAAATCAATCTACTGAAACTTAACTTGGTATTTCTCTGGGAGTCATACCAAGGCTCAGAAGGTCACTCTCTAGCATTAAAAGACCAAGGTGTTCCAAGACCAATGCTATCCATTATGACTTCCCCATAGCCAAGAAATATTCCTTATTGACTAATAACATAAGGGGGAGAAGAATGAGGGCAATGGAGGAGAAACCTTTGCAGTGAATTGATCTTTCACACATGTTGGCTGAGGACCGGAGACCAGGATGGGCAAAGCCTTGGTAGGAATCCCCACCTGCTCCATATGTGCCAGAAAAACTCTGATTTTAACATAAGGTAGACTATTTCCTACATTTTACTTAATTCAATTCCAATGAGAGGAGAAGGCAGAAAAAACAAATACAGGAGACATAGAATGTAGCATCAACTCTCCACTGATTAATTGTGTGATCTTGAAAAAGTCACCAAAGGGCTCTCAACTCAGTTTCCTCACACACCTCATGAGGGATTGGGCCAGATAATCTGTTATCTTCTGCTCAGCAATAATAGTAATAGTTATAATTTCAGTGTGTGTGGATGGAGTTATGCTTCCATTTTTCTTTAGGAGTCTAAAGAAAGTTAAAGTTTCTTCAAATCGTGAAAAATTTAAGGAGCAACCAAGTTTATCATTTTCACTGCATATCATGTGTGTATATATATTCAACAGCTGGAACATAATATAACATTTTTTTTTAGTAATTTCAAAACACATGCCATGTGCTGAATGGAGATTTCTAGGACTTCTACAATTGCTAACTTTAACACTCACCTCTAATATATTCCGACTTAAAGTGTGCAACCTTGTTTAAAATGCACTGCTAAAGCATATATTTTCATGTATTGCTATGTCTGAATGCATGATAACCAGGTTGAAAATCAAATTATCTGTGTTAGGGTGAGTATTATAGTGTGAATACTGCCTGCTGTGCTGTGAATGAATCTTGTAAACACAATCAAATGCATCTTTCCCTTTCTCACGCATTCAGACCCCCACCCTGCTTGGAGAGGCAATTCTTCACCTTCCGCTTCCCATTGTCACAGCAGTTCATGTTTATCGTGGGTGACATCTTCAGCTTCCATGCAGCGTGAGCTATGCCAGGTTGCAACTGAGCTTTCTCCTCCAAACATCAGCCTTCAGATTAAAGCTGTTTCACGAATAATGAAAAATAAATAAATATCCTTATTCCAGAAGTTTGTGAAATGCTTTGTTTAACTACAAGTGTCTGCTGAGAAATTTCTGTTCTCTTAAACTGTTTTATTGAGGGCAAAGGGTAGGTGTTTAAAGGGAGCCATGTTTGCTCCATTGAGAATTTACTAAATTATCCAAATAGTGGAGGAGAGGGATGCTGTGTGACATTCAGAGAGGACCCCAAACTTCAGGAAGCGGCAAGCCAGCAGACAGCCAAGAGCTTTCAGGGAGGAGAGTGAGTCCTCTGCTAAGTCACAAGCCCTGAGAACGTGCTTTTCAGTCACGGCCCCACAGCTGTCTAAACACTTTGTGAGCAGCCATGATAGTCATTCATGGAGTGCACAGCTTAGATAATGAAGAGGCACTAAGAGAAGACTTCATCTGAAGAAAGAGGCTCTATTTTTCCAGTGCCATACAAGGCAAGATTGCTGTGAGATCTGAGCAAGGGATGACCCACGCACAGTTGTCCTGGATCTCTCCTCTTGCTGGCAGCATCCTTGCCTGATGTTGCCAAATCTCCAAAGTTCGCAACTGCAATGTTCGGAAAGGGAAAATAAACTGTGAATTATGGGGTTACCCTGACCAGTTCTTTCCGTAACAACTCAGTTAATCTCTCCCTTAGCAAAACAGTAAAGGTGCTGGTATTAGAGATGGATTGCTCTCTCCTTCCCTGCCTTTTCTTTCTGCTTTTCATACCTGTCCCTACCTAAATTCTCAGCACTCATTGCCCACAAAGGACCTACAGCTCTCAAACAGTTCTCCACCCACTTCTCACTGCACAGCACCCACGCTGGGCAGCCCTTCAATACTTTCCTGGGCTCCTCACTCTCCCTGTCTCCCTGTCTGTGGATCTCTGGTCAATCAGTTATACACTTGATCTTAGCCAAAAAGCTGAGACGTGAGGATAAATCAGTTCTGATGTCTGAGTATCTGATGGGGTTTCATGGATCACCCTCCTCAGGCAGGGTTCCCTTCTTCTCAGAAGTGTTCAATGCCGTTGTCCAAAGGAAGAAGCAATGGTGACATTACAGGCATCGGGGCAGCCTGGGATCCTTTTAGCTCTGGATAGTAAAGCTGCTTCATGAATAATGAAAAATTATTATTCAGGCAGCTGCCTAACCACAGACTAACCCTGGGTGTTCCGGGGAAACTTCCTTGTTGATTTATCATAGACTTTGAGGGTTGAATACTTGCAAGCCCTCTCAAGAATAACAGGAATCATCATTCAGGGATGTGTGACCCCACTGATCCCCCAGTCTTTTCATGCAGTGAAAATAAGGCTAGAATGAACCTCAAGTTAAATTTTAAAGAAGAGGAAAACATCACAATAGGAGATCCTTTATGCTCAGTGTGGACAAGAAAAGGGGGTTCTCATGGCTGATGATGACGCTGTGTTATTAGCAGCCTGTATACAGGACAAAGTAAGTTTTTTAAAAAAGTATCTGACAGAACTACCTCCATTCCTCTGTAGACTTCTCCTCCAGGCATTGACTGATGTCAGCAAAAAGCAGTCCAGGAAAATGCTAGAGAAATGCAGGGATCAGCTTGGAACATGTAATCCTGAAGATGACAATGCTTCTTCATTTTCCCCTGCACCCTCATTTCCACCATGACCCCACATTTTTAAGTGTGCAATCTGTTTCACCCACTTAAGATAGACCCATTAAGATAGACCCTCCCTTAAGATAGACCCATTGTCTGAGGAAGAATAAGTCAGGACTCCTCCACTTTTAAACAATCCCCAAAACTCAAGGCTTGGTACTTCTGAGGACTCCATCTGGGAGACTTCAAGATGGAAAGGAGTTCAGAATTCCCAGAAAAGCATGAAAAACAGGAAACAGGATCCCCTACGTCCTCTGAGCCGATACTTCACATCCATTACTCAAAACTCAGCAAAGAATTGGGCCTCTGGCCAGATCTTCCAATACTATGTTGAATAGGAATGGTGAGAGAGGGCATCCTTGTCTTGTGCCAGTTTTCAAAGGGAATGCTTCCAGATTTTGCCCATTCAGTATGATATTGACTGTGGGTTTGTCATAAACTGCTCTTATTATTTTGAAATACATTCCATCAGTATCTAGTTTATTGAGAGTTTTTAGCATGAAGGAATGTTGAATCTTGTCAAAGGCCTTTTCTGCATCTATTGAGATAATCATGTGGTTTTTGTCATTGGTTCTGTTTATGTGATGGATTACATTTTTTGATTTGTGTATGTTGAACCAGCCTTGCATCCCAGGGATGAAGCCGACTTGATCATGGTGAAAAAGGTTTTTGATGTGCTGCTGGATTCAGTTTGCCAGTATTTTGTTGAGGATTTTTGCATCAATGTTCATCAAGGATATTGACTTGAAATTTTCTTTTTTGTGTGTGTGTCTCTGCCAGATTTTGGTATCAGGATGACGCTGGACTTATAAAATGAGATAAGGAGGAGTCCCTCTATTTCTATTGTTTGGAATAGTTTCAGAAGGAATGGTACCAACTCCTCTTTGTACCTCTGGTAGAATTCAGCTGTGAATCCGTCTGGTCCTTGGCTTTTTTTGGTTGGTAGGCTATTATTTACTGCCTCAATTTCAGAACTTGTTATTGGTCTATTCAGGGATTCGATTTCATCCTGGTTTAGTCTTGGGAGGGTGTATGTGTCCAGGAATTTATCCATTTCTTCTAGATTTTATAGTTTATTGGCGTAGAGGTGTTTATAGTATTCTCTGATGGTAGTTTGTATGTCTGTGGGATTGGTAGTGATAACCCCTTTATCATTTTTTATTGCGTCTATTTGATTCTTGTCTCTTTTCTTCTTTATTAGTTTGGCTAGCAATCTATCTATTTTGTTAATCTTTTCAAAAAACCAGCTCCTGGATTCATTGATTTTTTTGAAGGGTTTTTCCTGTCTCTATCTCCTTCAGTTCTGCTCTGATCTTAGTTATTTCTTGTCTTCTACTAGCTTTTGAATTTGCTCTTGCTTCTCTAGTTCTTTTAATTGTGATGTTAGAGTGTTGATTTTAGATCTTTCCTGCTTTCTCCTATGGTCATTTAGTTCTAAAATTTCCCTCTTAGCAATGCTTTATCTGTGTCCCAGAGATTCTAATATGTTGCATCTTTGTTCTCATTGGTTTCAAATAACTTACTTACTTCGGCCCTACTTTTATTATTTACCCAGTAGTCATTCAGGAGCAGGTTGTTCAGTTTCCATGTAGTTGTGTGGTTTTGAGTGAATTTCTTAATCCTGAGTTTTAATTTGATTGCACTGTGATCTGAGAGACTGTTAGTTATGATTTCCGTTCTTTTGCATTTGCTGAGGAGTGTTTTACTTCTAATTATGTGGTCAATTTTGCAATAAGTATGATGTGGTGCTGAGAAGAATGTATATTCTGTTGATTGGGGTGGAGAGTTCTGTAGATGTCTATTAGGTACACTTGGTCCAGAGCTGAGTTCAAGTCCTGAATATTGTTGTTGATTTTCTGTCTTATAGAGCTGTCTAATATTGACAGTGGGGGTGGGGTGTTAAAGTCTCCCACTATTATTGTGTGGGAGTCTAAGTCTCTTTGTAAGTCTCTAAGAACTTGCTTTATGAATCTGGGTGCTCCTGTCTTGGGTGCATATATATTCAGGATAGTTAGCTCTTCTTGTTGCATTGACCCATTTATGATTATGTAATGCCCTTGTTTATCTTTTTTCATCTTTGGTGGATTAAAGTCTGTTATGTCAGAGACTAGGATTGCAACCCCTGCTTTTTTTTACTTTCCATTTGCTTGGTAAATAATTCCTCCATCCCTTTATTTTGAGCCTGTGTGTGTCTTTGCATGTGAAATGGGTCTCCTGAATACAGCACACTGATGGGTCTTGACTCTTTATCCAATTTGCCAGTCTGGGTCTTTTAATTGAGGCATTTAGCCCATTTACTTTTAAGTTTAATATTGTTATGTGTGAATTTGATCCTGTCATTATGATGCTAAGCTGGTTATTTTGCTCCTTAGTTGATGCAGTTTCTTCATAGTGTCGATAGTCTTCACAATTTGGTATGTTTTTCCTAGTGGCTGGTACTGGTTGTTCCTTTCCATGTTTAGTGCTTCCTTCAGGAGCTCTTGTAAGGCAGGCCTGGTGGTGACAAAATCTCTCAGCATTTGCTTGTCTGTAAAGGATTTTATTTCTCCTTTGCTTATGAAGCTTAGTTTGGCTGGATCTGTAATTCTGGGTTGAAAATTATTTTCTTTAAGAATATTGGTTATTGGCCCCCACTGTCTTCCAGCTTGTAGGGTTTCTGAAGAGAGATGTGCTCTTAGTTTGATGGGCTTCCCTTTGTGGGTAACCCAACCTTTCTCTCTGGCTGCCTTTAACATTGTTTCCTTCATTTCAACCTTGGTGAACCTAAAGATTATGTGTCTTGGGGTTGCTCTTCCATTTTGGTATTCTCTGTATTTCCTGCATTTGAATATTGGCCTGTCTTGCTAGGTTGGGGAAGTTCTCCTGGATAATATCATGAAGTGTGTTTTCCAACTTGGTTCTATTCTCCTGGTCACTTTCAGATTCACCAATCAAACATAGGTTTGGCCTTTTCACATAGTCCCATATTTCTCGGAGGCTTTGTTCGTTCTTTTTCATTCTTTTTTCTCTATTCTTGTCTTCACACTTTATTTCATTCAGTTGATCTTCTGTCTCTGATATCCTTTCTTCTGTTTGATCGATTCGGCTATTGATACTTGTGTATGCTTCACGAAGTTCTTGTGCTGTGTTTTTCAGCTCCATCAGGTCATTTATTTTCTTCTCTAAACTGGTTATTCTAGTTAGCAATTCCTGTAACCTTTTATCCAGGTTCTTAGCTTTCTTGCATTGGGTTAGAACATGCTCCTCTAGCTCAGAGGAGTTTGTTATTACCCACCTTCTGAAGCCTTACTTCTGTCAATTTATCAAACTCATTTTCATCCAGTTTTGTTCCCTTGCTGGTAAGGAGTTGTGATCCTTTGGAGAAGAGGCATTCTGGTTTTTGGAATTTTCAGGCTTTTTGTTCTGGTTTTTCCTCATCTTCATGGATTTATCTACCTTTGGTCTTTGATGTTGGTGACCTTTGGATGAGGTTTCTGTGTGGATGTCCTTTTTGTTGATGTTGATGCTATTCCTTTCTGTTTGTTAGTTTTCCTTCTAACAGTCAGGCCTCTCTGTTGCAGGTCTGCTGGAGTTTGCTGGAGGTCCACTCCAGACCCTGTTTGTGTGGGTATCACCAGTGGAGGCTGCAGAACAGCAAAGATTGCTGCCTGTTCCTTCCTCTGGAAGCTTTGTCCCAGAGGGGCACCTGCCAGATACCAGCCAGAGCTCTCCTGTATGAGGTGTCTGTTGACCCCTGCTCCGAGGTGTCTCCCAGTCAGGAGGCACGGGGTTCAGGGACCCACTTGAGGAAGCAGTCTGTCCCTTAGCAGAGCTCAAGCACTATGCTGGGTGATCTGTTGCTCTCTTCAGAGCTGGCAGGCAGGAATGTTTAAGTCTGCTGAAGCTGCACCCATAGGTGCCCCTTCCCCCAGGTGCTCTGTCCCAGGGAGATGGGAGTTTTATCTATAAGCCCCTGACTGGGGCTGCTGCCTTTCTTTCAGAGATGCCCTGCCCAGAGAGAAGGAATCTAGAGAGCATCTCCTTTTTATAGAAGAAGGAATTCAAACACAGAGAGGCTAAGAGCTAGCATTTACATGTTTACACATGCTACATGGGAGAATTAAATCAGCATGAAGCCAGAACTGGGCTCCCATGTCTTATCAGATAGTCTTAGATTTTGATACAACGTTTTACTGAAAAGAGGACCTAAGATATTAATCTTTCTCCATCTGACAGAATTTAAGGGCCAGATAAGGTAACAGACATTCCTGGGGTCACACAGTACCTAACCAAGGGCAAAAATCTGCCCACAAACTTCCCTGCCCAATGGGTTAGTCACTGGCTATATGTGGCTATCTAAATTTAAATTAATTAAAAGTAAATGAAGTTAAAAATTCATTTCCTCAAGTTGCACTAGCCACATTCTATGTGTTCAATAATCCACATGTATTTAATGGCTACCATAAGGGATGGGACAGATGATAGATTTCACTACCTCTGTTTTGCTCTCCTCATGTGCTTATATTCCTGTCAGTAGCACAATATGCATGTGTTTCTCCACTAGATATGACTGTGCTTTGGAACCAATGCTCTGCATTTATCCATTCATCCTTGTCTTCCTTACGTTATAGGCCCGACATGTCCTAGGCAACATGGGGCTCTTTGAATAGCTTTGTGCTTAACTTAAAGAGCTAAGACCTTAGTTTCTGAAACAACAGCACAATTTAGAGTAAATATAATAAACCCTTAGATGTGTGTTGTTATGAAGAGTTTACAAAGGGCTTTCATATCTCTCATTTGAACTTAAGAATAACCACGAGATAGAATTGCACACATTTTATACATGAGAAAGCTGGAGTCCTGCAAGTTCAAATAACCAACTTGAATTCCCGTGTCAAGGCCTAGATTTGATCATTCATGTACGTGTGGACATATTGCAGGAATTCAAAGCAAGATATATTACCAGGGAGGAAAATTTTCTGATTTTCATGGTTGATGTCTAGTCTATACCTGGCCCAGGATGGGCAAAAATGAGTAAGTCATGAATGAAGCATGGTCTCTGCCCACTCAGAGCTTATAATCCAATTGGGAAAGTAAGCCCCGTGTATCAGTAGATAAAGCATAAGTTAGCAAGTAGCAAATGTCATGGTATTGTGCAGTTTTGCTCTTTGTTGTAGGTTCATTAACACAAGGCCTACCACATAGTAGGCTCTCAATAAACATTTGCAAGATAAGTTTTTTTGTACATACAGTCAATTCTTAGGTCCAGGCAAGGGAACAAGGAAATGCATATAACAATCCAAAACCCCCCAAATGTGACTCCACCTATTTATGTAGTTGGCAATTAAAATGTATACTGACTTCTTTCATTGCTTGAGCTGTTTTTCTAATAGCAATTTTTATATAAACACAGCTTTACCTCAGGAAATTGGCTGGGGCACCAGATTGCCAAGAAAGGCTAAAACTATTGTGGGAAACAGCAAAAACAGTTTGCATTTAAAGTAAAAATAGGAATGGAGGAATGACAGGGGAGAACTAGTCACAGATAGCTTGCTGTTGGACCCAAAATGGAAGAGCCGTTTGGAAAATGTTTGCGAAGATAAGATTGCCACTTGATTTTAGGTATTTCTGTCACTTGACCTGATCGCTAGTGGAAGAAAAAACTGGTTTCTTTAAAATATATTGAAAGCTTCTTGAATGAATCTCAATATCCTAGAAAAATTTTTAATTGGGTATACACAAACTTCATCCTACAAATAATAATGTCAGTGTTTCATTAGGATCAATTCTTGTTTTTCAAATTTTGAGAACTTAAGAATTTAGTAGGTCTATGTTTTATTCATCTTCGTCATCCCAGTAGAGAATGCATGAATTAGCAAGTAGATGAATTATATTTTGGAACATTTCTAATCTAATTCCAATCAGAGATAAAGATATAATTGTAAATGGTTTGGCACTATCTTTTTAAAACACAAGTTTTTTTTTTTTTTTTTCTTTTCTTGCCCTGTTGCCCAGGCTGGAGTTCACTGGCTCAACACTGCAGCCTCGAACTCCTTGCCTCAAGAGATCTTCCCACTTTGGCCTCTTAAAGTGCTGGGATTACAGATGTAAGCACCATGTCCTGCCAAACACAAATTCATGGTTATGAGGGGAGAACTCTAGAAGAAGATACAACAGGCTGCAATCTCCTCAACCACTTGAGTGAAACTGGCCCCAAAGCTGAAAGAGTCTAAAACCTTGAAGTAGATGATGCTTAACTCTGATACTCACATGTTTCTTTCTCTTTCTCTTGTCTAGGTCACCTTACAAAGCAATTTATGCCTGATATCTTCACAGGAGCATCTACAATTTAAATTAGGGCAGAGACAGAGCCCTTTGGGGATAATTCTCTAGTAGCCTAATAGTGAATACTGCCATCTTCTCATATGTGAATTTCTACAACAGCCTCCTAATAGGTCGCTCTGCCTCCAGGTCTTGTCCTCTGCAACTCATCTATCACATCTCTCTACACACTAGCTCTTCCTTGCTGATAGAGTAAAGTAGGCCTAGCATCATCTGACATCAACCTGCTTCTAAAACCTAATTTCTAACTTCTCCACTCCAGACTATCCTCTCAGCTCATTCCTTTATAATTATATTCATATTTAATGCTCTTTAAGGCTTTGACCATCTCCCCTTCCTAAAATTGCATCTCCTAGACCATGCATTGCCCTGGCATAAAGTAAAATGCGATACTTACTGAATGGATGGATGGATGGACAGAGAGATTTCATCCTTGCTTTTCTTCCAACCTTAACTCTTACAGAAAGCTTTTACTTTACTAACACATTTTATATTTATTTATCCTTGCTTTGAATCCTAGGCCACTTTTCTCTACCTATTATTTAGCACTCAGCATGTACTGACTTGTATTGTTAATTATTAATTAATTAATTAATTAATTAATTCGATGACCATTGTTACGTTTCTGTAACGTACCAGGTACTAGACTAGGCACTGGGGATAGAAACAAAGGAACTTCCTGTTTATTGTAAGGTGCTTTCAGTGCAGAGGGGAACAGATAAGAAAATCACCAGTCACTGCTTTAAAAGATATACACAGAATGTTGTGTGAACTTGGGAAAATCAAGAGGAGAGGGATTCAATAAAATCTGGGGGGCTCAGGAAATACTCAGTCCCCAAGAGATGATAATGCTTGTTTCATGCATTTGAAATGTGTTTCATTTGTGTGTCTTCTTCTTTCCAAGTCTAACTGGACAGGGTTTTTTTTTTTTGAGATGGAGTCTCGCTCTGTCTTCCAGGCTGATGTGCAGTGGCGCGATCTCCGCTCACTGCAAGCTCTGCCTCCTGGGTTCAACGCCATTCTCCTGCCTCAGCCTCCCTAGTAGCTGGGACTACAGGCACCCACCACCACGCCCGGCTAATTTTTTGTATCTTTAGTAGAGATGGGGTTTTACCATGTTACCATGTTACCAGGATGGTCTCGATCTCCTGACCCCGTGATCCGCCGGCCTCGGCCTCCCAAAGTGCTGGGATTACAGGCATGAGCCACCGCGCCCAGCCAGGGTTTTGTTTTTTTATTTTTATTTTTTATTTGCTGAGGCCTCACATCTAGTGATAATATTCATCCTTTAAATTTTTGAGTTGCTTTACCATGATTAAAGAGATTTTATACCCTTATCTTAATTAGTTATCAAAAAATCCATCTGATTTTTTGGGTATCAGGACAGGTAAAAGAGACCACAAGATCCAAGAGCAATATCCATCCAGTCTCATCTTCAGCATGCATTTAAAATGGAGGTTTTCTGATGCCTATAGAGTGCTCAATCCCACTGAGCAAGTTGAAGGGATGGGGCTATTTAGGGGAGATGGAGATCTTCTGATCTGCCTTTATTAATGGCTCCAAGCTGAATCAGCTCCACCTTACATGATAGCTGATCCAGCCCTTATTTTTGAAAGGGTAAGATTCATTCCCTACAGGGCAGGTAGAAATGACATTTGGAGAAGCCAGCTTTAAGAAACATCTGGAGGTGTGAGGCCAGATAAATGGTATAAGCAAGAGGCATTCTTTTTCAAATGCGTCATAAGAAAGTTATGACAGGAATATTCCAGCTGCAGCAGAGAACTGGAGTCTTCCCAAGGGTAAGGAAAGAGGAGACATTTATGCTGACAAATAGAGATCAGTATCAAAGACTCTCAAGTTTAAAAAGTTAAATTATGATGAGTTTCGGTGCGAGCTCTCATGCCAAAAGAACTTTTCCTTCTAAATGTCAGGTTACTCCTCCTTTACTTCTGCTAGTGGAGTTTTCCTTGTCTTCAGGAAAGTACTATATAAATACGGCAGAAATATGTTCCTGGGTCATAAGAGAAAGAAAAAAAAAATCCCCTTCAAGTTGCAGCACAGTGCAAGTTTGTAATCCCAGAACTTTTCTCCAGCTCTCAGTATCTAATCCGTGAAGCCACTTGGTGAAACTCAAAGATTACATGGTAACTCGACTAATAATTTAAGAGCTGCCAAAAGAAAAAAATATAGTCTCCCCTCCTCCTAAGGAAAGAGCCATGAGTCACAGGCCTAAAATCTCCAGCCTTTAGGCAGCAAATGTAGAAGCACTGAGAAGAAAATATCCAAACTCTTTCAAAACTGGAAGAAACCCAATGTATTGAAGGCACAAAGATTTGTAGCCATCACTCACCCATGTAAGGTCCCAGCACACTCATGAGTCTGAGATGGCCCAAACCAGGGTTATCAATTTTCAGTGGGACAACTTTCTTGAACAGAGGGCCATGAAAATATCAATCTTCTCTGTTCATGTTGCTGTTGATTTGTTTTATCCAAGAGACCCTTAAAAACAAAGCTTTGGAAACTTAAGTGTGAGGCCTGTTTGTCTTAATAGCTTTATTTACTTTATTTACTTGCAAAGTTGGTTCTGGTCTTAGGTTGCAAAGTAATGAAACTGTGGCCAAGATATGTGCATGCATGTTACGATCGATGCATTGGTTAATTCACTGTAGTTTGTTACTGTTATGAAAAATACACCATGTTATCCCTGTATTGAAGAGGATGAATTAGAACACATTGTGGGATTAAGAGCATGGATTTTGAGGTTAGGCAGGTTTGGCCAATCTAATCACAAGTTCCATGACCTTAGACAAGTTTTTTAAACCTATCTAAGAATTGGTTTCTTCATCTGTAAAATGATGGTAACACAAGCTATGAGGTAGAATTACAAGACAGATTTAATGAGATTATATATATATATAAAGCCCTTAGAAGGGTGGCAGGCATATATCACCAGCACTCAATAAAGAGTAGGTGTTATTTTTGCTGCTATAGCTATTGCTACCATCATCTAACTACCATGAACTCTTATTGAATCCATACTCTCATCTAAGACACCAGACTCTTTTTATTCTTCCAGCGATAGTTTATTGGTACTTGTCAATGTTCTAAGCACATGAGGTGCTTTGATCATGGGAATTAAGAGTCCCAAGCTCTATGTGTGATCTCGAGGGTAGTGTATCCTTCTGGTTGAGCCAATTAACAAGAGGGATGGACATGTTGAAGTATGACTAGCAGAATTACTTCAGAATAGTAAAACTAAGTCATATATAGAACACTAAGAAAACTGAGGATATTCAGTAGAGAGAGAACTTGGGAGGAATATCATAGCCCCTTTCAGATATGTGAGGAGTTATAGTGTCAAACAGAGATTGAACTGGGTCAGAGTTTCTCAGTCGCAGTGGTACTGACATGTTGGGTTAGATAATTCTTTGTTAAGGGGGTGTGGTGTTGTCCTGTGACTTATATGGTGTTTAACAGTGCCACTGGCCTCACTATACTCTATATTTCAGTAGCATTTTTGGTAGCTGTAACAACCAAAAATGTCTCCAGACTTTACCAAATGTCTTCTGAGAGCCCAAAATCTGGGAGTCTTCTAGGAGCCAATTCCTTTGTTTGAAAACCACTGGACTAGATTAATCTTATAGAACAGAGCAGAACTATGACTAGTTTATGGAAATGCCCACAAGGATGCTGTTGGTTGATCCCAAGGAGGACCTTATTACTACTATCCAGCAAGTTCCCACAACAGAACAGACACTTCAGAGGGCAGTGAGCTCCCGGTCACTGGAGGCATTCAATCACAGGCTGATAAGTTGCTGGGGTTTTCTTAAATAGAGTGTTCATTTGGGGAAGATGGTTGGTCTTCATTATTTCTATCTTTCTAATTCTCCCATAGTCTACATTCTTTGTAAAATAAATTTCTGTCATTTCAGATGGTCTAGCCCATCCTTAACAAGCAGTTATAAGGAGAGGACTAACATCTAAAGAGGACACCAGAGGTCTGATCTCAGATCCCCTTCTATTTGTGACTTGCTGTTTGTGAATTTCTAAACTTCACTGGGCATAAGGATCCCAGATGCTTTCTCTTATTCAAATCCAACATTTCATGGTTCTGGAATGTTGTTTCCTAACTGTAATGTCAAATCAGAAAAGTTCCCTGTCACTCCTTCTTCTTTATAGTTTATGGTTTAATTGACAATCTGGAGGAACTCTCATTGACTCAGATCTAGAGATTCTGTTGCTGAGGTGCTTAGATCTTAAAACCTGAAGGAGAAGAATGAGATAAAAACTCAAGGTTTTTGGCTGATACATAGGTAGATACTGCCTTTCACTAACAAATAAGGAACATGGTTGAGCCTCAAAACTATTTTCTGCAAAACCCTGATGCTGTGCCCTAGAAGATAATCAATGTATAGTGATTGAATTTAACAAAATAAAGTATCCTTCCATGTAGTGGATTTCATGCCTTAAAAATTCAGCATTTACTGTATGTCTTCTAACACTGTTATGGTTTTCAAATATTTTAAGTTTGGGACACTTTTCATTTTCTATGTGAAGTCTCTAATAGGATTATAATATGTTATCACAGGTCTTGCTTGCCATATAGCTCAATGACCAAGTCTTTCTAATATTAGGAGATAGTATCTACACACTTTCATGTAATGCTAGATGAATATGTCTATTGCAAAGGCAACAAACTGATTTTGAAAGAGGATAATATGTTCTGTAATTGTTAGATCCATGCTCACCTCTTCCTACCGAATTAACCATAACATCATCTGCCTAAAATGTATCCACATCTGTGGTTCAGAGATCTGCCTCATCTGATATCCTCCTTGAGGCTAATAAACAAATCAAAGATGGAACCAGTTCAAACACAAAGAGGCTACAGATAAAAAAGAGAGTATGGCAAGAGAAAGAAAATACTTGAACTTTTCAAGCAAGGATGCCACCCACTTTTAGATTTATAATAGATGGTCCAATAGCATTTTAAAGTGACTGTATCAGTTAGAATAGGCTAGGTTATAATGCAGTAACAACTCCCAAATTTCAGTCCCTTAACAATAAAAGGTTATTTCTTGTTCTTAGCCATCTTGGGTCTACTTTAGTACTGCTCCGTGTTCTGTTTACTCCACAGCCCAGTTGACAGAGCAATTTCTCTTTGGGACATTGCTGGTCATTGAGCAGAGGGAAAAAGAAAGCCTGGAAACCACATACTGGTTCTCAAAGCTTCTGCATGTCAGCGACACATATTTCCTGCATATTTTACTGACTGCAGAAAGTCCTGTGGCCAAGCCCCACCAATAGAGGAGAGAAATGTAATTCTCCTTCATTCAACCTTCAGTATTATAAGCTTTCATGGTCCTTTTCCTGTGGAATTAATCACCGTTCAGCAACAAGCTGAACCATGTAAACTTAAAAAATGGGAGAACACCTGTGTGTGCCCATGCATGATGCAGAATTTGGATCAGCATTTCTTTGTCTGAGGACCTTTTCTTTCTCCTGCTGAGTTGGATGGGGAATCTGAAGCCCTGTCATCTTTCCCACAGCCCCCTGCTATCTTTGAGAGAGAAGGCACCAGCTGTGTTCCCTGATGGAGTGGGGATGGCAGCTGCAAGCTGAAACACCATGTTGTCTCATGTAGTTTCTCTGTCAGTGCATCTATGGATGTGTGACCACCTTGCTAACTAACCACTTGTAGAGGCATTTAAAATCCACATGTCTGGCCTTATTATGGCAAGATCATTCCACAGGAGCTGAGCATGAGTGTGTGGCACTGATGAGCTGCTGTCTGTCTAGTTAGTTTGCCTTTCCAGTTTCCATTGCTTATGACACGAGTGTTGTTGAAATTGTGTCAGAGTGAAAATCTGTCATCGACTGTAAAAGGAGAAAAAACAGGCAAATGTGGCATGTAACTTGTCTGCATAAATCTCCTCTGTTGCTTCAACCCTTCATGCAATAAAACAGCTCATCCTGAAGTTCTGTTCATTGCACATCAGAACAGAAATTCATTGTTTTCTTTCCTCTGTGTCATAAAACAGCAATGCCTCCTAAGTATTTGACAAGCTTCTATTCTGCAAAAGCTCCAGAGTATCCCCAAAGAACAAACTTGCAACTTCAAGACTTGATGGTGTCAAATGCTAAATGGTGTCTTGTTTGGGCAGCCAGAGGACATAATTAGATTTGAAGTCATCATCTATAATCTACTAAATTCATGATTTTATGATATGATTAGGCATGCTCTTCTCTGCAATGACCTAAAAATAAGATAATGCGATGGAAACAGAATTTACTGGATATATAAACAGCCCTCGCTCTGAGATGGTGCTTTGTCTGGGTCAGATTTCTTGTGATTGGCAGGAAGCTGTGACAGCTCTTATTGTATGTTTCTAAGAGGAACATGGGTAGAAATGGTCAATTAGAACTGCCACTCAGCCTCTCCTCACTGTGGCTGCTGTTGGGCTGCCTCTTGAGCTCTGAACTAGCTGTTAAAATGGGGAAATCCTGCTCCCCAATGTCATTGGGTTAAGTAGGGTGATACTAGGAAAATCTTAATTGCATGCCCACACCTCTAAAGTTACAACCCAGCAAAAATGAACCAACTTAATGCTTATGGGATAGAATTAACCATCAGTTTAAGTACAGGATAGTTCGAGTGGAATATTTCCTCTCTATTTTCTTCTTAACCACTGAGAGACAGCTATCTCTTTCCCTACTGCATAACCCTCTCCTCTATGCACAAAAATCTTCCCCTACCCCCACTACACAAAGACACACTCCCTCCCAGAAGTATGTAAGGACACAGCCATGCGTGTGATTTTTTTCTCCTCTTTCTTCTTCCAGTGTCCTGATGTCAAGGTGAATGGGGTCAATAGAGAGAGCAGCTGGTAGGAGCCAGTCTTTAGCTGATTTCCTCCTCGAGTTGTGGGGGCTGCTGCCAAGTCATTCGTCTCACCCTGTGTGTCTGTTATAATGTTGCAAAAGAAAACAGAAGGTGAGTTCAGTCCAATGTGGGCAACTCAACAAACAGGTGGGAAAGGCATACAAAAGTTTAATCAATGCCATTCTGAAGAAATTGTCTTTGTACTGAAAGTGAGCTAAAAGAGTGTTGGGTTTGGAGCTAGGAAGTAAGAATTTCTTGAAGTGGTCTTTGGAGTTAAACAAGCTGGAAAGACTAAGTGAGGAAAAACAGAAAATAATAGAAGAGAGTAGAGAAGAGGAGAGGAGGAGAGAAAAGAGATGGAGAGTGGAAGAAAGGGAATAACTAGAGAAGAGGAGAGAGGAGAGGAAAGACAGACCATTCTAATCACAAGGGATAGGTGGAGATTAAGGAGGGAGACTCTCCTGGGGGGTCAAAATGGTCTAGAGCCTTTTCCTACTGGACTGAGTTAAAAAAGAATAAGGAAGCACCTAGATAGATTGGGTATAGAGTAAGCTTGAGCTAAGGAAATGGGTAAACAATTAATCTTGAAGTGGACCATGAAGAGACGGAGTGTGTTGGAGCATTCTTCCACAAGTGCCCCTTTCTTCCATAAGTCACAGTTCATTCTGCAACCTCTTGGGTTGGGGACCCAGATGAAAACTGATGAAAAAGGGGTATCAAAGAGCCACCCTGTGCTGTTGGTTGACAGCTGCTTTGGGTCCTATTTTCTAGGTACTACTGAAACCATCTCCAGGTCCAGGCAGGGATGCACAGGAGGTCTTGGCCTCCTGCTGCTCATGCAAGAAGGAGAGCCTCCAGTAGGTCCACTCACCCTACTCCCTTTTATCCAGTGTGAGACTCTCACTTCTGACAGCTCATTTTGAGGAGGAGTTTATGTTGGGTTAATTCCATCAGAATATAAATGCTTTGTCGTCTTTGATACAAACGGCTGTATTGAGTACGTTGGTGGCTCATTTTATGGACTCAGACTGGGCTAAAATGGAAAAAAATGTCAGAGGCTGAGTTGCTGCTATGGAGTTGATTAGATAGGAACAATGAGTTTAGATGAGACAGAAGGATGTGGTGAATGATCCTATTAATAGTCATGTGAGTCATGTGGTTGTGGCCAACATTTAGAGCCCTTAGAGTTCAGAAAGAGTGAGGCTGCTCAGGGATGGGCCTGGAGGTGGAAAGGTTCATCCTGGGCCTTGAAGTATGAGGAGGGAACTGCAGAAGGAGTAAGGTCAGGAAAGCATCCTATATTAGGGCAAGGCAAGGTCACTAAATAATTTTACGAATTATATGTTGGAATTCTCTCTTCCTTCTCTTCTTTCCTGCTTCACTACTTGTCAAATTAGCACCCTCTTGCCATTTAATGAACTTTTGATATGTTTCTTTAACCTGTCAAGTTTATGAGGGGGAAATTCCATGGCAATTCCTTCTAATTTATAACACAGTTTGCTCAGGATATAGTAAGCATATTTTGAGGTTCTGCAGTATAACTGAAAATGCTGTAAACACTGGAAATCAGGAAAAGAGGTCCATATACTCATGTACATTTATTAAGTAGCTGCAAGTGAAAACCCTGGGGGGATAGCACTGAAGAAAGCAGGCAGAAGCCTGCCCTCATGTGGCTTCCATTTCAGTGGGCATGGAGACAATAAAGAAATTTACACCAAGGTGTGTAAGACAGCAACAGATAATAGCCAGTGTTATGAATAGGAAGAAGGGTAACAGGCATGCTGGTGGCTGTGATTTTATGTTTCTATTTCATATGGGTGGCCAGGGAAATTTTTCTGAGGAGCTGGCATTTGAACAAAGACCTGAATGAAGAAAGGGGAACATCCCGGCAGATCTCTGGGGAAAAAGCCTTTCAGGCAGATGAAATGGTCAGCGTGAAGATTTCAGGTCGACATATCCGTGATCTGTTCAAGGAATGGTTTTGGAGGCCACATGAATGAACTTGCAGAAGGTGGAGATGAGGTCAGAAGTGGCCAGGACACATGAGACCTTTTGGACAATATTAAGTCTTCCTGATTTTATTCTAAATATGATGGAAAACTGTTGAAGAGTTTTGGCTAAAGGAATATGAACAAATATATTACAATATGCAAAATAAGGTGGGGTGGGATGAAAGCTGAAAAGATAGAAAACCAATAAAGCACAGAGCTTTGCAGAAGCCACAATCTAATAGGGAAACAGAAGGGGCAACAAGTGCTTGAATACAGTGTAATGAGGACCCAAGAAGAGGAATGTTGGAGTTCAATGGGTACACCAGGGAGGTGGAAATGAGCTTAGCCAGGGGATCCAAGGATGGTCTCACAGAGAATTTACATGTCAGATGCATCTTGAAGATTGAGCAGGGATTTTTCAGATACAAGAAACTGAAAAAGCCTGACTCACAGAGGAGCAGCACATCACAAAGGAAGAGGCACCAGAGAATGTAGCTTGTTTTAAGGACACCGAGCTGTTGAGGATGACTGGATCACAAGTGAGCATGGTGATTGGCAAGAGGTGGCCAGAAAAGCTAAAGCATGGAAAGCCTCATTTGTGGGTGACTTTATTGTATAACAATAGAGGAGGAACCATTAGAGTTATGAGCAGTGAAATAGAAAGTGGCATTTGTGTTTTGGAAAGATTACTCTGCCAGTAGTGTGAGGGGCGGTAGCTGTTTCTACTTCCTCTGGAATTTGGAGTCATATAGAACAGAATTCAAATCCCACCTAGAATAGTTATTTGCTGGGTGATCATATATAAGTCTCTTAATATCTCTTAGCCTCGATTTCCTTGTTTATAAATTGGGAAAAACAAGTATCTTCTTCAGGAGAGCTGTGAAGATTAAATTTTAAAAAGTGTTTAAGGCTGGGCGATGTGGCTTACGCCTGTAATCCTAGCACTTTGAGAGGCCAAGATAGGTGGATCACTTGAGATCAGGAGTTCAAGACCAGCCTGGCCAACATGGTGAAACCCTGTCTTTACTAAAAACACAAAAATTAGCTGGGCATGGTGGTGGGTGCCTGTAATCCCAGCTACCCGGGAGGCTGAGGCAGGAGAATCAGTTGAACCCGGGAGGTGGAGGTTGCAGTGAGCCAAGACCACGCCACTGCACTCCAGCCTGAGCAACAGAGTGAGACTCCATCTTAAAAAACAAAAACAATCAAACAAGCAAATAAAAAAAGGTGTTTATCATAATAACTAGGTCATCATAAGGCATCAATTATTTAGAGTTACTTTTATTATTACAAAGAATTGGGATGGAGAGAAATGGGAGGCAGGCATACTGGTGAGGAGACTATCACATGAGGCTAGGAGACACATGCCAAGGACCCAAACTGTGATAGTAGGGGAAGAGGGGATGAAGAAGACATTAAAGAAATATTATAGACTGCAATTGAAAGGACTTGATTTTTCTTTTTTCTTTTTTTTTTGACTATGAGCATTGGGATGTTGGGGATGACTGGATCACAAGTGAGCATGGTGATCGCCAAGAGGTGATAAAATTTTCTATAAATACCTAAGGAGATTAGTGTGGAATGTGACCATTATCAAAATCCAGGAGAATAAAGGAGGAAAGATTATCCAAAGACTTCTTCAGCTCTCAAGTGGGATGCTTTACTATTCCACTAAGACTACTGACAAAGGGAATGAGATAACTATCCCAAAGAAATCCAAGAGCTATCAGAGAAGAAATAGACCCATGATAAAAAAATTGTAAAAATAAAATTACAAATGTCAGCTAAAATGTCTTAGACTGGGCTCTTTGAATGTGTAGGAGTGAATTTGTATTTTGATTAAGAGGGCTATCCTAGTATTATCAGTATTATCAAAATTAGGCACTGTGTGAATGGTCTTTGATGCTACGGCTGAAAGCGGTAATGGTATTGATAATATGGATGATGATCTGATCTTTTCTAAGATGATACACAATTGTCCATACTTAGGGAAATTCCTTCCAGGACTTAGGTACACTTCTGTCAGCCTTCCCACTGCTGTGATTCTGTTATGCATCTCTGAGGACTGACACTACAGTGTTGTGAAGTCACAGATGTTGCCTCATTCAATGTTACCACGGCCAAATGTGACTCAATTCAATCCCGGAGCTCATAGAAATTGCCATATAAAAATGACATTTCTTTTTGGTCAAGATCTTAGGTAACTTCTGCCATTTTCTGAAGGGGCTTTAGGAGAAATACAACAAGAGGTGTGGTGGCAGAGCAGTACTTTTGAGAGCAGCCCAGAGAAAGGTCTTCATTCTGCCTATTTCCCTGGGTGAACTCAAGCAAAAAGCTTGCCCTGCTGAACTGCACTGAGCACACAATTTTGCCCAGGATAATTTCTTTGATATCAAAGAACTAAGTTTGTATAAGCCTAAGCCACATTGCAAACAATGGTACTTCCTGGATGAAGCATGAGTAATTAGCCGTGAGGGTCATTGCTGTTTGGCCCCCGAACTATATTGACGTTTCAAGACATAGTATAGAAACCCACATAGTTTTCATACCATAAGAGGTTAGCCTCTTAATGAATATCTTATCTGGGAAGCCCAGCTACAATGTATTTCTAGAACCTCATAATGATAGCATTTACTTTATGTTTTGGTGCTCTTCAGCTGAAAAGAAAAAAAAATGGCTGGAGAAAAATGTCAGGTTAAGGTTCTCTGGTATGAACAAAGCAAAAACTACTATAGTATTGTCACGTGCGAATGAACTACAAAGCAAATACTCTCAATTTTTTCTCATAAATATTCGGCAAAGTCTCAGCATTTTCCTTGAAGTGGCAGCAAATCCATGAGTGGGAGGTCTTCTGTTCCACAGCTGCTTACGAGCATTGTTATGGCTGGGCATAAATTACAGAAGTCAGGATTTCAACCACGGTGGAAAAGTCTATAAAGATTTCTTTCCCTTATTAACTACTGTGTGACCACTAGGTTTATGAATGGAGTTAAAAGTTCTAAACAGGAACAAAAATGTGGTAAATGCCCTCGAAGGCATTATGTGGAAATTTCTTCACAGTAGTGGAGACCAAGCAGAGAGAGAGAGAGAAAGAGATGAAATTAAAACAAGCTGCACACATAAATGATGCTAGGAGAGAAGGAATAAAAACTCCGCAGGTCTTCCAAGAGCTGGCAGGGGCCACCCGCCAGTCATAGCAAACAGGAGTACTCTTTCTGTGCTAAGTAAATAAACTTAATTGTACATTTGTAAGACTATGGAAGGTCTAAAACAAGAATTTTTTTCCAAGGTCTGAAATATCTCCATTAAAGAGTTCATAGAAATGAGAGCTGTCTCTTTAAAATCAATACCAAATTGGCTAGGGCTTGTAACTGCTCAGAACAGAGCTAAGGGGCAAGCTGTTAAAAAATATGGTTTTTATAAACAAACTTGACATTGCAAACTTAATGCAAAACCCTATGCGTGTAGCATCACTTGTGTGTACAACTTGTTTAAATTAGAGCTCCAGGAAAAAGGAAGTAAAATCGACTTATTAACCTTTTGTTTAACAATTCTTACATACTATATTTTGAAGTAGACGGTGGTGTCTCCCTAGCCTTCGAAAAGTTAAGAATCTGTCAGCATTTTCTCCTGAAAATTTTTATGCATATTTTTGAAAATCCAGCTCTAAGTATGTACTCTATACATAAAATATTTTTTGCTTGAGGTGTCAACAAATTCATTGCACTGCATTGAACTTAGAGAAACATTGTAAACAATACTTAACTAAGGTTCTTCCTTCTCCCTGGTGCTTAAAGATTGAAAATAGAGGTGGTTTCTTTTTTCTCTGGAAATTTATTAACCAATATTCCCTCACTCCAATTCAACCTCCTTTGGTATTTGAAGAGAACCACAAAACACTAGTTGTTAATATTGTTTTAAGCCTCACCCTCTTGCTTCATTGTATCTTTGGTCAGATCTGCTTTTAATATGCCACTTTGCAAGTTTAATTAAAATCATAACAGCTCAATCCTATGAGTTTGGACAACACTGGATATCAGCACAGATTTCAGGAATTATGAAAGAGACATACAATCTCTCTTAAAATTGAGCAGTTGGCTTAACCAATAATGTAGCCTGAAAAGTCTGTTTCTTAAACATGTAAATATTTAACATGACTCAAATGCAGTTGCTCTTTCTATAATTATTCCAAAAGATCATTTATTGCTCTTGAGAGTGCTTTTCTGAATGACACGGTTCTTATTTGAGTTTGTATCACCTTCCTTTTGCAAGAAATCACAGTTTGGGTGTGCTCTCAGAATAATCTGAAACACATTGCCTCCCTCTACTCCTGAAAATTCCAGCTGGTGGTTTGTCACCCATGGCCTGTTGCATTCTTAAGCTTACAAACATTTTTAAGTCTTTTAGATGTGCCACAGGATTTTATTTTTGATGATAATGTTTATTTGCATGTAGCCATAATTGCTGAAGCAGTCAGACTACAGCCACATTAGCGTTTTGCCCCTTATGGTGGAAGATGGTTAAGGATGGCCTGGCGCAATTTGAGCTTTGGAAAAGATTTACCAGATGGGATGATTTTGAAGAGGTTTGATCATTATCTTGGATGTGGAACATATAGTACTTTCTGCATGATTTATCTGAAGTGATTAACTACTGTATTGCTTATTTCCACAGTGCATTCTGTGATCTTCCTGGAAGCATGCAGGTTATGCTTAGTTCTACTCTATTAATTATATGGGGTATCTTCAAATCTTTCTTCTATTGTTTTGCTATTAAGGATTAACTAAACATTTTCTTTGGCCTTTTATTCCTTTTGTAAGATTGTGGCATTGCCCTGTTCAGTGCCTCCTTCCTGTCCCCAGGGGAGGCATATTTTGGAATATATAAACTAACACCTCTAAAATATTAAGAAGAAAACCTCTAACTAAAAATACAATATGATTTCAACCAAAAAGAAGACGTTAAATTTCATTTTGACATGATGAGTTTTACACACACCCACAGAAGTCTGATACTGGGAGGTGAGCTAAGGACAGAGTATCCGTTTAAGCTCTAACTATTGCTGGGTTTTGTGGGATTCAAGCAAACCCTCAATGCTAGAAGAACAGCTCTTCAGATTTAAATTTAGTGAATAAAAACTCTCATTTGGTTTATACTCAAATATTTTGTTTTCTTCCTCACAAGTTTCTTAGTAGTTATAGAGATGCTGGCAGAGGGGAAAAAAGCTTTATGTGAATGTGTCCTATTCAGAAATTTTCCTGAATGATCACTGCCAAGGTCTTTAAATTGGCTGTTCTTAAAAATGGAGACCTGTATTATAGTCAAGGTTGGGGCTAAAATTATTAACTTCTCTCCTCTATACCAAATAAAATCATGCCTGGCTTGTAATTCACTTGCATTAAGAAACCAAGTAGAGAACTTGTCCTACTTACAACCAATTTTAGGACATCTATAAATTCAATTTGATGAGTTCAAACAGAATTTCATATGTGCAGAAGAATAAAATATCATCGCCTGATTGTTGCCTATCTGACCTTGAATGTAAAGTGGGTGTCAAGCCATAATTTTTGGACCTCTCATTTGTGCCACATAATGAAGAGTCAGAAAGGATTTATTTTTAGAGACATTTCAGGAGTACCAGTTTGAACCACATTAAATTATTTCCTATTTTCTATACTTACCACCTTGCAAACACTGCCAGAGCTTCAGGGAATATTTTTCTACTTTTCAGTGCCAACAGAAAATTAAGCCCAGCACAGGTATCTATACTGATAGCCCATTTTGGATCCAGGGCGAAATGTTTTCAAAACATTAGTGATTGTTTTACACTACTATGCTTTATGTTAACTCTCACTGACTCACAGCAGCTGATGATACTCAGCTTAATGAAATGTATCTGCTACTTATATTTCAGGGAGACGTACTTCTACAGGATCTAACTCTGGGTAGCTATCTTCTTATTCTCCTCCTTCCTGTCAGAGAGTGACACCACCAGTAATTAAGTTTGAAAACTTACTGTCATTCTGACTCTTGTTATTAGGAACCCATTAAATTCCAAAATAAAAATTAGTCTATCTTATGCTCAGTGCTTAGCTTGATCCATCCTCCCTTCCTTCCTTCCTTCTTTCCTTCCTTCCTTCCTTCCTTCCTTCCTTCCTTCCCTCCTTCCTCCATCCCTCCTTCCCTCCCTTCCTTCCTTCCTTCAGAAATGTGCAGAAAATGAAATTAGGGCATTAACAATAACAAAGGGTTATTGTTTCCTTTAAAAATTGTGGCACACATCAATATAATTTGTTTATACACTTTTGATTGCAAACAAATGTATTTCTCTTTAATGTAGACAAATTAGGCAGTATAGAAAAGCACAAATGCAAAAATATTATTCATATTTCTATTACTCAGAGAAAGCAATGTTTTAAATATTTTGTTGTATATGCTGTAGTCTCAAAAATTATGTTAAATTGCACAAGATATTAGGCAGCCTATTTTATTTACTAAACAGTAATTGTCGGTATTTTCACATGATATTTTCTTCTACAACATGATTATAATTGAAGTATCTATCTCATGACACAGCTGTATCACAATTTGTATACCCAATTACCTATTTTTGTTCATTTAAAACATTTTCAGTTCTCACTGGTACAAATTCTGAGTTGATTTTCTATGGAATAGCTGTATTTTTACTGCTTTGTAGAAGATCCCTACATCTTAAAGATATTAATGTTTTGGTGTATATATTTGTGATATATACTAAAAATTTTCCAATTTGAATGTGACCTTTAAATTTTTATAACTTATTTTTACTTAAAGAAATTATTTCTTTATATAGTGAAATATGTTTTTCTTTATCCATATTTAATTGTATAACATATATTATTACTTTTAAAGTTTTGCTAAGTAAATTTTCTTAATTATTATACTTAAAAAGTATTTTCTAGTCTCTCCAATTTATTCTTTTTGATGAATATTATAATTGTTTTGTGATGTTTCAAAAGTATGTACAGGGGTGATTGGATTTTCATTATGTGTACACATTCATTTTTATATAACTGATATTTTAATGTAGTGAGTCAATCTGGCAATATGTCATAGCTATTCATTTTTTGAAATTTCATTTTCTGCACATTTCTTTGAACTTATTTTATAGCGTTTTAAACTTTTTGCTAATTTGTATGGACTCTTCAAATATTTCTAACTGGTTATTGACTGCACACAAAAAAACTCATTTAATTTTCCATATTCCTTATTTTAAAATAATTATTCTTGTATTCAACTTAGAAAATGTAAAATATAAAGAAATTTAACTGCACCACAAATTTATCATTCAAAAATATTTACTTTTCTTATATCAATATCTATATTGGCAATCCTCTCTATCTTTTTAATATACATAATTTTAGACAGTCTTTTTTGAAAAACATTGGGGTCATACTCTTCATTGCCTTCTGTAAAACATATTTTCTACTAGAGTATATATTTATAACTTTTTCTCCATTTTATGGGATGTACAATATTTCCTAATCCATCTATATTGTTGAATATATGGCTTCCAAATTTTGCATATTAGAAACTGTTATATAACTTGCATAGAGACCTACAGATATCAATAATGATTTCTTTTTTTCTTTGAGACAGAGTCTCGCTCTGTCGCCCAGGCTGGAGTGCAGTGGTGCCATCTCGGCTCACTGCAAGCTCCGCCTCCCAGGTTCATGCCATTCTCCTGCCTCAGCCTCAATAATGATTTCTTGAGAATAAATTTCCAGAAGTGGAATTGCTGTATTAATGGGCATTCAAACTTTGAAGCTTATAATAGATATTGCACAATCTTCCAAAATCATTTTTCCAATTTACTCTTCTATGAGCAGCATTCATTTATCTATAAACCCTAGATATAAATATTTGTCATTTTTATTTCAAATGTTATCAATCTTACTTGTCTAGTAAAAGCAGTAATTAACTAATTAAATTTGCAGACAACAAACTTAGCTATTTTTGTTCTTTGGCAGTTTTCTCACTGATGACATTTGCTCATTTTTTGGTATTTATATATTTGTCTTTTGTCTACACTTTTCAACAGGTTTTATGCATTAGGAATATAGAATATTTGATAAATTTTAATTATTTTAGAGATCTCTAGTTGTTCTAAATTTTAGTTTTTTAAAGTTCTTTTCTATGGATTTGAATTTACAAAATTTTTCATCACCATGAAATTATATATATTTTGACCTATTATTATTTTGAGTGGCTTTATGCTTCTTTACTTTTAATATAAAGTTTAATTTACTGCTAATGTACTTGGAGTATGCTGTGAAATTTATTTTTTCTAAATATTAGGAAATTGTACTCATCCACTTATAGAGTAATCCATCCTTATTACACTTATAGGCAAGTTATTACATGGTATACACTTTCAAATTTTTCATTGTTTATGCTCCTTTTTCTTACATGTATTATTGCATAAGAACCTCTAGAATATAAATAAATAATTATTAAACATTAGGCTTATTATGTTTTTGAATTTAATGAAAATGATTCCAATATTTCACATTTATTATGATATTAAGTATTGTGTGTGCTGTTATTGATGTTTTTAGTATTTAAGGAATTGGATTATTAAATATTATCAAATTCTTTTACAACACCTCTCAACTGGTAGTGTTTTTTTAAATACTTTGACGTTGCTGTGGTACATTATACAATTCATCTGCCAGAAATAAAAATAATTTTCTCAAAATTTATTATTCTTTTAGCATAGTGTTAGATTCAATTTGCCAGGGGTCTTTTTGTTTGTTTGCTTTATTCACACTGTTTGTATTCTGTTTCTTTTTACTCTACTTATACCCTATTATTACTGACTTTTGTAATCAGTGATATAGAAACTTTTGGAAATAAATCAGAGAGATTTTCCTATTTTTGGTGCTCTGAAATTACTTAAACCACATAGGACAACAAAAAACAAACATCGTGTGTGTGTGTGTGTGTGTGTGTGTGTGTGTGTTTGTGTGTGTTTCTGCAGTATTGTCTACAGAAAATGGAATAGACAGATCTTTCATGGACAGCTCAGTAAGTTTTGTCAAATGCATACACTCATGTAACCCACATCCAAGGCAAGATACAGAACATTGCCATCCCTGCAGAAGGGTCCAGCATGCTGCTTGCCAGTCAGTTTCCACCGCACATCCCAAAGGTGTGTGTTCTGATGTTTATCATCTGTCTGTTGTACTTCACATAAATTAAATCATGTATTTGAGATTTGTTCATGTTGTTGCGTATATCCATGATTCATTTCTTTGTATTGCCAAGTAGTAGTCCATTGTGTGAACATACTCCAATTTGTTTATCTATTTATGCAAGAGTCTGTAATTTTGTAGGCTCTTAAAAAGTTTTTTTATTAGAATAAATAAATTTATTTTAATACAAGTCTCATACAAGTTTTTCATGGCTCTATGCTTTTATTCTTCTTAGCTGAATAGCTAATAGTAAAATTTTGGGGTTATAGGGTAGTTAACTAGTTCAACTTTATAAAAAACTGCTAAACGGTTTCCCAAAGGTTGTAACTTTTGCAATCCTATCAACAAAGTATCTGGGCTTCATTTGCTCCACACCTCACTAACATTTGGTATTGTCAATCTTTCTAATTTTACCATTATTGTTGGGGTGTAACTGTATGTCGGGATTTTTATTTGCATTTTCTTGATCAGCTCCCAGGCCATGGACTGGTACCGGCATTAGATCCTCATAGGAGTGTGAACCCTATTGTGAACTGTTCATGTGAGGAATATAGATTGTGTGCTCCTTAAGAAAATCTAATGCCTGATGATCTGTCCCTGTCTCCTATCACCCCCAGATGGGACCATCTATTTGCAGAAAACAAGCTCAGGGCTCCCACTGATTCTACATTATGTTGAGTTGTATAATTATTTTATTATATGTTACAATGTAAAAATAATAGAAATAAAGTCTGCAATAAATGTAATGCACTTGAATCATCTTGAAACCATCGCCTCCTGGGTCCAAGGAAAAATTGTCTTCCACGAAATCGGTCCCTGGTGCCAAAAAGTTTGGGGGCTGCTGTTCTTGATGACTAATTTTATTAAAGTATCATTTCATGTGGTTTTTGGTCATTCATTTATCTTCATTTGTGAGGTGTCTGTCCAAATATTTTGCTCATTTTTAAAATTGGGTAGCCTTTATTATTGATTTGTAGGAGTTCTTTACATATTGTGGAAACAAGTCCTTTGTTAGATGAATGTATTGTAAATATTTCCTTCCTGGCTTCAGCTTGCTCTATTTATTTTCTTAACATTTTGGCATAATAATTAAGTTTTAAATAAGACATTAAAAATATGTATCTTATTTAATGTTTCATATCTTTCTATTTTAGCATGTAGATTATTCTTTTTTATTCACAATTAACATAAAGTAATTTTAACTTAGGTTTTCTCTTTAAATACAAAGTTACTGAAGAATAAGACTTTTAGTACTCCAGTTTTAGAAACTAATTTATATTTTCATTTTTAATCTGTGGTTTATTCTTTTCCTGTCAGAAAATGTGACCTTAATTATTTCTAACATTTTCAATAAAGTGATTATTATGATGCACAGCTCAGATTCTCTTTCAGGAATAAAATATATATTCATTTCTGCTGCATTTGCAGCAGGTAGATAGCCCTCAGTTATCAGAACATTTGGGAATTGCCTCCACTGAAGAGCCACCCTACCCAATGCCACATTCCTTTCCCTGGTGACCCAAGGCCAATTTAACCCTTTTTATATTTATTGCTATGAATGATATGTTTGGCCTACAACCTAACTCTGTCACCAGAACCTTGGATGGTATGAAAGGGTCATTATATCACAGCTGTACTACATCTGTCTAATCCTGCCTCCTTTCCTTCCCCATTATTGATATTGATCCTCTTGAATCGTGAAACAAGCTAGCAGTTTACTTGGACCTCTGCCTCATCTTTTTTCTTTTGTGCTTCAGCCTGCGCATTCGCTTCTTCCTCCACTTGGCTCTCATGGTGCAGAGGTTTCCAAGAAAATGGTGCTAAGGCCGAGAGAGCAGCATTTTTATTTACTGTTATTTATATTTATCTAGATTTTTACTACTAACTTATATGTGTTGTCTTCGTTTGGATATGTTCTTTAAAACTGAAAAAGTTGTATCTTCTAAAGCAACCTGAGTGTTTTTTAAAAAATAATATTTTTTTATATTTATTGTTATTACTGATATATTTAGCCTTACGCCTGTCACTTTCTATAGTTTTGTTAGTATTACTTTCTTATTATTTTGTTGTTTTCTGAATTTACAATGTAAGTCATGCTTTCTTTGCTATATCCTTTTCTAGTGTAATAATACCAATATATTTTGTTTTCATTCAATTACTGACTACCTTCCAAGGTTTCAAAAGCATTCTTTAATCTATTTTGTTTCAATTTTAGAGTAAAAAAATCTCCCACTATAGAAGAGGGGACATTTATCAGGCTTTTATTTCTTTCCAGGTCTTCCCAATTTTTGGATTTTGGAGTCTATTAATATAATCTGGTGTTTGCAATCAATATTATTCTTGAAGTTTTACTCTACAGTGTATCTTTTTCTTAAAAATCATTTCAGTTATTAAATTTTTGTTCCATTTTATAAATTTAATTTTCTGTTTTTATTTTTTATACTATTTTCTTAATCTTCAAAATGCTTTTTGCTACTATTGTATTTTTAATTTTCTTGGCATTGTCCTTATTGTACCAATCCCTCTTTTCTTTTCATTGTACTGCCTTTTTATTTTAGTCTATTCCATTCTTAAATATTTTTCGTCTCTTATTTCATAGAATTTGTGTGTTTTTGCACTCAAATGAGCACACTACATAATTTACTGAAATAACCAGACATTTTTTTCTAATTTTCAAAGCAAGCAAAATTCTCTCTTGTTAATTTTTATGTCTTATGACACCTGCCATTGTATTTCAGATATCCTGGGGGTTCAATAATTTTGGTTCTTCGAATTATAACCTCAAATTAGGATTCAGCATAAGCTCTTACCTTGTACCCTCAACTCTAGCTTTTTTATTCTTAAATCCAATTTGAACCTCATATCCTGACTAAATATATAGTCATGCATATATTTATATATTAAATGTGTAAATATATATTAATGATGGAGATACATTTTGAGAAATGCATCATTAGGTGATTTTGTCATGTGAACATGCTAGAGTGTACATACACAACATAGGTGGCATAGCCTGCTACACACTTAGATTACATGGTATAACCTATGGCTTCTAAGCTACAAACCTATAGAGCATGACTTAATCATATCTAAGTATAGAACAGGAAAAATACAGCATTATAATCTTATGGGACCACTGTCATGTATGCAGTTCATTGTTGACTGAAATGTCATTTCGTGGCTCCTGACTATGTGTGATTATACGTACATACAGACATTATATTCATGTGACAATATATAGATAATGTATGTTTACAGTATGTATAATGTAATGTATATGTATAATGTTTACATATTATACATATTATGTATATTATATGCATATCATATATATGCATATATATTATGTACATTATATATAATGTAATGTGTATATATGTATCTCATATATACATTACATATACATATTACATTACTTGTTTTCTTCAGCTCAGAAATACTCACTGACTTTTAATGCCTATAAAGTACAGACTGCTTAACCTCTCATTAAAAACTCTTAGATTATCTGCCTCTATTTTTATTTTATATGATTTAAAAAATTTTTACTATACTTAATCTCAGCCAAAGGCTGATAAGTGCTTTTTAAAAATTTTAATTGATAATAACTATCTATGTTTATGTTGTACATTGTGATATTTTGATAAATGTATACCTTATGGAATGATTAAATCAAACTAATTAACATATTCATTCCCTCATAATATATATACATTTTTTCTCTTAAGAACATTTAAAATCTATTCTTTTAGCAATTGAAATGTACAATACATTATTATTAACTACAATCACCATGCTTGAAATAGATCACTAAAATTTATTTCCCCTGTCTAATTGAAATTTTGTGCACTTTGATAAACATCTCCCCTCTCATTCTTCCCCTCCAACCTTTGGTAACCACCATTCTATTCGCTGCTTCTATTAGTTTGACTTTTTTAGATTCCACATGTACATAAGATCATGCAGTTTTTGTCTTCCTGTGACTGTCTTATTTCACTTGGCATAATGTCCTCCAGATTCATTCATGTTTTCACAAATGACAAAATTTCCTTCATTTTTAAAGGCTGAATAATACTCCATTGTATATAAGAACATTTTCTTTATCCATTCATCTGTTGATGGACACTTAGTTTGCTTCCGTATCTTGGATATTGTGAATAATGCTTCAATGCATATGGGAGTGCAGATAATCTCTGATATATTGATTTCAATTACTTGGGTATATACCCAGAAGGGGGACTGCTGAATCTTATGGTGATTCTATTTTTAGTTTGTTGAGGAAATTCCATACTGTCTTTCATAATGGCTGTACTAATCTATATTCCTGTCAACATTACAAGGGTTCCCATTTTCCTAAATCCTCACCAATGTGGGTGTTATCCATGCTGTCTTTTGTCTTTTTGATGATAGCCACCTAACAGTTGTGAGGTGATATCTTACAGTGGTTTTAATTTGCATTTCCTGATGATTTGAGATGTTGAGCTTTAATATATATACACATACACACATATATAGGCCCCTTTCCCATTTTAAAATCAGGTTGTTTGTTTTCTTGCTATTAAGTTGTTTGATTTCCTTATATCTTTTGGATATTAGCCTCTTATCAGATGTTTGTTCTATAAATATTTTTTCCCAGTCCATGGGTTGTCTACGAATTCTGCTAATTGTTTTCTTTGCTGTGCAGAAGCTTTTTGATTTAATACAATTCCATTTGTCTATTTTTGCTTTCGTTGCCTGTGCTTTTGAGTCTTATTCAAAAAAATCATTGTCCAAACCAAAGTCCTGGCACTTTCCCCCATGTTTACTTCTAGTAGTTTTACAGTTTCAGATCTTAATTTTAAGTCTTTAATCCATTTTGAGTAGGCTTTTGTATATAATGTGAGATAAGTGTTCAGTTTTATTCTTCTGTATGAGGATATATAATTTTCCCAAAACTATTTATTGAAGACTGTCCTTTCCCCATTTTGTATTCTTAGCACCTTCATTGAAAATCAATTGACTGTAAATATGTGGGTTTATTTCTGGACTCTCTGCCCTGTTCTACTGGTCGGTGTTTCTGTTTTTAGTCCAGTATCATGCAGTTTTGATTACTATAGCTTTGAAGTATATTTTGACGTCAGGTAATGTGATTTGCCCAGCTTTGTTCTTCTCGCTCAAGATTGCTTTGGCTATTCTGGGTCTTTTGTGGTTCCATAAAAATTTCACAGTTGTTTTCTATTTCTGTGAAAACTGACATGGGAATTTTGATAGAGATTGCATTGAATAAATAGCTTTGGGTAGTATGGACATCTTAACAATATTAAGTCTTCCAATCCTTAAACATGGAATAACTTCCCTTTATTTGTGTTGTCTTCCATTTCTTTCATCAGTGTTAATTTTATATCCTGCAAATTTACTGAATTTGTTTGCCAGTGATAGCAGTTTTTTTGGTGAAGTCTTTAGGCTTTTCTGTATATAATATCATATCATCAACAAACACAGAAACTTTCACTTCTTTCTTTCCTATTTGGATGCCTTTTATTTATTTTTCTTACCTAACTGCCCTGGCTAGGACTTCCAGCAGTATGCAGAATAGAAGTTATCTGCTCTATTTTTTTTTTTTTTTTTTTGAGATGGAGCCTCGCTCTGTTGCCCAGGCTGGAGTGCAGTGGCGTGATCGCAGCTCACGGCAAGCTCCGCCTCCCGGGTTCTCGCCATTCTCCTGCCTCAGCCTCCAAGTAGCTGGGACAACAGGCGCCCGCCACCACGCCCGGCTAACATTTTTTTTTTTTTTTTTTTGGTATTTTTAGTAGAGACGGGGTTTCACCGTGTTAGCCAGGATGGTCCCTCTGCTCTATTTTGAAACTCATTTGCCACTCTCCACCCATTCCATAGTTACTCATTTCTGCTCATTTACCCAGCTCTTTCCCTTATCAGAAATTCTACCCTTACCTGTCTGTTTAATGCTTAGGTAGTCTTCAGAGCACACTTTCAGTTCTTCCTCTTGCATAAAGATTTTCTGGATCCTGAAATGACCTGTCCTTTATTACTTATTTGTTTCATCAGGCACTTCTCTTTTATTACCTTGCAGTTGTTGGTTATTTTGGTAGGTGTAGATATCTGATCTCCCCGTTTACAGGATGGACTCTGAAGACAAGGGTCACACCACTGTAGCTGTTGCTGTTGTTGTTACATGGTTAAAACCCTCTGATTCCTAGCTGAGAGCCTAGCCTTCATTGTTTCTACAATGGATATTTGCTTTTTGATATACATGAAATTTACTCATCATTCTCAGACACATCTATTTCTGATTCTCATTGTTCTATTAAAACGAAAAAAAATTCAGAAAACAATGTCAAAATCAGTGCATAAACAAAATGCACCTTGTAAGAGAAATTACTTACCAGTATGTAATGAAGGTAATGGTTCAGCAGCACTTTAAAAAATTATTCTAATTTCCTGTTTTAAACTGTGACTCTTTAAGAAAGCATTGGCATCCTCCCTTTTCTGACTCCAATCCCTTTTGCAGCTTCATTGTTCTCTGGCAAAGGTTGCTTGAGGTTTGTCATCATCTTTCAACTCAACTTTGAGAACCAGAATTTAGACTATGGTTCCCACACCTTGATCAGTTACTAGGTCCAAAGGCTTTTAAGGCTAAGTCAGGCATAGTAATAGTTTACAAGACTAAATTCCTTGGCAAGGAAAATGACATCTGTAGAAAGACGGGAATTTTTTTAAATCTTTTTTTTTAAATGAGTTACTGCAGATGGGGCTGGTGATTTTCCTTGGCATTGAATTTTATGTCACACAAAGCCGTGTGCTCTTCTAAAAACATTGCCACAATTTGTTGACTCTTTGTCAAAAGTTTTGACAGTTTGTTGGCATATGATATATTCCTGCACCTGCCTGGATGAACTTAAAATTTTGTGTATTTAAAAGAAATATTTATAAATACTTCAGCATTTAACATGGATTCAAGAGTACTTAGGGATTATTTAGAGCATCTAAATTTTGAAATCCAATCCTAGGTCTTTTGGGGGGTGGTTAACTTAGTGGCAGTCATATTAAGGAATAAGAGGACACTTCCAAATAGCTGAGTGTTTTTTCCCCCGGTGAGTCTTTAGTCCCATCAACTTTTTTTTCATAATAAGCATGTAAGATTTTTTGAGTTGCTCACTATTTTTAAATGAGGTGTTTACTTTGTCCTTTAAAAGCAAAGTTTGAGACCTGTTCTATGGATACCCCTTTTAAGAATACTCTCTCTCATACTGTCCATTTCTTTTTGGCTAGATGAAATGAGTTTTTGTGGTTGTCGTTTTAATCAAGACATAAAATCATTGAACAATCCACAAGTGTTGGCTCTAACATTTGGGCATCCTGTGATTTTTTTTTCAGAAAGAATAATCCGTAACTTTCCCTTAGCTGGGGATTAAGGACAGTCATGCCAAATGTTGAATAAGAGTTTCATACATGGACATGTAATTGACTGCAGTGTTGATGCCATCCTACTTCTGGTATTTAAGTAGTTTAAGTATATTAAAACACAACTGTTACTCAGTGTTGTTAGTCTTTTCACTTCATTAATGATAGGATTTCTGAGGGAAAGTGTGGCATAATAAAGTTGGAATGGGTTCCACTTCTTCCTGATGCTTGCTAGCTGCGTCTCTTTATAAAAGTCACTTGTCCTATCTGAATCATCAAATACAGATCTCTCAAGAATGGCTATGAGGATCAATTGAAATAATACATGAATCAGTAATAAATTGTTATTCTTGTTAGCCAGGAAGAAGGGGCATGTGTAATCTATTGGCCATTTCAGAATGAAGCTGTATAATGCAGCCGTGTGGCAAAAGGAGATCTGTGAATGAAAATGGGGCAGTTGGAGAAAATGGGTTCAGCTATGAAGAGTAAGTATTCTGCATTGGTCTTCCCATCATTGTCCATCACTCTTTTCCTGCTCTAATTAAAAGGAAAATTATATCCAAGGAAGAGTGAGTAGATATAGTGGTCCACACATCCCTTTGAGTAACAGCATTTCTGACAGAGTGCTGAAAGCTGTGGCTGTCTTTAAGACTATTAGGAAGACTGAATTTCCTGAAATTGATCTCCAGAATGATTTTGTGTGGCCGGAAATGTTCATTGAACAGAGACGTGAGAGGAGACATGAATAAACAAAGTATGCATTTCTATTTTAAAATAGATGTGAAGTTAGGAAGAAGAAATGAGAATTGGCTCTCAGCTAAAGGCTTTGGAGTTGAAGGAACTGCATTTTGTCTTACTCTGAATTTCATAGACCATGAAACTGAGTTTCTGAGAGAAACTGACTTGGAGGGTGAGTTCGCACCCTCGTTTGTTGAGTTCCTGTCGCTGCAGCTTAATTTGCCTTCGCACCTTCCTTTCACGCTCACAAGTGTCTGGTTTAGACAATACGTTACACGACCACCAACAGTAGCAGCAGCAGCAGCAGCAGCAGGGCTAAGACTGCTCTCCAGATCCACTTCTCCCACTACTTTACTGTTGTTTTTTCCTTAAGTGTGCTGTAACTTATTCTGTTTCTCAAATAGGAATTTGAAATTGTTTTTTAAAAAATAATCTTGAATACAAAAAAATTAGCCAGGCATGGTGGTATGTGCCTGTAATCTCAGCTACTTGGGAGGCTGAGGCAGGAGAAGTGCTTGAACCCGGGAGGCTGACATTGCAGTGAACCGAGATCGCACCACTGCACTCCAGCCTGGGCAACAAGAGCGAAAACTCTGTCTCAAATAATAATAATAATAATAATTTTGAGATTTTTTTAAAACATAATTTTGAAATTATTTTGCCCATGTGGGTGCTGACACAATCAGAGATGTTTGTTTAAACTTTAAGAGGAACATGAAAGATATCAGAAACACTAAGAGAGTTAGGGCAAGACATTAATGGGAAGAGATTTTTGGGCAAACTTGGTCAAATAACATACTTGATATTTATTTGGTCAGGAAATAAGTAAGTACCTATGTGTCTTCCATCCTATATGAGAGGTTACCAGTGCATGTTTTATTGCATTCTTTTTATATCTCTTTTTGTCAAATAAGCAAATAATTATTGATCACTTTATAAATGTAAGGCATTTTGAAATTATTAAAGAAGTGGCAGTGGATGATTCTCTAGGAAACACCAACAGCTTTAAGAGTTATAGTCGCCATTTTCTTAACCTATGAGTTTTCATTTAATCTGGGAGAGTCATGTTAAACTAATGGTGAACATCCCCCAACATGAATTTCACTTGCACTCTTGACAGTTCAAGATGGCTTTGGGATCAGATATCAGTCACCTGAAAGATATTTGGAATATTTGGGTAAGTTGGTGGCTGGGTGGAGGCAAAGGAAGGAGGAAGGAGAGAATTTCCCAGTACTACTCAAATCACAACATCTAGTTCATTTCCTACATAAGCCCAGATCACGCAGGCAGCACTGCCTGTGGAAGGAAGAAAGAGCCTTGTGTGCTCACTACACAGGCCTGAGGTGCCATGTGACCTTATCTTTGAGCGGTCAGAAGCACGTCAGAAAGGCTTCCACCATGGCTGGTGAATAAGAGCGCTATAAAACCTGAGAACACAAGACCTAATGACTTAATGGTTTTGGCTCTGCCTTGATTTGCAGGGGCCTGTCTTCTTACATAGTCCATGAGCTGTTTCCAACCTGCACTTGATTCCCTTAGTGGGGGGAGAAACAGATGCGCAGTTGGCAAACTGGGAGTCTAATCCAAACATCTAAACAGCACTGCTTGGAGGAATTCAGGATGGTGTCCAAGAGTAGGAAAGGAAATGTATTTGAGAACAGGGACTCCTAAAGCTTACTTTTGTCCTCTGCAACCCCCCCCCCCCACCCCCACCCCCTCTTATACTGTCTTTGGCATAGCTTAGTCATTAATAGCAGTCATTAGTGGTGAATGACCTGGAAGAAGCAGAAAGTGGGGGTGGGTCGTATGTGGTGAAGATTTTTGGCAGCTAATAAGGAGGCTTTCTGAAGTTGCTTCCCCAGTTGGATGGGATGGAAACTTTTATGAGCTTGAGTCACATTCATACAGATAGGGTTTTGTAACTTAGCATTGTGCAAGTTATCTGGAGCTAGAAACCTCTGGGAATTAGATGTCTTTCAATTTCCAGGGTGTAATGTATATAAAAGCCTCCTTAGACATGATCTTTCCTCCAAAAAATACCTTTTCCCAAGGATGTCTTGGGAAATTTTATCCCATGTTTACTGAAATGTTTAACTTCTTATCAGTTGAACCAAGGGTTAGTTTGTATATAAGACACTCAACTGAAAAACCACAGGGCTAGAACTACCCAAGTCCAAAGAGTTTCCCAGGAGGGCAACTTCCGGATCCAGACATCAGGCTTCTAAAATCATTTAAAGTTGACATAAAGTGATCCTACTCACAGGTTATAAACAACTTTTTACTTTTAGGCCGTAACAATTAGAAACTGTTTATTTTAGTTTTGTAAGTGGATCCATTCAATAGGTTCCACACAGGGCATCTATCCCAATCTCGGCCATCACTCAGACCTCCTTCTTTCTCCTCTCTGCCCAGCCATATCTCCCAAATTCATCACGACTCCCAACCCCCACCACACACACTCTGAAGATGGCCAGATTTACCAAGTGAAAATACAGAACACCTTGTTAAATTTGAATTTCAGGTTAAAAAACCCAAAAATCCTTTCTTTTAGCATTGCTACATTCTATGCAATATTTGAAGCATATTTATACTAAAATATTATGTATTGTTTATGTAAAAATTAAATTTAGCTGGACGTCCTATATTTTATCTAGTAATCCTGCCCCTGCTCATACCCTTTACAAAGTATCAACATTTATAGTATATTTAAGTTGAAACTGCCTTGTAAGATCAGTTGAGATCATTACAGAAAAATGTATGGTAACATAAAAACTCCTAATACTTGGAACACTTGAAATTTTTCAAAGTTTTTGTGGGGGGGGGTGTGGGGGTGTTCTTTCTTTATTCCCTAAGATGCATATAGAGAGTCTAGAAGCCAGTAACTATCTTGAATTAAATGGGGATCTTTTAAAGTAACTTCTCTGTTCCAGCAATCCTGTAATATGTTTAAATCTCAGCTTGGCATCCATCCATACCCACAAGTAAAAATATTTTTCTTTGATCAAGGATACAATGGAAAGGGTGAACATCAAGGGACTCCTTTCTTATCTATATGTAGCTAATCCAGATAAAATCCTGTAAGTTATGAAAAAACAAACAATAGCAGAATAGTTTGCCATCTTCAAAATCTGGGAAACAGATTAGGTCTCTAGACTGAGAAAAAACATGCTTATATTTAGCCATGTGCTTTTCCATCAGAATTGTTGATCAAAAACTGGTACATTTATATGAAACTGTAAAAAAAAATTCAAGCTAATCTAAAGGAAAGGAAAGCAGAGTAATGGCTGCTTGAGGATGGGATGGGAAGTGGGAAGGGCAGAAGAGAGGGCTTCGCAAGGACATAAGAAAACTTTTCAGCATGATGGATATATGTACCATCTTGATTGTGGTGATGGTTTCATGGATATACACATATTTCAAAACTTATCAAATTATACCATAAAACATGCAGCTTATTGTATTAACTATACCTCAATAAAGGTGACACAAATTTTAATTGTTACAAAATAAAACTAACACATGATTAGCTCTATTATAATTTTAAAGAAATTAAGGAGGTCATTTTGCCTATTAGAATGCCTGGAATTAAGAAGCTTTCTATGAAGGTAAGATGTACGTCTTATTTACCTCAATTGCTAAAACCTCGGGTGCTGGCACAGGTCCTGGTATATAGTAAAGGTACACAGTATATTTTGAACAAGTTGTTAAATAGAAGCCATATAATCCCAGAATACAGCACGGAGAAGGGTATGCTGGTTAGGATAGGAAGATGTGTTAATTATGTGTGGCTGCTAGGAACAGAATACCGACCAGTGGATAAGTCATACAAGTATTTATTCTTCCGTGCAGTAGTAGTTCAGAAATAGGCATTCCAAGGCTGTTGGGTGGCTCTCTCCAAAAGTGTTAGGAACTCAAGGTTCTTCTATTTTTTCTGCCTCACAACACATGGTTCCCATCCTCAAGGATAACTAATTTTCACAGATGACAGACGGAGTTGCAGCCATTACAATTGACTTCTAGACTGCAGGAAGGGGGATGGCAACCCCTTTCTGCTAAGACTGTGCCTTTGAAGTGGCCTTATCTGAAGACCCACATGACATTTTTATATTTCATTGGCTGCACTTAATGGCAAGGGAGGGTGGAGAAGGTAGACTAGTTTTCAGATGCCAATGTGTACAAGCGAAGAGCAGGTTTTGGAAAACAAGGAAGAAGAGAACCGGCATTGGGTAGCCACTAGCTGACCCTACCACAGAAGGACTCGATATTACTTTTATGATTACTGTTGCCTTGTTCTTGGAATCAAGGTTGAATAGTAATCATTTCAGGTTTATGGAACACTTTTCTAGGTGCCTCTTCTAACTACACAAGTCTTTTATTTCACTGTAAACATTGGTCAGACAGCAAGCGGATTGAAAGAAAAGGGGCTATACCTAGAGGAAACTAACAACACTGAATTCCATCTTAAAGACTCTTCTACCAAGCAAGGAATACAGGTCAGAGGCCATTATAATAAAAAGATTGCCTGGATTCTTTTATTGTGTTGTATTGTATATTTCTTAAGACAAATGGATTATTGTCTAGGGCTCCAAAATCTTTTCTATATAGAGATTTTTGTCACTAAAGTATTTGTTGTGATGAAATTTGACCTATATTACACTTGTTTACATCTGCTGCCTAATTTCCCTTAGGGCAGTGGTTTTCAAAATTTTTTAGATGGGGAAAACTTTCATTAGAATAAAATGTTGTGGATGCATACAAATAAATAAAACAGATGTGGCTCTAGGTGAAAGACCATGAGTAGAAGTAACCCTCAAACCCCACGGCTCATCTAGTCTCCCATCCCCAACCACTTGTGTAGACCACATATGTATATTTGAGCCATGGCTTAAGACCTTGTAAATGATTTATTTTTAGTAACATTTAAATCCCATGTAGTAAATAATAAGAAACAGTTCTGGAAAATATTTTCCTTCACTAACTCATTTTTTAAGATACAGTTAAATCTTCCAATTCATACATCAGTTAAGAATTTGAGAATTAATAACAATTTGGTGTTTTTAAATGGTGTCTTGGCTTGAAAAACAGAAGCTAGTCAACCACTGAGGTTATGCTATTGTAAGATCTTATTTTAGCATGGAAATACAGATCTTCCCTGCATTATTATAGCACACATTCTTTCATTCTAATGGGAGGAAAACATCTATGCTCATCCGTCATTTAAGAAATAGGATTTCAGAAAGTGGATAGCTTTATTTTATTGTTGTTGTTGTTTCTTTTGTTTCGCTTTGCTTGTCATATCCATAACTAAACTTTGTGGAATTCATGAAAAATAAGATCTGAAGTTCTTTATTTAATAAATAAATTGAAAAATAAAAAAATGTTTAGAGAAGATGTATCTTTGGAAATAAGATTATTTTTAAAATCACACTTTTTTATTATTGTATTGTTGTGAAATAGGGGCCCATGTTTTTTTTTTTTCAAAGGAAAACAAAAAGAACATGGGTATGGATAATTTTAGGAGTCAATTTGGCATTTGCTAAAAACAAATAAGGACTCACCACCTATAGAATTCCGATTATAGTCTAATAGAATGCATAACAATGTCTATTTTTGGCTGTGTAAAAGTAATTCTATAAAAGGTTACTTTATATTCTAGTAGATTATTAAACTTACTTGTGTGGTATGCACATCTACATTACTGTGTAAGTCAGTGGTGTTCAAGGGGACAGTACTGTCCTCACAGATGGCAGTTTAGAAGCATATGGGGGTGCTTGTAGATTGTTAGTGTTTGCAGTGTGGTACTGGCAACTAGTGAATGGGGGCATGGGTGCTACATGTCCTGTGATGCTCTAGAAAGTCCTTCAAACAACCCATCACCCATGACCTGCAGGACTTGTGGATGTCCCACTAGACACCTACTCTGTGTTATACATAAATACAAAGTATCTTTTGCATGACTTAAATGTACACTGACACTAAACATTAGCAGGACATTTAACTTTATTTTGTTCACAGTTTTATTGAGATCTGTTTCCTATTTGAGAATGTCATGTCACTGAGAGCAGGACCATTTATGGCATGTACTCCACCACCAGCGCTCTGTGTGTAGCATTTTTAGTGATGATTCAAAGAACACGTAGAAGCAACTTCTAGGGGACTTCTCTCTGAGCATGACATGCTGAACTAGAGATTATTTTCTTATGAACTATTTTACGTTCATTGCTCCTTTATATTTGATTATGCATGTTGGCAGCTTACAATTCCTATTTATTTTCTTTCAGGAGAGTAAAAGGGGTTATAACAAGGAGATGCTGGTTCTGATACAGTCGAGAGCCACTAAGAGTTTCACAACCTTGGCACCATTGACATTTTGGGCTGGAATATTCTTTTGTGTTGTTGTTTTGTTGCTTTTTAAATTTTTTAATTATTTTATTTTTAAAATTTTGTTTTAAATTGACACATAACTGTATATATTTATGGGATACAGTGTGATGTTTGATGCACGTATGCGTTCTGCAGTGATCAACTCAGGGTGTTTAGCGTATCCATCGTCTCATACATTTATCATTTCTATGTGGTGAGAACATCCAAACTTCTTCTAGCTATTTTGAAATATACAATACAATACTGTTAACCACAGTCACCCTAGTGAGCAATAGAACACCAGAACTTATTTTTCCTATATAACTGTAACTTTGTACCCATTGACTAATCTCTCCCTATCCCCCTCCCCAGCCTCTAGTAACCACTATTCTGCTATTTGGAAAATTCTTTGTCGTGAGGATCTATCCTGTGCACTGTGGAATCTTCACCAGTATCCCATGCCTCTACTCACTGGATGCCAGTAGCAGCCTCCTCCCCTGTCCTCCTCAAGTTAAGACAACCAAAAATGTCTTATAACATTGCCAAATTGTCCCTTGGGAGACAACATAGACTGTGGTTGAGCATCAGTGAACTAGTATGAGAGACAATAAGAATTCTAGAATTGTCAGATGTGCTCCTTTTTTCATTCCACCGTTACATATTGCTGAAAGCCTTTGCTATGTTCTTTGAAATTGCTGCTCATGGTTACATGGTGAACCCCAATATCCTAGTTTCCTTCAGTAGCCAATCATGACCGTACTAGCTTATTTCAAACCTTTTGGACATCTGTTTTAGGAGGAAGGACATTGAACTTGGAAGATCTGCATGTTAGCCCAGGTTTTCCATAACCTACTTGTGTGACCTTGGGCAAATCCTTTCATGACTCTGGGCTGCAACTGCATCTGCATAAAGTGAAGGGTTGGGTTAGATAATCTGAAGTGCCTTCGGTTCTGAAAGGTTTTAATTCATTTCTCTCTGACTCACCTCTTTAAAAATCTGTTCAATTGTTGTCAATTCTATATGCAATTTGGCAAGAGACACCTCAAACATACTAATAAAGTACAAATTGAGTTTAAAAACATTGACGTTAATTTAAAAATTATCATTCAGAGGATTTTTAAGTAGCCCAACTGAAGTTAGAAAAACAGATTAATTGCTGCTTAACAGAATCTAAATTAGTTTTAAACTCTTGTTTGTAAGAACCCGGCTCAGAAATCGAGGAAACAAAGTCTCGTTGGCATAATAACAAAGGAATATACCTGGACCATCTTGGGAAGCAGAGTGAGCCAATAATTTGGCCATAATCAGGATGATGAGGAACAGAAAACCTGCGGACTTAAAATGAAAGTAGTATCTATATCAATGACTCTACCTCTAAAAGGCCAAACCACATGGATGACAGATGAAAAAGCAAGCAAGTCATAAGCTTTTTCTCCCACATAGCTAAATACTTGGATATTTAGAGATATAGAGCTTACAAATAATTGGCTGAAATTTCATTTTTTTTCCAGTAGCTTCGACATAAGAAAGATAAGGCTGACTTATCCCTCTTAGATATGGAGACAACAGGCACCTCCAAATCTAAGAGGTTTCAATGATGGATATTCCCTATTTTCTCTTTCCTCAGCTATCAGTAGGTCCTGAAGGCAGTCTATTGGTCAATGGTGATAACTGTGAATCAAATGCCAAACTAAAAAAAGCATTGCAATCCTGTTGAAGGAGAAAGAAACTTACTAAAAACCTACTGTATGTCAGGCATACATTAACTCTAATCCTCAGAATGCCTTGCAGGGTCAGCATTGTCATTCCCATTTTCAGATGAAGAAACTGAGTCTTTGAGATGACTTACCCAAATTTACTTAACTCCTAATGGGAGCCTGAATCTTTCTGGTTCCTGTGTCCACACTCTTTCCAATGAGCACTCTTTCATGTCCAAACTCTTTGAAGTAAGGGTCTATACTAAGAGACCTTTAGGTTAGCTAAGGGTGGTTCCAGGGTTAGAATTGTTATATGGCCAACCTCTGGTCAAGACACAGTTGAAAGTTTGTAAAGTTTGGGCAACTTGTGTTTGGTTCTTCTTTTTTTCTCTCTCTCTTTCCCCTTTCTTCATTCTTTGCCCACTTGAAGATCAAACTCTACTCCTGGCATCAGTATCTCCAGACTGCTTTCTAGATGCTCATGAGTTCCATAGCACCATATCTTATCAGAACAGTTCTCATGGACTCCTTCCTGACTTACTTGTCCCAAATTTCATTTTCTTAAGACTCTGCTCTCTGCTGGGTGGTGATGTGTGGTCATGGCTTTGCAGACACAGCAGCCTTCTGCTGGGTTAGTTAACTAGCCTTCCAAGAGACCAGACATTTTAACTGAGATACAAATCCACCCAAGAGCATTAGAGAGAGCTTGGAGTAATGCTGCAGATATCAGGCACTAGGGTCTTGAGGATTAAGTAGCAAGGTCACCTCTTTAACAGGGCTATCAACATTTTAATGGGGATTAAAGCCCTGAGCTCAAGTGGTAAAACTGATAAGACATTTCAGGATAGTGATTTTAAGAAGGGCAATAAAAGAACAACTAGGCCTTTCTGGGTCTCTTAAAATTTATCCTCTACTAGACCAAATTCTTCCTGATGATAAACCAATTTTTGATCAAGACAGTAAATGTCTGGGTGCATATGTCTAAGTTGGCTTAATTGGAACACACAAAAAAGGGAACTTTAATGTTTCAGTAATAAAGAATTCCAGCAGGACCAAAATAGCAACAACTATTTGTTAGTTAGACTAGGCTCCATGTGATCCCAGCCTCTGCATGATAAAGATATCAATGATTTCATTGTACTCAAAGAGTTTCTATTAATTAATCAATCATCCAATGCTTTCTGAGCACTTGCTGTGTCCAAGGCCTTGTGCTGGGGTGGAGATAAAGGGTCTTGCTAACATACGAAGGGCTTAAAGTAATTGAATATATTCACAAAACCATGTAATTTAATGTGAGGTTTTGCAGCAGGACATGGAATTGATATATGTATTATATACTCATTTATTAGTTTATTCATTTGACAAAATTTATATGAAGGCAGAATATTCCAGGTACCATGCTAGACCTTGGGAGATATCACTGAGAAACAGAGGCAGTCTGAACTCCAAGGGCCAATATTTTGATAAAGAACACAGGTACAGTATGATGCTTCCAGTAAAATGGGATTAGGACTATGAAAAATCAGTTATCCGGGCAAGTTTTACCATGAAAGCACACAGGTCGATGGCTAGACCTTGTCTTGAGGTGATAACAAAAGCATTCTGGAGGAGGAGATGCCCAAGGGAGACCTGGTGGATAAGGAGTGAGCCAGGCCAAATGTGGAGGGGAGGGGGCAAGAAGGAAGGAGGGAACAGCATGTACAAGGACTGGAAACAAGAGAGGCTGGCCAAGCGTGGGACAGTCAATAGCTCAGTATGGTAAGGAGTTAGAATTTAAGACATGCAAATTGTGGAGGATGTAAGTGGAGAGGGAAAGAAAGGCTGATTCATGAAGATAGTTGAATTCATGCCAGGGTGTTTAGATGTTATTTTGGGGACAATGGCAAATCACAGATGAATTTTAACTATGGCAGCCATTTCAATCATTATAATGTGGTATATATGGGAAAACAAAGTAATTTTGCTTCTCTGGAAAACATAGTAGGCTAACAGAAATGCCTGAAGCTAATAACCAAACTATCTTGAAGATTTTGACTTATCTGTGGTGGTAATTGTGGCATGAAGTGTTCAGAAGTGTTTTTTGTTCTTTCCATGGATCTCTCTTTAGTGAGATTCCTTAGGAAATAAATAAAAGACATTTTTGAATAAGAAGTTAGTAAAAGTCATAAAGGACTAGAGTTAGAGTAGATATTGTGCAGCTGTGTCTGGCTGAAGCCAGAAAGTGAAAATTAAGCAGCTGACACATATCTCCTTATAACTTTCATTGAGCAGACAACCTCCCCTCACCCCCACCACTCCTGTCTTACTCTATGTACATTTTTTAATGTGAAAACGATTAAAAAATGTTCTAAAGTTAATAAAATATACAACTTGACCTGGTTAATCTGAACCAGTTTGCAAACTCCCTTTATATTTGGATAAAAAAATAAACCTTCAGATTAACAAACTCTTGGCAAATTCCCTGCCTCTCATGTTAGTGAATTCTTTACTAGTTACATTTCCGGCTCCCCAGACATGGGGATGAATTAAGCCTGGAAAAACCAGGCAGGGCTGTAATTACATTAAGCATTTTTTTTTTTTTTGCAATAAGAAAAAGTGTGTCAGAGCATAAAGATATCCTTAAGGTGACATTTGCTTTGACCTGCCAAGTTTTGGACTATGCCCCAGGTTCTTGGATCCAATAATAGAGAACATTTAGCCAAAGACACTTTCTACCTTTCTGATCATTACAGATTTTTTCATTAATGTAAGTGATAATGCTCCTGGCTAGAAAAATTGAAGGGTAGAGGTGGGTGTTTCAGAGAAAGCTGGAAGAACCTGAGTTGACCCAAGTTTTCAGACTCCAGCTTTAAAGTTGCTTGAGAAACCAGGGTCTGGTGAACAAGTGAGGGAAAGTGCATTAGGGAAAGAGTTGTCATCCTCAAATTGGAGAGCAGTCAGATGTCCCTCTTATTTCCTCGCTAACATCCTTCCAAATTTTCCCCATGACTTAACTTTTTCCAGAGGCCTTTCCTGACGAATCTACTTCCATCTTATTTATTTTCATAGGGTTATTCCAATTGGAACGATACAATATTGCTTTCAACTTGGTTTATATTGCTACTTAGGTTTTGTTTTTCTTTTTCTATGATGGCTCCGCATCTTCTGCCTTGCTCTTGGCACTGCTCAATGCTATCTATACAATATGTGCTTAATACTTTGTTGAGGGCATTATGAAAGAACTTAATGCTCAGAAAGAGAAAATGTAGAAAGCCAGCACCCAACCACCTTGCAGGAAATTTTCCCTGCATAATCACATTTATTACTCTCATAAAATATAACACTATCTTTATTACTATTGTCAGTAAAAGAAAGCCTCTAATGTATACCTTTCCTACCACACCTCACACACTTAACTATTAAGGGAATTCTAAATAGAGGCATGGAAAGACATGGAAAAGGCCAAATTCTTCCAGTGGGAGCCAAATGACCTGGAGTGTGGAAGTTTGATTCTGAACTTAAAGTAGTCTGGGAAAGCATAAACCTTGATATCTGAAATGTGACCCAGTGGCCCCTCCAGTGTTTTGAAATGGAGTCCTTGTTTTAAAATCTTCCCCTAGTCCTTCTTTGAGGAAAAGTAGTCTGAAGCTTACTTTCAAAGCCCTTAAGTGTAAAAATAAACAAGCATTCGGTCAATAGGGCCCCTGATGCCTTGCTATACCACAACACATTTTTGAGTCATAAATCATGAATCTGACAGGTCTATGATGATGCATTGTGTTAATACATCATAATGACAATACTGACAATGTATTAGTGCAATATATCCTGAAAGCCTATCTCTTTAGAATTCTGTGTTTATAGATAGCAAAGGAAGGATTTGAGGTGGTGAAACTGAGAAAGAGAGAGGCACATGGGAGGGTCAAGAATGACGATCATCTTTTTTTTCTGACAAAGCAAGAGCCAGAAAGGGAAATCAAATTTCCATCTCTTGGGCACTAATGCCTTCTGTTTCTCAGTAGTTGTGTCATGTATGCAACTCCTGGAGGTGTATACTCTACTGAATCTAGGTAATACAACTAGGTGTTGGCAGAGCCAGACTGGATGCAGACTTCTGAGTTTCAGCCACACTTCCTAAGACCTCCAAGCTTTAGGATGAATGAAATATATCCTAGGTACATGAAACTCTGTTCTAGATGAACCCATTGACCAAATGTTTTGGTTATGTTTGCACATGCTGGTGTGTGCTAATGTTTACAGTCCTTAGCAATGAGTGGCCTTTTCTTCCTAGGCTTCTGCTAAATGATGGAGTTTGATGCAGAGCCTAGGAATGGTAATGCAATCATTTCATTTGTTGGGCATTCACTGTTAGAATAGTTTGGGCCCAGTGTTTATTACACCTGGCCCATCAGACCAAGCTAAGTGTTAATCACATATCTGCTTCTTTTGCAAACCAATTGATCAGGGCTCTTTGCTTTTTTTTCAGGAGAATATTTGACAATGATAAAAACAGTCCTTAAGTTTAGCTTATGGTCTTGCCTATAAAATAAATGAATAATATGGCTATTGTGCCATCTTTGCAATGGAAACAACTGGAAAAATTGCATGCTGTTTGTGAAAGAAACCTCCTGTATATCATACCTATCAAATTTTCAATTGTCTGTCACTTCCAGTTAATTCATAATTGGCTTTGACATTCTTCATTTAATTCATTGCAATTCAATTTTAAGACCTCCAAAAACAAACAACAATGAACATACAAACAAAAAACAAAGGAAAATAAAGAAAGAAGTTAAGTAGAGCGACAAAAGTTATTCATTTAGAAGTGCAATGATCATACTGAGGGAGAGAAGGAAATTCAGTGGAATTGACATGTCTATGATTAGGAGATAGGCTGAGACTTATTTTTGTATCACTGAAGAGTAAACTAAAGTTTAAATTAGATTATGCAATGGCTGGTTATTTATAGGCACACATATTGAAGTAAATCTGTATATAAGGACAAGCATCTTACTTTAAAATTCAAATTACAAATAAGTTTACTGAAATACACAAATAAGTACATTCTTGAAATTAGCAAAATTGCTTTTCTTCTTCAACCAATTCTGTAATTCAGATTTTGCCAATGATGGTAAGTGTCTACATGGTATAAGCGAAAGTTTGATGCATATGGAAGTCAAGCAAGAAAGTAGGCAGTTCTTACCTGTTGGCATTTTGACACTATACTGTCATATTTTGTGAGTGTATATTTTTCTACATAGAGCCTATTTCTATGGACTTGCAAATAGTCTGTTTCTTCATAGACTTGCTATACAGATGTGGGTAAAGATTTTTTACATCTTCCATACTATATCTGTATTTCCAAAGTGTGGACCCTTGATGCCTGTCTATTGGCGATGTCGGTGTTTGCTGATATAATCCATTTCTGATGTCTTGACTTCCTCACCGTCCCCACCTCCAAAATTGAGATTTGCAATGTTTTGAGAACATTCAATGAAAATTAATAATAGATGCCTTTATGGAGATAAACAGTTTTCAGGACCAGATTATATACTTAAAAATACTCACAGATATTTTCTATTCAGCCAGTTTCTACCAGTAAGTGTGGCAGCCTGGGGTAGGAGGAACTTTATTACCTCCCACTGAGTGCTAGGGGACCATTAGGTAAATAACTGACTCTCCCTCAATGGCTGTCTTGCAACCAGATGGAGTGAGTATCTACAGAGGGACATTTACTCCTAGAGCTCACCAACTATGGCTCACTCCCGCCTGAGCAGGCTCCACTGACCATCAACTTTGATGGTTATCGCTGTCCAAAGAATTTTAAGGTTGCTGTAGAGAATAATGACAAAACCCATGGGTCCTGTGGCAAGACTCCAGAACTTTGAAGGTCCTCAGCTCTCTGACCAGTGGGCTTGTGGTAATATTTGTTGCTCTTGGCCTTGGAGTCAATTTGTTCCACACCCAAATGAGCATCTGGAGAAAGTATGACTTCTAAGAACTGTTCCCAGAGGCCATATCTGTCTCTCCATTACCAGAATAAAAATAGCCCTGGCTACTCCAACATACCCAGCTAATGAAAAGCTGTCTTATTTAACCCAGCCAGCTTACACCAATGACCTATAGGTCGACTTTCTCCTGCCTGCTTACATTTCCCACCAAATCGAGAGCATAGAGGACTGAAACATCTGTCTAAAAAATTCTCCTTGTTGTCATTCCCCAGGATTTATACATCATTTTGCTCTTATAAATCTACAAGGTATTAATGCATGAGACCCCGGGGAGGATACATGGACAGACATGGAGAAAAGCTTTCCTTTCCTGCTCCAGGGCCACCGACCTCTTAGGGCCTCACTTTCCTTGTTTGTACAATGAAAATTTGTATTCAATGAAAATTAAGGCATGTCAAGCTATATCTTATGCTTAGGGTATATCATTATAACATTTAATAGTAAAGTGAAAAAACATGTACTATACTGTCACAATTACAGCTTTGAGGCCTACAGGTTTTTCTGCAGTTGGTGCAGGTTAAACCTGCACTCTATAGTGAGATAACAAATCCTTTTTTTTCCAACCACTATCAGAAACATATTCCAAGGCACTCAGACCCTAAGCAGGTCCCCTCACACCAAATTTCCCCAAGCTGTCCAAACCGAAGTTTGTACAATGCTGCAGGGAAATTAGGATGGGGAAAATGATTCAAAATAGTGAGACACGCGAGAGGAGGAAAATCACATGTCAATGTATAGCAGCCGGCGTTCATTGTTTCACCTGAATTTAGAGTTGGGATGGGAGAGAAAATGGTGATTAAGGGTTTGTTCTTTGTGTGTGTTCTGAGGTGGTGGTATGGGTTCTGAGGGGGTTCATCCATTTAGAATTGCTGTGGGACTGTTTGTTTCTTTTCACATGGCCACAGCCCACTCCTGCTTGGTCAATATTCTATGGTGTACTTCTTCATCAAATTGCCAGAATTCTAGTTAAGTCTTCTGTTTGGGGAAACTCAACCTGAAAATTTGTATTTGAACACTAAAACATGCCCATGTTTCTGTTTTATATCCTAAGACATGAACTCAAATAGGAAGTTCCTTTTCCTGGGCTATTGAAATAGTTCTTTAGTATATTACTGTAGTGGGGAGAGAAAAAATTGTATCTTAAAACCCAAATCGCCTCCATCAGAGGGTTGGTTCTTGACCTCAGGATTTTTGCTTTGATGAGAGACTCAATGAGGGGGCCTCAGAGATATTTGGAAGGGGAGAATACAAGGAAATTAAGAAGAATATGGAGTTTCTGGAGCAATCTTGTGAGTCAACAGAAAAAGAGAAATGAGAGAAGAAAGAGAAGCAATTGGATAATAACAGGCTAGGGTGAAGGGGCTAGTGTTGTGCCGTTGTGGAGACTTCTAGGAACAGGGACTGCCCCCATTGGTGGTCTGTGTTGCTGTGACATAAACACCCTGCTGCTCTCTGCATGCCACACCTCAGCTGGAATGAAGTCTCTGTGCACACAAGTGTATTGTGTTAATACAATGATTGTAGAGCTGGAGGAAGCAGCTGAGTTTTCCATTTAGGTGCTCTTTGGGCACAGCAGGCACAGAATGGCAAGATCACCCAAACCCTGAACTGATCTAGGAAAAGGAAGAAGTTCAATCCAGAGGTAACTATGAGAACACCACTTCTGAGAATTTGCAAGAATCTCAGGGACTCTTTCAGGCTCCCATAAAGCATGGAATGTGAAGCGTGTGACTATCTTATCTCCATTGTAAAGGGCAGGGAGACCCCAGCTGACATATGGGTTCCATTATGGGGGTAGACTTTTGTTACAGCAGCATTGGGAATTAAGCTAATCTCTTTGTATCAGACTTTATCTGTTTGTGGTAATATTTTGTGGAATAAGATAAGCCCTGGAATATATTCAGATGTGAGTGATAAGTGATTTTATAAGTCAGTTTTGCTCAACATGGACTATTTGACTTCTAATGCAAATCTCCTTCCTCCCATACCACCCCCTCAGAACACACACAAAGAACAAACCCCTAATCACCACTTTCTCTCCCATCCCAACTCTAAATTCAGGTGAAACAATGAACGCCAGCTGCTATAAATTGACATGTGATTTTCCTTCTCTCGCGTGGCTCACCATTTTGAATCATTTTCCCCATCCTAATTTCCCTGCAGCGGGTTCTGTTGTCTGCTTTCAGCCCTTGGCTATCCTCATGCCCAGCCCCTCCTCTGAGAAAAGGTGGCTTCACTTCCTTTTACATCTTCAATGCACCACAGTGACCTTAGAGGCTGATGCAGGTGCTTTGGGAGACCACTTCATCAAGTGCTGCAGACAGCAAGGGCTGGGGTGAGCCATCAGCCCCTCAAAACTATGGTCTAGAACTGCCCTGGACCAGATTAGTAATGGTGACCTGGAGGTGAAAGGCTCTGTATTCCATTACCAGTCTCCTGAGTAATCTACCTAATTCAGTATCCTTTCATTTAATTGAAACATTATTTTCTCTCTGTTAGCCAGGGCACTCAAGGTGGTATAGCAGTGTTAATCTTTCAGCTGATTTCCATCTTTGCAGAATTACCTTTCTAGCAATTAGACCCACTGGTATAAATTTGCTTTGCTCCTTTCTGGAGTTCAACATTACAATGGAAATCTCCAAGCTCAACACGTTTTCCTCCAGGCTGACCCAGGGCAGGTATTAATTAACTGGGGTGTTGTGAGAAGGTTGAGCTGAAAAAGCCAAGTAGGAGAATGCTACTCTTGGGATATCTCTGCGGCCAGCAGACGGACTAAAGAGGGTGAGACCCGGATGAAGAAGAATCGCATTTAAAGTTACGTGAAATGACCGCACTATTAGTGAACCGGGGAGCAGAACAATGGTTATTCTGGAAGTACATCAGTACGTTCAGGTAACAAATCTTCTGCATCCTTTGTTGAAATCTGAATGTAGCTAATTTGTGAACATTCTCTAAGACACACAGGGTTACAGTGATAAACTGTCTCAGCTTGTTGGGGACTGAGAGATTCTGGGACCAGAGAGGCTTTCAGAGTAAAATTGTCAAAGTCCTGCAAAAACTAGGATGTGTTGGTCCTCCTGCTAGGTCCAAGTTGTTATTTTAAGCAGTCTCATTCTGTCATCCAGGCTGGAGTGCAGAGGCATGATCTTGGTTCACTGCAACCTCCACCTCCCAGGTTCAAGCTATTCTCCTGCCTCAGCCTCCTGAGTAGCTGGACCACGGCTGGCTAATTTTTGTATTTTTATTGGAGACAGGGTTTCACCATGTTGGCCAGGCTGGTCTCAAAATTCTGACCTCAAGTGATCTGCCCGCCTTGGCTTCCCAAAGTGCTGGGATTATAGGCGTGACATGTCAGTTGATTTCTCACGTCTTGCCAAATGGCAACAATAAGTTGATACTCACCCCTCATTTTCTGTCATTTGACTTTTTCTGAAATCTGGTGTCTGCTCCTACAAACACAGAGAAATTAACCCTGGATTTTCAAGGTGGACAGGATTGCTAATTGTCAAATCCAGTGACCTTCTCTTAGAACTTGCCCTCTCTCTAGCATTGAACACAGCTGAATACATCTCTTTTTTGAACTCTCTTCATTTGATTTCTAGAGCTGTGAAATTTTCTTACTCTTCTTTCTAACCATGTCTCTTTCTCCATTGCTTGAATTTCCACCGGCGGGCATGCCTGTTCTTTCTCTGCAGTTATTCCTATAGACGCTGCTGGTAATCTGCCTATTGCCCCTCAGTCCTGAATTTTATGCTCTGCTTTATGCTGCCAAGACTGGGAGTTAGCAAATTCTTACTTCCTTGGGTTCACTCGCCAGCTGGTTTGCCATTTGGCTCTGTCAGTAGAGGCACCTGGGGAAGGTCAGAAGGCAGGAGAAACTAGAAACCTCCTTCTCCTGACTCCAGCAGTGTTGGCAGTCACTCACAGGGACAGGTAGTTGCCATGGCACAACAGAATGTAGGGGATTCTAGTCTCCAGAAGCCTAGGCAGGGGCGTGTCTTCCCAGAAGCTCCAGCCCTTGTCAATGGTGAGTCTGGAACTAAATTTTGATAGCTTTTCCAATAGCACAGAAGCCAGTGAAGCTGAAGGCTCCAGCTCAGGCACATTCAATGCATGCATCCTCTGGCTATTGGCAACCCCATCTGTTGCTCTTCTAGCCCTTTTGATATTGTCATAACAAATTCTGTGCCCTTAAGTGTGAAATATACAGAGTGGCTGGTGGTTTCCTGACTGAGTCTTGACTGATCTACTGTTGGGCTTTCAATTCTTTTTTTTGTTGGTTTGTTTGTTTTTGGGGGGTGGGGATGGAGCCTCACTCTGTAGCCCAGGATGGAGTGCAGTGGCACAATCTCGGCTCACTGCAACCTCTGCCTCCCAGGTTCAAGTGATTCTCCTGTCTCCACCTCCTGAGTAACCGGGATACAGACACACGCCACCACGCCTGGCTAATTTTTGTATTTTTAGTAGGGATGGGGTTTCGCCATGTTGTCCAAGCTGGTCTCAAACTCCTGACCACAAGTGATTCACCCGTCTCAGCTTCCCAAAATGGGATTTCAATTCTTAATGATATATAAAAGACTCGACCTCGGGCCTGCATCAAAAACCACTGTCAGGACCTATCCACATGGTTGTAATGCTAGTTTATACTATACTAGTCGTCATCCTACAGCTCTTGATCTTCCCTCCCTATTACTAAAACAGCGACTAGTGATGAAGCTATCATTCTTCTATTTATCGTGGACACTTGCCACTCCCTTGCTTCCAAAACCTAATCAACCACCAATTCTTGTCTTTTTATTAGAAAAACAAAATTATTTCACATGGGTCATTTTGTTTCCTTTCCTTGGTTTTGGCCTCTGTAACGTCAAGTCTGAACAAAAGCAATATCTTTCTCATTTGTTAAGAAAATACTATTAATACCTGCTGTCTTGTAAAGTAGTGGCTACCCTGGAGAAAGTACTTATTTACATGATTTCCAGACAAATTGCCTTGACTCTAGGATACGTGCTGTCTCCTCCTGCAGATGAGGTGACTGAAGCTTAGAGGTTAACTTTTCAAAAGCCACAGGGGTGTTAAGTGGAAGAGCCTGGATCTGAACCTAGGTCCTTGTCACTCCATAATGTATGTGTTTTCCTTCAGTCCCTCCCTTTTTAGTCTCTTCAACATCAAATCTGTCACATAACCAGCCTGGTTAATATTCCTAAAGTTTACTTTTAAATCACCTGACTCATAGACAGGATTCAGTAAATACTTACTGAATGAACTGAACATACTATTCCTCTAATTAAACACTTTTACAATAAAGTTTTAACAGCTTGATTGAGGTACAAAAGTCATATAATAAACTACACGTATTCAAAGTGTACAGTATAATAGTTTTTGACACATACAAACCTGTGAAATTAATCATTACCATAATCAAGATAATGAACCTCTCCATCATTTCCTAAAGGTTCCTCAAGCCCTTTCTCATTTCTCACTCCCACCTCTCTCCACACCTACCCCCTACCTTATCCCCCAGTGATTCCCAGGAAAGCACTGATCTGCTTTCTTTCACATAGATTTATTTGCATTTTCTAGAATTTTATATAAATGGAATCAGACAGTGTGTAAGATTTTTTTCTCTAGCTTCTCTCACTCAGTGTACCTATTTTGAAACTCATCCATGTTATTTCAAGTATTGCTATTTTTATTGTTAGTGATAGCCCATTATATAAACATTAATTTGTTGATTCATTCACTTGATGGTAGCCACTTAAGTTTCTAGTTTTTAGCTATTACAAATAAAGCTTCCATTCAGCATTCACTTATTAAGTCTTTGTCTAGTCATATGGTTTTTTTCTCTTGGGTGAATGTATAGAAATGGCATGGCTGGGTCATGCGGTAAGTGTATGTTTAACTTTTTAAGAAACTGTCAAACTGTTTTCAAGTGGTTGTATCATTTTACATGCCCACCAGCAGTGTATGAAAATTCCTGTTGTTCCACATTCTTGTCAACACTTGGTATGAACGGTCTTTTCAATATTAGCCATTGTAAAAGGTATGGTAGTATCACATTATGGTTTAAATTTTCAGCTTCCTAATGACTAATAATGTTGAGCATCTTCATGTGCTTTTTGTCATCCATACATCTTTGCTGCAGTGTCTGTTCAAATATTTTGCCCACTAAAATATTAAGATGTTTGAATTTGAGATTTCTCATTATATTTTAGATTTCAATTCTTTATCAGATATGTGATTTGCAAATATTTTCTCCTGGTCCATGTCTTGTCTTTTCATCATTGCCTTCTGAAGAGCAGAATTTCTTACTTCTCATGAAGTCCAGTTTATCAAATTTTTGTTTAGTGCATCATGTTTTGGTATTATATCTAGGAAAGTTTGACCTAACACAAATTCACAAAGATTTTCTCCTGTTCGTTTTCCTAGAGGTTTTAGAGTGCCAGGTTTTACATTTAGCTCTGTAATTCATTTCGAGTTAACTTTTGTATACGGTTGTATTGGTTGAGGTTTAGTTTTTGCCAATGAATCGCCCATCTTTTTAACACCATTTGTTGAAAAGATTGTCCTTGCTCTATTTAATTGTCTTTGCACCTTTGTTGAAAATCAATTGACCATATTTATATGGATCTGTTTCTTCTCAGTTATGTTTCAATGATCTATTTGCCCATGTTGATGTTAATACCACACTCTAATTTTTAGATCAATCTTGATGTTAGGTACTGTAAGTCCTCCAACTTTATCTTTTTGAAAGTTTTCTGGTCTATCTTAGGTCTTTTGTATTTCTTTCTTTTTCTTTTTTTAATTTTATTATTATTATACTTAAAGTTTTAGGGTACATGTGCACAATGTGCAGGTTTGTTACATATGTATACATGTGCCATGTTGGTGTGCTGTACCCATTAACTCGTCATTTAGCATTAGGTATATCTCCTAATGCTATCCCTCCCCACTCCCCCCACCCCACAACAGTCCCCAGTGTGTGACGTTGCCCTTCCTGTGTCCATGTGTTCTCATTGTTCAATTCCCACCTATGAGTGAGAACATGCCAGTGTTTGGTTTTTTGTTCTTGCGATAGTTTACTGAGAATGATGGTTTCCAGTTTCATCCATGTCCCTACAAAGGATATGAACTCATCATTTTTTATGGCTGCATAGTATTCCATGGTGTATATGTGCCACATTTTCTTAATCCAGTCTATCGTTGTTGGACATTTAGGTTGGTTCCAAGTCTTTGCTATTGTGAATAGTGTCGCTATAAACATATGTGTGCATGTGTCTTTATAGCAGCATGATTTATAGTCCTTCGGGTATATACCCAGTAATGGGATGGCTGGGTCAAATGGTATTTCCAGTTCTAGATCCCTGAGGAATCGCCACACTGACTTCCACCATGGTTGAACTAGTTTACAGTCCCACCAACAGTGTAAAAGTGTTCCTATTTCTCCACATCTTCTCCAGCACCTGTTGTTTCCTGACTTTTTAATGATTGCCATTCTAACTGGTGTGAGATGGTATCTCATTGTGGTTTTGATTTGCATTTCTCTGATGGCCAGTGATGATGAGCATTTTTTCATGTGTTTTTTGGCTGCATAAACGTCTTCTTTTGAGAAGTGTCTGTTCATATCCTTCACCCACTTTTTGATGAGGTTGTTTGTTCTTTTCTTGTAAATTTGTTTGAGTTCTTTGTAGATTCTGGATATTAGCCCTTTGTCAGATGAGTAGGTTGCAAAAATTTTCTCCCTTTCTGTAGGTTGCCGGTTCACTCTGATGGTAGTTTCTTTTGCTGTGCAGAAGCTCTTTAGTTTAATTAGATCCCATTTGTCAATTTTTGCTTTTGTTGCCATTGCTTTTGGTGTTTTAGACATGAAGTCCTTGCCCATGCCTATGTCCTGAATGGTAATGCCTAGGTTTTCTTCTAGGGTTTTTATGGTTTTAGGTCTAACATTTAAGTCTTTAATCCATCCTGACTTAATTTTTGTATAAGGTTTAAGGAAGGGATCCAGTTTCAGCTTTCTACATATGGCTAGCCAGTTTTCCCAGCACCATTTATTAAATAGGGAATCCTTTCCCCATTGCTTGTTTTTCTCAGGTTTGTCAAAGATCAGATAGTTGTAGATACGTGGCAGTATTTCTGAGGGCTCTGTTCTGTTCCATTGGTCTATATCTCTGTTTTGGTACGAGTACCATGCTGTTTTGGTTACTGTAGCCTTGTAGTATAGTTTGAAGTCAGGTAGCGTGATGCCTCCAGCTTTGTTCTTTTGGCTTAGGATTGACTTGGCGATGCGGGCTCTTTTTTGGTTCCATATGAACTTTAAAGTAGTTTTTTCCAATTCTGTGAAGAAAGTCATTGGTAGCTTGATGGGGATGGCATTGAATCTATAAATGACCTTGGGCAGTATGGCCATTTTCACGATATTGATTCTTTCTACCCATGAGCATGGAATGTTCTTCCATTTGTTTGTATCCTCTTTTCTTTCATTGAGCAGTGGTTTGTAGTTCTCCTTGAAGAGGTCCTTCACATCCCTTGTAAGTTGGATTCCTAGGTATTTTATTCTCTTTGAAGCAATTGTGAATGGGAGTTCACTCATGATTTGGCTCTCTGTTTGTCTGTTATTGGTGTATAAGAATGCTTGTGATTTTTGTACATTGATTTTGTATCCTGAGACTTTGCTGAAGTTGCTTATCAGATTGAGGAGATTTTGGGCTGAGACGATGGGGTTTTCTAGATATACAATCATGTCATCTGCAAACAGGGACAATTTGACTTCCTCTTTTCCTAATTGAACACCCTTTATTTCCTTCTCCTGCCTGATTGCCCTGGCCAGAACTTCCAACACTATGTTGAATAGGAGTGGTGAGAGAGGGCATCCCTGTCTTGTGCCCATTTTCAAAGGGAATGCTTCCAGTTTTTGCCCATTCACTATGTTATTGGCTGTGGGGTTTGTCATAGATAGCTCTTATTATTTTGAGATATGTCCCATCGATACCTAATTTATTGAGAGTTTTTAGCATGAAGCGTTGTTGAATTTTGTCAAAGGCCTTTTCTGCATCTATTGAGATAATCATGTGGTTTTTGTCTTTGGTTCTGTTTATATGCTGGATTACATTTATTGATTTGCGTATGTTGAGCCAGCCTTGCATCCCAGGGATGAAGCCCACTTGATCATGGTGGATAAGCTTTTTGATGTGCTGCTGGATTTGATTTGCCAGTATTTTATTGAGGAATTTTGCATCAGTGTTCATCAAGGATATTGGTCTAAAATTCTCTTTTTTGGTTTTGTTTCTGCCAGGCTTTGGTATCAGGATGATGCTGGCCTCATAAAATGAGTTAGGGAGGATTCCCTCTTTTTCTATTGATTAGAATAGTTTCAGAAGGAATGGTACCAGCTCCTCTTTGTACCTCTGGTAGAATTCGGCTGTGAATCCATCTGGTCCTGGACTTTTTTTGGTTGGTAAGCTATTGATTATTGCCTCAATTTCAGAGCCTGTTATTGGTCTATTCAGAGATTCAACTTCTTCCTGGTTTAGTCTTGGGAGGGTGTATGTGTCGAGGAATTTATTCATTTCTTCTAGATTTTCTAGTTTATTTGCATAGAGGTGTTTACAGTATTCTCTGATGGTAGTTTGTATTTCTGTGGGATCGGTGGTGATATCCCCTTTATCATTTTTTATGGCGTCTATTTGATTCTTCTCTCTTTTCTTCTTTATTAGTCTTGCTAGTGGTCTATCACTTTTGTTGATCTTTTCAAAAAACCAGCTCCTGGATTCATTGATTTTTTGAAGGGTTTTTTGTGTCTCTATTTCCTCCAGTTCTGCTCCGATTTTTGTTATTTCTTGCCTTCTGCTTGCTTTTGATGTGTTTGCTCTTGCTTTTCTATTTCTTTTAATTGTGATGTTAGGGTGTCAGTTTTAGATCTTTCCTGGTTTCTCTTGTGGGCATTTAGTGCTATCCATTTCCCTCTACACACTGCTTTGAATGTGTCCCAGAGATTCTGATATGTTGTGTCTTTGTTCTCGTTGGTTTCAAAGAACATCTTTATTTCTGCCTTCATTTGATTATTTACCCAGTAGTCATTCAGGAGCAGGTTTTTCAGTTTCCATGTAGTTGAGCAGTTTTGAGTGAGTTTCTTAATCCTGAGTTCTAGTTTGATTGCACTGTGGTCTGAGAGACAGTTTGTTATAATTTCTGTTGTTTTACATTTGCTGAGGAGTGCTTTACTTCCAACTATGTGGTCAATTTTGGAGTAGGTAAATGTTAAGAGGAAACTGCTCCAGAATTCCATTCACATTTGCATACAATACAATGTGCATAATCTCTGAAGGTGCACAACAGTGATACTGGCCACCTTGCAAAGATGATACACTTCACTTTAAAGTCTTTTCTTGCCTTATTAAACTGGCCAGAACCTCTAATATTATATTGAGTAGAAGTGTTGAGAGTAGGCATTCTTGTCTTTTTCCTGATAAGTCTTTCAACTGAATAAAATAATAGCTGCATGGGTCAATCTCTCTTTCCAAAGATCACATTAATCCTGCATTCGGTCACAGCACAGCCAAACCATTGAAATAATGTTGTCTTTTCACATCACAAATCATCCGAATCCTTTATAGGGATATGAATTATTTAAACTGATGATCTCTTTTCAGTACAACCACTGGACAAGAGGTAAATAATATGCATACTATAAGAAGAAATTGTATAGGAAGTTTCCAGCCAGAAAGGGCTCTCAAATATCTCATTTATTTCATTTTTCTTTACAATTTCTAAAAATTCCAATATTTTTATGTTATTTAAAAAAGTGGATACAATGTAGAATAGCAAGATAAAAATATAGAACTAAAAGTTAAAAATGGGAATTAAATAGCATATGTCATTTAAGTTTAATTTTGATAATGACCCAAATTACCTTAAAGGTAAGCAGTTGTCAATAGATGCTTCTTACAGGCAGAATTAAAAAAAGAATTCTCTAAGTGTATAGACTGAAGGCAAAAATCAAGTTGACTAGAGCTGGAATTAAGGTTGAGAGTGTTATCCAGAGGAAGGCAGCACCACCAGTGATGAATGATCCATACACACACACACACACACACACACACACACACACACAGGCACACACAAAACAAACACAGTTTTATTGAATACTTGCCCAGTCTTACTCTATAATTATACACAATAGTTTCCTAAAGAATACCTCTGAGGGTAAGTGAACTGAGGGCAGGCTCCTTTACTCCCTAAATTAAAAGACAAACGTGGATCAACCTAACTTTCTACAAAGTAATTTGATTGACATTCACTACTTCCTCCATAGATGTTATGACCGCCAATCCAATGAGATTCTTAGTAAATAAACTTTCCAAATACCCTGAGGCTTACCACAGTAATGACTCTATCCCTGTTGTGGGCCCTATCTAATTGATACCCTCTTTAAGTGCTTGTATATATTTCATTTTTTTCTCTGCAATTTTATCCCTTTCTAGATGGACATAGCTCTTTAGCAGGGGCTGTGGAAGACCCTGTATAGATGGGTGATGAAGTACTTGCTCTTCAGAAATGTGCAGTGTTGTGGGGAAAAATATTTGCATACATGAAAGATCTGCATGTAGTCAAGTGATAGAATTGGATGATATTCTGTAGCCAGTTATACCCACCTGCCTTTACACATAGAAAAGATTCCATTGAATTCCCATTGTGAAAGAATCACATGGCCTGCTGTGTGGAGAATAGATTATAGAGGGACAACTACAGAAAAAAGGAAACTAATTAGGAGGCTTCAATGAGAAGCCAGGGAACAGATGAGGGTGGTTTGGACTAGGGGATAATGGTAGAGAGTATATGTATTTTGGTCTTAACATTTTCTCTCTCTCTCTCTCTCTCTTTCTCTCTCTTTTTTAAACATTGTAGCATCTTTGAAATTGGAATGAGTCTTGTGATTGATGGCTTCTTACCATCACTGCAGAACAGGAGACATAGAGATGTAGTTGCCACTTTTCTGCACATACACATAGTTGGTTTTGCATTTTTATTCTCACTCAATTGCATCACAGGTTCCTGGAGCTTTGCAACTTCAGTTCAAAATCTGCAGGAAGCAGAGCATTGCATTGCCCACTACTCTTAATGGCACTATGGATGATATTTTGTGGAAAACCATGTACTTGTATGATTCTGAATCGAAAGTAATTAAGAAGCTAGGTTTTGAAATCAATAATCTTTTTGGAAACTTTAACCAACTTATTTCACATACACTTTCCTCATACTGAATAATGATATATGGCAAATTTATGTTTACATAAGTGTAGAGGTCTTCAAATACATATAAAATAAAAATTCTAAGCAATAGCACTGATCACAGATTGCTAGATTTTTTTTCTTTTTTAGGAATGGATAAGATAATCATGTACCTCACAATTGCTGGTAGCTTAGATTCTATAAATTACTGTATTTTGAGGGTAGATTTAATGAGAAGAATGAGAGGGAAAGAGTCAAGGATGACTCCAAACTGTTTTGTCAGAGCAACCAATAATCTGGAGCTCCCAGTAACATAGAAAGGGAGAATTGTCCAGGGAGGAGAGTGGGGCAGGAGCCCTTCTTGGGGCATGTAAGATTTGAGATGCTGCTTAGGCATCTGCGTTAGTTTTCTAGGGCTGTTGTGACAAAATACTAAAACTGCATGGCTTAAAATAACAGACATTTATTGCCTCACAGTTGTGGAAGCTAGAAGTCTGAAATAAAGTTGTCATCATGCTCTTTCTGGTGACTCTAAGGAGGAACACTTCTTTGCCTCTTCTAGCTCCTGGGGTTTGCCCACAAGCCTCATCATTCTTTGACTTGTCCATGCATGCCTCCAGGCACATTGCCCTCTTCTCCCTCTGCATCTTCACATCATCTTCTCTCTGTTTGTGTCTGTCTCTGTATCTAAATTTTCCCTTTTATGAGGACACCAGTCATATCAGGTCAGGGTCCACCCTAATGACCTCATTTTAACTTGATTACCTCTGTAAACACTTTATTTGCAAATTAAGCCACATTCTGAGGTACTGACACTTCAACATATCTTTCAGGGGTTGGGGAGACACAAGTCAATCCATAACAACATCCAAGTAAAGAGGTCAAATAGACAGATGTCAACGAGGCAGTCTAAAGTCAGGAGAGAGGTTTGATCTGGAGACAAAAATGTGGGAATCATCAGCATTCTAAATGGTATAAATAAGACTGGGTGAGATCACCAGAAAGTGAGTGTAAACAGAATGAAATTGGAAGTCATTTAGAAGTTGGGAATTGTGGAAGAAGTGTCAACATGTAATATTGGGAAGATGTGTTCTAGTGCCTCATGTAGGTGGAACTTATAAACATAATGAGTCTGCCAACCTCAGAAGAGCTTTGAACTAATTTTTTTAAATGCCTGTTACCGAAGAGAATAGGGCTGAGTAGATATTCCTAAGTCAATTTGTCTAAATAAAAACTACTCTCAAAAACACAGTCAGATAACTGGTGCTAAATTTCAGTAGAACATCCCATTAAAACTCACTAAAGAATAAAAGAAAATAGGCATGGATTCTGCATAGTGCAAAAGAGTCTAACCTTAAGTGGGCAGGCTTTCAGTTACAATATATGAAAATTTTTTGGATTATACAGTCACACAAGTAAGTTTTTCAAAAGTCAAATTTTCTAGTTGTGATGGAATTTAGAGTTGAGTGTGGTTTTCTAACATCCTGCTGACAGATGAGGAAAGGGAGGTCTGGAGCTACCCAGGGACTAACCCAGCTAAGACGGCATACCTAAAAGGACATGACCCAAGGCCAACCGAGTCCTTTTACTTCCAGTTCAATGTGCTTTCTAGCACACTGCACCATTACACAATTGAAAGAAAAAACACCAGAGAATTTTATGAGAAGAGTCATAACTTTAAACACAAATCAAAGCCTTATTCCAGTAACAACAAAGTAAAAATGTATAAAGATCACAGTTGCATATCAGAATGCCATGGATATTTTATCACCATTTCATGGATCTTTAGAGTTTCATTGGACAGTAACTTAGCTTGAGAAATTCAGTTTAAATGTTGTTAGAAACAAAAATAAGATAAAGTAAAGCTGCATCCTCCATTTAGGGCAGTTTGGTGTGAAGGCAAAGAGGACACTGAAAAGACTTCCATGAGGCAAATGCTTAAGTCTTGTTCAGTTAGTCTCAATAATTAATAAACATTAAGATTATTTGAGTATCAAAATATGACCATTCTCTCCAAATAATATGATCACCCCTCCTTGTGAATAACCCTTAAACTTTATCAATATCTTTCACTTTCAATTTGGTATAGGCTCAAACTTATAGCACTTCCATAATAAAGGTTAATCTCTCTCTCTCTCTCTCTCTCTCCCCGTCTCTCTGTGTGTGTGTGTGTGTGTGTGTGTGTGTGTATGTGTCTGAGAAAGAAAGTTCCTCAGTAAAAAGCTACTCACTAAATTATGTAGTAAAAAAAAGTTGAAGCTTTGCAGTTAGACCTGAATTCATACTTTAGCCTATTACTGATCAGCTATGTGACATTTCCAAGTTTCTTGATTTCTCTGGGGCTCAGACATCCTTAATTTGAGAATTGGGATGATATTACTCACTTGCAAAGATGGCTGTGCAATATAAATGACTTAGTTAAGATATATGAAATCTTAACACAGCACTTGGTACTTACTAAATATCCAAAAAATGGCTTCACAGTAAATGTTTGTTTTAGCCATTTTTCTTCCTGTGGACAACATCTCTGCCACTGTTTATTTTCTAGTCTATCCAGATCAGTTTGTTTTGTACACCATATTGTCATAGGTAGTAAAAACCAATACAAATATGTTTTATAATGTTGTGTTTCTTTTTATTCAAGAATCATAAACATTTACAATCCTTCAGACACCTTTTTAGTTGATCTCTTTTTGTATTTCTTGATTCCATTCAAGTTACAGAATAAGTAGCTCTTGTTTATGTATCAGCATATATCTGTTTACTACTTAAGACAAATACTGTTTTCCTTCTATTGAGTAAAAGAAAGAGTTGCTTTTATAGAGTATAAATTTGAATTCATTTCATAACTGTACTTCACCCTAACTGCACAGACACCACCTTCAGGGTATATAGTACATAATCAATTTAGGAAAAAATGATTTTGAAAAAAATCCCATTTCGTTGTGGTTTCTCACGTATTTTTAAATGACTTAAGCTATTTTTCAAAAAGCTACTTAAAAGCTTTCTAACAAAAATTTAGATCTTTCTTCTATACAATCACTACCCTGCCTATGACTAACTGATCTTTGAGGTTTAGACAGTAGCTTTGCTTAAGAAATATCTTCTAAATTTTGTCAGAAACATAAATAAAGTGTAATAAAAATGCCCCTTCCATTTGAGGAAGTTTTGTAAAAAAGCAAAGAGGAAATGAAAATGATTTCCAAAAATGTACTATTTTGCTGCATGCTCAAACTTGAGTCCTTTTTGCCTTGTATTCATTTTAAAAAGAGCCAGTTAGACCAAGATGAGCAGATCACTTGAGGTCAGGAGTTCAAGACCAGCCTGGCCAACATGGTGAAATGTCTCTACCAAAAATACAGAAATTAACTAGGCGTGGTGGCGGGTGCCTATAATCCCAGCTACTAGGGACGCTAAGGCAGGAGAATCGCTTGAACCCAGGAGGCGGAGGTTACAGTGAGCCAAGGTTGCGCCACTGCACTCTAGCCTGGGTGACAGAGCAAGACTCTATCTCAAATAAATAAATTAAAATGAAAAAAATACAAAGAACCAGCTGAGGATGATTGGGTACCAGAAGTTCAGCACCTTCAGCTTGAGGACTTGAGGTCTTTAACGAGAGGGGGAGCTGGCTGTCGTCTGTATATCTGATGGTTCCGGGAACTTGTCTAGGGAACACTTCATCACCAAAGAAACACTTCCATCACATCAAGTCTAGCACTTTCACATGTACAACTCATTTGACAAGCACCAGATGTAAATAAGTCTGCACTCAGGAGCAGGAATATGTAGAGTCCTAGCACCTTCCGTAAGAATTATAAATTGCCCAATTTCAGGATGGAGTGAGATGCTTTAACGAAAGTTCAGAACAGCGGCAGATCTGGCACCAAATCTATTGCATGCTAATTGTTTCAGTGAGATAATTTTGAGGTAATTACACCTCACCAACACAAGTAACCTCGTTCAAGCTGTACTTAATCCAGTGTAGCTTGCTATTTCCAAAAGGTCAGGAAATCTCTTTCCTCACCTCTAACTGCTCACCTTTCTTCGGTGCACTATGGGGATGCATAATTCCAATGGAGTGGAAATTCAGTCGGTAAATGAACCCTAGACATAAATATTCATGGCAAAAACTTTTGGAAAAAATTCAAGAAATGAGGCTAAGTAAATCACACCCCACCTCTAGAGGTGACTAAGATATGCTCTGACAATTTGCATGGATTTGATTAAAATCTTTGCTCTGTTATTTAAGAACTATTTTCATGGCAACTGACACATCCCCTGGGCCAGTATTTGGGCACCACCTTTATGCTTTGGCTTATTGAAGAAGAAAGCAAGTGCATTTGGAGCCTCTCAAATTGTTCTTATTCCTGTGACACTTTATTCCTTCTCTACAGTTCTGGTCCTTAAAAAAATAATTCGAAGATTTAAACATTTTCTAATGCGGAAAAATATGCCTCAACTAACATAAAATTACTTGGAAGCTTGGAATTTGTTATACGCTGTGAAGCCTGCTATTGAGTTCATTCATTGCCAAAATTGGCTAAACAACACTCAAACATTGATTCTAATGTATTCTATAAATTATAAATTCTACTAAGTCAATAACGCTGCTCCCCTTTCCCATCCAAAAATATGTATGTAGGCGTGAGATGTGTTTTATTATAAAAAACAGCCATCCTCTAGTAATAGCAATGGCTTTTCTCTTTATTACTTATATGGTTTGGCTCTGTGTCCCCACCAAATCTCATGTCAACTTGTGATCCCATGTGTGGAATGAAGAACCTAGTAGAAGGTGATTGGATCATGGAGGTAGATTTTCCTCTTGCTGTTCTCATGATAGTGAGTGAGCTCTTCCAAGATCTGGTTGTTTAAAAGTGTGTAGCACTTGCCCCTTTGCTCTCTCTCTCCTGCTCTGCCATGGTAAGACATACTTGCCTCCCCTTCACCTTCTGCCATGATTGTAAGTTTCCTGAGGCCTCCCCAGTCTTACTTCCTGTACAGCCTGCAGAACTGTGAGTCACTTAAACCTGTTTCCTTCATGAATTACCCAGTCTCACGTAGTTCTTTGTAGCAGTGTGAGAATGGACTGATACAATCACAAACACCAGACTTAATTTTTATACTCTTTAACCCAAAGATGCTCTCAAAAAGGTTACCTTTGCTTCAAAAATCAACACACAGAAAACTCCTGGTGTGACTACAGTTGCAGAAGCAATATGTAAGGGGAAGACCTTTTATGACACTTTACTTTGTACTTTATCTTCTTATGCCTTGGGAAAATTAGTAACAATTTTCCTTGTCAGGATGAGCTATGCACTAAGAATCATACTGGGAGGAACCAGAAATTTAGTTCTTTTTAGCGTTTGATCATCAAACAGTCCAAGTATCTATGCCTTGTGGTCTTTTGCTGTTGGACTTTGCCCAGTAGCAGTCAGTGTAAACTTGCCTGTCATAATTAACCAAATTCAGGATAAAGCAGAATTTCTTAATTCTGTGCAATTAAAGTTGTTAAAATATTGATATACAAGTAATTGTTTTGTCTTATTTTTGTTCACTTGTTTCTTTGTTGTACCATTGACTAGTGTGGGGAAACCCCCTTAATCCAATGAATTTGATGATTGGATTTAAGAATTAAAATCACAACTACCAGATAAAACTGTGAGAGTTTTGCTATGATCCCCCTGGTGGCACTCTTTTTTGGCAACACTTCAAGTATAGATTAGCTTAGAAGGAGGCATGTGGCTCTACTATGCTCCAAACCAAACGCTAGTGGAAGACAAGAATGTTTACCTTGTTCTTTATTGTTTTCTCAATTCTGCTACATGATATAAAAAGAAAAATAATCTTTTTACAAATTCTTGTGGTAATCCTATATGTAATTATATAAATAGCTTTGAAGAAGTCTACTTGATTACCTTCTTGATTAACACACTAAAAGGTCATCTTATCCTTCCACTACCAAATTGTAAAAGAAAGAGGAAGACAGCACATATGTGTTTAGTGGCCTTATAAATGTGATGCCATATCTCGCATTTTTCATGCTCGATTGTGGCAAGACCACAGGGCTGTAGAACAGGACTATGTCGTCTTATGCTTGCTTTATGTATGACCTTAGGCAAGTTGCTTCCCCTCCTCTTGGCCTCAGTTTCCTTACTCTTACAGCTGCTGGTCCAGTAGGTATTCAGGAAACAGTTTGGAAAATGACTCCTTTCTGCCTTAAAATATAATGTTTTGGGTGGGCAAAAATGAATGTTCCTTCTTTGGGATCTGGGCCTTCCATCTTAAAAGATCTATTTCCCATCAAATTTTCTATAGTATGTGCTTATGAGCCTCAGGTGGAAAAACAAGTAGTTAGCCTTTGGAAGGGCTACAGGTATATGCAACCTTCCTGACATATAAATTGTTTTAAAACGGGTTTGGTGAGACATGAATATACCATTCCAAATTCAAACCCAAACTCAAAATTTGTCTTTTCTGTTTCTTATTTTCCAGGGATTTCCAAGAATAGCCATTTCATAGTTCAGCTGTGAAATAAAATCCTCATATCACCATCCAGGGATGTTGAACCATAACTAAGGGGAGCTAGAAAATGTACAATTTGCTCTAATGGCTTCCACTATGATCTTGTGAGGTTTTTATTATTATTACTATTTTTAGTAATCATCTCGGCAATATAATCAGAGCAAAAAAGATTCTAAAGGCACAAATCAAAGAGGAATCTTAGTTTCCAGTAGGAATAGCTTCTCAGTCAGTCGCCTTTCTTCAATCTTCTGGTTTCATGAAAGAGGTGATGTCATAATTTATGATGTTAAGCTGACTAGTGAAATGTCATTGTAGAAGTGATGTTTTAATTGATGATGTTAGGCTGGTTAGCAAGAAAGTATCAAATGTCACTTTTCTGACATAAACTGGCAGTTACAATTATATAATATCAATTATTCTTTGGAAAACTGCATTAGATCAGTTAGAGCTGAACCAATTTAGTTTAAGCAGGTTCATATTTTTTTTTTCTTAGCTGCTCATCCAGTCCTAATTATTAGGTGTAAAATACACTTTGGACATAGTTTAGACTTTGATAATGTCCTCTTTGGAAAGGTAATAGGTGTCTTACATGGCCTTTGTGTTCCAAAAGAGGTACAAGCAAAGTCTGTAATGACCTTCCTGAAAGGAGGCTGCACCTTGAATTGCTTTAGCAAATCATCCTCCTCCCAAATTACAACTCTTGGAATTATTTTAATTGTTAATTGCAATTGTTAATTCCTTCACATTGTGAAGGAATAGTTTTTAAAAAGTCATAGCTTATTTTGGTTTTCTATGCATGTCAGCTGCTAAGTTAATTTAAATTTAACCATAAAATACTAAGCACACTTGCCTCTGCCCGTTCCTTTGCTTTACTAGTAAAAAGAAAAAAAAAAGAAGTGAAGAAACATTTTCTCAGATTCTTTCTCCTTTACTAGGACATCATTTTGAAAATGTGATGAGTTAGTTAGAAGGATATAGGAACTCACAACTCAAAAACTGAATGATAAAATTAATATTAATAACAAATACCATGATATCAATAGCTACTATTTGTTGCAATTGCTATATCCAGGCACTGTGCTAATCCTGTAGATGCAGTCCCTTATTTATTCCTCACAACAAATCTGTGAACTAGATATGGTTGGTATCATTTTTCATAGGAGAAAAAAGGAGGCTTACAAGTACTTTGGCATGAATCAGAAAATAAACATTTTATAAATGTTAAGTATTTTCAGGAGTATTAGTATCATTTGGTGGGAGGTAATCATGGCGAAATACATCAATGGAGGGAGTCACCTTTCTCAACCTCTGTCATCATTATACCCAAGGTGAAGCATGGCAGCTGAGTCCCAGTGTGAAGGTTCAGTGCTAGCAGAAAGAAGAGCAAGGAGAAGTTGGTGAAGCTGGGGCAAAGTGAGGATATGTGTGCGTGCAGGTGTGTATGTTTGTACATAAATTTGCATGTGCATGTTTGTGTGCATGTATGTATGCACAGGTGTGTGCAAATGTAGACTTGTATGTACACGTTTGTGCACATGTACGTACATGTGTGTGCACCTATGTTTGGGGAGTGGGAACCAGGATGGGGAGGAAGTATAGAGTAGTGCCAATACAGGAGTGATATCAGCCTCCTTGAACATATCTAGTGCAACCTGACAATCTGGTACAGATTTAAAAACAGGCCATCGCTCTAGAGGAGAGTCCAGGAGGTGCCATGTTGAGCTTGGCATTAACTGTCCAATTTCTGGATTTTGGGCTGGTCCAGCAGGGTAGACTTATGGGAGAGGGGTCAGAAGGACTAAGGCAGGAGGTAGGCTCTGAGGGGGTGGTGTATACTTACCACATGGCACAGCTGTATTTCAAAAACTGAATAGCAGATACGGTCCTACCATTCAAAGCTGAGGACATAAACTCATAGATTATTGGCCTTCTCTTGTCCCTCCCATATCTCCTATTTCCAGTTCTATCCACACTTACTCCAAAGTGAGCTGCCTTCTTTCCACTGCTATAGAAGGGATTTCCTCCAAAACATTGAGCTCATAGCTTTTTTTCAAACACTTCAATTCTAGAGGACTGCTTTCCTTCTTACAGGTATTATGCCTTTTTGTGGGTGTGTGTGTGTGTGAAAACTAGAAAAAATTCAAACCTGGGGCTGAATGAGTCCATTGGAATCACAGAGGAATGTGAAGTTTTAAGACAATATCAGACATTCTAGAACTTGGGTGAAAGGTTTTCACATTCCCTCTCAGGCTCTGTCAAGCCACATAACAAAAATAAATTGATCAATAAATGTGTCAAATGAGAAAACATCACATTCTTGTCCTTGGCAGCATTGTATGGCTTCATGATACTTCTTCATGGCAGATTATTGTATGTGCCTCGGTCCAAGTCTCTTCCCTTTGTTCTCTTCTCCTTCTCTACCTTGGTTTCACCTTGTTTTAGGAGCAAAGCCAACCTATTTCATTTGGAATCTGATGAAAAGACAGAAATGGTTCCTGGGATTTTGAACTTTCCTCTCTTACTCCAACCTACAAGAGAGGCAACTCCGGAGGACGTAGGACAAATAACAACTAACACTTGTCTAGTGCTTTGTGATTTTGCAAAGTGCTTTTATGGATAAACTCACTGTTTCTTACAACAGCTTTGTAACATCATGATTATTGTTTCCCCTGACAGAAAACAAAATGTCTCAAATAAGTTAAGCAAACAGCTTATAGGTTTTCTGAGATACCATGATGTCTCCAATGTAATGTGGGATTTTTTAACCTATCTTCACTCTGGTTATTAGGAGAAATCCTCAGCACCCATGCCAGGACTCTAAAATCCTGTAGGCTTGAACGTTTCCTTGTTTTAAATAATGACCACGACTCTCTTGCTCACTCACTCACTCCAGTTCTAATGGGGACTTGAAGTCAGTGGGTTAATGCTTTTTCCTCTTTCCCTTTTTCTATCCCAGGAAATAAATACCTTTTTGAGATATGTTTTATTGAACAAATGCTGATTGAGCATCTATTATGTGCCAAACACTGTCCTGTGGCTTGGAATATGATTGTTAGCCAAATCATGCCTTTCTAGAGTTTGCATTCTCATGGAGTGAGGCCTAAAAAAATTTTAATAATGAATTGTGGCACTAGGTGTTCTATGACAGTTCTTTTCATTAGAAACAAGTCACTAGGTTTAGCTCACAAACAAGGAGAGAGGATTACACTGGGCATGTGTACCAGTAGTTGGTGGTCTTTGGAAGCCATTTTAAAGAGATTTCTATAAAAGGATCTGAGCATGTCTCTCAGAGGCCCAAAATATCCTCCCCCAACAATAACATTCTTAATAAATAAAATCTACAAGCCAACTTCTGCCTTCATATGATGATTTTCTGTGCCTCATACCTTCAAGTTCTATCTCTTAATTTCTACTATGAAACAAGAAACTAAAGACTTGAGGTGTTACCCTTTTGAGGGTTAATTTCCTCTCCACAAGGGTTTTCCACATCTGAAAATCTTTTTATTAGATAACTCTTAAGCATCATATCTGATCTTCTAAGCCACACCTATATCCTGTGGCAGCCACTGTTGCAACCAACAGTTCTGTGTAGGCTCCAGTGAGTTTCCAGTAGGTACGGTTTTGCTTCAGGCCCAAAATGCACACCTCTTGCCTCCGGCAGGTGTGGAGTTTCTTTACTGATGTCACTGCATTGAGAACTATAGAAACTTAGTGTTCAAGAATATGCATCCTGAAAGTGAGAGTGCTTAATACCAGGTTAGAAGAAATGTTCACCAATGGGGACTGGAAGTCAATGGGTAAATGCTTCTTCATTTGACTTTTCCTGCCTCAGGAACATTTTGCAAAGCATTTCATTCTGCTTCTCAGATGAGCTCACAGGACTGAGCAACTGGTCACCCATGGTGATATACTTGCATGGGCTCTCCCTCCTCCCTTGTTTTATTCTGGTTCCCTGGAACTACATTTCCAGATAAATTACTCACACATGGCCTTTTTCTTACACTTTGCTTCTTATGGAATCTAGGTGAAAACAGCCTTTAAGGTTTAATGCTTCAAAAAAGAGTGAAATCAATGCATTTCTGATGATGAGATTCTGTGCTATATACAATACACCTAAGCTTCAGTAGTTACAATGGCATTTTATGAGGTATGTGACTTACATGATGTTGCCCATGCTTGGCACTGGAATATTCATTCTCATAGTCAGTTACCACACTGGGTTCATGCATTTCTATTATGGTAGTTAGAGGGTTTTTAAAATTTGAGCCATATAAAATGAAGATGATAATAACAACAAAAACAATGAGTAAGACTCACTCTATAATGATAATCATATGATGTTTTGTAAGTATTTATACATATGCACTTATTCTGGGCAAAGTTCTCAGGATGGACACCAGCAATGACATTTGGTACAGGCTGAAACTCAGGGGCAGAAGGGTCAGTAGGTCCTGAGTTCTCTACTCACCCTGCAGGGCTGTGCTTGGCCAGGGAAGCTACTGGATGTACCATGAAGCAATTACTCTGTTGAAGGAATCTCAATCTCTACTGCTATCCCTTTTTATAAGGCTATTGTGTGAGAATACTTAGCTTAGGACCAGTGTTTTTAAGGATGTTCTGAAAAAAATATAGATGACCAGCATCTGGAAATCTTAGGGTTTCTGGTTACTTAGGAAGTGATTTGGGTGTAGTCTCTCATGCAGTCTCAGACCCCCCTACCAAAGAAGGAGCCCATTAGTCACAGCTAGGTCATTTTAAGGGAAGCCAAGGTCATTGTCAGAGAGCTCCAAGGTCATTTATTAGAAAATCCTACCCACCTCTTTACAAAATATAACAGATACACAGTGGGCTTGGGTGATGATTTTCTACTTCCTCACAATTTAGGATTTAGTGATAACCTTTAGCCAGTGTGGTCAAGAGAACATTCCTGAACTGCTTCTCATTCTTTATTTGCCAAATTTGGCTCCTATCCCACATCATTTACAACTCTTGGTTGGGCAAGGTATGCTTCTGGTTTCAAAGGCTTTATTATTGAGTGTTATTCTTCCTTAGGCCCTTCACAAGAGCAGAGTCATCAAGTTGAGTCCTCATCAAATGGTTTTCATGGAAATCTTTGCCTGCATCCGTCATCCTCTGTGGACTGCTAGCTGTGGCTGGCTCTAGGAGGTTGCTGTACCTCTCTAGCTCTTAAAGCCATCCTGCAATGTCTGCCTTCTCCATTGCTGGATTAATAGGTTATCCTATGGACTTTGAAATAGGCTTGCTTGGTGGGTATTGGAGCCATGCAGGAAAAAAAGGACATTAAAACATTTCTTTTACAAAAAAATTTTTTTTGCTTGCATTTGGAATCGAAAATAAGTTTTTTCAATTCCAAAATTGAAAACTTTTTGTACTATGACAAGGTACTCTCTATGAATAACACCATTAAATTCCCTGTCAGCTACCCTGGCATAAGAGGAGATCCAAGGTGTTACCATTTCATTTCATTGCTTTGTAGGTTTCACTAGGTAACAAGATAAACATGTCATGTTAGGGCAGCGATATTGTGGGCACCTGAGAGATCTTCTCAGTTCCTTTGGTAGGAAAGCTTCTAAAATGGCCCCAGTGATCTCTGCCTCCTGGCATCTCTGTCCTTCTATAGACTCCTTCCCTTGTATTTGGTCTGAAGCTAGTGACTCGCTTCTAATGCAGAAGTGATGGTGACTTCCATCTGGAAGGCACCCTCTCTTTTCTCTTCATTTTGCTTTCTTTGATGAAGCAGGCTCCCATATTAGAGCACGTGACATCATATGGCAAAGACTTGAAGGAGGTCTCCAACCAACACCCAGCAAGGAAAGAAACCCCCAGCCCAACAGCCACGAGGAACTGAATCCTGCTGACAACTGAGACAGTCAGCTAGAAAGCACATCTTTTCTGTTAAAGATGAGAGGACCACAGGCCTGGCTGACAAGTTGATTGCCTCCTGAGAGAGACCCTAAAGCTGAAGACCCAGCTCATCCAGCCCAGATTCCTTATCCACAGCTAAATAAATAGTTTTGGGGTACTTCATTACACTGCAATCGGTAACGAATGCAGTCCGGCTCCAATTACAGGGGTTAGGAAGCTGTCTCTCTTTTGTGAGGCATTGCAACAGCATCCTCTGGTCATAATGCCCAGGAAATGTCTGTAATCTATGATCTCCTTTGAATGCAGGCAGCCATTTTCCACTCCTGGATTACTAAGCAACATTCAACCTGTCAGAAACTAGGGCATACAAATTCTATTATAGCCACTATATTTAACACAAGAGCCTGGATAATAAGGTCAGAGACGTATTTTAGAGCCTTAGCCTGGCATCACATCTTTTCTGGACTAAGGGCATTTTATACGGTTCTGATTGAAAATAGCAGTTATTTTTCCCCCTGATCGGTTATCTTTACTGAAAATGCACATTGCTGCCGCTCCTGACAAGGAGGACTTGTATTAGACACCGTGGGCTTGCACCTGAATACCCGAGTGATGCATTACATGAATATAATTTACATAATGAGCCAGGCAAAAGGCATGTGTTAGAGTGTACATGCTTGTCAACATTTAAAAATATTGCAGTCTTGACAGAGAGCTGCCTCTCAGAGTGAAGAAAAGAGTGATACTTATCCCTCTAGCCTTCAAACTCTTATCTGTTGGCATGCCACAAATATTACTCATGGAGGAAATTCAGATAATTCACACCAAGAAATAAACCTGTTATAGGTTCAAATGTTTATAAAACTAGCATATTGGACTTATCTGGCTACCTTAGAGCAGATATTTTTTTCTAATTTTTCAATAAATATGAAAGATTAAATTCAAGCACCAAGTGAATTTTATGGTTAAGTCACAATTTATAAGTGGGCATTAATTAACATCAGATAAAAATGAGATTCCTAAGGAATTACATTTTGCCTTCTCATTAGTGGCTGTTTTGTCACTATAAACCTTGCTAGAATGAATAATTGAGAAATTATAATAAATAACTATATTATAGGAAGGTCCTGGGATAATGAAAACTACAGTGTTTGGCACAAGTTTTAGTCAATAACCTCTAGATCTGGGTCACATGCCATCCCTTTGGCTACCTCTATAACCTAAAGATTGATTAGGCTCTAACAATTAAACTTGAGTTTCAGGATTATTTTAACTTTTTATCAGGTTTGAACTTCTGAGATCAGGTAAAATGAGCTCTAGAGATTCAGGTGGAGTTTTCAGATTACTGGTAGTTTTTTTGTTTTGTTTTGTTTTGTTGTTTTTTTTTTGAGACAGGGTCTCACTGTTTCACGCAGGCTGGAGTGCAGTGACACAATCACAGCTCACTGCAGCCTTGACTTCTTGGGCTTAAGTGATCCTCTCACCTCAGCCTCCTGAGTTGCTGGGACTGTAGGCATGCACCACCATGTCTAGCTAATTTTTAAATTTTTTTCTTTTTCTTTTTTTTATAGAAACAGATACTCACTATATTGCCCAGATTGGTCTCTAACTCTTGGGCTCAAGTGATCCTCTCCCACTTTCCACCTCAGCCTTGCAAAGTGCTAGGATTACAGGAGTGAACCACCATGCCCAACCTACTGGTAGTTTTAAATAAACTTGCTAGTGGACTTGAATCAAATGCATACCACATCAACCGAAAAGTGAAATATTTCCTAGTTTGCTTTTTCCCCCATATTTTGAGATTTAGGGATTTACTGTTATGATATCAAAATGTATCTCCTTGATAGAAGAAAACAATATACAAAAATGGCTATTTTGCTCCTTAAAAATTCCACCCAACTCCATCTCCCCAAGGTATACCTTGTTTTTATTAATTCCACCTTTTTAAAAGGCAATACAATTTATAAAATAAATACTTTTATTGTACCTTTAAAATTTTTAGTTCTTGTCCTAAATAAAGTGTTTAGAGGTATCTTTTGATACTGCAAGTACTACTGTTACCTTGATCTAGTCACTAAGTATTAATAAGTGCAGCACCAGACCAAGGGCCACATCATCAGCTTTCCAGGCTGACTCCTGTACCTCAAATAAGGAGGCCAAGAATGCAAAAGGAATAAAAAAATTCTGACATGCTGCAGCATTTATTTGCCCTATAACCTACTGACCTAGACAGGTTTTCTGGGGTAGGAAAGCATAAGCCAAATGCTGACCTAAATGGAACCTATCAATCCTGCTCGAACGTTAGCCAGCTAGTAATTACCTTACACAGTAACGGTTGAAATGCCAAAAGAATAAAAAGGCCTTTCCTTTTGGAATGAAAGGTGGTCACCTGTACTTTCTGGAGGATGTGGCCCTTACCAGTCTCTGGTGCTACCCTGCAAGTGGACAATGATGGCATTGATAAGTGGGGCTTCCCCTAGCCTGCTGGCTTTCTCTCTTGACCTTCACTTCCAGTGTGTTCCCACTTCAGGTCCTTGCATTAGAAGTTGCTTTTGCTAGAAGGCTCTTTCTCACTGTTCTTCAGATGATCTTCATTTGGCTGGCCTCTTTCATTTAAGGATCCATTCAAAGGCTACTCTCTGTGATTAACCATTCAAACTTTTCAGTTACCTTTGAGTTTTGGGTGGATGCATTTCTTGAGTCTCAAATCGCAAATCCATTATTTACTAGCTACGTAAACTTAGACAACTTATGAAGACTATCTGTACTATAATTGTAGATGGATGTATTTATGTTTATCCTTCATTATTCCAAAAATGATTTAAGATAACAAAGTCTGTTTATATTATTTGGGTGTTTCCCATTTGTAGTACCTTGACATTTCTCTTTTTCTTCTCAATGGCCATAATTCTTCTCAATAACCATAGAGAAAGGGGACTTTTTCTATCTTAAGATAGAATGGAGAATAAGAGAATTGAGGCAAAGTCTTAACAGGTCTGGTAAAAAGGATGTTCTATCGTTGAACTCTAAAAATATTCATTTACCTTAGATTGCATACCTTTCTCTGAATTAAACAGCCCAATCAGTATGTAGAATACCAAGACAAAAAAATATCTAAACACACAGAGCCAAGAGGTTTCTGGATAATGAAAGAAATGTAGAACTTCTTTTAGGATTAGGATATTTTTTTTTAGAAATGCAGTGTGATTATGATGTTCAAATCCCCAATTTAAGAAAGATGAGGTAGGTGATACTACTATGTCCTTTGTTAGATAAAGAAAATAGTGACAACAATAAAAGGATTTTATAATTTAGGTTTTAAAATCCCATTGAGATGATATGGTTTTACCTGATAACCTCAGCTACATATCTGACCAGCTGCAATTATCTATTTCGTATGAGTAAATACATTCCTTCTTTACATTTGTCCCATGTAAGAAATCCCCACCCACTAGAATGATTTTGTGACACAGTGACCTATTGAACGGAGACTCCCTTTAAAACTGCACGTTCCATTGCATGTCTTCAACCTTTATCTAGGGCTGTCATTCTCTTTGTAGACTGCACATTAAAGTTACCCGGGGAGCTTTTAAAATATGTCCATGCCTGAATCCTAACCACAGAAATCCCAATTTAATTGTTCTGTGGTAGAATCCAGGCAATGGTATTTTAAGAACACCTCACTAAGGTGCAGCCAGGTTGTGCAACATTTTGTGCACAGCCAGGTTGATGATTTTATTTTCGCACAGCCAGGTTGATGATTTTATTTCTCTTTCTCTCATGGCAATTGTTGAGCACACTCACAGGACCAGATAGTCTCAACCATGTTCAAGTTCACATGTGGGGCTTACGCAACAGGGAGATCACCTAAGACCCCAAGTTCTTTCCATCACAACCCTTTACTCAGCATGAAGAGGAGAGGAGTCTGAAGAGCGTTTCCTTTTAGCAGGCTTGGCTTCTCTGTGTTGGCAAGGTGCCCCGGGAGAACTGGCTTTCAGGCATGCACGCAATGGAATGCAATATGGACCTTGACATTAATCAGACTGTGTTTTTTCCTTTTCTCTGCAAAAGCACAGCACAACCATAAGGTGAAAAGTTGGGGCAGTTTCATCCTGGCTGGATTCCCCTCTCTCTCTCTGTTGTTGGGGAACATGAAGCCCTGAACTTCAAGCACTTATAATAATGTTTAACAACAAGCAAAGAGCTCTGGTCAAATTTCTGGAGGGAAAAGCAGTGAGAGGTTGGAAGTCACCATTTTCTTCCTGTTTAGGAAATGAAGCTTTTAATTATTTCTAGCTATGCTATCTCTACTGAGTTTTATGTCAGGAAATATGCACCTGGTGATAGCCTGTTGCTGAAGTAAACTTCAGGCTTTTTTCCCTCTCTTCCTCTTTCTGGTTTCCTCCTGCAACTTGGGTTCATGACAGCTTGTTGTTGGGCAGGGCATTAGCCTTTTGTAATTTATTGCTTTTAGATTAAATCTGGGGAAACTCAATATTGCAGTTGAATGATTAGAGCAATACCCCTTGGAGTAATAAATTTTCTTTGGTGCTGTGCATCTCCAGATCATGTTTCCCTTCTAATTACATTTACATAAATGATATTCTGTAAAATTAAATTAACATTCAAACGGTTACACTGGCAGGGAGATACAAAAATTAGTTACCAAGTTGCATCTCTTAAAAAAAAATTTAGTTCTTTTCATAATATGAATCACTACCCACTCTCAAGTGTCAGCAGTCAGCACAACCTCGGTGCCAGAACTGCACAGGGATGTTTGTCACCAGTTAATGGAGATGTTTTGTTTCTTTCTTGGAGATTTAGACTGTAAAGCCTCATTAGACAGTGAGTATAGTGACTTTTTAAACTTGGCTGCTAATGAATTGCTAATTTTTCTTCAAACTTCTTGCCTTCAAATTCTGCAGTGATCATGGGGAATGTCCAAATTGAATATGCACACAGAACTTTGTTACTGTCTTTGCCTTCCTCGCCACCCACCCAGAATCTTTTTCAAGCTTTGGTTTTCCAGCCTAGGCATTAACAGAAGGCCTGTCACGGGTGACATCAGGATCTCCCTACTCTTTTATTATCTCTTTACCACTTCGGGATGTTTCCATTATAAAGAGTTTGGGTTTCTTTAGAAGTTGCACTACTTGGAGGGTTTGAATCAGAATAGTCAGAAAATCTACAGCTTCCTTGACTTGGCTAAGAATGTTACCTCCACCATGTTTATCCTCAGAACAACTTCAGAACCATATCCATTATGACTTTCAGTAAAACTAATCAGTGCCATGTCTAAATGGATGATCCATCCATTTTACAGCTTGTTGATTGATACAAAATGTCATTTTATTTATGTTAAAACATATACATCTATCTATAGGAAGATGTTTACCAAAACATTAGCAGTAGCATCCCTGAGCAGTGCATTTTTCTTATTTATTATTGCTTGTATTGTTTGAATTGACTGTGTACTATTTTTATTAAAAAACCAAAACAAAACAGTAAGTTACTGCAAAAGAAGCATCTCTTCATGTCCTTGAAGTTCAGGTGAAGAGATGCTTACATGGAGTGCTGGTGGCACAGGCTGCAGCTGCTTTTTTCTCCCTGTTAAGCACCAGAACCTGTGATTCCTCATTACCTGGATTTGGCAAGACTTTGGCCACAATTATACCCCTAGATCATAATTACATGCATTGAAATGCCTGATAAAATGTGGCTGTCAGGAGTCCACTCTCACAATAACCTTTTAGTGACCATCATTGTAACATAAGATGATGCAATTAAAAGAAGAAAACAAATACCTCTTTTCAAAGAAGCCTGTCCTTCCCAGATCCTCGCCCAGATCAGTCTACCTGGACTCCACCACATCTAACAGGATTTCTCATAATCTCCTCTTTCTTGGGCTTACATTCACTTAAGACTCAATTATTCATTTCACATGTTTGTATTGAGCACCAGCAATGTGCCAAGTACTGTGATTGTCACTGGAGATAAAATGAGAAGCAAAAACATATGTAGACTAGGCATGGTGGCTCACACCTGTAATCCCACACTTTGGGAGGCCAAGGCGGGTAGATCACTTAAGGTGAAGAGCTCGAGACCAACCTGGCCAACATAGTTATACCCTCTCTCTACTAAAAATACAAGAAAAATTAGCTGGGTGTGGTGGCATGCACCTGTAGTCCTAGCTAACCGGGAGGCTGAGGCAGGAGAATCGCTGGAATCCAGGAGGTGGAAGTTGCAGTAAACTGAGATTGGGTCACTGCACTCCAGCCTGAGTGACAGAGCAAGACTGTCTAAAATAAAATAAAATAAAATAAAATAAAATAAAATAAAATAAAATAAATGTAGCCCTTGTTTTCATAGAGATTACAATCTGCATGGAAAGACAGATGTATAGATGTTAAATAATCATATTGATAAATGTTTAATTACAAACTGAGAATAAACACAGTCCTAAGGAGAACATAAACTCAGAGACTCTATCTGAAACTGAAGATGAGGGGTGATGCTTGAGATCAGGGAAGCCTTTCTAAGCAAGTGAGACTTTAGTTGAACTGAGATGTCAAAAATGGGTCTAGGTGAGCCAGGAGTCATGGAGGGTAGTCCCAGGAGGGAGGAGGTGACTTTGCCAGTTCAAAAGAACAGCATGAGCTCATGCCCTGCACCAGGAGGGAGCCTGCCATGTTTGATACCAAAGGAGGGCCATTGTGGCTGGATTAAAGGAAGCTTGGGGAGAAAGGTAATGAGGTTAGTGAGACAGGTTAAGTGAGATATACAGCAAGACCTGAGGTCATGCTAATGATTTTGGTTTTATTATCAGAGCAACATGAAACCATGGAAATGTCATAACCATGGGGGTAACATAGTCATATTTCCATTTTTAAAGATCACTCAGTATGGGAAATGGATTGTGGAGTAATCAGAGTGGCTGTGGGGAGACCTCTTAGGAAGAAATTACAGTTCAGTATTCTAAATAGGAGGAGTAGCCACAGAGATGGGAAAAAAGTGAATGAAGTCAAAACATAATTCAGAGGTAAGTTTGGTAATAGTTTGTGGTGGGAGAAGGATAAGCCAGTGGCAAAAAATGTCTCTTGGGTGTCTCGCTTTATAAATAAATGAGTAATGGATGATGGAACGATTAGGGAACATGAGAACAGACCTTCCATGCGTGACATTGTAAGGAAACTTCACATACTCCTTTTACCCTGCCATTGATAACGACTTGCTGAACTTACCATTTCAGCTCCCTCTTCCATCAGCTGCCACAGTCCCATTGTCTTGAATCTTGAGAAGAGCTATGAAGCTATCAAAGATGATGCTTAACTTGAAACTCAGTTCTTCTATCTGGGCTTTATCTGGGAAAAAGGGCTTCCTGCCTTCTAATTGATTTGTTCATTATTTCTGTTTGTATCAAGAGTTAATTTATAGTATATCCAAATACATATACTAATGAACCATGTCCTAATGGAGTTCTACACTGTGCAAATGCATGTAATTCATTTTATACCTCTCATGCAGCACTTATATTATGCCATAAATCACAGTTATTGTCATACTTGCTTTATCTCCCCTATAAGAATTCAAGCTCCTTGAAGACAGGGAGGTTGCTTTGTGTAGTTTTATGCCTCACATAGTACCTAACATAGTGTGACTCACATAACTAAACATCAATATTTATTCACTGATTCTGTCTTCAATGACCAGGGGCTGTAGGCTCCCTAGGAAAAGCAATTGCAGTTATCCAGGTATAGGGTGATAAGAAATTGAGGTAGAAAATAAAGGAATACCTATATCTAGCATGGAGTAAATATCCAATATATATTTGTTGATTGATTGAATTTTAAGAAGAATTGACAGGTAAAGAGGGAAAAGGTCAAAGTGAAGGATGGGAAATATACCCATAGTTAATAAAAAATGCCACTCTCCTTCATACCTCACCTCTGGTATATGCTGTTCCGTTGCCTGCAACTCAATAGCATTGCTTCCTCTGCTTCCTATGGTATTCAGCCCAGTGGTCACACCCTGAATAGCCCTTCCCTCATTGGCTTGTCAGAGATGGCAGTATCTTCCTTTACAATCTCATTGATCGTACAGACTATTCTGTCATTCAACACCTTTTTTCCTATTTGACGTATACACCTCTCTGTTCTCATGGGACTTCACAGGGTCGGCTTCCAGCACAGAAGAGGTACAATAACAGGACAGATGGGTAGAAGGATAGAGGGCTGAATAGGGATCCACACATAGTTGACCTTAATTTCAGCAGTACTTACCATACTATCCTACCTCTAAAATACATAAATGTGATTTTTTACCTGCCTGACATTCCTTTTAAAGAAAAAATAACTTTCAAAAAATTATAGAATTACTTTATTCTAGAATTACAAAGTTCAGGTTAAATGGTTGCATGCTATGCACCCAGTAATCACGTATGGGATGAATGACAGATTGATGGTCACTACCACTGCCCCTGGTATGGTGCTAGGTGCTTTGGAAAGGAGGAGAAGTTTTAGAAGATGTGGTTCATGTTCTCAAATTATTTTTGATACAGATAAGAGAAAAAACTCAATCAAATTAAAGACAAAATATGTGCAAGTGCAGGATCACATACAATCAGATCATTTGTGCCATTGCAGTTTTCATAAGGAAGTGGGTGAATGAGGGTATGCTTTCATTTTTATACCAGGAGAGGCCTCCCTTTGTTCTTCATAGCCACCTTTGGATTTGTGAGCCCTCACATCAGGATCTACTAACAGGTACTTCCCTTCTTTGTCATTCACTTACTTTTTTCACTGCAACTCAGTTCTGAATACCCCATGCACATGAGACCTTCGGCTCAATCCCTCCCAACACCATCTGCATGCTATGGAGGACCAAATGCTTCTGCAGCCCTGGCTTTCCCAGGTGGGATGCTGAGTGCAGCTCTCAGAGCTGGATCCAGCCTGCTGGCCTCTCAACTGCCTCCATCTGGGCCTGCTATTAGTGGATGGATGCCCAAAGCATGGGCTCACCCACCCGAGGTGAACAAATGGGACCAGTGCTCCAGAGCTCCTTGGGGAGAGCTATGAAGACTGGTCACTGGAACCCTTCATTGCCTGTGACTTATACACCAGGGAAAGTTAGAGAAATTTATGAGTGGGCACCATATGCCAGCCCAACATCTGCTTCCTCATATGGGTCATGAATACAAGACAGTGCTAAGTACATTAAAGATGAGCCTCAGGCATGTACACAGAAAATGCAGTTTAACTGCTTAGGGGGATGAAGATTCCAAGGCACTATTAGGAGGAGTTTTCATACTCATTTTTTCAAATTGTAGAACACAAAATATAAATATAGGTAATGCTGTTTGTTCTCTTTAAGGGTGCTGAGAGTCCCTGAATCCTTTCCTTAGTCTTCTTCCAGGGGTCCCTGAGCTACTCCCATCAGTGCTGTGATTCTAAAAGACACAGTTTCAAAACAACTCTTTTGGTTGGTTGAGAAAGGAGAGCTGCCTTTTTTTTTCTTTCAGTATTTTCTGCATTAAACCCTGGGGAAAGACATTTAAACATAAAATGTTTGGATGAGGGGTCATCACAGATTGGACCTTGTTTATCAGTATCTCAATGAAGTCAGTTATGAAATTGAAGTAAACAATCAACATTCTTTTGATAAGCTGAATGCTTTGCAGAAGAGAGGGAAGTACAGTGCTGGTATCTTGATGTTGTTCTTTAAACTTTCCAAATCTACTGGACAGCAAAGTCGTGTTTCTACTATACTACTGCTCAGAGCCAGGTTGTAATATCCAAGTCTTGGTTGATAGTGTCACGCAGGCAGTCATGAGAGCAGGAGGAAAGTGGTGAACTACAGTGATAGTGTCACCCTCAGATTTTGCCGCTTCAGTTTTAAAAATGATGATGATGGATATCACTTTGGAGCCTAGATTTTCTCAGGACTGTACATGACAGGGTTCTGTGGAGTAATATTATTTAAATATTTGTCTGAAAGGAATAAAAGTCATTGTAATATTTTAGCCAATAAAAACACCTATTCTGACAACCCACTGTTACATAATTTGGATTTGGTTAGAATTTGAAAATTTCTCTTTTTGAGAGTAAAATGACGAGGTAATAGTAAATGTCCAGGCTCTTTCACTTGTGTGCCGTTGGACAAATTGCTTCTCTGGTCCTAAGTTTCTTCATCTCTGAAAGGGGAATAATACAGGGATATGGTTTTGCTATGTCCCCACCCAAATCTCATCTTGAACTGTAGCTCCCATAATTGTCACATATTGTAGGAGGGACTTAGTGGGAGATAATTGAATCATGGGGACAGTTTCCCCCATACTTTTCTCATGGTAGTGAATAAGTCTCACAAAATCTGATGGTATAAGGGGTTCCCCCTTTTGCTTGATTCTCATTCTCTCTCGACTGTCACCATATAAGACGTGCCTTTCACCTTCCACCATGATTATGAGGTCTCCCAAGCCACATGGAACTTTGAGTCTATTAAACCTCTTTGTCAGTCACCCAGTCTCGAGTATGTCTTTATCAGCAGTGTGAAAATGAACTAATACATACAGTAATATAACCCAACTTATAGGCTAGTTGGAATGATTAAACCCAAATTTATGAAGCACTTGGACAAGTGGCACTCAAAAAAAATTGCAGTTATGAATCATTTTTTAAAGCAAGTCACTGTTCAGGCAGCATGGCATAGTGAATTATATTATGAATCAGGCATGTGAGTTCTAATCCCAGTTCTACCACTAAATGTGTCTGTTAATGCCTTGGGACTTTGGTCCCTTGACCTGTAAAAAGGGGTGTTTGGGCCAGTTGAATTTGAAGGTACTTCTGATTCTAACAGTCTACAGAGTTCTGAACTATTTTGGTCAATGGATTGCTAAGAATTTTGGCTTTTGAACTGACTGATAGTCAGCATATGACCCTTTGACATAAAATGGTGTGCTAATTTCCTCCCTTTTTGACATCTCACTTCCTCTATTTATTCCTGTTGTCCATGAATTCCACCACTTAAAGGAAAATTAAGAACTAGTTTCACTTACAATAGAGAAATACTGAATTTTCTTAAAAAGTTTCATTTTTCTGCTATTCTATTTTTTAAAAATTAGTAGCTTAAAGATATGAGTCTAATGAGAGGAATAGAAAAAATGATCAGTTTCCCAGCTCTTCCTAAATTAAGATTTCACAATATTATTTTATTAGTTTGAAGTGAATTTCTAGAATTTTAGGCATCTTTATAGTATAAATGTTAGGTTGAAAACATTCTAAAACAAAATATGATGTGTTTAGCCATTTTGATGACTTTTTATTCATTTTTTAATGTTTCTCTTCTATTGATTTGGAAATTCCAAAAATAACAGATTTTGAAGTTATACCATGGGTTTGAGGTGATATATGATAGTATCATCCACTTCGGGACACTTTATTTGTTGGGGTCAATATTAAAACTTCTATTTATATGTTTTTTTATCTGATTCTACTGTTATAATTCTGTATATGCTTTATAAAGAACATGATATATTATTGTTATGTACAGTAGTACCTGTGGCACTGCCTGCTCAAACATTATTTTGGTTGGGGATCTAATGGAAAAGGTTTGGAGGCCACCTCTTTGGATAAATATAGCATGCAACACTGGTCCCAAAGGGCTGCAATTTTGAACAAATAGTTTGATGTTCATAAATTCATAAATTGAGTGTTTATTGAGCACATGCTGTGTGCCTGATACCGTGCTAAGCACTTGCTGTTCATATGATTTTGTTTATAAGTTGTGCTTCTTAAACTGGAAGTGGTAAGTTTATATGGCACATTGTTGGGAAAGATCAAACACATGGCCATAGGATAGAGTTTATTTGTGTCAGATTGTCCTCTCTTTACTTGAGTGGCTTTAATCTTTTACCTCCACTCTTCATGCATGCATGTTTGGCAAATTGATAAGTGTGAGACAATCATACACAATGTGTATGTCTGAAAACAAATGACAAGAGACCTTCTCACAGGACTGACAGGGGGAAAGCTCATGCCTGCAAAGTTTGGCACTTTGTGGTTGGCTGGCTGACTGCTAGGAGAAGGAAGATTAAAGAATATTGAAAAGAGGCTGGCTGGAATCAGAAATAATGGGCTAAGTTTTAGAAGCCAGCTGGAGGCGGTTCAGTGTTCCAGCTATTCAGCTACTCTCCCAAGACAGTGTAATGTGTCATCATTAAGGCTTAGAATTCATAAGAGAAAGAGTTAAAGTTTAGGGTATCTTAGGACCCCAAATTAATTATACATTTCTTATATGAGGTAGAATGTGTATATGACTTTTCCCAAGGCAGCATGTGGGCTCCTAAACTTACAACGTACATCTATCTTTAGGGAGCTTGTATTTTATTGGAAACATGGTCCTGAAGGGCTGCTGATGCATGTGAACAAGTACAGTCTTGAATTTGGAGTCTAAACCATCTTAAACAAGGTTGGTGGAATTTGTAGGGAAGGTTAGAAGGAGAGAAATAGGAAGGCTAATGAGGAATAGCTTACCTGATTCAGAGCTCAAAAATGCAAGTCATGCACAGATACAATGATTGAGTTACCAATATGATTTAGACCAATATCAAATACTGTCATGGAGCTCAGGTCAGACTAGGAGTTTATTCAATGCATCCATTAGATAAAAACATACTGAGCACCTGCCACATGCTGGGCATTGTTGTTAATCCTTGGGATACATAAGGGAACAAAATGATAACAAAGAAAAAAGAAAATTTTTAAAATCCTTAACATTTTGTAGCTCATATCCAGTGAGGTGTCAATGAAGGTGACAATATATTCGTGACATTTTAGGACAGAGTAAACATGAGTCATAGGTGAGAATTAGCAATGTGACAGTCGACTCACTCTATGTGGTACCTCACCATGATGCTGTGAGTTCTCTTCAGAACCATAGATGGTAAGAGAGGAAGAGCCAGGTGTAGACAGAGAAATGGTAACAGAAAAATCTATATTCAAATCTTGGCTCTATCATTTATTAGTAGTCTAATATTGGTCAAGGAATTAAACTCTTTGCTTTAGATTCTTCATCTGTAAAATGAGGATGAGAACACCCATCTCACTTGTCTGTGGTACAGATTAAGAAACCATATATAAAATGCTCCACAGGAGGTGACTTATAGTAAAAACTTAGTAATTTATATATTTTCCTTTTACTTCGGACAAACCTAGTTATCTATGACAATTATATAACTTTCTCCCATACTCTTAAGAATGGTATATAGGCCATGTTATTACCTTTTTTACATTTGAGGTAAACCAAGGCAAAGAGCAGTTGGGTGAATGTTTTGACCATGAATAATTCTGATCTCTGCTCATCAGACAGCCTTCTGTAATAATCTTGATTAATCTGCCTTTTTCTTTCCATTTTAGTCAACCATTTGAGGTTGACCATTGAGGTTTCTGCCATTGGCAATCTTTTTATATTTTTCTATTCATTTTGATCAAAATGCTTCTTAGTGGAATGGTTGAAATGAAACAACCACAAAGACTTATGTGCAAAATGTGGAAGGAGACAGTGAGGGTCTGATGTTCTTAAGTATGTCTCTGCAACTCTGCAGGCAAAAAAGTAGGTCCTACCTCTGGGATAGTAGGACCTCTGTGGGTTCAAAGTTCCAGCTCAAGGTGAGAAGACTCGAGTAACTTCATAGAGATGATGGGACTGTTGAAGGAAGTAACATCTAGAATGTCGAGCATTTTGCTTGGCACATAGTAGGTACTGGCTTTTCCTTCCTCTGTGCCTGGCAACACCATGAAATAAAACTCGGCTTTCATGAGATTATATGGTAGATGAAGCAACTTTGAATATACATGGTTCTATATCAAGGTAGGAAACATGGTAACTTCATATGAAAATGAGGAATTTATAGAACAAAAGAACTATGTTCTTCAGTAACACTGGTATCCTTGCAGCTGGAAAGACATTTTTCTTAAGTGGTTGGAGCTTGTCATTTGTCTAGATACATCCTATTTATGGTGACTTTCTCTAAAGCTCATGATTAATGTGGGCTTTTAAAAATTGTTTTTCTTTGTGTTATGTTTCTCTCCAGTATGCCTGAATGTTGGTTTTAATTAAATTTAGGAAGGAAGAGAAGGGGGGTTGGGTGGCCTGACAAAGTTGAAGAGCATCAGTGAAAATCACATTTATGTTTTGGAGCATGGAATTTGAAAATGGAATAAATAATACGAAAGAGAGGACTTCTCCAAATGGGAAAATAATGAATATGCTTAAACTCTTTTGTATTATTCTCATTTTGGCTGAAGATGGGATTCTTGATTTGGGAAAAAGTTTTTTTAATCATTAACTCTATGTATTTTATACATACCACCCCAAGAATCACCTTTCTTTTTGTTTTATTTTTCTCCAGAATAAGTCATTATTTTGTAGAAGTGGATTTTGCTCTTTAATTAATCATATGTTTACTTATGCGACTTTAGCTATAATGTAATTGAAACTTGGAGCAAGGCTATTCTGCACTGTGCTAAGGTTAATTATGCAGTGATGAAACTATATTACTTTTGGCTAAAATTTACCTTTACTCAGCATACTGCTTTTTTTTTTTTTTACAAAAAAGTACAAATTAGTAGCATAAGTAAGATTACTTAGGAAAAAAATTGTTTTCAAGCACTTAAATAACCTACCTTCATTTATAACAGCTATGCTAATTAGAAACTAGTCTCATCTATTTCTCAAAGCAGTTCCTTAAGAACTTTCAGTCAGCAATAGCATGAATGGATAGACCTAGACGAGCTCAAATTATTGTGGGTATTTGGGAGTCGTAAAACAGTATTTCTTCAAAATATTTTCTTATCTAGATTTTTTAATGGTTTCAACCTGACCTTCCCCTTGGCTAGTTCAAATAAGTAAAATTGGTCTGCATTCCTAAATCATTCCTGAATGTTCTAAGTTCCAACTTCCAATCAGTGGTGTTTGCCTGGCAGTACACTTCCTTGTGGGCTGCCTCTCACCTGAGGCAGTAACCAAGCTCACTAAGAAGGCTGATTAACCCCCTCTCTGAAATAAGATTAGGGTTTAAAGTGTGCATTTTTTAATGAAAAGGAAAACTCTAAATTTAAGGCAGTCATGCTTCTTGTAGGGAGGTCAAAGAGTGAGTAGATTATGAGGTGCGGGAGATGAAGAAGGGAGGAGGAAGATTTATGTGCTCTGTGGTATTTGAAACCAATTTACAATTGGCCCCTGGAGTCCAGAGATTTACATATTGTGTAGTTTGAAAAAACGGATGTGAAATTTTAGAGTAACACTCAAAAGTGCCTCTTATAAGCTTTCTTGGTCAATAGACTCCCTGATTAATTTTAAAAATAAAATAAAAAATTGAATATTGAAAAAAAATTAATTTGCTTGAATACATAACCATTTATCTGGCAATATTGGGCAATGGTTAAAGGTACAAATTTAAGTATTCATGAAGCTTTGTGAATTTGGGGAAATTTCTTAACTTATTTATGCCTCACCAATATAAAAAGGGTAATAATAGTAATGAATTAAACCCTACACACTCAGCATAAAAGAATTCAACACTATATGTTTGTTAAAAGAGGAAGGAAGAGAACAATAATTTAAATTGCAAGAATGATTCCATCTGCCATTGAACTCAATATGTATTTTCCCTGGTAAACATGAGACAGGAGATATGAATCTGCTTTTTCCTCATTTTGTCTTATTTCCTGAGGTCCTCTTGTGATATAAGCATTTCAACTAGCTTAGGGTGCTTCTATTGTTTAAAGATACAGTGTACACTTTTGTGCAATAGGATCCTAAATGCATAAGCTGCTATTTATACCTGGGGATCCACTGACCAGTGATGGAGATCAACTGGCTGGGCCCTTCTTTTTGAGAAATGTTTTATCTGTCATTAACATGATACCTTTCTTCCCTACGCCTTTTCGTTAAGAATATGGATGGTTTATGTTTTCTGCTTTACATGTTGACTTTAGAACTTCACTAAGTATGATGTAGCTCCACCTTTATGGCTACTCTTAAAAGGTAGTTGGTTCATAGAAACTGAAAGTAGAAGAGTGGTTAGCAAAGATTGGAGGGAAGGAGAAATGGAAAGTTACTGTTTAATGGGCACAGAGTTTCTGTTTAGGATGATGATAAAGTTTTAGAAATGGATAGTGGTGATGGCTGCATGACATTGTGGATGTACTTAATACCACTGAACTGTATGCTTAAAATTGGTTCAAGTGGTAAATTGTATGTTATGTATATTTTACCAGAATAACAACAAAAAAGTAGTTGAGGAATTTCTGTGAGAAAATAATGCATAGCAAGCAATTAGCACAAAGTCATGAAGAGCTAATGTAAATCAACTACAATTATTAAGGGGATAATTTGGTTACTATTACTATTCGGCTATGGTTTATACATCAGGACTATCTACCTGATTTTATGCCTTTTGACTCAGCCTAATTTATACACAAGCAGGGATGGGATGAAATGTTTCTCCTGGCCCCTAGGTACATTTTGGGACATAAATCTCAGAACTCCTTTCTGGATCCATTAAGTCCTTGCTCTCTCTCTCTCCTGCTGCCCACATCTCCTGTGTTCCTGTGTGTGCCCAGTGTGGGCATGCTTTTTGGGTTTTTGCTTCCACTTCTGTCTTTATAATCACTATTTGGACTTGTCTATTTTTCTCTATTATTCTTTATTCTCAAAATCATTTGGGATTCCTTTTCCCATTTCCTCTACTTCTTTGCCCAGGATCATTTTCTATGTGATGAGCCTCAGTCCTCAATCCTCAGTGCAATGATTAGTGACTCAACTGAATGACCTATGTACCAGGCTCGGTCCCAGCCCTCTTTCAAGATGATCAGACATAGTTTCCAGAGTAGGGACCCAGAGGCCTCTGGAGCTTCCTTTTAGAACCATTTAAGGCTAGTCTTCTAATTGGGACAGAGTCCCTGCGTGTGGCTGGGAAAAGTAAGACAACAGAGATTGAGGACCTGGTGTGAAGAAGGCCAGGAATTAGAGAAAACGCAAAGGGAGCCAAGGTCAGAAAAAAAATAGTAGAATAAGAATGATAGAAAGTGTTGAGAACATAGAGAAACCACACTGAAGTCAAGGAAATGATCAAAGTTCTGTATAGACAACTCTGACCTGGGACTCAGTGGCTAATTACCTCTCTGAGCATAGCCAGCTGTTTAAAGTTACAGACCAATTCGCTCCTCTACCAATCTTCTCCCCTCTTAAAATGGCTGCAGCTGAATCTGCATTACAGTGTGCAGAATCATAGAGAGAATGTAACTCATTGTCTTATTTTCGGATAAGGCATGACCCAGAAAAGGAAAATGCTCTGCTCCAGCTAACCCAGCTGTTCAATGTGTGCGGGGGGAGGGGGAGGCAGGGGATCTGGACTTCAACTCAAATCTCACTATTTTGAGTAGTCCCCTTGTGCTGCATGGACTCCCATGGGTGAGGGCCATGATGATGGAGTTGTGTAGAACCATACCGAATATAGCACCATATGCATTGTAGCAGGTAATAAATGCTTCTTGATGGTGGTGGCAACGAAGATGATGATGTTTATGGCCATAGAGAAAACTCCATTTAGATGAAATTAAATGATACTGCATGGAAGAGAGAGGAAAATGCCAAGCTATTTAATGGCTGACATGTAAGATGAATTTGGTAATGAAGCTTGGGGACTTACCAGGCCAGAAAACTTCATTCTCTCATTATATAGTCCTTAATGACCCACTTATTACTAATATAAAGGGAAAGATATACATATAAACACATGTTCCTGAATGTTTGGCTGCAAGAAATGAAACCAGTACACCAGCTTGAGGGGTTAGCAACAGACGCTGTTTCTGTATGAATGATCAAATTTGCTGTTTTCCAGCTGGAAAATGACAACTCAAGTAAAAGGGTAAAGGATGATGTGACTATACTTATACAAAAGACAGGAGAGAGTAATGTAAAGAGAGCAGGTGGAGCTGGCTAACTCTAAGAATTGCTATGGGGAAACTGGAAGAGGAAATAGATTTATTTGGAAGCATGACTTATGTCTTCTTTTGAGATGTGCACTTCTAAAAGTATTCAATTTTTCACTTATATGGCATTTATTTCTCTGACAAACTGAATTATCCAAGATATCACTGAAAACTATCAGGGAAACCAAAATGGAAGCCACCTCTGTTGGCAAAAGCATATGCACTTCATTCTTTAAGAGTTCTTCTTAGGTCCTTGATCAGAATTCATTCACTCTTATTTGACACCCAGTCTTAAAGAGTTACCTGGTTTCCTATCTCATAGCAAATTATAAGTAGTGCAACATAAGGTGTGAATGGCACATTCTTTAGGAACAGAGCAAGTGACACATGACAACTTGAAAATGAGAGGAAAGAAAGAAAACCAGGAAACAAATAAACAAAAGAAACTTAGAATAAAAAAGACCATAGTGATGTGTTGTCATTTACTGCAGAGAAGTTCCTACATATCACTTTGCTCCTTTGGGGCATTGCTGATTTATATCATAGCCAAAGGGACTTTGTGTCAGTCATGGCATCTGAAGATTTAGAGGGTTAGACCAGACAATCTCCAAGGCCCCTCCAAAAAAAAAGAAAAAGTTTTCAAAAAAGATTTTGATGCTATCTTCACTGCGAAGACCATATTCAGACATGGTGTACAAATATGGGCCCCTCCTCCTCCCAAAAATGTTGGCAGTTGAAGCATTAATCTCAGTTATCTGGAAAGGTGTCTTCCTGGGAACACTATACCATGCTGCTGTCCCATTGATGTGGCCTTGGTTTGGCTTTGCCAGAATTAGAATCTCGTGTCTACCATGTATTAGTGAATGACCCTAGGCAAGGTACCACCCATTTCTAATCCCAGGTTCTTCATTTGTAAATTGAAGATTATAATATCTACCACATAGAGCTGTTCTAAGTCTTAGTGGCTTGAACCAATATGTGTCTAGTGCTTAGCTTAGTGGCTAAAACATAGGAAATGTTCAATAAATATTTGTTATTGCTGTGTTGTTGGCAGTAATAATAACAATAATTTCCCCTTCTACTTTAGTTTATGTCCATGCTGCAGATATAAAGGATGAAGTTGTAGGGCAGGAAGTCTTATGTAACTTGGAGCAGCTACTCAATGGAAATCACAAACAGAATGAGTTTCATCCACATGTCAAGACACTACTACCAACAGAGCTATTTCAGGACACCTACCTAAATAACTAGCTGTCTCTTCCACTTAAAGCAAGGTATGTATTAGTTTAACATTATTCAGCTTATATGGTAATTTTGTAAACTTTATTTCGTTTGGCCTTCACAATAAACTTGTGAAAGAAATACAGTCCGCCCCTTATCACAGATGAGGAATGGGCTATTTAGGATTTAAATAACTTGTCTATATTTATCCAGCTCTAAAACAGAAATAAACTTGAAGTTTACACTCTGACTCTAATGGTATCTCCTTTTGGTAATGCTGCCCAAATACTACAATTGATAGCTTACAAAAGAGTTGTTAATGATTTGGGAAATAATTGGTCTTGGGACTATGTGTGGTTTTTGCTGCTTTAGAGAATACCTTGAAACTGCATAGAATTGGATGAGAAATTCACAGTAATTCAGAGAAAACTGAATCAAAGCTTTACTTTGTCCAACAAATACTTTATCTATAGATAATTTGATAGTACAAATAAAATATGAGAATTTTTTCTCTTTAAATAATTGGAGAGAAAAGGATGTTTTCAAGCATCTTTAAACTTATTTGGAAACATCTTGTCATATAAAAATCCAACCACCAGTTACAAATCAGCCTTGTCTGAGTTGAAGCAAGTCTGCAGAGATCTAAACTGGTGAAGGGCTAAGTGGAATGTATTGGCTTAGTTGGTATGGAGTTTGATATTAAAAAAAGCATATTTTATGTAAAATAGTGCATCTTTTCCCTTTTACCTGTTTTCTTATTAAATCAAATAACCCTTTCTCCCAATTAAAAAAGCAGGAAAGAGGAAAGGAAGAGAGGAAATGAATATTTATTGGGCATCTAAACAGAAACATATATTTTAATAGGCACTTTTACATGTTAACTCATTTAATTCTAAAAATAGTCTTCTGCATTAGGTACTGATTATTCTTTGAATTCAAAAGAATACATCTTCAGGAATTTGTACAAGAGATACTCTGAATGTATTTGTGGTCGTATGTGAAGGGTTAGAATCAAGTCACACACTTCTCAAAGACATGTTTTGTTTGGCCTGCAATATTGTTTTTAAAATTTTGAGCCAATTTCCAGCTTAGAGAAAAGTCAGAAACTCTGGCAACAGTGGGCCTACATCCAGAATTGCACCAAGTGGCTGGAGTACAGCAAGGATCCCCTTTCCACAGCCTGTGGTACCTACTTTGCCATAGCCATGCTCTGGCCTGTGCTGCTTGGTGATATTTTCTCCCATGTCTTTGTCAGTGTTTTGATGGAGATCCATAAATGATTAAAATCTTCTGCGTGGATTGTTATTGAAGAGCTTTGAATGTACTTATTTGTTGACCACATATGTCAATTTTCAGATGAGAGCAAAACTGAATGGGGGGCAGTTGTTTGGAGCATCTTCTGAGGACAGCACTGTCTAATGGAAATCACCTTACCTTTTTGTTTCTGCTGCACCTCAATAACACTGGGGCAGATGTTGAAAGCCCCTGCCACCCTCTTCCATTCCTCTCTGCCCATCTTCAGCAAATATTTACAAAGCAGTTGGTGTGTGCTCAGCAGTGTGAGAGAGATACAGAGGTGACTGATGTGTACCTGCCCTCAAGGAACATATAGCCCAGAAGAGGATAAAACATAAGAGGATATAACTGCAATGTGAGAAGCTCTATCTATACCAGAAGAACAAACAAGGGTCCAACATATACAGGAAAGGCTGATTAATTCAGACTTATGGGATCTGGGTGGGTTTTTATAGCAAAAGTATTATTTAATTAAGCCAGAAGTCTGAGTAGACATTTTTATAGTGGTAAAATATACGCAATATAAAATTTACCAGTTTAACTATTTTTAAGTGTGTAATCAGTGACATTAAATACCCTCAAAATGTTGTACTACCATCACTACCATCCATTGGGTAGGCTTTTGATGGGTAGAGAAAGTGATATTATCAGGTTCAATCACTCACATGCATTTGTAGAACAACATGAACTAATTTACTCATCTGCTGCCTCAACCCAAAGAGGATTTGAGGTATATTATAAGAAAACGTAGCATACAATAAATCCAATCTATAAAGTTTTATAGATAATTAGAGCAAAGAAATGAATTGTAAGGCTAGAAGACAAATTTGTTCACAGAAATTTTCTATAAGTTGGAGACAAATTTGTGTCCAAGCTTCATAGCTGTAAAAGCGAAGGGAATCATGATTTTTAAAAAAAAATCCTTTAATGTAAAATTGTTATTGTAGAGGTTTTTTTCTGAAATCATTTGTGCTCCTTTCATATATTTGTTGTACCTTTTATTTGCATATACTGGATTGCTTCGGATTTTCTTATTTAAAAGTAGCTGGGGATTTTTAAAAGATATGCTACTTCTTTGAGATATTTCAGAGCTCAGCACCTAAGTAATTTATTTATTTTAAAAGGAAGGTTTACATTAATTTTATTTAAAATGATATATTTTATAATTTTTACAGCTACAAGGATAGGATAATAGTAATAGTAATGGTTAAGAAATGCTTGCTATGGGCCAGAAACTGGACTAAATATTTTGCATATATGATTTAATTTTATCCTCACAATGTATCTGTGATGCATGTACTTTTTTCCCCTCTGCAAAGTGAGGCATACAGAAACTAACCAGGTCTCATGAGAACTCACTATCATGAGAACAGCAAGGGGGAAATCTGCCCCCACAATCAAATCACCTCTCACCAGGCCCCTCCTCCAACACTGGGGATTATAATTTGACATGAGATTTGGGCAAGGACACAAATCCAAACCATATCAGTAACAATAACAATACTCTAGAGCAAGGGGTTGGCAAATATATTCTGCAAAGGGCCAGATAGTAAATATTTTAGGTTTTGTGGACTATATGGTCTTTGTCACAACAACTCAACTCAGTTGTAGAATGAAAGCAGCCATAGACAAAAAAATCAAACCGAGTGGCCGTGTTCCAATAAAACTCTAGAGAACAGTTCACTGGCCCTTTGTAAGAAGGAATCAAGGCTGTATTCACCCACTTCTCTACAGTTTCCTACAGGCCTTTGCTGTCCTCTGGCTTCTTAATCGAGATTGAGTGGGGTTTCCAGATCATAAGGTCTTTTTAAACATATGTCATGTAATTCTCATATTACCCCAGTGAATGGATTGTTCCCTGGCTTTATGGATGAGAAACTAATATCAGGCACTTACAGGCCCCTGCTCAAGGCCACTAAGTGACCAAGAAGAAGCGCTAGTGTGAAGCCAGATGTTCTGACTTTGTAGGCAACTTCTCCTGCAATGTGTATCTTTCTATCCGCACAGATCATAACATGAAAAATTAGCCTCATTTTGAATGACTTCGCTGATAGTGCCTATTGACTACTCATACTTTGGATATGTTGTTTACTTACTTATTCATCCATTAAACCAATATTTATTGAAAGCCTCTTTTATGTCAGAAATGAAGCTAGATCCTAGTGATATAAAATCTGTCAAAAACTTATATGAGCCTTTCTCTTAGAGAATAGCAAAGAAGAAATATTACTCAAATAAGACCAAAAATACGACATTATTACTATTGTAGTAAAAACTGTGAAGGAGAAATATCTGTGAAGGAGAAGTATTCTAAATGTTTGAAGTCTATTATAGGGATATTTTATTCAGTCTATAGAAGTCAAGGAAGACTCCTCCTAAATAAGGGATAATTAAGAAGTAAAAAGAGAGGAAGGATTTAACAGGGCAACAAGAATTGAGGGTGTAAGAGCTAGCTTTCCAGACTGAGGAGCCAGCATGTGTAAAGGCACTGTGGCAGGAGGGATCCAGACCAAGGTCATGTTATGGTTCTGACTGTCATCTTCGAGACCTCCCTGAGAGTACCTCTTTACCATTAAAAACAAAATGTAGTCATTAAAATATTTACATAGAGGAACAATATGATCCCATTTTCATTTTGAGAAGATTGTTTTATTGCAGTAGGAAGAGTGGCTTGGACATAAATGGCTTGGTCTCATGGTTATGAGACCTCACTAGGCGTTACGGTGGCAATCACAGTGGATACAGAAGTGGATAGATGCAAGAGATAGCTGGGAGGTAAAATCAGTAGGATCAGTGGTGAACTGAGTAAGAGAGTTGAACTAGTGGAGATACTAAGAATGCCCCCTGGTTTTCTAAACATGGAAGGCTGGTAGCTCACTCACTGAACTGGAAGCATTCTTCTGGGATCTTTTAAGTGGAAGTATGAACCGTGTGAGTAGCCTTTCACATTTTGAGTTTGACATGCCTTTGAGACATCAAGGGAAGCCGTCAAATAACACTTATAAGTCTTGACTGTTCAAAGGAATAATCTAGAATGAAAATTTGTGAGGGATGCCTGGTAGCTGAAATCAGCCGAGGTGTATCCATCTTCTCTTCACATATGCCTCAGTTTTGTTAAGTGAGGAGAAAATATTTCTTATAGTCTAATAAAATAAAATCAGTAAGTGATTAAACCAACTCAATGGGGTGGAAACAAAGACTCTCCATCACAAGGGACTTTCTAATGCATATAGTGCAAAAAAATATACTTTTAGGTTTGAGAACAAAACTGTATTTTCTTAGTTAAGTGGAGATAAATTTATCCCAACTCACATTTGGAATTCAGGAAAAACCATTAGTAATCACCTAGAGCTTGCTGCAAATCTTTGAGACTGTTGTAGCTGAGAACCAGGGTGAAAGTTTTGAAATCTGCATTGTGTAGAAAGGGCTTGTTGCTTGTTTATTGTGCATCTTTCTCTCCTTATGCCTCCTCTTTGCCTGAAGCTACCATCAGGAATGAGACATTGCAGTTGCCATTTTCTGGTGAAGTATGTAAAAATAAACATGAGCTAAATGCACATTTATGTGGCGTTTAGAAGAGAGGCACTGCAACTCTACATCTGATTTTACTTCTTCCTTCTTTGCTTTCTTTGGTTTTTGTCTGCAGTTTCTGCTGCAGCCGTGGGTGACTGCTGTATGGAATCATTAAAAAAATCGAGTCAGCTAAAAGAGGCAACTGGAAAAAAATAAACACTGCTACCTGGAGGCACAGATATTAGTTCTAACTCTTCTACAAACTGTGATCTCGAAAAAAAAATGACTTGATTATTTAATTTCACTATAAAATGCAAAAGGAAGTTGGTTAAAGTATTCCCTAGAATCACGTGTCTCAGAACAAGACACTTAAACCAATCACCCCCTACCAGTGTACCTGGCATCAGAAGGATGCTGGGATGGGGGCTACCCACACTCTTAGAACAGTACCTGGCAGATAGATAGTGGGTCCTCAGTAAATATTTCATAAATGGATGGATGAGTAACAAGTGATCATTGGTCTCTTTGAAGTTCTCCTAGGTCAAAGAACTTATTCAATTTTTCCTTCTTTCATTTTAAGACACCTCTCGCCACATCTTTCTTGTATTAAAGTTCACTCAAAGTGTGTCCAATAAATATTTGCTGAATTTCTCTTTAGAAGGTATCTGAAATCTTTTTCCAGAATTCCTACCAGTTATTACTAAAGCACCTACAAACTCTAATAGTAGGCACTGCCAAGGTACTTTAAAAATAAAATCTTCCCATAGGAATTTCCAGTTTTAAAAAATCTTACAGAATTCTAACAACATGAGCAGCCCAACTCTCACCCTGGAGATTTTGTCTTCTCTTTCTCCTACATACATTTCTTATTATAGTCACTGCCTATCTTACCCCAGAGTCCTTGGTTAGTAGCATCCATGTAGCAATTCACTCCTCACATTATCCAAGAAGCTTGCTAAACTCTCCTCTGGGGAATCAGTGGCCCTGACTGGGGATTAGGAATACATACAAATGAATTCAATGCAGTCGTTCTCTGTCCAGCAGTGGGAACAGACCCTAAATAGTCACAGAGTGATGGGAGATGCTATACCAAGTGCCATGCTGCTAAGAGGAGTGGGGTACTGACTGCCCAGGGAAGCAGTGAAGACAGCTCAGAGAAAGGACACTGGAACAGAGCATGGAAGGATGAGTAGTAGTGGGTCAAGAAAGGAGATGAGGGAGGGCACCGTGAGTAGAAGGGTGACAGTGGCATGTAAGAACAAGTATATTCTAGTAATAGGGAGAAGCCAAGTATTGTTGAAATCTGGTTTCCCCAGACCACCTCCCCAGGGTGGAAAAGCAATGTCTTCATGCTGAGCTCTGGTTTCCCAAGTTCCTGCTCTAATGCCACCATCTGTACCTGAGCTCTCCTGGCAAGATGCTTTAGGCTACCCTTCACGCTGGGCATAACAGGTGTTACCAGTGGTGCCTATGCCTAAGGTAAAGCTGACAAATATCCCTGTGCATGAGAAAAACAGAAATCATATCTACCTGGTATAATGAATTACATTTCTTGAGGGAAGAGGTTTTTCTTCACACATTTGTGGATTCTCAAGAGATGGCATACGATCACACATTATGGGAAACTCCAAACTCTGTTAGCCTTCTGTCATGTCAGTTCTTATAGAACTTTTTATTTATATTTAACTTATATCATTGAAGTTACCTAAAATTGAACAGGAAAGAAGTTTCTTTTGGAGGCTCCTTATATTGATTTATTTGATTTGGGGGAAGAGAGCATATTGGTTTTCTTCATTCAGTAGAGTTACATCTTAAAGTTTAAAAGTAACATTCCAAATTTGGGGACTCTCATCTTTATAATTGTATGCACTACTTCTTTTTATTGTTTCAAATGGGCAGTCTTTAATTTTTACCAGATTAAATACTTTGATAATTACTGAATTTTAATTTTCATGTAAAACACCATTGCCACACCACTTTTCCCCTGCTTTATTTTTTTCTTTCTAGAATAAAAATGCTAATTTTTTAGCACTCTGGCACTGTAGCCACACAGCCCAGATTTGAGGCTTGACCTTGAAAACACTATAGAGTGACATCAATTTCGCAGTCAAGTTACCATAAGGATAGTTTTAGTGCTGGGCAAAACGGGTATATGTCAGCTCACAGGTGTCTCATGCACACTCTCTCTGTTTTAGTTACCTTGGGTTCATACCATTACATTTCCCTTGCTTTGTGAATCTGAATTTAAACCAGCCTCATCTTAAGCCAATCCTTCAGCTTCCCTCAGGGAAGACTTCAGCTTGGGTTGAACTGAGCCTTTTCCTTCCCAAGGAGACTTGACGACTGAAAGGCTCCAGTAACTTAGTTCTTTCTGCATTGAGGAATTTGTTAGGATGGTTGCCATGTATTTAAACACTGTAATAAAAAGCCTGGAGCATTTCCAATCTATTGAGTCCCTCCAGTTCTTTGTGCCACTGTGCCTCTGAGATTTACCATTTGGTTCTTTAGAAGTTACCTGGACTGGTAATTCTCAAATAAATACCTGGTGCAATGGCTAGTGCTAATGGACTGCAGAAGAATCTGCTGGGAGCTTGGCAAAAGTAGAGCTTCTTGGGCTTTACACAAAGCAATTCTGATTCAGTAAATTTATGCTGAGGCCCAGGAATATGTATTTTTAGAAATCTCCAGGGCTTTCTGGAGTCAAGTTCAGTTGCCAGAATTTTCTGAAGTTCTTCAACTCTTATCAAAGATGTCCTGAAGGTAAATGAATCACGAACTCTTTCAAACCATGAGATGCTTTAGTTTTTCTTCTGCTTATGAGAATAATAATGTGCCTCAAATTGTGATTTGCAATTAATTTCTAGTTTTATTTCATGGTATTAAAAAACAAAGCATAAATAATTATTACTTTGAAGAACTTCTTGAGATTTTCTTTGTGACTAGAATGTGATTTTTTTTTTTGTAAATGTACCCTTGGCACTTGATAACTAAAAGATTCAAAGGTATAAAAATAGTGATGAGATCATTCAAGTCAGTTTATTATTTTATTCCGAGTACTTGTTTTGTGAAAAATTGAGAAAAGTATATTAAAATTTCAGTGTCACTTTTGATTTTCTCTGGTTGAACTTGGATTTCTGTTATTTATGTAAGTATATTAATACCATCATTGAAATTTCACTTGTGTCAAAAATATTTAATTTTTAAAACATTATATGTTCTATCAGTATAAAATTGTGTGCCATTTAATATGCTTTTTCTCAAACGCAACTTTATTTTACATTGGTGTTTCCACCTCTGTATTCTTTTAGTTTGCATCACGTACTTTAAAACTTTTATTATCATTTGTTTTGGGCATGTTTACTGCATTGAGAACTAGGCTCTGAGGTTACACTATGTCTTGGATCCTGATTCTAATACTTATTTGCTATGTGATCTTGGGCAAATTTCTCAATATCTATAAGCAGTTCAATGAGTTTAGGTAAGACCTTCACACATGATACTCAATAAGTATTAGCCATTATATGATAATGGTAAAAATAGTAGTAGTCATGGTAGTTGAGTAAAAGAGTAGAAGTAATATCATCCACTATTTCATTGTATGCTATTTTATTATCCTGTCTTCTTCTATTTTTTTAAATGTCTTTTACTATTGCTTGTTTGTCCCTTAAGTTTTCTCTAGAGATCTGAAATCTATATATTCTTTTTATGCTATTAATGATTTACATATAGTAATTTAAATTCTACATATTTAAAGTCTGACTTAGCTCCATGTTTTCACCTGTCAAAAATGAAAGGTAGATATCGAGCTTTCTTTTGAGATATCTAAAAATATATTGCTTTTATATTCTTTAATTTCCTGCCTAATTTACCAGTTTTCTTTTTAAATAATCTTAGATCTAAATGGTTGTTCATTTTTTATATGATGTGTATTCTTTATAAAGAATTATTTTGACATTTATATTGGCTTATAACCATAATAACATTTATTTAAACATTATTTATCTTAAAGACTCATTACTGTTTTTTTTCACATTTTCCTTTCCAGATACTTTATACTTTCACCAGTGAGTTTAAGCTAATCATTAAGTAATGTTTTTACATTTGGATATATGGTTGGAATATCTGTTTTCCTACATGTTTCTGTTAGTATTGCACACACATAAATGATTGTCTGGATTTAGAATTTCTAGGTTATAGTCTTTCCTGTAAATAGATATAATTCAATTATCTTTGGGCATTTAGTATTTCAAAGGGAAAATCTGATGATAATTTTATATACATATGTGTGTGATATTTACATGTTTATTACAGTTCATATATTTATATACACATATGGGTGAGCATTATCTATCTATCTATCATCTATATAATCTTTTCTTTGAAGATAACAGAACAGTAATGGGATGTTTTATCTTCAAAAATCAACAGTTTTGCTCAGCAATTGCTAACTGGGGGATTACTTTTCATTAATTTTACCTAATATTTGATGCATCTTGTTGAAATTATTTTTTTATTTTTTTCTAAATCCAGAAAGTTGTCTATTAATACACTGTCTATTGCTTTTCCTCCATTTACTATTTCACCTCTTGTAGAATCCTTAGGGAGTTCTTATATCTGCCCTCAGTCACGTATCTTTTATTTCATCATGTGAATATACTCATGTTTTCTCTGATTTTGGGAAGAGTTCCCCCTCTTACCTTCTAATTCTCTTACTCAGCTTTCGGTAGTATTTAATGTGTTGATCACACAATCCTATGTGTTTTAAATTTATGAATCATAATTTTCATCTCCAATGAAACATTCTAGGTAGTAAAATTTTCCTTTTGCATGATTGCCTGCTCTTGAGATATAAAAGCAACATCCTCACAAGTCTTATTAAGAATACCAATTAGTGTCTTTTTAAACTTGATGGTTTCACAGTGAGTAAATGGCAAAGCTACATTTCTGATCCCAAACCCTGAATTCTTAATCCCTATGTTTTACAGTCCCTTGTTTTAATACCTGTAAGTATAAGATCTTTCTTTACTTTTAAAATTTTTTTTAAAAAGGCACATTATGTTCAGATGCTCATAGTTTCATTAAATTTGACTGGTTAATGGTGAACCTTTTTTTTACATCTGAAAACTAGGCTCTTTTCCAGTTTAAAAAGGTGTCCTATTACAGCTCGATTATTTCTCTTGTGTATTTGTCTATTTCCTTCTCAAAAAATAGCAGTTGCCCCAATGTCTTTGCTCAGAATTCTGGGAGCACTTCCTTGGTTAACATCTATCAGTTGATAAGCTTTTCTGTGGCACGGATCTTGCTGATGAGGAATTTCATTTTCATAAAGTTAATCACAGGAAATGAAAGTCACCCTGCATCCTGGAAAGAGTGCTGCGCTGGAAGGAAATGTATCACCTTTCTGTGGCCAGTAGATGGGTGCTAATGAGGTACCTCACCTCTCTGTAAGCCTTGGTGGTCTCCTTTCAAAATGGGGAGAATAATAGTTGCCACATCTGCCCACAAGATCAAGGGAAATAAGGCATGGGATAGTGCTGCAGAAATTGAAAAATACATCCTTAAACACTCAGAAATTTTAAAAGCTATTTTTAGTGCCAGATCCAGGACAATGATCAATGCATATAAAATATCACTGCTGAAAACAAACTAGTCTGAAACAAGTAGTCCAGGACCATCATGTTACAAATGAGAAAGCTAGGGTCTAAAGAATTTAAGTGACTTGCTCATGGTATCCCAGTTAGTAATAGACAGGGAGTAAATCCCTGCAACTCTCCAGCAAAGAGATCTGTGTTATTTTTATTTGTGCTTGAGACACATTTTTCACCCAGGAACAATGTGGTAAAAGCCAGGTCACTTGCTTTAAAGGCTCTTTGAGATTTTTCTGAGACTTTTTTTATATGTAGATGTCTTAGAGAGTTAATCTGGGGTGTAGGAAGTGAACTACCTTGGCTGGATGCTACAGGCCACTTCCCTGGGTTTTCTGAAATGGTTCTTCCTGGCCTGGCGCGGTGGCTCACGCCTGTAATCCCAGCACTTTGGGAGGCCGAGGAGGGCGGATCACGAGGTCCCGAGATCAAGACCATCCTGGCTAACACGGTGAAACCCCATCTCTACTAAAAATACAAAAAATTAGCCGGGCATGTGGCGGGCGCCTGCAGTCCCAGCTACTCGGGAGGCTGAGACAGGAGAATGGCGTGAACCCGGGAAGGGGAGCTTGCAGTGAGCCGAGATCACTGCCACTGCACTCTAGCCTGGGCAACAGAGAGAAACTCTGTCTCGAAAAAAAGAAAAAGAAAAAAAAGAAATGGTTCTTCTTGCTGAAGGATAAGAACAGCTTCCCCAGGGAAAGTACAGTCTTCACAGATGAGTGAGTTCCCTAACTTTTTTTCTGGGATGCTCCTGTTAGAGCAAAACTTGAAGTAAAGAAACTAAAAAAAGCAAAATCTTACTCTGTGGAAGAGATAATCAAACAACATAATTTCAGTAATGTTCTAAGATATCCCAAATATTATAACCAGCATTATAACTAACATGATAGATTAATATGCAACACAAGGGAAGAATGATAAACTACAGCAAGCCCCCACATAAAACCCCACCTTTTCTTCTTGTCGAAACCCCCAGATGTGCACCAAGTGATCAGTTTTTCCATTAAAAGTTCAAAAGATGGAATCCAGATGTTTCTTTCAGCTCCATGCCCTTTGACCTCTCATGCATTTACTTGCTCTTGGAGTTTTTGGTCACATGACTCTCTGAACTTTATGTTCTACCTAAATAGCTCTGAAATTTACTCTATGATAATGGAGCATAGAGTTGTTTGGGTTGGGGATCAATTTCATGTCTATGAAGTGTTGCTGAAACTTTAAAGTTTTTTCTTTCAATTTTTTTTCAAAAGACTGTCTGTGTTTAAGTCATGTTATCACTAGTCTATCTGGAATTTTAAGTGCTAAACATTTCAAGTGCCAAATGTTTGACCCACTTTGGCAATAAAGGGTTGCAATGGATGAAGGTACTAGAAGATAAATTATCTTTCTTAGTATTGCAAACAGAGCATTCATAGACACGTCACTGTGATGAGGTGGACAAAATGTTCTAAGAAACAAATTGCTTAAAAGGTATTTCTTGGCTTTCAATAACCAATCAGAAAACCATCTACACTTGCACAACGTAGCAACAAAAATTGCTTTGAAGAAGATAAACAGCTCTCCACCCTGGACACAAATGTGGTAGTTCCTAGGCATAGGATGGTAATAGGATCCTTTGAAAATTTAAAACGAAAGCATGTGGAAAATTACACATTTACAGTGGCAACTATTCAATGTGATGTGGAAAGTCAGTTGTAATATATAATGATAACTGAAGAATGCGGCATGTGAACTTATTTTTTCTCTAGCTCTATGAGCAGTTCCCAAATTGATTAGAAGTAGTAGTTATAAATTTAGATTCCTGCTGTGGAAAATAACAGTAAAGCCATGTTCATTTTTAACGTTTTTCAAAGGTCCTTAGAAATGCCATTTTTCATACCATAAATCTGTGGTAGTTGAATGTTGGGTTGCTTTCTCAAAGGAATGTTGAAAGTACGGTTGCAGTTTGCTGTGGTCAAGCTTGGTGGAAAGAGTCACTAATGGGGACCCAAAAGGATTCTTAGAGTATCTGACCAATGTTGTTTTTGACGAAATCATATTGCTACAACTGAGAAAGATTAGAGAAAAAAAAACAGTTATCTGAGACTAAAATGATTCTTACCAATTATATTTGGCAGGTTTTCACCCGTTAATATTTTGTTCCTGGAAAGGCCTGTTCTGGAAAAAGAGAGATGCTGGCTTATCCATGTAGGGCAGATCCAACTAGGGAAAGCAAAATAGCACCTCAACATTATTCCTCTCTGAAAATCTAACTTATTCACTGAGTCTTCTGATACACGGTTTGTTTGGATAGGAGGCAACTGGTTCCCTGGTTCCCATGCCCACCACGAGGCAAGTTAGTCCACAGAATAGGAAAACCGACCTCCTATTTGTTTCCTGGGACTAGGAAGATGACTTTGCCACTTGAAAAATGAATTATTTTCCTACATTTCTTATCACCTCTGTTATAGGTGACGAATGTAAATTACAAAGTAAAAAATATTTATCTATAGTCTTTAAAGCTATAAAAACAGTTTTTACAGTACTTTTTTTTTACTCTTAGTGTAATAATTAGGTAACATATATTGCTACTCAATTTACCCACTTTTCATTTCATCTGGCTCTGTGACTTGCATTTATTTCAATGGCATTAACTAATACAGATGGAGTAATATAACAAAATTGACAACTGGCAAATAGATCAATATCAAGTAAGAGGATTTCTATAGCTAGTGTTCTACTAGCCAGGTAGTAAAATAAGGCAATTATTTGGTAATTTAGGTACAAGTAGAATTCTATTTGTTAAAGAATGGGAATCAAAATGATATGCATAATTGGCTGCATATCTTATTCATTCATTTACTTAATCATTCATTTATTTGACAAATATTTATTAAGTGCCAAAGGATAAAACATGGTTCTTTGTCTTACAGAGCGTATAATGGAGTTAGGATGACTGGATACACATGTAAGTCATCATCTTTACGTGCTTATTGTCACTTGGATCTGGCAGGTTGACTATTGAATAGTACCCGACTGGCACTAATAAAATTGCTAAACTGCTGTATTTCAAGTTACTTCTATTTTGCAACACTTTAATGGAATTATATAATTGTCACATCAGGAAAAACAAATTATTTGAAAATGACTCAAACATAGTAAAAGTAGACTGATCCATAAATGTATTAATAATTAAATTAGACATTTATACTTTCACATGTTTCTTAAAGTAGCAATTCTCATTTTAACACCAAGTCTGCCTCCTGAAGGACTTTATACATTTTCTCATGAGCCATTTGTGGCTTGGTCAGTGCTTTCATTTTTATTCTTGTGTCTTCTTTTCCTTCTTCTGTCAGACCGTGACTTGCTGTCTTAGGCCCTAACATCCTCATTAATATGGATATCTTTGTCAATGGTACTGCTGTTGGTAGAATAACTGGTAAGTTGAGATAGAGTGGCAGTTTCCATTCAACTTTATTTCACTTTTTCTGCTTTGAATGAAAACTCGGGCTACTTGCAACAATTCTGGTCACTGTCTAATAATAAAGAGTCACTGGGTCACTTCAGTTCATTAAGTCACAGAACCAAGTCACAAAATAATTAAAAGACCCAATCACATCAGAACTCCAAAGCCTGACTTACCTTTAAGTTGCCTCTCAACTCTAGCTTGTACCTGCTTAAGGCTGAGACCCTGCAACAGTGAGTGTGTGGAAAGCATTTGTCTTTCTATTGGACTCTGTCTCAGCTTACACAGATAGCTTCCCCCACCCTCCACCTGTGGCTTTTCTCCTACCCCGGGGTTGAAGGTAGGAGTGACAGAGAGTGGGGAGAGGTAAGGGGATAGAAAAATGCCACTTTGCTGAGAAGTACCATGCTCTCTGGATCTGGTGTACTGTTAAACTCATTCTTTCCTTGTGGGCACATATTTATCCTATTAAGAGATTCCTTGCTAGAGCTTTTCCTCCTGAAGTTCTCTTAACTCTGGTGGATGAAACTGTATTCCAGGTAGTCACTGAAACTTCTTGAGAAGAAAATTGCTAAACTGCTGTATTTCAGGTTACTTCTATTTTGCAGCACATTAATGGAATTATATAATTGTCACATTAGGAAAAACAGAAATTATTTGAAATTGACTCAAACATAGTAAAAGTAGACTGATCCATAAATTTATTAATAATTAAATTAGACATTTATACTGTCACATGTTTCTTAAAGTAGCACTTCTACTTTTAATACCTAGTCTGCTTCCCAAAGGACTTTATTGGCCCCTTGGGGGACACCTGTACCTTGTGGGTGCTGAGTGTGTCATTGCTCCAGGAGATCATATTGGACAGAACCCAATGCAATGCCACACTGGTCTTCTCTTCCACACCTCCCTCACGTGATTCATGGGAGACACGCTTGCATCTCTTGTCTTGCCAACTCAGAAAGTGCAGGCCAGTCTCTCCGCCACTACCTTCCACCACCAATGCAGGCAGCCAGCCAGCCTTCTCCAGATCACATGAGAGGTGCTGGCATTCCTGCGATCACAAAGGGCCCTCGGACGCCTGAGGCTGCAGGCAGACCCAAATTCACCATCCCAAGAGTCAGGCATTAGTCAGGGACCCAGCTCGTGTTAAGTAGTTTCCTGAAACTCTGCTCACTTGGTTTATGTGAGTATGAACACCCCCTTCCACTCACCCACAGGAAGGGAAGATGAAATGACAACACTGGAAACTCTCTCAAAAAAAAAATCCTCCCCACTCTTCTTGAAAAAAATCCTCTTTCCTCTGTAATCTCTTTTATCTGCTGCATCTGGTTGAGTGGTCAAAGAGTTCGGAAACAGTTTCTGAGATCATTCTTTTTATCAGTCTTTATAAGCACAGGAGAGGGGGGGTCCATCTACCACCCCTTTGTGCATCATATCTATCACCTTAGGGTCTCAGTGAAGACTGGGGCAGGGAGAGTCCCAGGCCAGCTTTCATTTGTGGTAGTATTTGGAATATGAGAAATGAGTGATTTAATTTTTCTAATATATATGAGGGGCTGCCCTTTCTGAATAAAATAAATCTGCTACTTATATGGTCCTGTCCCTTGGAAGTCTACCTCACATTTAGTCCATTCCTCTATCTCAGATAGGTAGAGACAATTTATTGAACTTTATAAACCACAGAATTTGAGGTGCGTAGCTTCTAGGTATGGCCCCAAAGCACACTGATGCCTTGGGAAATCCAGATTCTCTGTGTCCAGTATGTTCCATGGGCTACCTCAGAGATTCCAGAGTTTAGCAGATTATTTACCAATAAATAATCAAAACGCTGTTAAGTGTTGAGAGAAAGGGAATGAATTCCAGGCTGAAGTGACCATAGAAGGCTCTCCTCAGATGGGGCTACTTCTTTTTAGCCATTCTTATAGCTCCAGGTAATGAGTCGCAACCAATTAGCAATCCTCCTAGAAGGTCTAGGTTAGTCATTCATGATTGACTCTAGCATCAATGAAAGCTTCAGGCCTAAAATCAGCCCAATGCTTAAATTCTTATAAAGGAAAGAAAAATACGGCTTGGATTTTAAATTTTACACTGTTCTGAACTTAAAAAGAGTACTTAAAACACAAGTCACAAGGATTGACCAGGGCAATTCAGAAAAGCTTATTCAAGGGGTGTTGGTGCTTGCAAAAGATCAAATCATTTGTTGATTTCATAAACTGTATAAACTGTGTTAACATTGCACAAATACTTTTTCTTAAGACTAGTAATGGACATATCAGGCCTTGTTGCCTTTCCCACATGAAGCAGTGTAAATTAATTTGTCCCAGCTTACACCTCTGTTGTCGAATCAACACGGTCTGGCCGCCTTTTGTGAAATGCCAACTAATGGATCAAAGCCTCTGGAGAATGACCCCTATTTTCCCCCAAATATGTGTGGTTTTCTGGAAATCCATATCTCTCACCTCTTTAAATGTCTGTGGGTTATTGTGAGAAGACAGTTCCCATCATTTTTACTTAGGCCCATCTTGTTCCTAATTTGCAGCCTGTAAGCCATCTGAGTGTTCCACGCCCATGAAGGTCATGTTTTAGTGGGTTGTCCATGTTTCTGCCCAGTGACGTGCATTCTAATTCTGGCTGTCCCATCTCTGTTTCTAGTTCCATCTGAAGCAAGCCCAGGTTGGTTCTTTGTGGCTGCCTTAACCTTCCTTACTATACAGGTCACTGTGAAGACCATCTGCTTCCTAGGAGAAGATGCTAGGAAAGAAAGCACCAGTCAGACATTTCAGCCATATAGGGGCTGAGTTAATATTAATTATTAATATTAACATTAGATTAATATTGTGAATGTACATAATATTTATCCTTTTAGCCATTCATAGGTATACAATTCAGTGGCATTAAGTACAATCACAATGCTCTAGAATCATCACCGTTATCAACACCCAACACTTTTTCATCATCCCCAACAGAAACTCTGTACCGTTAAACAGTAACTCCCCTTTACCCACTTTCTTTAATAACAATGAAAGATACCCAGGTGGGAGAGGAGACTGTTGAGTCAGGGTCCTCTTAGCACTGCTTAGAAATTCCCATGGTAGACAATGGATGGGAGAGGAAAAAAAATAGACTAAAAATCCAAATGCTGTCTCATGTAGTATATAAGGAAAAGCTGGGGAAATGTGCCTTTCTGTTGATTGAAGTCATTTTCAAGATTTCAGTGTTTTGGTTAGCTTTTATTTTCTTTCTTCATATCCAAGCAAATTAAATATAAGCAAAAACTGGAGGAGACACCACTATGGCCCTGACATGGAGGAGAAAAGGGATGTTCTTGACTACCTAACATATGCCTTGCTTTCAAGACAAGCTGCAAAATAGGTTACTTGGGCAGGCAGTGCACTCCAAAGATCCTGGCTCAGGGCAATGGGACCAGATGACAAGTTGATAAAGACCAGGGCTGGCCTCCACCCCCTCTCTGCCTCTCAGGAATGACCCTCCCACCGGCATGGCTGTGCAAAAGGACAATCCATTTTAACAGGCTGAGTAGCTCCAGGGGCTCAACAAAAGCAAATAAGCTCCATGTCCCACAGTAAATCGTCTCTAGCTGAATGATGTCTGGTTCCTTTCTGGAAAGAATGTTCTTCCCTGAGTTGTAGTTTGCCAAGGGTCAAATATGACTGAAATGAAGTGTTGCTAATAGTGATTGAAAAGGATTCCTACTGTTTGTGGCCAGTGCTGGGTAGTAGAAAGGCCAAATTTGTGGGCCAGAAAACAGCAGGAGACAATAAACTTTCCCCGAGACTTACTAAACTTTAAGTCACCTCTGCTCCCCCAGCCATTCTGTCAGCCCTGTTTGGGGGAAACTGATATTATAATTGCTAATCTCAGCAAGGGCCTAACGTGCAACCTGAAGCTTTTTTCAGCCTTTGGTGCAATTAGGGCGGAGGGCAAGGCCCACAGACACCGGCGGGCTCTGCCCCCTCCTCCCAAATTGCCCCACTTGGGTTTCCTCCACACCCTGACATCCTCTGTAGACAGGTAACTGAGCAGTGCTGGCTCCCAGCTTTCAGGGAGAGAAAATTATTCCTCCTCAAGCTGGCTGGGAGCTATTAAAGGTTTAAATGTCACCTCAAAAGAACTCTTTGCTAACCTTTAAGTGGTGGTGTCTCCAGGGCTGTTTGGGGCAGGCTTTGCCCCCTCCCAGGGAGTCTGGAGAGCTGAGAACATTTGTATATGCATTTCCTCCACCCCTCCTTTTCTTTTTCTCCTTTCAGGGAATTATCACTCTACCTTCAAAGGGGGAATTTTGTGGGACAACTGGCACCTGCTGGACTGGGCTTCCCAATGAAGGCTCTCTTGGCTGAGTGTATAATTTCATTTACCTACTGTCGACAAATTCCCTTTAATCCTAACCACCACTTACGAGAATATTTACTATCAAAAGGAGACAAATCGCTATTTAAATGTGGATTTACTCAAGTCTGAAACTATGACAGTGACATACAGTAAAATGATAATATGTAAATAACAGCTGGAGACAGATTTATCTTCTGAGAAAGCTGGGCAGAGCAGTGGATTAAAGTCATATGTGATCTACTTTGAGTGGACTCAATTCAGACACAGCGTTCAGTTATGACCAACAACGCCATTCATTCTGCTTACTTCAATTCATTTGGCCCTAGTTCTCAATGACCCTCTGTTACCATGCATACACCTCCGATAAGTAGGCCTTGATGTTTACAGCACTTTGGAGAAGAATAAATGCAAACTGCACATTATTTATGGGTGTGCACTCTTAGCTTAAGAGGGATTTGTCAGCAGTGTGAATACAGGTAGAATAAGTAGATGTGTGTTAGGGCAGATAGCCTGGTTTCCAGAAACTAAGTAGAAAGAAAGGAGCTAAATAAAATATCACCCCAAGACAACAGCTTTCAATTATTGCCCATGATCCTGAATTCCTCCCAATGAATTGAAAGGAAATCTATACCAGATGGCATTTTCCTGAATCAGCCAAGTTCACCAGTCATTCCCGCCTCTTAGTGATGGGCAGCAGTGCCAAGGAAGAGCCGGCCTTTCATTTTCTGCCTCTGCTCACCAGTCACAGAAAGCAACTTTGCTTTCTAGGGATGAGTTTCCTAATTGCACTGAAATGTAATTAGAACAGTTAGAAATGGAGGGCCTTTTTTTCTAAAAAAGCAGAAATCAAGCAAATTGTGCCCTGTGTTCTTTGGCAGTGGTGGTCTAATGAGCCTAAGCCAGAACTGGGAAAATACTGAACACACATTATGTCACTTATTGACATGGTGATAATCTTCTCAATTGAGAGTAGCTCAAAACATGTAAAGTCACTCACAACTCTTAAATGTATGGAAGGTGGGGCATAAAAATCACTGTATTGTAATGCAGCATTAGAATACATTGTATTGAGCCCACTCATATATTACAAGGGAGAGCTGGCCTATGTTAATCGCAGTCTTCCTTAAATTATCTTGTCCCAAGACACCAAGTCTGAGAATGAAGACAAATATATTCCATTGAAAAAGCCAGAATAGATCTGATACCTCTAACTTGAACAGTACAGTATCTGATATTGGAGTGTTTGTAGGTTTCTTTTAGAAAATTGTTCCCTGTATAATACCCATAGGGTTGGATCCAGTGTATTCTTCATTCACAACTAAATATGAGGAAGCTAAAAAAAAAACAGGGGTCCTACATATACTTCCTTCTGCCAAGGAAAATATATTCATGACAAAGAGACAAATATCCAGTTAATTTATTCAACTAATTACTTTTTTAATATATTTTCTCACCATATAGTATAATTTTATTAGTGGATAAATTATTTTATTGTGTTGTTTACTATCTTGGCAACTAAAGTTGATCCTATTTTAAGCATGTGACGATCTGGAACACTTATTGGTGAATAAAGGGCAGAATTTTTTTTTTTTTTTTGGCAAGGATTCATCGCTGATTTGGAGAAGAAGCAGGAAAGGATGGGGATGAGGAACAAGAGATCAGTAATAAAATGTGATTGACTATGAATGACAGATTTGTTTCCAAGCTATGAAACTCTTCCTCAACATGTTATGTAAAGGTCACTTTGGTTAGACCCAGTACCTTGGTGATTCAAATGTACAGCTGTTTGTTTAACAGAAAGTAGAACAAAACACCAACTCAATCTAGGAAGAAACTTGACTGACAGAACAGGCTAAATGTAAATGGTCCATGAAAGATTCTTCTGTTTAACTAAATATAGGTATCCAACAGTTGATGGTTGAGGTAGCCAGGGGCCTCCAGATGGTTGCAAAAAGATAATCTATCAATGTTAACTCAGGGCCTGAGTGTCTTGAAATAATGGGCTTTGGGTCTTGTTCTTGTATGGTAGCTTCTAGAAAACATAGACATCTCACTTTATTACTTGAGGGTCCTTTTTTTAAAATGAATCGAGTGTAGCTTCGGTTGCACTGTGATAATTTAGTTCACTTCTGAACTTGACAATCTATTCATCAAAAAACGAAGGAGAGAGTCTTAGAAGGATGCATAATTGCTGCTAATGTCCACTTAACCAACAACCATGCATGCTTTGATGACCTTCAAAATGGTTGACAGTTGAAGAAAATGGATCTTGCATTGAAATGTATTAAGAAAAAGTTTTAAAACCTATGCCATCTGTGGGTTTGAACTGGATATATCAGTTTTTGTCCCATGCCATCTGTAGGTTTGAACTGGGTATAATATCAATTTTTGTCAGAACAATTTTCATGCATCTTCTGGACTCCAAGTTCAGGGAACAAAATAGTATTAATGACACCATGAAAGTGAAATGAGCATCTTGAAGTTCAAGCTTCTCCCCTAATAAAGTAGCAGAGGGGATCTCTTCCCTCAGTTGCTACTGAGAATCAACAACAACTGATGGCCTGAAGTTAACAAGCTAATATTTCATCCATGGATACCAGAGTGTTAATGGCTAAATGTGCCAGTGGAGGAAAGGAGCACATATGCAGCTATTTGCCCGACACAACTTCTGCTGTCATGGCCTATTAAAACCAGTTTACATGTGCATGTCGAATTTGATGAATATGTATGTGACCCTTTTCAGAGCCATCACTCATTGGGCTATGGCCCCATGGCAGGAAAAACAGCACCTCTCATTAAACACAGCATGAGTTACAGGCATGTTATGTTAATATTTCTTCAGAACTTTAGGGGGTTTTCTTCTTCTTCTAATAAATTGTGTGAAGAAAATAATTTAAAAGTATAATTGATTTAAATTAAAACCTTTTTCTCATTTTCTTCTTAACTATTTGATTTGGTGTGTGGGTTCTGGAAAGCTCTTTCCTCAGGAAGTTGTCGGACATGTTTATGAATTGTGCTTTGTAACACTCATTTGGGACTCCCGAGGTAGGCCCCCTCCTCAGTGCGAAGTTTAGCAAGGCTAAACAGGAGACCTTTCTGTATAGAACTTGAAAACTCAGGAAAGACAGGGCTCCTTTGGGCCATGAATGAATCATCTGTTAACTCACAGTTCTTATCAGTGGGTCTGGCACACAGTAAGTTTTCAACAAATGATAGCTACCCTGATCACTTTTACTATTGTTATTTAAGCTAGAGTTAAAACAATCTTTGTGCTAGGGAAGATAAGAGGCTTTCTGAACATGCTTTCCAAAAAGTCTAGGGGAAAAAAAGCAGAATAGAGTCTTACCTTAAGTAAGTACACATAAACTATTGATGCAGTAATTCCAAAGATTTATGCCGAAAACCCTAAAAGGCCAAACAAGTCCGATTCCTCCCATATCCCTCCTACTCCTACTTCTGTCAAAGTCTCACAATATCCTTTTCCACCCACGCTGCTCCTCTGGCCCTTCCCTGGTGTCTGCTCAATGGTTAAAAGCTGCTTGAGGGCAGGGGTGATTCTTGATACTCTTCTGTGGCATCCCAAATACCTAGCTCAGTGTCTGGTAAACAGTGGGTGCTCCATATCTGTGGGTCCCTTCTCTGCAGATTCAACCAACCTGGAATAGAAAATACTAAAAAATTATAATAATAAGTAATATAACAATAAAAATATACAAATTTGAAAGTACAGTATAACAACTATTTACATAGTATTTACTTTGTACTAGGTATTATAAGTAATCTAGAGATGCTTTAAATTATTAGAGGATGGGCACAGGTTGCATGCAGATAGTATGCCATTTTATATAAGGGACTTGAACATCTGCAGGAGTTCTGGAACAAATCTGCCTCACCCCATTGATAAGAGGAACAACTGTGTGAATTGTAATCACCTCCCAAAATTGATCCCCTAATTGATGACCCCTTTATACCAAAACCTTGAAGACCATCTTCTCTATATACATGTGCTAATGTACTAGATGATTACTAACCTATGACTCTAAATGCCTGGACAGTTTAGCCACTGTCAAGAGACAGTACCTAGGGAAGAGAGGATTTTGGTGAGGAAAAGAACATCATTTCAAAAGGAGCTACCCTGCTGGAAGGCTGGGCTCCCTAGAGAGCTGCAATACAGGAACATTGAAATAAGAGCTTAGAACTGGGGTTCTAATCTTGACTCTGCTTTCGTCTGGCTGTGAGGCCAAGGAACATGTTTATTTTAGATGTCAGTTTCCTTGTTTGCGAATTATTGCCAAGGTCTTCAAGATCTGAACTGCTCTCCACAAAGAATTTCACTCCACTTTTAAAGAACTGATCTTGGTCTCATATCTTCCTATATACTGTGGTGTATCAGAGCATTAGAAAAGATAATTACATACTTAACCTTCCATCATAGGTCTTTTCTCCCTGTGGAGAGGAGATGGCACATTCCTGCAATTCTCAAACAAAGATTACAGAGATACTCACGTTTCTTTTCCCCTTTCCAGCATCACCATCTGCGAGCCTAGAATCTGGAGCTGGGCTGCTTCCTGTGCTATCTGGTTGTCCATTTAAAATATCCAGGCAGTACTGAAGATCCCCTTTGAAATTCCTCATTGTGGTCACAGGTCTTCAGATTGACTCCTAGAAGGCAGAAAACCAAACCATGCGAGAAGTGGGAAAGTGCATTTGCTGAACTAATAGTAGCCAAAGTTCAATGCGTATTAAGTCACCATTGGCTATGTCTTGTTCTAAGTGCTTTACATTTTTGCTTCTTATTAACGCATTCAATCTATACAACTACATCATGAGATAAGTGCTATTATTATGCTTACTTTAAACAGAGAGAACTGAGAGGCAAAGAGGATTAGAAATGTGTCCGAGGTCACACAGAGCTGGTAAGGGAAGAAGGCTGTATTCAAACTCTGGGCAGTCTGGCCCCAGAATCCTAGCTGGTTTTTTTGTTTGCCATTCTGCCACAGTCTGTATGAAATTTCTTCTCCCAGGTGTAGGCCTCCTCTGGATAATACATTTGGAAGCAGATAGAGTAACATCCTCTATAATAGAAAAATACAAACTCAAAAACAAATAACAAAACAGACCTAGTTTCTCACCAGAGAAATCTTTTTCTTGCTCCAGCTTTGCTGGAACCAGGTTTTATTAGTAAGGTGTGCACCAGAGAAGAGTGGCTTGAAATTTGGAGACTGCTCCATGTGTGAGGCCAGTCTCATTGGGACCAGCTCTCCAGTCTGAAGTAGGAAGCTGAAGATGCCAGTGGGAGTGCTTAGGTGGAACGCTCTCTCCCAGGATTCACGCCATTACTCTTCCCTCACTTGAGAGGCCCCCAGCTGGCTAAGCAGCAGCCTCAATCGCCAAAGCCATCTCCAACTCACTGTATAAATCTAGCACCAGAGCTGCCAACAGACAGTGCTGGATAAAGTCTGTTCTTCTCCCTGCCAACCAAATGGCCCCACAGCATAAGGTTCCAAGTTTTCTCAGTCTCATAAAACTTGGCTGAATGAGGCAGTGGTGCCATGAAATTTGCATTTATCTTGTGCACCTGACACTTCCCATCATAATGATGGAGTGCTTCCCTCATGTCAGAGTGCTTTTGGCTCTTAGGGAGGACAGGAAAGCAGAGTGGAGGTTGGTTGTGGGATAGGCTAATCAAAGCCAGGAAGAAGAGTAAATCCATAGGCATGAAGAATGAAAAACAAGGTGTGGAAGAAATGGAAGACTGGGGCGCACTGGGGGACTTAAGATAAAAGAGGTTTCCAGGGCCCCTTGTGCATTTGGGTCATCAGTCATCTGTGCTTTTCAGGGACAACCTTGCTGGTGACCTCCAGGTCCTGATGTGCAGCATCCATGCAGCTGCCCCAGGGAAGCTGATCTCCTCTTTCATAGTACATCATTGTGTGCACATTTAGAGCTAGCCTGCAAGAAGATTGACCTACAGGGTCTATAGGTTGTTGTAATGAAATGGTTTTGTTGCATTGGTATTAAGGTTTTGAATGGGAGAGTGGGTGGGGGAGACTTTAGAGTTTCAGCTGAATGTGAGAACAAAAATAAAGAAAAAGGAAAAATAAAACTTGTACTCAAGTGAAAGTTCCCTTATCTGCCTCTTTGTTCATCTTGCTTAAAAGTTCTCAAATTTGTTTTAGTTAAAAAAAAAAAAGGGGGGGGGAGAAAAAGGCTCAGTGGCTAAAGAGCTTGGACTATATAGCAGAGGTCTAGGTTCAAATCCCAGATCAAACATTTACTGGTGGCCAAAGTCTGAGTCTTTCTTTGCCTCTCTTTCCTCACTGATAAAATAAGGATATTAGAAGGAGTATTTTATAGAGTTGTTTTGAGGTTAAATGAGATAATGTGTGCTATGTACTTGGTGCAGGTGCCTTGTAGGTACCATAGGTGTGGGTTAATACTTGACCTCAGGATTTTGGAGGGATGATTCAGGGTTTTAGAAACCATAAATCTCAAGTCTCTCATTTATAACTCCACCATGAAAATTATTGCCTAATGTAGATCTATTTTTTAATGTCTTAGTAAGATTCATAATATCTGAATAATTGTTGAAGTTAGGGTTGGTAGAAGGCCACCCATTAAAACAATTATATATTTTCTCTATTGTGCTCTTGTCTATTAGTCAGATTTTTCCCTACTAGATCTGAATTTTCGAGAATAAATTTCCGCTACTGCCTCAACTCTTTGCCCCCTTCTCAGAGACAAAATGTGAACTAGGCATTTATGATACTCTTTTTCACTAGAGGAACTGGCCTAGATTCGCCCAATATGACTACATGGATGGTGGGCTTGACATTTCCTGTGCGCTTGGAAATCTAGGGCCATGCAATATTCCTGTGGTCAATGAAAGTTTCTTCGCCATTCTTTGATGACCACCCAGCCTAATTCAAGGCTGAGTGTGGTGGCTCATGCCTGTAATCCCTCCAGATTTTATTAGCAGCAGTAAAGAAAGGCGCCTTCTTTTGGTAAGAAAGCCAAAATTAAGAAATGGAAAACTGACTTTGAAAGTGAATTGTTAACTTGAATCATTCATTCATTTATTCACTTTTTATCAAATATCTATTGTGTGCCAATTTATATTAAACGTGATTCTGTTTAATTTTTAAATTGCTTATATCTTCCAGAAAAAAATGTGTGTGTGTATATATAATACATAAAGTTATATATATATATATAAAGTAAGATACATATGTATGTGTGTATATATATGACATTTAAGTTTATATGTATGTGTATATATACATGAACACACTCATATACACACACATATATGTATATGTATATATGTATATATATGTATATGTATATATGTATATGTATATATGTGTGTATATGTATATATATACATATACATATACATGTAAAGTTAAATGTTACAGTTTCTGAGCTGGTTCAGTGAACACAAATAAATAAGCATACAAATGAATAAAAACTCTCTTTGTTAAATATCCAGTGAATTTCTAAGTTCCAAATTTTTTGAATGAAATAGGCCAAAAATGGCAAGCAAATCTTTTCTGAAATATACATGCTAACAATTACTTTGTCGATTTCCTCATTGTTTAGGAGAGTCTTCTCTTATCTTCAAGAAGAATAAAAAGTGAAGCTGACATTACTTGGAAAGAGAATAAACAAAATCTGTCATGAGGACTGCAGGGATGAATGACACAAACCAGCCATTTCTTTGAGAGTCAGGAAATATCTAGTTTATACAATAAGCTGATCTACCAATAAAATACAATTGGTGTTGAAATATATGGCTGAGGAAAGTCCTCATGTTTCAAGGTTCAAAGTTATTCCAAAGAAGTCCTCGCTCTACAAATGTAACATTGAGATGACGTATTATATGCTTATCAGAATAAACTAAAGGAACATCAATTCAAAGATATTTTCACTCCAGAAATATATGTATAGGTTTTGTATGTGTTTGAGTATATATGTATGTATGTATATTTTGTACATATATATTCATATGTACATAAATATATACATTAATGTTACATTTAGATAATATATAATACTAAGATAGTATAAAACATTATTACTTCAATGTCATTCATTTATAGTTTTTAAGGCTTTCTTAATTCAAATCTAGAGCATAAATTATAATAAAAGGTGGAATTTATACTAGTATTAGGAAATCATAATTTAGAATATGCCTTTGTGGGCAAAGTGAGAAGAGTTAGTAATTATTTATGAATCCTTTCCTGAGAATAAACACTTATTGCTGCTCTCATGAATTAGACTGATTTCAAACAAAAACCTGTTAGAAGATGTAATGAAAGAAAATGTCCCATTTATAAGAGTAATGAATAAGATAAAATACCAAGGAATAAACAGAACAATAAATGATTCACTCCCACATAAAGAAACATTTTAAATATTACTAACAGCCTCATAAAAGACTTAAACAAACAAAAAGGCATGGCATGTTCTTGGATAGAAAGATTCCAGGCCATAAAGATGTAAAATTTCTTTAAGTTAATTTCTAAATTTAATGTGATCCCAATCAAACTGACATTTTATAAGTTTATAAGAAAAAAGAATAAACAAAAATAACAATGAAAACTGTGAGAACAAAGAAGTGTGAGGACAGATTAGCCCTTCCAGATGTTAAAACATATTATAAAGACTCAAATATCAAAATAGTGTGGTGCTGGGGTATAAACAGAAAAATAAACGAGCTAAATGGAAAGTCCAGTAAACAGTGCAAACATGTACGGAATTTAATAAATGGTTAAAGTGACATCTTTAATCAATGAGGAAAAGGAGATCGATACAATAGATGATGTTAGAGCAATTGGAAAGCCAAATGAAAAAAATAATTTTGACATATACTTCACATTTTACACCAAGATAAATTCGAAATTGAAGATTTAAATAATAATAAAGCCATAAAAGTTCAAAATAGAAACATGAAGAAATTCCTTCACAATCTTAAAGTAGAGGAGGAATTTGTAACTATAACTCAAAATCTATAAGTATAAAAGATACTGATAGTTTTGATTATATAATATACTAAGAAATTGATTTATGGCAAAACAATAAAATACCTAGAAATGAAAGACTTGTATGCTAAAAACTACAAAACATTGATGAAAGAAGTTAAAACCCAAAGATGGAAAGATAACCTGTGTTCAAGAATGAAACACAGTATTATTAAGATGGCAATATTCTTCAAAGCCATCTACAGATTCAATGGAATCTCTATCAAAATTCCAATAGCCTGTTATTTGAAGAAATGAAAAACATCAGTCCTCAAATTTGTTTGAAATTACAAGAGACCCTAAATAACCAAAAAAGTACTGAAAAAGAACAATGTTGGAGGACAGATATGTTATCAATTTCAAAACTTTCTATAAACTACAGTAATCAAAACAGTGTGGTACTGGCAAAAGGATAAACATGTATCCTTTTATTGGTTTATTCATGGTTTATTTTATTGCTTTAAATTAAATCAATTTATTGGTTTATTCATGGAAAAACCAGTTTATTGGTTTATTCATGGAAAAACCAGCTTATTGGTTTTATTCATGGAAAAACCAGCTTATTGGTTTTTTTCATGGAAAAACCAGCTTATTGGTTTATTCATGGAAAAACCAATTGGATATCATTGAGAGTCCAGAAAAAAAATCCATAAATCTATGGCCAATTTATTTTTTAAATTGATATATAATAATTATATTTATGGGGTACATAGTGATGTTTTGATATGATGTATAGTGATCAAATCAGGGTAATTAGCATATCCATCATCTCAAACATTTATCATTTCCTTGTCTTGGGAACATTCAGGATCCTACTTCTAGCTCCTTAAACTGTTTATTATATTATGGTTAACTTTAGTCATCCTACCACTGTAGTATAACTAAAACATTTCTTCTACCTACCTGTAATTTTGTATCCTTTAACAAACGTCTCCCTAACTTTCATTTATCCTTGCCCTTCTCAGCCTCTAGTATTGTCTATTTTTAGCTCTATGAGATAGACTTCTTTTTAGTTTCCGCATGAGTGAGAATATGCAGTTTTTAACTTTCTGTTCTTCGCTTATATCACTTAACATAATGTTCTCTAGTTCCATCCATGTTGCTATGAATGACAGAATTTCATTTTTTAATGGCTGAATAATATTTCATTGTATAAATATACACCGTTTTTTTTTTTTTTACCCATTTATCTGTTGTTGGACACATAGGTTGATTTCATATCTTGACTATTGTGAATAGTGCTGCAATAAACATGTGGGTGCAGATGTTACTTTGATATATTGATTTCCTTTCCTTTGTATAAATTCCCAGGAGTGGAATTCCTGGATCCTATGGTAGTGTATTTTGGGGAACCTCCCAAAATACAACCTCTTCGTAGTGGCTATACCAGTTTACATTCCCACCAACAATGCATACGAGTTCCCTTTTCTTTACATCTTTTTCAGCATTTGTTATTTTTTGTCTTTTTGATAATAGATATCCTAATTGGGATTAGATGATACCACATTGTGGTATTGATTTGCATTTCCCTGATGTTTAGTGATGTTGAGCATGTTTTCATATATTTGTTGGCCATTCATGTGTCTTCTTCTGTTAAATGTCTGTTGAGATAATTTACCAATTTTTTTTCATTCTGTTGATTGTTTCCTTTGTTGTGCAGAAGCTTTTTAGTTTGATATAATTCCATTTGTTTATTTTTACTTTTATTGCTTATGCTTTTAGGTCTTATTCATAAAATCTTTTCTCAGACCAGTGTCCTGATGTGCTTTCCGTATATTTTCTTCTAATAGTTTCATAGTTTCAGGTTCTACATTTAGGTCTTTAATCCATTGTGAATTGATTTTCTGTATAGGGTGAGAGGGAGGGATCTAGTTTCCTTCATCTGCATATGGATATTCAGTTTTCTCAGCACCATTTATTGAGGAGCCTCTCTTTTCCCTGGTGTTCTTGGTGTCTTTGTCAAAAATCAGTTGGCTGTGGATACACAGATTAATTTCTGGGTTTCCTATTCTGTTCCATTGGTCTGTGTCTGTTTTTATGGCAGTACCATTGAGTTCCCTCCACTTCAATTAATTTTTGATAAAGTAGCCAAAATTTCTCAATGCAGAAAGAATCGTCTCAAGCAAATAGTGCTGGATCAACTGGATATCTATATGTGAAAGAATGAAGTTGGACCCCTACCTTACATCAGATAAAAATTTAACTCAAAATTGATCAATTACCAAAACATAAGAACCAAAACTAGAAGAAAACATAGGGAAAATATATATATATTTTTGCTTCAAATACAACATTAAGAAAGTTAAAAGACAACCTACAGGATGAGAGAAAATATTTGTAAATCATGTATATGATAAGAATCTAGTATCTGAAACAAACAAAAAAAAAACTCCTACAGCTCAACAACAAAAAGACAAATAACCCAACAAAAAAGTAGTCAAAGTATTTGAATAAATATTTCTCCAAAAAAGATATACAGTACAAATAGCAAACAAGGATGTGAAAAGATGCTTAACATCATTAGTCATCAGGGACTCAAAACCATGAGATACTACTAGAAAAAAATCAACAACAGTATATAACAAGTGTTGGTGAAGGTGTGGAGAATTTGAAATGTTGGTGGTGGAAATATAAAATGGTGCAGCCGCCGTGGAAAACAGTTTGGTAGTTCTTCAAAAATTTAAACAAATGTCCATCAATGGATGATGGAAAAACAAAATATGGTAATACATACAATAGAATATTAGCCAGAAAAAGGAAAAAAGTACTGAGTACTGACACATTCTGCCACATAGATAAATCTCAAAAACATTACACCAAATACAAGAATCCAGAATCAAAGATCACATTTTGTAGAATTCCGTATATATGAAACATCTAGAATAGGGAAATCCACAGAGACAAAAATCAGATTGGTGGATGCCGGTGTCTGAAAAGACAAGGGAATAGGGAGTGACTGAATAATGGGTATGAGGTTTGTTTTTGGTTGGTGATAGTGTGTTAGGACTAGACAGAGGTGGTAGTTGTACAACACTGGATAAGTTCCACTGAATTATACATTTTAAAATAGTATGAAATATCTACTGTGAAGGATCATTGAAAGATTCAGTTGGCCATGTATGTAGAACACTGAGTAAGTGCTTTGTAAATAGTAAATATATCATTTTATATAAAGAAAAATATTGCATTGCTTATTTCAGTTAACATAATCACTGAGATGTTAATGTACAAAAGTGTAATCATAATTATTAGAATAGTATAAAATAAAATAGTAAATTTTATGTTACACAAGTTTCATGTCAATAAAAAGTTTTAGCCAAACAAATCAGCATAAAGTATGAACTTCAGTTAATAATAATAATAATAATAATGGGCCATACTAACATAAGATGTTAATAATAGGGAAATCAAGTGTGGGGTATATGGGAATTCATTCACAGAATTTTTTGGAAAAGTAAAACTATACTAAATTAAATTTTTTTAAAAGACAAAAAATTTTTAAAAACAAAATTGAAAAACAAATGACAAAGTTGGAAAAATCTGCAACTCATGACAAACTAAAGGCTAATTTTCTCAACTTTAAGGACTCCTAGAAATTAAGAGAATGTTCACACATCCAATAGGAAAATGGGAAAAGAAAGGTTTATCAAAAGTAAGACAAAGAGTTCATTAAAATATCTCGTTCAAGCATATGAAGAGATGTTTAACTTCTTTTATAAAAAGAAAGAAAGGTACATTGAAAATGACCCTATTGTAACATTGTTACCCACCAGAATGACAAAAATCTAAAAGTTTGACAACATACTCTTTGGTAAGGCTGTATGGAAATAGGCATTCAAAATGATATGTATATAAACTGGTATAACTCTGAAGGATAATTTATCAATATCCATCAAAATTACAAATGAATATACTCACTAACAATTTCATTTGCAGTAATCTATCTTACAGATACACTACATACATAAGAAATGACATACGTACAAGTTTATTCATTTCAGTGGTGTTTTGAATAGTAAAAGACTAGAAAAATCCTGAAAGTCCACTGGGGCTGGACGAATATTATTTATGGTACATTCGTATAATGACATACTATACAGCTTCAAAAAAGAATGAAGTAATTCTCTATGTGCCAGCATAAAATGAATCTGAGATTTAATGTTAAGTGAAAACAGAATAGTATGTATGAATGCTTTTTTTTGTAAAAAAAAAAAAGGAGATAGAAAAATGACAAATATATTTTCATTCATTTGTGTATGAATCAAGAAACTCTAAAAGATATACAATAACAGTGGTTATACCATTATACCTTGAAAGAGAAGGAGTATTCTTTGGGTGAGTAGGGAGGCATTGGGTAGAATGAATTGAAGGAATGCATTTTATTAAGTACTTAAAAAAAACTTGAACCATGTGAAAGTATTACCTATTTAAAGTTAAACTAAAGAATACTTAAGCAACCAAGTCAGAAAGAATTCGTAATGTAGAGATTGGTGTAGACTTTCTCAGAGGAAGACATTCAATGAAGCCATTGTTTCTGAGGCTTCTTGTTAAAACAAGCTACAGACTTCCACGTGTATGAAAATTGTTATGGAAGACAAAAGTGCCCCAACACCTTGTCTTCTTTGACCTTGAAAAGCAAAATCATTGGTTTTTCAGGGAGTGCTGCTGGGCTAGCCTCATCATTCAGGTGGTCTTGCCTTCCTCAGACTCTGCCTCTGGCTCTACCTCCAGTGCCAAGAACAATGCTTGACACCAACTCAGTGCTAGTTAGTATTTATTGAACAATTAAATTTAGGGAGCGCCTATCACTGTGTAAGTAGTTTTAGTCATAGATATTGAATCAGTGGTCAAAGGGGAATGAGAATTTTTTTTAATGAAACATCCATTTTAACTTGACAATGTTTTGGAACCTAAAATCAGAAAGAACCTTTTTTTTTTTTTTTTTAATCCACCTGGAAATCAGGTGTAGCTCCCTGGGTCAGTTTTATTTTTATTTTTTATTTTTTAGAGATGCGGTCTCCCTGTGTTGCCCAGGCTGGTCTTGAACTCCTGGGCTCAAGTGATCCTTCTGTTTTGGCTGCCTAAAGTGCTGGGATTACAGGTGTGGGGCACTGTGCCCAGCCTTGGGTCAATTTTAGAAAATACTCCCTGTCCATCACAGACTCACCATAAAACAAAAATCATGTTTCTTCCCAGAAGAATGGGAGGAACTACTTGCATGTTTTTTCTATATTCTTTTCAGTGTGCCACATCTCAGGGGCAGGGAAATATTCCTTGGAGAAGACATTGACAGTCTCTTGGTGGAGGAGCAAATGAAGGGTTGCTTCTACTGGGTGACTTTTATCCCTGAATAGAGATATGTTACTTTAAAAAATTTTTAACATTTGAACAATTTTCATATGTTTTTCAAGCCTTGGGAATGCTGAGTATATCAGAATATGAAACTAGAATGAGAGCAGAAAAAACAGCCTTCAGATTTCCAAAATGAAAATAGAAAATAGAAGAAAAAGAAGTGTGTCCTTATACAAAACTTAACTCAAGATGCATTAAAGGCTTAAATGTAAAACCCGAAACCATAAAAACCCTAGAAGAAAAACTAGGCAATATGATTTAGGACATAGGCATGGGCAAAGACTTTGTGACTAAAACTCCAAAAGCAATGGCAACAAAAGCCAAAATTGACAAATGGGACCTAATTAAACTAAAGAGCTTCTGCAAGGCAAAAGAAACTACCATCAGAGTGAACAGGCAACCTACAGAATAGGAGAAAATGTTTGCAATCTACCCATCTGACAAAGGGCTAATATCCAGAATCTACAAGGAACTTAAATTTACAAGAAAAAAACAACCCAATCAAAAAGTGTGTGAAGGATATGAACAGACACTTCTCAAAAGAAAACATTTATGTGGCAAACAAACACATGAAAAAAAGCTCATCATCACTGGTCATTAGAGAAGTACAAATCAAAACCACAATGAGATACCATCTCATGCCAGTTAGAATGGCAATTATGAAAAAGTCAGGAAACAACAGATGCTAGAGAGGATGTGGAGAAATAGGAACACCTTTACACTGTTGGTGGGAGTGTAAATTAGTTCAACCATTGTGAAAGACAGTGTGGCAATTCCTCAAGGATCTAGAACCAGAAATACCGTTTGACCCAGCAGTCCCATTACTGGGTATATACCCAAAGGATTGTAAATCATTCTGCTATAAAGACACATGTACATGTATGTTTACTGCAGCACTATTTACAATAGCAAAGACTTGGAACCAACCCAAATATCCGTAAGTGATAGACTCAATAAAGAAAATGTGGCACATATACACCATGGAATACTATGTAACCAAAAAAGGAATGAGATCATGTCCTTTGCAGGGACATGGATGAAGCTGGAAGCCATCATTATCAGCAAACTAACACAGGAACAGAAAACCAAATACCGCATGTTCTCACTCATAAGTGGGAGCTGAACAATGAGAACATATGGACACAGGGAGGGGAACAACACACACCAGGGCCTGTCGGGGCGGGGGGGGGGTGGGTAAGGAGAGGGAGAACATTAGGACGAAAAAATGATGCATGTGGGGCCTAAAACCTAGATAATGGGTTGATAGGTGCAGCAAACCACCATGGCACATCCATACCTATGTAACAAACCTGCACATTCTGCACATGTATCCCAAAACTTAAAAAAAGAGAAGTGTGTTTGCACTTGGTTTACTATTTCAATTTTAAGCATCTATAAACGTAATGCGTAAATCTCTCCCATTGTCAATTGCCAAGAAAGTACCTTTGGATTTTATATTTAAGCATGGAGACTTATAATTTACCACTAGGTCAAGAGATGGCTGGAAATACTTTTATCATAATTTGCTTACATTAATTATTTTCTCTAATGCTTTGCGGTTTTGTAGCTGAAGGGTTTTACAAAATCTTCTACTTTGGGATGAAAAGACATCTTAAGCAGCACGCTTGTCAATGGGAACACACTTCTCTTTCCTTCTCAGAACCGATTTTCTAGGTATGATGAAAAAGTTCTAGGTGGTATCACCTGGGTCTGGATCACTTTGGTCCCCAGAAAAGTTCCAAAATATGTAAGATGTTCAGGTCTCCTAAATGGATATCATAGTCTCTTAGACTTTCAGGCTTTTAAACTGAGATCTCAATCAGACCTTCTGATTTATTTCATTCTGGTCAATATTCACATTCTTACGTCTACATTGAAACAAAGTTGGGAAATAAAAAGTAGATTGTATTTGTTTGCCACCTTGACTCTGAAGTTTATCCACTACTCCCACCTTCATTATGCCTGTCCTCTGGATCCCAGGAGAATTTCTGACTGTGCACTTTGATATTGTCCCATCATATTTGCTGAGCATTGTTACTGTTTCTTTGGTGCGATAATGAGCTCTTCAAGGGCGGAGCCTCTGTCTGACACTTCCTGTGTCCACCCAATTCTTGACCCAGGATTCTGTATACCGTGGAACTGGGCAAACAGTCATCATTTTATATGACAGCTGACCACAATGACATCTTACAAATATCTGCATTTAGGAATGTGTTATGAGCAACATTTCAGCAATAGAGCCAAATATCTCCTGTGAACTAGAAATTTTATGTCTCACACTTGTCTTTTCAACGAGTTGTATATTTATGTGTGAAAATGTATGCTATTTGTTGCCACCTATCAAAGGAATAGACTTTGTATAATTTCCCACATTGGACAATTTAAAAGTGTTTGTGAAGCAAAATTAGTTATGAGTGAAATAATGATTTAATTTTCTACATACTTTTTTTTTTTTTTGGAAATGGAGTTTCGCTCTTTTTGCCCAGGCTGGAGTACAGTGGTGCGATCTCGGCCAATTGCAATCTCTGCCTCCCGGGCTCAAGGGATTCTCCTGCCTCAGCCTCTGGAGTAGCTGGGATTACAGGCTCCCACCACCGGGCCTGGCTAATTTTTGTGTTTTTAGTAGAGATGGGGTTTCACCATGTTGGCCAGGCTGGTCTCGAACTCCTGACCTCAGGTGATCTGCCCTCCTCGGCCTCCCAAAGCGCTAGGATTACAGGCATGAGCCACCACACCCGGCCTATATACCTTTTTAAAATGACAGAGAAAGGAAAAACTAAGAAAACAGTATACTACCGGTTCTTTCGGGAAAGTCCCTAACATCACCCACCTGAGAGTACATAGTAAGGCTCACAAAATGCTTCTTTTCTCCAGAGTCACTGTGATTTAATACTAACTTGAGTTCAATAATGAGCTTCTGGGGGTCCTAGAACCTCCAGAAAGCATTTGCAAAACTTTGTGTTTACACACATTTTACTAAGGAAGAGCAAGAGCTTTCATACCATAGTTCCACGGGGGCCAATGACCCCAAAATATTAAAAGCACCAACTTAGAATCTTACAATCCACTTATGAATAATTTCAGACGGATCTCATCATCAAATTGTGTATGGATTATAATAAATATTTCAAGTTATTTATTCATTTATTTAGTACACACAAGGTACTGTACTTCCAGATGCCAAGTACTGTCCTTGATGCTGGGAAGATAAGAACAATAAGCTCATAGAACGAGAATGTTAGAAGCATTTCCCAAGTAAATAAAACCAAACAGAATTAGGCCAAGGTGACTCTCCTTTAAGTTTTCTGGTACTGATCTGACACTTTGTTCTTTCAAAGGTTGGTTATCACTACAAGTACATATTTTTAATTGAGTTACCATACTAACTATAAATCACTTCAATTAACATTAACTTCTATTGTGGCAGATATAATTAAGAATACATATGTGACTGTTTCTGCTTTTTGTAATGAGCTTTCATAGTAATCACTATTGGAACTACAGTATTAAGTATAATTACTGAGTAATCTACTAGAACCCAGAATCACTTTATAATTATATGATATTTTCCTAAGCATATAGCATGTAGTTACTTTGAGAGTGAAGCATAAGAGTGACATTTTAGCAATCCATTACGTAATTGATGAAATTTTACTAATAAATGTGAGTTAAAATTCATAAATGCTAGACATTTGATTTCCAAAATAAAGCCAGTGATTCATTCAGCTACTTTTTGAAAGGGAAGACACCTTATTTTAAAACCCTAATTCCAAGGGGGAAAATTATCTGAACACACAAATCATGTGGTTTTAGAGTCCAAAAGTAAAGCAGATGGCATTAATTGTCTATATTGAAAGTAAGTGTGTGTTTAATATGCTAGAATAGGATTTTTAAAAACAGTTATATCTTTGTCTGCAGCTCGTTTTTTTTTGGCATATATCTCTAAAAGTTTCTAATAGAAGCTTTGGGATATATTTTTCAAAAAATTATTTTCAGCTTAAAAAATGTATTTTCTGGCAGATGCAGAACTCACATTAAATTCTAAAAAGTTGAGGGGAGGGTGATTGTGTTTTCTCAAGATCTGTGACTTGTTACTTAACAAAGAACCCATTGTAAAATTTCCAAAAACATCGTAGCAATCTAAGACAGAAAGAAAGTATGGCACATAGCAATGATCCCAATTTTTAGGAGCATCGAGAATTAGAAGACAAATTATATAATAAAGTGTATTGATTACCTAGGGCTGCTATAACAAATTACCATAAATTTGGTGGCTTGAAACAACAATTTATTCTTTCACAGTTCTGAAGTCCAGAAGTAAAAAAAAAAAAAAAAAAAATCGAAGTGTTGGACAGGTGGGTACCTTTATGGAGGCTCTGAGGGAGAATCTGTGCCATGCCCGTCTACCAGCTTCTAGTGGCTATCAGCAGTCCTTAGTGCTCTTTGACTTGTAGACATAACAATAGTCTCTGGCTCCATCTCTACCTGGCCTCTTCCCTGTGTCTTCTTTTCTGTCTCCTATCTGGACACCTATTCTTGGGTTTAGGGCCCATGCTAATCTAGAGTTTTATTATATCCAGAAAGACCCTCATTTCAAATAAGGTTACATTCTGAGGTTCCAGGTGGACATATCTTGTGGGGGACACATCCAGCTACTACATAAGGTATGAATGTACATGTAACTTTTCAGAAGGAGTCAGAGCTGTGAGGTGTCCAAATGAAGCCAAAACCTTAGAAAGAGAGCTCTTAGACCTGGAAATGATCTCTGAGAAAAGTAGGACTCCTCCTTCCATTCAACTTGTAGGAAATTATCACCACTTAAGAGAAAAAACAAGGAATGTCAAAAAAACTAAATGGTTTAGCAAGTAATATCATCCAGGAAGTGACCAAAGAGAGCCAGTATGTGTCACTGGCTTCCCACAGAAGTGCTGTTTTCACTCCACTTCATTCAGAGAAAGCAGCACTTAAAGGTGGCCTTAAGGGGTAGGTAAAGAGGAAAGAAAAGAAGAAACCTGAAGTTATTGTAGGAGAAGAAAAATGGGCTGTATTTGGTGGAATTCCTTGTGTCTGACCACTTTAACATCTCAGTGAGGTTATAACTACTACTTTATTGTATCCACCGAACTATCACCTTTGCCTTTACTCATTTTATCACTGCCCATTTAGCCATGAGAAAAGTGTTAAATAAATATTTTTGAGTAGCAGTGAACTAAATTGATTCAATTATAGGTGGGTGCCTTGGGACTCTGCCTAGGTGAGGTTACTATATGCATAATTTATTTATCAGGGGATTTGTTTTGAAAGCAAGTCTATCTCAGTTTCAGAGTTCAGCAACGTCGATTAATTAATTGAACATTTTGAAATATCCTTGCACCCTTTCAAGAACAGATAGAGGGCTCTTGCTGCCACTAGAGGCATAGTGGCTCATGCCTGTAACCCCAGCACTTTAGGAGGCCGAGGCCGGCAGGTCACTTGAGATTCAGAGTTTGAGACCAGCCTGACCAACATGATGAAACCCCATCTCTACTAAAAATACAAAAATTAGCTGGGTGTGTGTGGTGGGCACCTGTAATCCCAGCTACTCGGAATGCTGAGGCTGGAGAATCGCTTGAATCTGGGAGGCGGAGGTTGCAGTCAGCCAAGATCCTATCACTGCACTCCAGCCTAGGCAACAGAACTAGGCTCTGTTTCAAAAAAAAAAAAAAAAAAGTGGATAAAGGACATGCACATGGAATCTAAGATAGTAAGCAGGGAAAGCATTGGAGGCTTGTGGGTCATATTGTCTCTATTGCAACTACTGAACAATGCTGCTGTAACAGGACAGAAGCCATAGACTATATGTAAGCCAATGGATGTGATTGTGTTTCCGTGTAACTTTGTTTATAAAGATAAGTGGTCGACCAGATCAGGTCCATGGACTGTAGTTTGCCAAACTATGTGGTGGGATACTTTTTAAAATTTTCAGTAAATAGTACCTCCGGTCCCTTAGTAGTGCTTCAACCACTGACATGATCTTTTTCTCCTTTACTGGCCATAGCTAGGCAATCTCTACATATTATTGAGCACATTAGCTCTACTCCTACAAACATCTTCTTGGTTCAGAGAAGTCCCCATTATTCAGACTTTTCCTCAGGAATCTTTCTTGCTCTCTTGGTGTTAGTTTTTTCCTCCTTTGACGTCTTTTACAAACCATAGGTAGAGTTACCCTTCTAAAATATTTCTCAAAAACTACGTTCAGTAAGTGAGGATTCCATGGAGTACTATATGTTCAAGCAGTGAAGTGCTAGAAAAATATGAGTAACATAGTCCATGGTGGCAAGTTGCATATCTATCCACTTGGTGACTGATGCGTATTCTTTGGACTTTAGCTACCAATGTTTTCTTTCAACTTAATATATCCATCATATTTCCTACTCATTGTATTATGTGAATTTATGTTTTGAGGAGATTTGTCAAAAAAAAAAAAACAAAACAAGAGAATAACATTCAGACCAGTTAACCTGTTATTCTTGACTCTCAAAAGCCTGGCTGTAGTTGAAGATAAGTCAATTGAACAGACATGCATTGAGCATGTAGCAAAGTGTTGAAGAGGGTGTGTTGTTGAAGCAGATCATTTACTTTCAAATCTCAGCTCCGTAATTCTAGCTGTGTGCCTTAGATGCATGGCTTACCTAACTTTTTCTCACCTGAAAATGGGAATAGTAACAGTTTCAATCTCATAGGACGGTTACGAAGATTAAATAATTTTTTGAGAGGTGGTGCAAGTACTGACACATAGTAAGTGTTAATGTTTTCTTTATTATCATTGTTATCATCATCATCATCATCATACCAATCACATGCCAGTCCCATAGCTAGTGCTAAATATTTATTGAATTCCTTGTACAATTGAATTCCTTGTACAAACTAGGCATTGTTCTAGGTGTTGGGGATGTAACAGTGAAAAGATAGACTAAGCCTCTGCCATCATTATGTCATATTAGTCATTGGTTTATTCAACAAATATTCACTGAGGGCCTTTGATGTACCAGGCACTTCTAGGTACTATGACAGCTGTTTATTAAGACTGAAAAATCCCTGCTCTCATAAACTTATGTTTAGTCATTTAGGTGTGGTCTTTTCATCTAAACTATGTGTTTCTTGGGGCCAGTAACTATATCTTAATTATCCTGTATCCCAAGAGCCTACAAAAGGATTATCACATAGAGACTTATTTCATAAATATTAAATTAGTAAATGCATGAATGAATGAAAAAAAATGAAATGAACACCTATGTTCACTAGGCACAAATAAGTTAGCATTAACTAATTTTGAATGAAGTTGAAATCAACCATCCTTGTCAGAATCACGTCACACACCATTCCATGAGATTCCTATTGAGGAACGTAACACCCACCCTACTTCTGAATTTGGAAGCTCAGTTTTCACAGGCAGCAAGTATGGCAAGAGGGAATAAAATCCTCACAAGAAACAAGATTCCAAAGGAATATATTAAACAGAACATTAGGACTCTGCACAATTTGCAGCAATAGAGATTCCAGCTAAATTTCTCAATTCAGCTTTGCTTTCTATTCGAAGTAGCAATGAAATCATGAAAAGTGTAAAAGATGTGGAATGATAAAAACAACCTGGAGACCATGTCTAAAAAACCTTTAGAAGTCTTTGCAAATTAATTAATAATGATTTTGTTCTGCTTGAAATAAAAATGGAGAGATTATATCTAATAACACTTTGTGATATGTAGAAAATAAAGAAGGACAATAACCATGCCCCCGTCCTTGAAAGAGCACCTATTGTAATTAGGTGAGATAATAAAGTTTGCGCAGGATGAAGGCCATGTTCAGGTATTGGGAAGAGCAGGAGAAAGGGGAGAAATTTGGGATTTTTCTCAGGCCTGACTTGAGGAAAACTTGAACACTTCAGATGCTTTATGAAAGCCTAGAGTATATTGCTCAATTTGGAAGATGTTTCTTTAAACAGCTTCAGAAATATAATCTGACCCATTTTCCTCAGCCATGCTTATGGGAAAGCTTATCAACAAAACGGTTTTATAGGGAAATGTTTCAGAGACCTTCTGGCTGCCCCCACATGCAAATCATCAGGCAGCATGCACTTGGAGAACAAGAATATAATCAATTGCACAATGAAACATTTCCATTTCTCCTCTTGAACAGAAAAGAAGGAGCTAAAAATGTCCCAAATCCTAGAAACCTCACCAGTAAAGTAAGAATCATGTAAAGTTTTCACTAAGGCTTAGGAAAGATGTTTAATCACATTAACCTCTATTGATACAGTGCTTGGTATAAAATTACATTCTATAGTATTGTCCTAAATTTCTAGAGAGGAAAAAAAAAACCCAATCCTGGTTGCTATTTTTCCTTAGGTAAATAAGTTAAGGTCATGTGGATAAGTAGAAAATGAGAAGCTTCGACCATAGCCTGGTGACTATACCTTGTGTGTGTGTGTGTGTGTGTGTGTGTGTGTGTGTGTGGTTTGGAAGATGCTTTAAGATTCAAATACTGATTATGGGAACTACAGGAAATTCTTTACATGTAGTCAGATTGGAAATGTGACAGACACTGTTTGGGTAAGACAATACAGCTAATATGTCCCTATGGTAAGATGGTCACAGCATGCAAAGTTTGAATTTTTGGGCTTCATCTTAACCCAAGGACCAAGCATATATTGTGCTTGCTGGTCAGAGAAAAACAAACAAACAAAAAAGAAATTGCCTAAAAGGAAATCTACCTTATCCTGAGATAAAATGTACATGAAATAGGGTTATAACAAGATTTACATTCTATAATCATTAGGAATAAAGGGAATATTTGCAGATCTATCTTCCTAAAGAACAAATTGAAAAACTTTTCTGATAAAATCTTTCCACACTGTGATATTCAGTTCTGTCAGATACCACAGAAAAATGATGGCAAGTGAGCATATCTATCGACTTGGTGACTGATGTGTATTCTTTGGACTTCAGATACCGATGTTTTCTTTCAACTTAATATATCAATTATATTTCCTACCCATTGTATTATGTGAATTTATGTTTTGAGGAGATCAGCAAAAACTCCAGAAAAACAGCTTGTTTGGGGATATCATTTTTAAAATGACTTCTAGAGAGAGGATATTGCTATCTGGGAATTAATTTTGTGCTGATAGTTTTAAACACATACACAAATATACACACAGAGCAGGAAAAGTATAGGTTTGATTGTTGCTATTAATATTTAAAATCATCCACAGATTTAATTGACTCACCATCATCTTCTTTTTGAGCCACTGTGCCACTGATATTCAGATATGTCAGTTATTTCAAGGGTTTTTTTTTCATATGCATTATAGCTTATACATAAAAACAAATGGAAAATAGTTGTCTAGGAAGATTAATATAATTCAACTGTGATGTATGTGAGAAAAATCTACTGGTCTAACTTTTTCAGCATGGAGGTATAATGACTCTTTTTCCTTTCTTAATAAGAAAGAAGACATTTGTGATTTTGGGTGGATGCTGATTGCAAACTCTTCTAGTGAGAAAGCATCATGCCAGCTGGGAAGTACTCCCACTGGACTTTGCTGCTACCTGGAAAAGAAAGCTTACAATGGATACGTGAAGATCAAAGTGGTTGTGTTATCAAACAATTATGGACTAGTCAGAAAGTGACTTTGGAAAAAAGCTTGAATTTAGAAATGGGGAGTCATTAGCAAAGGCTGCCTGAATTATCCTGATGTATCACAGGCAGAACAGAGCCACTGCTGCTGACAGCACAAGAGGTTTCTTACAACAATCTTTGGACAGAGTACTATGGTCAGAAAAAGATAATAAAGAGGCTAGAACATGCACCATCTGGTCTAACAGAAGGGAAGATGGAAAACATCAACGGGGAGTTAGAATTGTTATGGAAAGCCAGACGGTGAAGCATTGATTAAGATTATTTCGTTGATTACGTGATATCTCATGATTTATGCCATGGACAAGGAAAAGCAAATCACTTTTTTGTGTGTGTGCCTGTGAAACCAGGGTATGCTATAGAGCTAAAATTGTTTGAGACCCTGGGAGCTTCAGAAAAATCTCCCTGTCATGGCATAGGAGGCCAAACTAAGAACCTAGGCTCCCTGAAAACATGAGAACTCTTTTTCTAGTGCGGTAGAAAAGGTGTGGTGATCCAACTGGTTCTAAAGTGTTGGCAGACGGCTGGGTAGCAGTGGGGTAGGATATTACAGAGGGGCTTCTTCTTTTTTTTTTTTTCCAAAGAACTCATCGTTGCTGACTTTATAAAGGAAAACCAAGCCAATCAGGCTAAGAGGCTAGATCTAATGAAACCTACCAGATCAGGTGCCATTTGGGGCATTGCTTACTCAGATTAGAAGCCAGTGTATGAGAAAATGTATCAGATGCTTGCCCTCAGAAATTTCCAAGGTTTTTTAGGATAAGCCGAGGCATAGTCTCTCAATTTCATTTCTCTCTTTTTTTTTTTTTTTTGAGACGGAGTTTCACTCTTGTTGCCCAGGCTGGAGTGCAGTGGCACAATATCAGCTCACTGCAGCCTCCACCTCCCCGGTTCAAGCAATTCTCCTGCCTCAGCCTCCCAAGTAGCTAGGATTACAGGCGCCTGCCACCACGCCTGGCTAATTTTTGTATTTTCAGTAGAGACAGGGTTTTGCCATGTTAGGCAGACTGATCTTGAACTCCTGGCCTTAGGTGATCTGCCTGCCTCGGCCTCCCGAAGTGCTGGGCTTACAGGTGTGAGCCATCGCACCTGGCCTAAAATGGATTTCTTATGTGCAGTTTTCATAGTACTCTGTCTCCTTTAATCCCTCTCTCTCTCAATAGTATTCTCTGTCCTTATCAATAGAAGTATTTTCTTCACAATTGCGAAGGTTCACGATGTTCATTTTCAATCCGCAGGATGAAACAAAATACCTTAGCGCTTAGCGATTGTCACACCCCTGTTCTTCCTGTTTACTAAGCACTTGCACGTGACTTCTTCCCAGACATCAGAACCAGCCTTTGTTATAGGCTTACCATGGGCCAGGAGCTTTGCAAAACTCTTATATACATTAGTCTTTATTTAGTTTGATCTCGAAAGAATTCTGTGAGAAGGAACTATGTTTTATGCCCATTTAAAATATACGTATAAGGAAACTGAGGCTTTCCTTAAGACTATCAGCTAATATGTGGTGGAGTCCAAATTTTAAAAGTCAGTCTGATTTCCAAGCCTTTACTCTTAACCATTGCTCTTTGCCGCCTTGAACATTTCTCTCAAATATATTATCTCAGTCTTAAAGCTGAAGGAGCGAAAGTTCAGAAAGGGTGGTGTTCTTGATTAAGCATTGGAATGGGACTTAACTCAAAAGCTTGGGCTGAAAATCCAGCTTCTTCCCCCTCTACCATCCTGCTGCTATACATTTTCCCAAAAAATAACAAACATATCCTCTGAGAGGGAATATCAAGCTGTGTCTTCTCTCTCCCTTGGATATCTCATTTTATGAGAAGGGAGTTGCTTCATGATTCAAACCTGTCCTTTGCCATTTTACAAGAGATTTGTCACATGGAAGTATTTGTAAGTTTTTAACTAATCACTAGAAGATATTTGAAACACCCATTTTGCTTCTTGATGACAGAAAATACTAACTTCTTATACTAAGTATTACATATTTTAAATTGAAAGCTGGAGTTTGAGTATGGACAACTGTGTCTTTCTTTTACTGGAAGTTCAATCTGGGCAAGAATCATGAAGGATGCACTTATGATGTCATGGGTTAAGTATCTAGCTCATCAGTGAGAGGGCACATGTAGGTATATACATTTGCTTCCCCATTTCATCCCAAACAGTTACAAAGGGATAGTATGGGGTATCAAAAATGTTACCTTCTGTAATTCATAAAGTTGCACTAAATAGAATTATCACCTTGAAATTACAGGGTAAAACTCCCTATACAAAAACAGATTAAAGACAAATTAGACTGTGGGCCAGGTCACTCTGATTGTTAATTAGTGATAATGGAAATACAATTAGCATAATGAGTTCCAATTACTGTATATGGAGAAATATGAGCATACTGCTTTCATAAATCTTGGTTCCAGGAAAAATAAAATGCATCTGGTTTAACAAAGCATGTCCTTCTCTTCTGCAGAAAGCTTCCTGGTAAATAGCTTTTTGTGAAGCTAAATCCTTCTTCTGATGGGTTGTGATTTAAAAATAAAATAAAAAAAGGCAACAGAATGGATTTGCCCCATCTGATAGCTGAGCAGTTTTGTATTAGCTCAGCTTCTGTTTTAAGCTTCCTAGAAAATCTAACCATCTGTTTCTCCAATAGCGGGTTAAAAACATTGGGGAGAATCATAGACCATCACATCAAATGTGGTTATTGTCTTTGAAATGTCGGTGAGCCCTCCTTTATGCCTTTGATAAGCTGTGAAATCAGAAAGCCAATTACAGTCACATATTTACACAAATCTGAACAGCTTTTTGAAAACTCTGTGTAAGAATGAGTGGATGAGAAACAACAGCTTTACGCTGAGCTTTGGTAGCATGCCTGTGGGTGTGTTAATGAAGTTATTTTTAAGAGTTGCACTACAAGGTCTGTATATTTACTTTCACCTTGGTCTTACACTGTCTCAACTTTTCACTGCAGGCATTGATTAGTCTTAACTTTTGCAGAAGGTCCATCAGCTGATAGCACAATATGCCAGTTCTGTTGTCTTCTCTCTTCTATTCTCTCCTGCTACCTCTCATGCGATGAATGCTCAACTGTTGACAGATTACATTCCAAGACTGGTTAAAACCCAGGCCATTTGGACAATGAATAGTAATGAATGTGGACTGCTCAGCCCACACAGGTGACATTACACCTTACACTGGGGGAATGTGCCATCTTCCTTGTTGTACCCTGTAAATCTGATAGATGCTATTAACCTTTTCAGTGAATCCCCATGGATCACTGCAATGGCAAATCTCAGTAGTAATTGCTAAGACAAAAATGCCCCAGCATGCCTATATTCTCTGTAAGGATCTATGAAACAGGCAAGTTGGCTACTCAAGTGCCTTTTCCCCAACTGCTGTCTTGATTTACTTTCAGCTGTCAGTCTGCACCCAGACAATGGTGCTTCCGAATCTTTCAAACAAGCACAAGTAGCAGATCTTGCAAAGTACTTAGAGCAATTCAAGTCTCTTCTTTTTTACATGAACAGGATTTTGCTACAGAGGAGAACAGTGTATATCTTGACCGGGGGATCTACTATAATTAGCTGAGTTCATTAAGGAGAAACCTCCCTGTCCTAACCTTATGATTCACAGCACAGTTCCCATCTGGGCTTTGATTGTGGTTGTCATATTTTCAACCTAGTCAAGTCTCCTCAGTCTTTCTGGATGCATTTGTAAACTGGATTATTCAATAAAAGAAATGCTTGTCAGACATCATTGTCCGTCAGCGGTTTGAGTTGCTTCCTCTAAAAATGGCTTTCACACTACTACTATCTCTCCTTGAAACAGACACACATGCGTGCATGTGCACGTAAACACATAGGAATGGAATCCATATGATCATTGACTCTCTGTCAGCCCATATTTATTATGGAGGCATGGTAGAGCTTAAAAAGACAAGCTTCTCTCCCTAATATTTTTAATATTAAAGTATATATTAGATCTGTACTACTTTATAGATTTCAACAAGGAAAGGTGATGCATTTAGAGGCACATTGGGTATCCTGGAAAGAAGACAGATGTCCTGGGTCCTGGAAAGTGTTGCATTGACAGGCATAAAAATGTGTACTTGATAAATTCTGATTATAATTGATACTTGATAAATAACTCTGGCAGGGTCTCAGGCAATCATTGAAACTCTCTGGGCCTCTTCCTACTTATAGTATGAGGAATTTTGCCTAGATGTTCTCTGAGTTTTCTTTCAACTCTAACATTTTATGATTCTAAAGGACAAACCCACAAACCAGGAGATATAACATAAAGAAAGCAATACCCACCTGTATCATTTAGAATTAGATTTAGATTTAGCTATGCCTAACAGAAGAGCCCCATATAGAGTAGAGACTCATATCTCTAGCAAGGTTTGGTAGTCCTCAAAAGGCCTCCAGCCTCAAAGACTCATTGTTCAAGATGGCAAGTAGGTGCTCCAGTCATCACATGTATATTCCACACAAAAGGAGACATACAGGTTGAGGATAAAACAGTGAACCACCTCCATACTCAGTGTTTTAAGGAACTTTCCAGGAATCCCGACCCAATGACTTCTGTTTATATCTTATTGGCATATGTAGTTGTGAAGAAGGCCAGAAAATGGAGTATTTTAACTGGTACATTGCCTCCCAGAATAAACCCAGGTCCTATTAGTAAGGAAGAAAAGAGGAATAGATTCTAGGCAGGCAACTGGTAGTATCTGCCATGTAATCCATTTCTCCTTCATTTAAAATATTTTTGTACTATGGTCCCTGGTCCTAGAAAAGAGTCTCTCCAAAATAAAGAAATAATTTATTTTCATTTTGTGACCATGGCTGTGATGATGGATGATCAAGTCCCATCCAACCTGAAACTTATTCCTTGAAAACCAAGTAGGAGGAATTCTGTTATATAGTCTATCACAATGCAAATTTAGAAGTTCATTCACATTTTTTAAAATAATCCCCTTTTGTAGATGACATTAAAAGTGAAAATAAACATTTTTGGTGTGTGGTTTTTTTTTTACACAAAGTTAACAAGGAAGTCATATTTAATTGAAAATCAGTAAGTTCAAAAGTTGAGTCTTTCTTTTAAAATTAACTGTATTTATGAAAAACCAATAGATTTTTTTCACAACTAATGTCTTTAGATTAAAAAAGAAAGCAAAGTGTTTATTTTGCTATTGTCAATATCTACTTGAATAAAAAAGTTTAATGAGCTTTCACTTTTAACACAAAAAGATTCTTCTTGTTTTTGTATGAAATAAGAAAAATTGAAAGTGGACTTCTATTACACAGCAGTCAATCTTCTACCAGAAGACTAATTTTTGTTCCCCCAAATCTGACGATGTCATATTTATTTCAGAAATATTAAAGTGTGAGCAGGCCACACAGGCAACAGCTTACCAGTCTCTGAATTTCAAATTAATTTTACCTCTTGGTGGTTGATTTTTAAGGATTCCCACTGATTTTTACCCCATTTGTCATTCCCAGGTATATAGCAAAACAGAGAAGAATAAATGTGAATGGCACACCCAGTGGAATTATTTTATAGAGGTCGAACCTTGTGGGGACTTAAGTCTCTTGAGGTTGTATTGGTAAAATGGGATGGCATGGAAGATTCTAAGGTGATCTTTTGTACTGGCCTATAGTGCCTCCTAAATCAGTTTTCTGAAAACAAAAAAAGCTTTCAGAAAACAAAATCACAATCAGCTTTTTGCCATGCAATGAAAAACTACATTTAGCATCCTTGAATATTTTGGATGAGTCAATACAGAATATCAGTTAAGGATTTAGGTTGCAAACAAAATAATCCAAGCCTGGCTAACCTAACCAAAAGTGAATTTATTGGAAGGATAACAGGTGACTCGCAGAATTCAGTGCAGGAATAGAGAACCAGGCTCCTAACACAGACAAATCTAAGAGTGAAGAGATGGTGGCAGCAAGAACCATGCACCTGTCTCATCTGCTACCATCATTGAATGAATGAACTTCAGCTGTTTTTCAATGTTTGCTTTCTTCCATTTAGAGATAATGTCTAAGGACAGAGAATCTGCTTGGCCTCGCTAAGGGACATGTCCACTTCTTGGCTGAATGAGGACTTGACGGTGCACTTTGATTAACAGCAATCTTTGTACTACACAAATGGAGTTGAGGCAACTCCCTCGAAGGGTACTGCTTTTGTCTGAAATGGGATGAATGGGTGTTGTAGTTTTCTCTAAAAACCAAAGCTATCATAACCATGCTTCTTAGACTTTAATGTGCATATGAATTTTCTGGGTTTCTTATTAAATTTCACACTCTGACTCAATAGGTTGGGTCTGAAGCCAGATTCTACATTCCTGGAAAACACCCAGGTGATGTTGCTGACAGGCTTGTGGCTCACCGTTTGAGTAGTAAGCCTTTATAATCGTGAGCACTGGGAAGATAATTAGTTTTACATTTCTTAATCCATATATATTTATCTTTGTTTTAATTGGGGTATAATTACATAAATTAATGAATAGATAAAATGAGTTGAACTTAAGTCCAAAATTTAACTCGTCTATATGCACCCATGTAAGGAACGCCAAGCATCCCTCCCAGGAGATTTTCCTCCTGTCTCTTTTTTGTGTCCCCCTCTACCCTCAGAGAGAACCACTATTCTGATTTCTATTACCATCGACTAGTTTTGCCTGTTCTTGAACTTTATTTAAATAGAATCACATAAGGATGTACTCTTTTGTGTCTAGCTGATCTTGTTCAACATAATGTTTGTGAGATCTATCAACGTACTTGCATCTATGATTCATTCCTTGGTATTGTCGATTAATAGTTCATTCTGTGAATATGCTGCCAGGTTTACTACTTCTTTTGATGGGCATTTGGCTCCCATCCACATTTTTGCCATTATGAATAAAACTGCTGTGAACATTCTTGGACAAGTCTTTTTTGTGAACATATACTTTTCATTTCTTCAAGGTAAGTACCCAGAAATGAAATGCTTGGGTCATAAAATATGTGTGCATTTGGCTTTGTAAGAGACTAGAAAGTAGTTCTCCACAGTGGTTGTACCACTTTACACTCCTACCAGCAGTGTCACAGTGTGTGAGAGAATTCTAGTTGTTTTGCATTTGGTGTTGATGGTCTTTTTAATTTTAGCCATTCCAGTGTAGTGATAACTCATTGTGGTTTTAATTTGCACATCCTTGATGACAATCCATGTTGAGTCTCTCAGCACAAACATGTTTTCTTTTAATCTTTTACTGAATCTCATTTCCACCTTTAAAATACAATCTGCCTTTGAATCTAAGAAACATTTCGTTTACAACCTCACCACATGATGGAATTTCAGCTTGATTCTTACTTGCTCTTTTAGATTATGCTTACCTCCCACAATTATTCCTGAGAATTTTGGTTCTGAGTATCTGAGCATGGGCTGGCAGACATAGTAACAATATTTTCTCATGAAATAATGCTCAGTTCTTTCTCTGATGGTATTTAAATTTGCCATCCCAGGCTCTTGTACTCAAATATATTGATAGTGTCCCATGTGTGTTCCCTGACACTTGGGTGTAATTGTGGTGAACTTTGAATTCCCATCTTAAGGTCAGTTATTAACTATTGATGGATTCTCCTTTTCTCCACTTAATGCTAAAGTATTCATACTAACCAAGACAGATGGGAATGGCTAAGGAGTTTTTCAATGCCATTGCTGTGTAAGCTGTCTTTTGCTTCCCTCATGTGAGAAACTCAAAGCTCTTTTGTAGAGAAGATCATTTATTCAAGGTAAAGGGGAAAAAAAAGGAAAAGAAAGAAAGCTCCCGCATATATTCTGAAAACCCCCCAGTTTTCAAAGCCCCATATACTTTTGCTGGAACAGAGTTTTCTGGTCATTAAGGAGGAGAAAATGGCATCTTTGACAACAATCTTGGCTGACCCACTTTGGAGCCAAATGGGATCCAGGTGTAAGAAGGATGGCCAGGACTTCAACATCCCGGACAAGACACCCTGACAAACAACGGCACCGTTTTTGGATTTCCCAGGAGGCAGAAGAGTGCCCTGTGAGATTTATAAACACATCCACAATAAATGGGAGGCTGAAGTTTAAACTGTTATGGAGCCTCCTGTGCTGTGCTGCCAAGGTCTCCTGTGATTTAGAGAGGTGACATTTACTGTGTGCAGACCTATTATTCAGAGTGACTGTGTATAGACAATATTTTAAAATGGCTTGCTGTAGATGAAAAATTCTTATTAAGTCAGAAAAACAGTTTAAGTAGGTAACACTCTCTCAGTTTAGTCTGCTATAAGTCTTACTGTCTTGCCACATGGAAAGTGCTTGGGGTGGGAGGTAGTGACACCTCACAGGTGCTGGCTAAAATACTATTTCCGGAGCAAACAGAATCAAGGCATCAGCTGGGACCAAGGCACTAATTGCACATCTGAAGTTAAACTCGGAGGCATTTTTTTCAGGTTTCTTCCCTTCAATGCAGTTTTCCTTTAGTACTGATGCAATGCCATGGTTCAACAAATAGTGCATGGTAGAAAGAACACTGAGAGTCTAGAAACTAGGGAAGTAGGTTCTGCCACACTCTAGTAGTGTGTTCTCATAGATGTTCATTAACTACCATGATCCTTGGTTTCTCTAATCTGCAAAATTTAAGGATTGGGTAAGGTAATTTCTAAAATCTCTACAAGACATGTCTCTTTTTTGTTGCCTACTTTTAGAGAGGAGTGCCTGCCAGCCTCTGGTGGCTGTATAGTACTTTATGGGCCAGCAAGAGCATTTCTACATCATCACTTTTTCTCATTTAAACTCCATGTAGTCCTGAGAAGGAGGCAGAGAAATTATTGTTGTGCCATTTCTTCAAGTGAGAAAACTGAGGCTCAGAGAGGTTAGGTGACATGGCCAAGATCACATGGCTGGAAAACCCCCCCAACCCCACAGTTCGCCTCTTAGTCCAAGACTCTGTGTCATCACGTTTCTTATACTTCTGCCTGCCATAAGATCTCTGGAAATGGTTGCATGTGGTTCACCAGGAGAAAATAATTGCTGCAATAGAGATATGAATGGAGAGGGGTAAGAGGACAGACATAGACCCTCTTTTCAGAAATCTTCCAGGACAGACTGAAATGTTTCTGCCTAATCAAACTCTACCTATTGTTCCTTTCATTTTAGATTCAGAAGGTACATATGTAGGTTTGTTACATGAGTATATTGTCCAATGCTGGGGTTTGGGCTTCTATTTACCCATCACCCATATAGTGAGCATAGTAACCAATAGGTAGTTTTTCAATCCTTGCCTCCCTCACTCCCTCCCCTATTTTTGAGTCCCCAGTGTCAATTGTCTCCATCTTTATGCTCATGATACCCATTGCTTAGGTCCCACTTATAAGTGAGAACATGCAGTATTTTTTTTTCTGTCCCTGTGTTAATCCACTTACGATAATGGCCTCCAGCAGCATCTATGTTGATGCAAAGGACATGATTTAATCATTTTTTTTGGTGGCTACCTAGTATTCCATGCTGCATATGTATCATATTTTCTTTATCCAATCCACTGTTGATGGATACTTAGGATGATTCTGTGATTTGCTGTTGTGAATAATGCTGCAATAAAGATATGAGTACAGGTGTCTTTTTGATAAAATGATTTATTTTCCTTTGGTTATGTACCCAGTAATGGGATTGCTACATTGAATGGTAGTTCCATTTTTCATTCTTTGAGAAATCTGTATACTGTTTTCCATAAGAGTTGAATTAATTTTTTTTCCCACAAACAATGTATCAGTGTTCCCTTGTCTCTGCATCCTCACCAACATCTGTTATTTTTGCACTTTTTAATAATAGCCTTTCTGACTGGTGTGAGATGGTACCTCATGGTGGTTTTAATTTGCATTTCTTTGATGATTAGTGATGTTGAGCATTTTTTCACGATTGTTGGCTGCTTGTATGTCTTCTTTTGAGAAGTATCTGTTTATGTCCTTCCCTACTTTTTAAAGGGGTTGTTTGTTTCTTTTTCTTGTTGGTTTGTTTAAATTCCTTATAGATTCTGGATATCAGTCCTTTGTCAAATGCATAACTTGCAAATATTTTCTTCCATTCTGTAGGTTGTCTGTTTATTGACTTTCTTTTGCTGTGCAGAAGCTCTTTAGTTTAATTATTTGTCAAGTTTTGTTTTTATTGCATTTGCTTTGAGGTCTTAGTCATAAATTCTTTGTCTAGGCAAATGTCCAGAATAATTTTTCCCAGGTTTTCTTCTAGGATTTCTATAGTTTGAAGTCTTATATTTATATTTAAGTCTTTAATCTGTTTTGAGTTAATTTTTGTATACGGTGAGAGGTGGGAGTCTAGTTTCATTCTTCTGTGTATATATGGCTAGCCAGCTATCCTAGGGCTATTTATTATACAGGGTGTCCTTTCCCCACTGTTTATTTTAGTCAACTTTATCAAAGATCAGTTGGTTGTAAGTATGTGTCTTTATTTCTGTGTTCTCTATTCTGTATGGTCTTTATGTCTATTTTTATACTAGTACCATGCTGTTTTGGTTCCTACAGCCTTGTAGTAGTATAGTTTGAAGTCAGATAATGTGATAGATCTAGCTTTGTTCTTTTTGGTTAGGATTGATTTGGCTATTCAGGCTCTTTTGGTTTCATATGAATTTCAGAATTTTTTTCTAATTCTGTGAAAAATGACTTTGATGATTTGACAGAAATTGCATTGAATCTGTAGATTGCTTTGAGCAGTATAATCATTTTAATGACACTGATTCTTCCAATCCATGAGCATGGAATATTTTTCCATTTGTTTGTGTCACCTATGATTTATTTCATCTGTGTTTTGTAGTTCTCCATATAGAAATCTTTCACCCCCTTGGTTAAATGTATACCTAGGTGTTTGTGGTGTGTGTGTGTGTGTGTGTGTGTGTGTGTGTGTGTGTGTGTGTCTACTGTAAATAGAATCAAGTTATTTATTTGGTTTTTGACTTGAATGTTACTGGTGTATAAAAATACTACTAATTTTTGTATATTGATTTTGTATCCTGAAAGTTTACTGAAGTCATTTATCAGGTCTAGGAGTCTTTTGGAAGAATCTTTAGGGTTTTCTAGATATAGAATTATGTTTTTGGTAGACAGAGGTAATTTGACTTCCTCCCTTCCCATTTGGATGCCTTTTATTTCTTTCTCTGGCCTAATTGCTCTGGCTAGGACTTTCAGTACTATGTTGAATGGGAGTGGAAAGAGTGGACGTCTTTGTCTTGTTCCAGTTCTTAAGGGAAATATTTTCAACTTTTTCTCATTCAGTATGATGTTGGCTGAGGGTTTGCCATAGATGGCTCTTACTATTTAGAGGTATGTTCCTTTGATGCCTAGTTTGTTGAGGGGTTTTTATCATGAAGGGATGTTGGATTTTATCAAATGCTTTTTCTGTGCTTAGTGAGATGATCATATGGGTTTTGTTTTTAATTGTTTATGTGGTAATTCACATTTATTGATTTGCATATGTTGAACCACCCTTGCATCCCAGAAAAAAGTCCCCTTGATTGTGATAAAATCCTGAACAGACCAATAATGAGTTAGGAAAGTAAATTAGTAATAAAAATCTACCAACCAAAAAAGGCCCTGGACCAAACAGATTCACAGTTGAATTCTACCAAAAGTATAGAGAATAGCTGGTACCAATCTTACTGAAACTATTCCAAAAAATAAAGGGTAGGAATTCCTCCCTAACTTATTCAACAAAACCAGTGTCATCCTGATACCAAAATCTGGCAAGGCACGACAACAACAAAAAAACTACAGGCTGATATCCCTGATGAACCCAGTCATAAAAATCCTCAACGAAATGCTAGCAAACCAAGTCCAGCAGCACATCTACCTATTTTGAAGTCCAAACTTGATTTTTTCCTCCCCTAAGGAGCCTGTCCTAACCCTATCGTCATTCCAGCCTGTAGGATTTCTCTTTTCTGAATTGCTGATTGAACTCCACTTCAGGATGGGTGCAAGAGACATGCTCTTCCCTCCTCTCTTTCACTTTAGTAAGTGCACATTATATTTCTTCTGATTTGTTAGTAAGCTCCATGTGAGCAGACTTCTGAATTTTATTAGTAGTTACACGTATTCATTCACAGTAAGGAATCAGTTAGTAATGTGATTCACTAATCAACTAAGGCACCTATATCACCTTGGGTAAGGGTAGTATCAAGACAGAATGTTACGCTCCTCTTTTTACATTAATGTAATTAGAAGCTGTGATATTACAGCCTTTTTCACCTAACAAACGTGTGGCCTTGTTTTCTCCTTCTCTGCCATCACCTCCATTATTTTTAAATCATAATACTTATTAATATAAGAACTTAAACTTTTTTATTTGTTCCTCTTTCTCCCAACTAGAATGTAAGCTCCATGAAGACGTAGTTTTTTATGAATTGTTCATTGTTGATTCTTCATACCAACAACAATGCACATTGTAGGTGCTCAATAAATACCCATTAAGTGAATGAATAAATGAATGCATTTCAGGGTTTGTGACCACAGCCTGTGACCTCCAGTTTGTGCCTCTATCCTTATTCCATAAATTTTGCATATCAATCAAGCACTTCATATTCTAAAAATTTGAACACTAATAAGCTATAACACTCGCCTTTTACAGTTTGTCTTTTTAAATTACTAAAGAAAGAGTAATCTTTGGGTACCATTAGGCATATCCATGATCATTATTTTGGTAAGAAATATAAATGATGTATTTTGTTTCAGATAAATCCTTTGTTTCTCCCATTACAATCCACTCTGGAAGTAGGTACTAAAGAGTTATTTCCTTCAAAATGATAGAACTTTCTCTGTTACTGATAAAATTAACTGTTATGTCAAAATTAATATCTAAACCAAACGTTAGCATAGCAGATTAATAATGAAAGCCTACCATAGAGCGTGAGCAATAGAGTCAAACTGCCAAGCTTGAATCTTTGTGTCTGCTGAATAGCTCTGCAACTTTGGACAAGAGATTCTATCTCTCCAAACCTCAGTTTCTTCCTTCATATGCAAAATGGATATAATAGTATCTATATCATGTGATTGTTGTGAAGATTAACTGAGGTAATCCTCTTATTTATTGACACACACAAAGATCTCAGTAAATGTTAGACATTACTATTACTACATGGAATTAGAAAAGTATTGCACAAAATTTAAATGCAAATAGTAATTATACTATAGTACTCTGCATTTTTATTTTATTCTCCTAGGATGCCTGATTGCTCCTGCTAATTTAGCAGTAACGACATTCAAAACATATGTTTGTTCTTCTAAGAATTAACAATAGACAGACATGATTATTTGTTGGCTTTGGTCTGTTTGGATCATTGTAATAGGTGCCCCATATGTAGAAAGTGCCATGAATTTCTACAGCTGATTAAAAATATAATTTTCTGAAGAGCCATGGTAAATCTCTTTTCCACAGACACCTTTTAATAAAAAACATAAATTATAAGCCTACTCTTATGCAAACAATATTGGCACAACAAGAAAATGATTAAGATGCAGACAGGGTAGGTCAAAACGACTATAAAAGGATTAATGCAGTTTGTTTGATGTATATTAAAACAGTTGGTAAAAGTTTAAGTAGCATTTTAATTTTTGGTGTCCACATACTTATGACCCATTCAAATCTTACCAAAAGCAAACAGAAAATTTTTTTGAAAGTACGAGTTCAATAGAAACCACTAGAGCATGTAAAATCTGTCTACCGCCACTATTTTATAAAAAAAAAGTTTCAAAATAAAAAGAAGAGCAGCTCTGACTGTTTTTAATTTATAAAATTAAGTAATAGCTATTTTCTTCCATATCTAACTTGATGTCTCTCAGATGTGGAACACCTTTAGTGATGCTTTTATTTTTCTCTTTGGCAACCCATGCTACACCTCATTTCTTGAGTCACTATGGCCTTGTGAGCAGCAATTGTCATGCAAAGTTGCAAAAATATTAAAAGAGGATTTCACATGACTTTATAAACTTCCTGGATGCACGTTTGGGTCTTTTGAACTAGTGGCAAACTCAAGTGCGATACCCCAGTTTGGCAGCAACATGGCGAGATCCCACCTCTGCTTGTTGATGTGAAACAGCACTCTTACAACTTCAGTTTCCTGATGCCTCACTAGGCCATGAGAACAAATGGGGTCATCTTAATGAAGTCTTGTAAAACAATAGCAAACCACATTTTACCCTGGCTCTTGCCATTATTTTTATGAAGCACATCTTCTTCAATATGCTGTATCTCAGAATTTGGGAGAAGCCTAAACTGTGTCTCATATCTGCTCCCACGTAAGTATGGTCAGTTATTACTGGTCATTACTTGAGCTTCCTCTGTGTTCCACTCAATCTGTCATCATGCACTGCTATGGCTTCTACCTCCTTCTCTCTCAAGGACCCAAATCTGAGTCTGCAGGACTAGATGGTGTACATGTTTACACTATGCCCCATTTGAAATTGGTGTTCCTAACAGTCAAAACTCAAGTGTTGTCTTGAGTGGCTCACCTTACCTGAATTGACTTCCAAGAGGCTTCTCAATTCCTTTATACTCTTAAACTTCGGACCTGTCTTGTCCATTTTCCAGAAATATATAATAATTAAAGACTATGTTGTGATCATTGTTATATCTGGAATTATGCACTTTTTATCAAGTTTTACTAATATCTTATATGCAACTATTGATATAATAAAATTTAACATCCAGGAAATGTATTGATCAACTAATTCCATAATGGTGCTAAGTAACAAGTTATCATAAACATAGTGGATTAAAAACAACAATAATTTATTCTCATTCATGCATCTCCTGTTGGGCTGGCAGTGAGAGTCAAGGTGGTTTGTAGGCTGAAACAGGCTTGGCTCAACTAAGCACGGTTCTGCTTTATACATCAGGTTCAAATCTTGTCTATATGTTTCCCATCCTCCTCAGATTAGTAAACTAGCCAAGTCATTATCTTCTCATGGTGATGACAGAAGCTCAAGGAAGAAGTGTGCAAGCACATTTCAATCCTCTGCTTCTATGTTTGCTAATATCCCATAGGCAGGACATGTAGTCAAGCCTAAAGTTAATGGGCGGAGAAGTGTACTCTGCCTTTAGGGGGAGAAACTGTACAGTCACATGGTAGAGGATGTGAATTCAGGAGTGGTGAATAAGTAGGAGTCACAGTCAAACCTACTGTAGGTATGAAGAACCTAAGTTATACCATTTACATAACAATGCATTCTTTATTCTTAGCATTTACAGGGCACTAGAGAAAGATTTTTGTTTATTTAAATTCATTAACCATTCATGGAGTACCTACTTCATATAATGTACTGAGCAAAAGCTAAAGGCATATATTGTATATAGAGTACCTGATTCCTGAGAGGCTAATGGTGGGAATTAGGAGAACTCATAATCAGTGCTGAGTCAGGACTTGGTGTAATCGCCCAATGTGTCCACAAGGACTGCACTAGCCAGGAGTCTTATTATTTTGCTTTAATCTTCGTTGCTTTTTAAATTATTTCAAAGGCAAGAAATATTTATTTTAGAAAATTGAAAAGTATATCTATGCATAAAGGAGAAATTAAAATATGCCCGTACTCCCACCATCCGTAAGTAAACAATTATTTGCTTTAATGAACTAGATAGAAAGATAGGTCGAGATCATGTAGGTAAGTAGATAGATAGTAAATTGACTAATTGGTTGTAGAGGAGTGCTTTTCTATCTTTTACTTAATGTAACATGTATACATTCAATGTCAGTAAATATTCATCTCTATACATGTCATTAATGCTGCTTAATATTCTGTCATGCTAATATAGCATATTTTATTTCACTAATTTAATGATAAACGGGTAAATCTCATTTTTGCTATTATAGACAATGTTGTTTTGTAAATGTTGTACATCTCTAAATACTTGAAGTACAAAAAAGCAGAAGGGATGTAAAAGAAATATCAATAATGTTTCTTATCAGGGAAGAGTTTATTTTTCAAGAGATTTTAAAGCAAAAATCCAAAGGCTATAGCTAGGTTCCAAATTTGGAGAAATAATCTAAAGGGAACAGTATGTTCAAAGCAAGGGAAATAAAGGGGCATTTCAATTAGACACCCAAGGCCAGTCTCCAGAGAAGACACAAGGACCATAGCATCCAAAATTCAAACCACAGAAGAAAAATGTGTGTTCCGGGGAGAAAGACATTTTAGGATTTGTTGTTAAGATGGGTAAGATGAGGGTAGCTGGGAGGTAAATTGTACAAGGCAAAGGAACAATTCTGTACAAGGCAACACAAATGTGTGCACCCAATCCTGCTGGTGTGGAAAGATATCCAGTCATCAAACTGCAAATGGCAGTGGGTTTACAAGTCAAAGGCACAGTTGACGAGGCTTACAGGGCATGTCTACAGTTCTGGCACTGAAACAACTGGTGGTTTCAACTAATAGAAAAAAATAAGCAAAACTGAGCTTCCATATTTTATAGCCTTGCAAAAATACAAGCTAGTAATCAGTTCATGATCTGTCGGTATCAGCCTGACTTTCTAAGGTGGAAAAAGGGCGAATCAATATCTTACTGCAGTTGTATGAGCAATGATATTGCGTCTATTCCTAAGGCTGGTTTGCCGTGGTCTGGATGTGGTTGGGAAGATACTCTAAAGCAAATTCTGACACCTAAAGTGAAATAGTCCTATAGATTATCTATAAAGAATTCTTTGATTTAAATGCTAGGACAAGAGCCTCAGCATCTCAGAGAAGTGCCTAAAATTAGGGTACTCTGCTAAACTGAGAGTATGAGAATGTTCTCATTTGTATGGCATTAAATATCAAGCAATTCTTTTCTAAAATTTGGCTTTGAAGGCCCAGAATTTAAATTTGCAGGGCTCTTGACTATCAAAAGATATTAGTGTAATCCATTCTATTTGTATAGCATTTGTGTTGATCTTCCCATCAATTCAATGAGGTATAGAAGGCAAACGGTAAAACACTACTATAATGGATCAGGCTGCTGAGAATCGTGAAGGGCTGTGCTGGAGGTCACCCTTAGAACATGGTAATGACAGGCTATAGTTACCATGTCCTGGCTACCAGCGCAGGGTCCTTTTCTCCTTACCCACCCACTCTCTTACAACACATTTAAGACAACCTCAAATGTGTTTTTCAGAGAATTTGGCATTCTATATCTTTCAAATCTCCACTTAAATTCCCAAATTGTGTGGTTTTATTCTTTATTGCGGAAAATCTTTTTTAAAATATCAGTTGCTAAAATGTCCATTTTATTGTTCTAGATGTCAAGTTGAAAGGATGAACTGGAATCTTTGATGATCAAACTGATGGAACAGATGATCAGTTCTCATCCTCCAAAGTTGTGACTGTAGATGGTGTAGGAGACTGAGCTGAAAATGTATTGCACCCAGTAGTTTAAATTCTGAGCTCTTGAGAGAAGAGACTGGGTGCATTTTGTTCAATCTTCTATCCTGGATGCCTACTAGATATCTAGCATGAAGTAAGCATTTAATGAATATTGGTTGAATGAATAAATACTATGTAAGTGATCTTCAGAGTGTGCTTTTTGTTATTGACTTCCTTTTCCAGAAAGTCAACTTATAAATTAAAATAAAGAAAAAGAAAGAGAAAGAAATTAAGGAAGGAAGCGAGGGAGTGAGAAAGGAAGGGAGGAAGCAAGGCGGAAGGAAGTGGGGGAGGAAGAAAGGAAGAAATATAAGGTGGGAGGGAAGGATGAAGGAAGGAAGGAGAAAAGAAAAAGAAGGCAAGGGGAAAAACAAGAAGGAAGAACAAAGGAAGAAAGGGAGCAGCATAGGAAGAAGGAACTAAGGAAAAGGTAGGAAGGAAGAAGAAAGGAAGGAATAAATTAAAAGAAATTGTGAATTTTGAAGTGTTGGCTTTACTTAGAAGAAGCTCTAATTCATTTAATCAATATTTTTATCCATTAAGATTTAAAATTCATTTCTTGTCCCTGTTTCAATGTCCATCTCCTTCCCATTCTGTGAAACCAGGACAAGAGCTTCCAATTTTGTGACTCCTGGGTCCTCCTACCACCCTCAGGCCTTGGGAGTGCGGTGGGAGTAGGAGAAGCACGTGTCACTTGACCTGGAGCAGCTGAAATCTATCTTGAAGGGGAGTCACCTCCTGCTTCTCCTGGCTCACAGAATAACCAGTGTCCCCACAGTGGGCTCTCTGTGAACTGCTGGCTGTGGATAGAGTTGCAGGATGAGTTCTCTCTTTGTGCACTCTTTGCTGACCATCTAAGTGGTGTGTCTGACTAGTTTGGCATGTTGCTTGTTAAAATTCATTCTTTTAAAGCCGAGTATCCACTTAGTTCCTCTACTCTGAACTTTCATCATTCATTATTAACAATGAAAGCCAAAGTGCATGAAACAAGTTCAGCCCTATCTGTTTCTGGCATGAAAGTGATGTCTTGGCATATTAGTGGGACACAGCTCTATCTTACATAAAATGCTGCCTGGGCCCACAACAAAGGCGCTGTCTCTCAGCGCCTAATAGGATCACCTACTTCAAATGTGAAACTTCCTTCTTTGAAATATTTGTTGAGATTTCATAAACCTATGAAGATTCTCAAACTCAAACAAAACCTTCTAGGCTTTGGCGCAAGCTCTGACTCTAAAGAGCTTTCTGTTCTATAAGCCAGTTATTGGATCTGGGTCCCAAGCGCAGGCAGATGGGGAGGTGTGGGGGCATCAGGAGAGGAAGAGCTAGCTTTCCACTTTCTCTTTTTGATACAAAAATAAAAGTCATCTGGCTTTGACTGCAGAAAATGAATCATATTAAGTATTTTAAAAGCACTATTTTTTTGGTAAGACCTAATTTCAGACCAATTAACACTTTAATATGAAACAGAAGCACATCATTTCATTAGGAGGCAAAATAAGGCCTCTCGGCTACCATATGTTGTCTCTTCCTTTGCAAGAAAGGAAAAAAGAAAAAAATCTCATTTGAAAGCTCCTATTGTAGATTGAGCTACAAGAGGGAATGTAAATTTGGCACCATCACCCACCCCAGGTGAGCAGAACGCATTGAGGAGCCACACAATCACAGGGTTTTGTTTTTGTATTTTTGGCAATGCCCATATTCACTCTGTTCGGTAACAGAAGATCTGGCTGTTGCCCTAGAAAGCTGAAGAGAAACATTCTTTTGTGAAAACAGAAGTGAAAAGAATCTTTTAGTATGTTCTTCCTAAGAATGTCTATGCTGACACGAAGGGCAAAGAAACACTTTGTACCACTGATTTCACAGATTACTTATTTATTAAATAGATGAAACAAAATTATAGCTGTCCCTTTTCAATATTTAAAATTTTTAAGATAATGCCTTTAAAATGCACAGAACATGAATGCAGGAGCTGGTGTGATTGGAGAGAGCCTTATTGCACATAATTAACAGACACATAATGTCTGGTAACTAGTAATTTCCTTCTAGCTGAGTAAGGAAATAATTTAATCATGTTGATCAAATGAATCCCAGGAGCCCAGTGTAACATTATGCCTAAAAAAAAAAAAAAAAAGAAAGAAAAAGAAAAAAGAAAAAAAAATATGCAATAACTGATAAAAGACTACTTGGTCAAAAAAAAAAAAAAAAACAACAACTTGGCTTCCAACCTTGCTTAGGTATCCTTAATAGTACTTAAAATGCAGGCCTTAATCTGACATTTCAAGAACATTATTTTCCAACACTGGCAGAGGCTACGAATATCGGTATGGTCCACTTTTCTATAACCAATACCCAATTGTAATAGATGTATATTTCCCTCACCAATGAAAATGGTCCCCCCAACCCCTGCTTAGAGGAGTGTGCAGAAAGTGTGAGGAGTGACTAAGTGGAAGTGGGGGTGATTAGACCACACGTCTATTTTCTTAAGAATCTCTCTTTCCTAGAATAGCATCCTATAGTCAATAACTAAATATAAACCCCTATTGTTCATCTGTGAATTCCAACTTACTATTCAAAATGGGCAGGAGGAGGCATTCTTCCAAATTATTCCCCCAAACAAATGTCTCCTCAGTAGAATATATCCTAGCTGTGATAGTCTGGTGTTTTCTTTTGAAATCTTTTGTAGTCTTTGCCATTGTTCTTCTGAACTACTTAGAAAAGGCAGTGAGCCACCTTCATGGTATCTGAAGTTGGCTCTCCATAATGAGGTGATATAATTTAACACTTACTGTAATACATTTTATCCATCTATTGTTTGCTAAATAATTCCTGCAATAACAATTTTATTCTTTCCATAATTCTTCAGGGCAATGCTGGAGGAATAATATTTTTACTGCAGTGATTGATGTCAGGTCCTGGTGCTATATAGCCCCATGAACAAAGGTTATTGATAAGCATCAGGAAGATTGGAGGGTGTAGAGGGGGCAGGGAAAGCATTCAGAGGCCCCTGCTGCATGAAAAGAAGATCAGGGATCAGAGGGTTAATACCATTTTATGAGGTTGTAAAAATCTACCCCAAGATTCTTGTGTTAGCAATATTCTTTGTGTAAGATGTATGTTATTAAAACAAGTAGCAGCATCTGAATTAAAGTGACAGTATGATGGATGACTACTGAAAAGGAATCGGAGCCGTTTGCAGCATTTTGGGCTAGATGTGGGAATTCTGCCTCAGAGGCAAGGAGCTTGGCAGACACATTGATTCCGGGCTGATGCATGTTCATAAATATGCCCCTAGAGAGGTGTGGCCTAGCAGAATTTACAAAATTATGTTCATGAATTATTTAACATTTATTTATGGATGCTATATTTAAACAGTATTTGCAAAGGCGAATGGACCATAGCTTACAAAGTGATCTTTAGATAATGCAAATTCTGCACAAGGCAGAGGTGGCGGGTGACTTGCCCAGTGATGCTAAGCCTATGAAAACTATATTAGAGGAGGTGAGTCCACCAAGGAAGGAGCTGCCCCTCCAGGACACAAGGTGTTTCCTTGATGTAGCTGAGGTTCAGAGCAAGAGGACAGATCAAGGAGGACTTTTTCTCTTCAGAAATGTGGTTACATCAGAAGACAAGATTGTGCTAGAGCTGATTCAAATTTCAACATAAGGAATTTTTCCATTTACAGCACTCTTTTTTTTAAGGATTGCAAAATGTAACACTACCAGTTAAAGGTCATAAAGAAGAAAGGAGGCCAGGTGCGGTGGCTCATGCCTGTAATCCCAGCACTTTGAGAGGCCAGGGTGGGCAGATCACTTAAGGTCAGGAGCTTGAGACCAGCCTGTCCAACATGGGGAAACCCTGACTCTACTAAAAAAAAAAAATACAAAAATTAACCAGGCGTAGTGGCATATGCCTGCAGTTCCAGCTACCTGGGAGGCTGAGGCAGGAGAATTGTTTGAGCCTGGGAGGCAGAGGTTACAGTGAGCCAAGATCACGCCACTGCACTCTAGCCTGGGTGACAGAGAGAGAATCCATCTTAATAAAAAAAAAAAAGAAAAAGAAAAGATTGAGAAAATGTTAAATCTTAGATGCCTCTCTAATCGTGTTGTCATGTTCAAACACATGAAGTTAAAGTTATGATTTATAAATTTATTAATTTAGTGTCATATAGTTTGGCATGGTGGATATGGCAGTGACTCTGATGCTCATGAAATACTCTATTTGCTCTCACCATTTGCCATCCTCCTTGAAGTCGAGTGAGGCCTTGTGGTTAGGTCTTGCCAATGACATGTGTGTGGAAGTGGCAGGTGTTACTTATGTGACAGAGGCATACAGGCTTTTGCTTGTCTGTCTTTCTTCTCCTGTGATGGTAAATGAAGAGGACACACAGTACAAGAGGTTCAACTGCTAGAGGGTGAAACCTCCCACAGCCCATCCCTATGACTGCAACTGAGCCCCCACCAACCTGTATGAGATGAATAACATGACGGAGAAATTAGAGTTGGTGTATTAGCCCATTTTCACACTGCTATAAAGAACTTCCCTGAGATTGGGTAATTTATAAAGGAAAGAGGCTTAATTGACTCACAGTTCCACATGGCTGGGAAGCCTCAGGAGACTTACAATCATGGTGGACGGGAAAGCACACACCTTCTTCACAAGGTGGCAGGAGAGAGAAGGTGTGAAGGAGGAACTTCCAAGCACTTATAAAACCATCAGATCTCTTGAGAACTCACTCACTAGCACGAGAACAGCATGAGGGAAACCGCCCCCATGAGCTAATCACCTCCCTCCCTCAACACATGGGGATTGCAGGTCCCTCCCTTGACCGTAGGGATTACAATTTGAGATGAGATTTGGATGGGGAGACAGAGCCAAACCATAGCAGTTGGGTTGGGTTAAGCCATTGAAATTTGGGGGTTGCTTGTTGCTGCAGCGTAACAAAGACTGTCTTGACTAATGCGGTAGGTCAGTGCTACTCAAACCACCTTCCTGCAGTGAAATAAGATGTTGGTGCCAGAATGTAAATCAGTGCTCTACTCACTTTAAGAAGGTCTTACCATGAAAAAGTGGTCAGCTGAACTGAACACGGTGCTTAGTGACAGTTGATTTATTTTCTGGCACAAGCTCCTTAACTAAGGACACTTGCCACAGAGCAGTTCATGGACATACCATGAGAGGCATTGCAACAGACAATGGCATATTTTCTCAAGTAGTTCTAGGTTCATATTTGGTTGTTTTTTATGGATGACTGACATGTTCTAATGCTTCTTTTGCCTCTTGATAAGCCCAACCCTTTCCATCAAAAATGGGGGAGGCTCAAACAGAAAAAAAAAAAAGAAGTATAATCTGAAATGGACAAGATAACTTTGTGTAGGAGATGGACCTTATGATTTTACCTTTCTGCTAATTTAAAACCTACATCTCACCCCTACAAAATCAGAGCTAGACTTTTTCATTTTGTTTGCTCATAAGAAACGTAAGTATTTTCCTCCTCTAGCAAACCTGCTTTAAATGTAATAATAACTTGACCAATGGTGTTATCAGGGTATTCCAGGTTACTCAAAGCTAGGATGCTAGCAATACCGAGAAAAAATAAAGCAGATAATCTGATTTTATCAATTCCAGAAAAGACACAGTGACAATAAAGAGAGGCAAGGCAATGGGATTGAGTTTTACTTTGCTAAAAGGGGGTAAATAGAAACAAAACCTTTAAATGTATACATCAAAAAAGACTCTGCATAAGTTCAAACTCACTGGCTAATACAAAACTAAAATGATAACTTAATATATGTGCTTTAACTACCACTTAAGTGATAGAAATCTTTCCCTTTTAGTTGACAATATTGGTATTACAAAGGTAGAACTATAACTGCAGTGTCACTGGTGTCTCCTTTTGCCACTCTTAGAGCAAAAGTACAAGCCAAGTTTGTAATCAGAATATTGATACTACATGGTATTATGTGTGGATTCTGAATGTGATATGTTATTTTTAATTGACGTCTGATTGTAAAATTCCTAGGAATGTTATATGACCAAGCATGCACACACACACACCCCTCTCTATCTCAATACTTAGGATAGTTACTAGAGCTAAAAATTTAGTCAATTATTGATAAATAAATAAATGAGTGAATACGGGTAAATCTGTTTGCATTATCCAGAAGGCAACTACTAGAAGCACTAAGAAAACTCTTAAGAGAGTGTTTAACTATGGTGTTTGAGAATGGCACTAGCATCTTAAGATGTGAATTCTATGTCATTAATCAGAGTTTCCAATAAAATAATGTATGACATCTCCATATAACTGTGGTTTGACCTATAGTGTTGAATTTTAATTTTTTCTCTCTTTTATTTATTATTTTTTATTGTATTTTATTGTATTTTATTTTTAGACATGAGATCTCACCATTTTATTGCCTAGGCTGGAGTGCAATGTTGTGATCCTAGCTCACTGCAGCCTTGAACTCCTGGGCTCAAGTGACCCTCTCTCCTCAGTCTCCTGAGTAGCTGGATTGCAGGTATGCATCACCATGCATGGTTTAATTCACTCTCTTTATGAAACTTTTCAGGATTTTTAAAGGATTGGTAAGAAGTGCTGGAAAATTAGGGATAGACAAGTGTACAGATAAATAGGGAAACACATTGTTCTTCCCTTAGTTCTAGTCCGCTAGGAAGCAGAGCCTGAGGCAGGATTAAAGTTCTGTTTTTGTTTTGTTTAGTTTTTAATTTGAGAGGGAGAAGCCCGTTGTAAGGTAGGAAAAAAAAAAAGAGAAACAAAGCAAGGGTAGATGCAAAGCAAGGGTAGATGCAAAGCAGTGTGATGCTCTGAGCCATCTAGCTGGCATTTGCTACACAGTGAACTGCAATGGGACATAGCAGGTCGCTCAGCACATGTGTGTGCTAGGCACTCAGCAGAAACTGCACCTCAGAATAGCCCAAAGAAGGAAGAAATGAAAGGGAACTCACCTTCCTCGCACCCTGCAACCTCTTTTTGTTCATTGATCCAAGTTTACTCCATGCCGAGCTAACTCCCCAAGGTTGCATCCTTCAACCTCTTGGCAGCTGTGCCTGCAATCAGACCCCAAGCCTCTCTATAGGGTGTTTTTTCCAGGTTAGAAAGTGGAGAGATACCTTAGCACTGAGAGGGCTTGGCATGAGGGAGGCAAGTTTCTTCATTTCTGTGATTTCAATTCAGACTACAGCTGCTGGGGAGCTATGCAAAGATAGCATGGGCATAGTTGCCCAAGAGGCACATGTAACCTTTGTAGATAAACAGGCAGTTAAGTCTGAGAAAGCACACAAGGTTTGTGTTCAGCATGGTTCTCCAAGGTTTTAAGAGTCCCAAGGCATGAGATTTTGCGGATGTTTTTCACAATGCCCTCCACTTTTTCTCCTAGTCTTTTTCCTTTACCCTGTTCCAGTCCATCCACCCTTTACTCCAGGTTCAGTGTTCACTCATTTGCCCACATTTACCACTGCACCCTGCTCTTCGTTGAATATCTTACCCAATGCAAAACATGTTCTGCAGCCAGTGATCATTGTTATTGAAGGAATACTTTTCTCTGGCATTGAGAACAAATGTCATCCTTTTTCTAAAGCGCTTCCTCTATCCTCTCCAATCTGATGTGTCTCCCTTTGCTGTGTTCACATACTGCTTATATCTTTGTTTAGATGTTTGTCAATGCCTGGTATGCCCATAATTATTTATGTGTATTTATCTACTCACTAAGTTGTTAGCTCCTTGAAAACACAAACTATGAAATCTAGCGGAACGAGCTTGGATTTTGGTGTCTGGCAAGTCTGAGTTCTCCAGGACTCATTTGCTTCATGTTTTTATGGTTTGTCTCTTGCTTCACCTTCCTGGGTTTTATCACCTTTTATGTAAAACTGTGGCAGTTGTACTTTATTTGGTTTTAGTGAAAATTGGCAGAGACAATTTAATGCTCATAGCTAATGGGGTGACTGACACATAGCTGGTGCTAAATAAAGGCTACTTTTTGTCTTTATCCAATTGTTATATCCCTTTATCAGCACCAATGTAGTGAGTGGTTAATGGAAAATGTAAATAATTTCCAATCTGTGTAATACTAGGGAATGCATGTAGTAATTACTTACATGCCAGGTACTATCTTAGTGCTTTAGAAGAGTTTACTTATCTGTCTTAGTCAGTGTTCTCTAGAGAAACAGAACTAATAAGATATATATATATATACACACACACACATATATAAGTGTGTACATATGTGTGTGTGTATATATATGCAATATAGTATATATACACACACATATATATGTGTGTATATATGTATATGAAGTTTATTAAGGGGTATTAACTCACATGATCACAAGGTCTCACAGTAGACTGTCTGCAAGCTGAAGGGCAAGGAAGCCAGTCTGAGTCCCAAAGCTGAAGAACCTGGATTTCGATGTTCAAAGGCAGGAAGCATCCAGCATAGGAGAAGCATGTATGCTGGGAGGCTAAGCCAGTCTAGTCTTGTCATGTTTTTCTGCCTGCTTTATATTCTGGCCACGCTGGCAGCTGATTAGGTGGTGTCCACCCAGATTAAGGTTGTGTCTGCCTTTCCCAGCCCACTGACTCAAATGTTAATCTCCTTTCACAACATCCTCACAGACACACCCAGGATCAATAGTTTGCATCCTTCAATCCAACCAAGTTGACACTCAGTATTAACCATTACAGTATCTAATCCTATAAGGAAGATACAATTTTTATGTTAAAAAAACTTCCATAGAACTTCCTATATACCAGACACAGTTCTAATTACTTAACATTTATTAATCATTTTAACCACATAACATTCCCATGTGGTTAGTACTGTCATTATTGTCCACTTTCAAAATAACAAAGACACTGAGAGGCTAAGTATCTTGCCCAAGGTTACACAGTTGGTAAGATACGGGATGTAAACACAGCCAGTCTGTTTCCAGAGTCTGCATTCCATAGAGTGTGGTATAATGTATTATAAAATAGCTTCTATGTAAATAACTTCCTCATATATTTAAGAGTTTTTATTACTTTTAGATAAATAATACTTCTCTAGAAATTGCCAGTCCATTTCTTTAAAAGTGAACATGTTATATACTTACCCCCAGAGCAAAGGGTATGGCTTATTCAAATTGAGCAATTGACTCAATTGAACAGATTTAAGCTATTGCAGCCTAGCTTTGATGGTAAATGGTGGGAGTCAATTAGACACAACTAGTATAAATCACTATGCAAGATTGATATGACACCTGCACAAAGATAGGGCAAAGGGAGTTACTTATTTTTGCACCTATTTTCAATACTGTATCATATTGCTGTTTGCATTCATACCCTGTAGGATATTTCTTTCTAAAGATTCTTGCTTTTGGCCAGGCGTGGTGGCTCATGCCTGTAATCCCAGCACTTTGGGAGGCCAAGGCGGGTGGATCATGAGGTCAGGAGGCGGGTGGATCACGAGGTCAGGAGATTGAGACCATCCTGGCTAACATGGTGAAACCCCGTCTCTACTAAAAATACAAAAAATTAGCCAGGCGTGGGGGCAGGCACTTGCAGTCACAGCTACTTGGGAGGCTGAGGCAGGAGAATGGCATGAACCCTGGAGGCGAAGCTTGCAGTGAGCCGAGATCGCGCCACTGCACTACAGCCTGGGTGACAGACCGAGACTCCATCTCAAAAAAAAAAAAAAAGATTCTTGCTTTCACATACAGCTTTTTATATATCCCACAAAACCTACGAGAGTTGACTCTATGTGTGTGCATGTGCATGTGTATGTATTGGGAGGGGAATGATAAAATAAATTTTTCTAGTTCATAAAGAATACGTAGGCATGATAATAACAGAAGTGAGAGAACATTTTCCCGATGAAGTGCAATACTGGCAACATTGATGCTTACCTTGCAAATGAATTGAGATTGGGCCCAGACCCAAGTCACCATGATTTCACGAACCACCAGAGAATGTTCATACAATATTGAGTACCTTCCAATATCTGAAGGACAAAAGTGAGCACATATTAAAAATCTGAAGAATTGAATTTTTAGGCAAGGCCTCAGTAGAATCAGATAAATTTCTCATTATCATCTCTCTCTTCCGTTTCTTCCCCTGAGGCAAGAGTGTGAGGCCCTAACATAAACCTAACGTTGTCATCATCTTAAAGGATATACTGTTTTTCCACTTATGCCATATTTCATACACTTTTTAGCTATGAGAAAAGATGGTGCACTTTCCAAAGAAATGTTATTTGGAGGGTATCAATGTCCATCAGAGAAGGTGTTCAGTTCAGGTAAGATGAGGAGAATTAGAAGAGCTTTTCTTTAAGCTAACAATGTTTCCTTTTGAGTTAGGGCAGATATTAATCATGTTTGATCTCTTACAAATAAAAAGGAAATAATCCCAAATGGCATGGCATGTAGCTTTCTATCCTGGGGTTTCTGCCCTCAGTTTTGGTATTTATGTATTTGAAAGAGATACCAGCATGGTTGATATTAGTTATGACAGTTCACATTTCTCCTCTAAACCAAATTCTAGTGAAAAAAAAAAAACAGCTGTCTGATAATGAATCTTCCTTTCATTCCTCCTACCCAAGTCTAATTATCATTAAGTGACAAGCTTTAGGTACATTCCTGCTGAAGAACTCTCTCTCTCTCTTTTTTTTCCATTTTGGACATTGGCCTTTCTCTCTCTGTAAGCTGTGCCTTTGACAAAACTGTGGGGCAGACAGGAAGTGGGAAGCCAGACCAAACTAGCCCAGGCTACCTGTGAAATTGGCATAGTGCCACTTACACTGTATTATAGAGTTCAGTCACATTCCAAGAGTGCAGAATATGTTGCTACTTTAGCAAAATAGTTTTTTTAAATTTATTTAACTGATGATTGACCTTGAATACAATAGCCTAACTGTTCCTTGGAGAAAAATCCCAAATATCCAGAAAACAAATTCTTATTTATCTCCTTGGGGAGCCAAAGAGGAAAATAGCTCAAATTATTTTATAGTAAATCTGTAGCCTATAAAAGAAGCCCATTATTTTTGAAAATAATTTAATCTGCTGAGATGCCACTATCTTGCCATGCCTACACGTTATAGGAGTGAACATGGTGATCTTAGGAGCTAGAATTGTAGATCTTCCAGCTCAGTGTCTCCCAAATGCCTATTTTTACTGCACCACTTTTTCAGTGGTAGTGGTTGAGGTTCATTTTCTCTCCCTCTTAATTCCTTCCTGGCAGAGGTGGAGAATTCACCTATTATTCCATAATAAGGTTTGGGTTAGGAAGAAACTATCTGTATTATTTTGTTCTCACGCTGCTATAAAGAACTACCTCACACTGGGTAATTAATGAAGAAAAGAGGTTTAATTGACTCACAGTTCCACAGGCTTAACAGAAAACATGGTTGGAGAGGCCTCAGGAAACTTACAACCATGGTGGAAAGCGAAGGGAAAGCAAGCACCTTCTCCTCATGGTGGCAGGAGAGAGAGTGAGGTGAGGAACTGCTACACTTTTAAACCATCAGTTCTCATGAGAATTCACTCACTATCATGAGAATAGCATGGGGGAAATCCACCTCCATGTCCAAGCACCTCCCACCAGGCCCCTCTACTAACACATGGGGATTACAATTTGACATGAAATTTGAGTGGGAACACAGAGCCAGACCATATCACCATCCATTTCCCTCTCTGTCCCTCTTCACTTTGCAAACGAAAAGCCCAAGACAACATATCTTTCTAGGGGCAATAGCAAGTAGAATAAAACTAGTGCTTGAACCCATTTAATATGGATTCTGGCTCCAAATTCGGTGCTTATTCCAGCACAACAAAAATGGTATGTATTCATTGATGGGAAAGAAAAAGAAGCTCCACCATCACACCCCCATCCTTTTTCTCCATGCATGGACCTGTCTATATTCCCATCATGGCAGGAGATAGTATGCATGGGAAATGAAAACATGTCAAGTGCCTTCAAGGGGGATGAAGAATCTCAGAGATGATGAAGAGGACTGAATTCTCCATGTAGGATTTTATACAAAAGAGAGTGGGAGGCTAAAACCACAGAGAAAGCAAAGGAGTTTGTTCAGGGTCTAAATTTGCTAAAAAGAGAGAGAAGCTCCATACAGGTAGATCAACAGATTTGTTGACTTTGTCAATGTTTCCCACATGAAGAATGGCAAGGAAAATGGAGGGGCTGGATAAAGGACTTAAACTGTGAAGAAACTAGCATCAGGTCAGTACATAATATCTGCCCGGACTTGGGGCCAGAGTACAAATGGAGGACCATATGCCTTATGAGTAAATATTCAAAGGATCTAAATCCAATTGCCAATCTGTTAAATAAATATATCTCATTCTCAAACCTTGATATATGTTCATTTATAACAACAAATTAGAAAAATTTAAAGCTAAATTTTTATAACATTGAAATTTGGCAAAATATAAAAGAATCATTCATTCAATTATATTGCACATATCTGAGTATTCTATTGATGGACCAGTGCTGTTGGATAAGTAATAACCTTAAGACAAATAATTCATAAATTATCACATATTTTTCATAAAATATATATCATCTGTATTTAAGCAAAATCACTGATAATCACTATAATCAAGAGTTTTGCATAATTTATACACTACCAATAATAACGCCAAATTTGACAACATTTCATGACTTATTGTAATTATTTGGAAGTACTTTATTAATTTTAGTTTTAGAAATTTCAGTCTACTGTGGCAGTAGCAACTTAAATTTTTAGGGTTCTTAAATACACTTATATTTAGAAATTAAATTAAAATTTTTGTATATCATGTTTAAATACTTACATGGTTGCTTATGATAAATTATCATTATCAAAAGTTGTAGAGTATTTTATCTTTTTCATGCAAGTTGATAATATTGATATTTCAATTTTACCACTTCTTAACTAGTATCTAGATTTATACATTAATAGTAGGAATTGGTATTATACTTCATGATTGTTACTTGTAGACACACACACACACACACACACACACACACACACACAAATTTAAGAAAATCGTGGCTCTCCCAGATGCCCTGTAAGGCAGGTAGGTGGATATATACATTGCTATATGCATGGGTATGCGTGCTCCCCTTGTAGTCACCATGAGAGGGAAGGTCAAGCCAGGTTACTACCAAGAAACATGATTTTGTTCTGGGGGATCCAGTTTCTGACACTGAAAAATACCAGAATACTCTCCAGCTAGAACAAGAAATGAGAAACCAAGATAGATTCATCTCTACACTGAAATTACAGAGTGCTGGGAAAACTGGTGAGAATCACTGCTAACCTGCGGCTGCCAGTGCCCCACCCCAGCAAAATACATGCATCCCATTATGCTACTGCAGCTTCTGGCATGCATCAGCAAGTAAGAATCTTGCAGCTACAGCCATGACAAAGCACTTTGGATGACACCACCCATTGGAGTGTTGTGGCAAGTGGACCAGGAACTGGACCAGGCCACTCCAGTGCAGCAGGTTCCTAACCTCAAGGGGACAGAGAATAAAGCAAGGGGACTGATACCAGGCCCTCAGAGTTAGAGCATGCAGCCTAGAAGTGCTGATCTGAGTCTTGGTCCCCAAAAATCTTCCAGAAATGAAGCCAGTTGACTGAACCCTCATGTACCATAATGAAACCCCAAAGGGTATCAAAGAAGATAAAAAAAAAATAAAGATAAAAACCATCCAAAGGATGGCAACATCAAAGATGGAAAGAACATCAGCCTACACAGATGAGAAAGAACCAGTGCAAGAACTCTGGCAACCCAAAAAGCCAGAATGTCTTCTTGCTCCCAAACAACTGCACTAGTTTCACATAAATGGTTCTTAACCAGGAAGAAATAGCTGAAATGTCAGACATAGAATTCAGAATATAGATAGGAATAAAGATAATTGAAATTATGGAGAAAGTCAAAACCAACCCAAGGAATCTAAGGAATACAGTAAAACAAATACAAGAGCTGAAAGACAAAATGACCATTTTAAGAAAGAAATGGATGTGATGGAGCTAAAAGGAATACTTCAAGAATTTCATGATACAATCACAAATATTAACAGCAGAATTGACCAAGCTGAGGAAAGAATCTCAGATCTCAAAGACTGTTTCTCTGAATTAAATTGCTTAGACAAAAATAAAGAAAAGATAATTAAAAAGAGTAAACAAAACCTCCAAGAAATATAGGATTATGTAAAGAGACCATGTGTATGACTCAATGATGTACCTGAAAGAGAAGGAGAAAAAGGAAGCAAACAATTTGGAAAACATATTTAAGGATATTATTCATGGAAATTTCAACAATCTTACTAGAGAGCCAACATTCAAATTGAGGAAATGCAGAGAACCCCTGAGAGATACTAAACAATCATTCCCCAAGACACATAGTTATCAGATTCTCCAAGTTAGAAATGAAAAAAAATGCTAAAGGCAGCTAAAGAGAAGCAGCAGGATACCTACAAAGGTAACCCCATCAGGCTAATGGCAGACATTTCAGTAGAAACCCTGCAAGCCAGAAGAAATTGGGGGCCTATATTCAGCATACTTAAAGAAAAGAAATTCCAACCAAGAATTTCATATCCAGCCAAACTAAATTTCATAAGTGAATGAGAAACAAGATCCTTTTCAGATAAGCAATTAATAATCTTTTCATTTGTCCTCACCTGACCTGTCTTACAAGAGGTACTTAAGAGGGTGGTAAATATGGAAAAGAAAGACTGTTACCAGCCACCACAAAAGTACACTTAATTATATATACCATCGACACTATGAAGCAACTACACAACCAAGTCAGAATAATAACCAGCTAACAACATGATGACAAATCTGCAAGTATCAATATTAACCTTGAATGTAAATAGGCAAAATGCCTTGATTAAAAGGCAGAGGGTTGCAAGTGGATAAAGAAGCAAGACCCAACCGAATGTTATCTTCAACAAACCCATCTCACATGCAATGACATCCATAGTCTCAAAGCAAAGGAATGGAAAAAAATCTACCAAACACATGGAGAAAAGAAAAAAGCAGGGGTTGCTATTCTAATTTCAGACAAAACAAACTTTAAACCAATAATGATCAAAAAAGACAAAGAGGGACATTAAATAATGCTAAAAGGTTTGATTCAGCAAGAAGACCTAACTATCCTAAATATATATGCACCCAACACAGGAGCAGCCAGACGTATAAAACAAGTTCTTAAAGACCTATGAAGAGACTCATATAACCACATAATAATATTGAAAGACTTCAACATTCCACCGGGAGCATTAGACAGATCATTAAGGCAGAAAACTAACAAAGATATCTGGGAACAGAACTCACACTTGACCAAATGGACTTAGCAGATATCCATATAACTCTCCACCCCAAAATAACACAACATACAATCTTCTCATCTGCACTTAGCACATACTGTAAAATTGGCCGCACAATGGGCCATAAAACAATTCTCAGCAAATTGAAAAAAAAAACACAAAATGACACCAACCACATTCTTGGACCACAGCACAATAAAAATAGATATTAATACTAAGAAGATCACACAAAGTCATAAAATTATATGGAAAGTAAATAATCTGTTCCTAAATGACTTTGGGGTAAATAATGAAATTAAGGCAGAAATCAAGAAATTCTATGAAACTAATGAGAACACATATACAACATACTGGAACCTTCGGTACGCACTAAAGCAATGTTAAGAGGAAAGTTTATGGCAATAAACACCCACATCGAAAAGTTGGAAAACTATCAAATTAACAACTTAACATCGCAGCTAGAGAAACTAGAAAAACAAGAGCAAACCAACCCCAAAGCTAGCAGAAGACAAGAAATTACCAAAATCAGGGCTGAACTGAATAAAATTGAGATGCAAAAAAGTACAAAACACCAACAAATTCAGCAACTGGTTATTTGAAAGAATAAGTAAGATTGATAGACCTCTAGTTAAACCAATAAAGGGGACATTACCACTGACCTCACAGAAATACAAAAAGAAGCCTTCAGGGATACTATGAACACCTCTGTGAATACCAACTAGAAAGCCTAGAAGAAGCGGATAAATTTCTGGAAACATACACCCTCCCAAGAGAAAACCAGGAAAAAAATAAATCCCTGAACAGACCAATAATGAATTCTGAAATTGAATCAGAATTAAAAGGCCTTCCAACCAGAAAAGCCCAGGACTAGATGGATTCACACTCAAGTTCTACCAGATGTATAAAGAAAAGCTGGTACTGTTTCTACTGAAAGTATTCCAAAAACAATTGAGGAGGAGGGACTCCTCCCCAACTCATTCTATGAGGCCAGCATCATCCTAATACCAAAACCTGGCAGAGACACAACAAAAAAAGAAAACTTCAGGCCAATATCCTTGAAGAGTCAAGGATTCTGAATGAAGGATATTGATTGAAGATTCTTCATCGATGCAGAACTCCTCAACAAAATGCTAGCAAACCAAATCCAGCAGCACGTCAAAAAGCTAATCCACCACAATCAAGTAGGCTTTATTCCTGGGATGCCAGGTTTGTTCAACATATACAAATCAATAAATATGATTCATCACATAAGCAGAATTAAAAAAAAAACCAACATGATCATCTCAATAGAAGCAGAAAAAAAAGCTTTTGATAAAATTTAACATCCCTTCATGTAAAAAACACTCAAAACTAGGCCTCGGAGGAACATATCTCAAAATAATAAGAGCCATCTATGACAAAAACACAGCCAACATCATACTGAATGGGTAAAAGCTGGAAGCATTCTCCTTCAAAACCAAAACAAGATAAAAATGCCCATTCTTACCACTCCTATTCAACATAGTACTGGAAGTCCTAACCGGAGCAATCAGGCAAGAGTAAGAAATACAGGACATCAAAATAGGAAAAGGGGAAGTCAAACTATTTCTGTTTGTAGATTATATGATTCTATACCTAGAAAATCCCTTAATCTCTGCCCAATAGATGCTAAATCTGATAAACAACTTCAGAAGAGTTTCAGGATACAAAATTAATGTACAAAAATCAGTAGCATTCTTCTACACCAACAACATCCAAGCTGAGAACAAAATCAAGAACACAATCCCATTCACAATAGCTACAAAGGGAATAAAATACTTAGGAATACAGCCAACCAGGGAGGTGAAAGATGTCTGCAATGAGAACAACAAAACACTGCTCAAGATATCAGGGATAACACAAACAAATGGAAAAACATTTCATGCTCATGGATTGGAAGAATCAATATTGTTAAAATACCTATATTGCCCAAAGCAATTTACAGATTCAATGATATTCTTATCAAACTACCAATGACATTCTTCACAGAATTAGAAAAAACTATTTTAGAATTCATATGAAACAAAAAAAGAGCCTGAATATGCAAAGCAATATTAGGCAAAAAGAAAATAGCTAGAGACATCACATTACCTGACTCCAAACTGTACTACAAGACTATAGTAACCAAAAAGCATGCTACTGGTACAAAAACAGACACACATTCCAATGGAACTGAATAGAGAACCCAGAAATAAAGTCACCCACATACAACCATCTGAACTTCGACAAAGTTGACAAAAACAAGAAATGAGGGAAAGACTCCTCATTCACTAAATGGTGCGGTGATAACTGGCTAGCCATATGCAGAAGATTGAAACTGGACTTCCTTACACAATATGAAAAAATTAGCTCTAGACGAATTAAAGACTTAAATGTAAAACTGAAAACTATAAAAACTCTGGAAAATAATCTTGGAAATAGCATTGTGAACATAGGCCCTTACAAAGATTTCATAACAAAGATGCCAAAAGCAATTGTAAGAAAACAAAAATTGATAAATTGTACATAATTAAAGAGCTTCTGCACAGCAAAAGAAACTATCAATAGAATAAGCAGACAACCTACAGAATAGGAGAAAATATTTGCAAGCTATGCATTTGACAAAGGTCTAATATCCAGAATCTATATGGAACTTAAATTTACAAGAAAAAATCAAACAACCCCATTAAAAAGTGGGCAAAAGACATGAACAGATGATTTTCAAAAGAAGACAAGTATGCAGCCAAAAATCATATAAAAAATGCTCAACATCACTATTAGAGAAATGCAAATGAAAACCACAATAAGATACTGTCTCACACCAGCCAGAATGGCTATTATTAAAAAGTCAAAAAGCAATAGATGCTGGTGACGTTGTGGAGAAAAGGGAATACTTATACACTGCTGGCGGGAATGTAAATTAGCTGAGCCATTATGGAACTATGTTTGGTAATTTCTTAGGGAGCTTAGAACTACCATTTGACCCAGCAATCCCACATTGGGTATATGTCCAAAGGAAAAGAAATCATTTTACCATAAAGACACATGCACACATATGTTTATTGCAGCATTATTCACAATAGCAGAGACATGGAATCAGCCTAAATGCCCATCAGTAGTAGACTGGATAAAGAAAATGTGGTACATATACACCATGGAATACTATGCAGCCATATAAAAAAATGAGATCATGTACTTTTTAGCAATATGGATGCAGCTGGAGGCCATTATCCTAAGCAAGCTAATGCAGGAACATAAAACCAAATATCACATGTTCTCACTTACAATTGGGAGCTAAACACTAAGTACACATGGACACAAAGAAGGGAACAACAGACACCAGGGCCTACTTGAGGGTGGAGGGTGGGAGGAGGTAAGGATAGAAAAGCTACCTATTGGGTACTATGCTTATTATCTGGGTAATGAAATAACCTGTATACCCACAAAAATCAGAATTCAAATGCAGCTGCCATTTGGTTCAAAGATGGAGGAAATAGATATGGAAAAGCATCCCCCCCGGGGCTTGAACGGTGTTATTTACAACAGTGGAAGTTTAGTGTCATGCTGGCAGGGCCAATAATGGATATTAGATCCTGAGTGATGGAATGCCCATGAGGTCTTGAGCATAGTGCATATGTGTGTATTTGTGATATCTGGGCCCTCTAAAGCATGAACCCCCTTTCCAGCATCTAAGCTTTCTGGCTGGGAAGATTTTTCCCTCCTCACAACTCATTATTCAGTTGTCACCACAGCCTATCTTTCATTCTCTAAACACTTCTAGTTTCCATTAGCTCTCTTCCTCTCTGCAATGTGGTCTTCCTTCTCTCCATCCATCTTTCTTTTCCTCTTTTTTTTTACTTTCTTTCTCCTTCTACATTTCATTGCTTCCTTTTTCTTCCATTGCAATTTCTTTTTTAAAACAAGGTTTTTCAAGAAATACATAGCATGCTGTCTCTTAGAATGTGTGTGTGTTAGCTTTTACACTGTTTGTGGGACTGTAAACTAGTTCAACTATTGTGGAAGACAGTGTGGCAATTCCTCAAGTATATAGAACTAGAAATACCATTTGACCCAGCCATCCCATTACTGGGTACATACCCAAAGGATTATAAATCATGCTGCTATAAAGACACATGCACAGGTATGTTTATTGCTTCACTATTCACAATAGCAAAGACTTGGAACCAACCCAAATGTCCATCAGTGATAGACTGGATTAAGAAAATGTGGCACATATACACCATGGAATACTATGCAGCCATAAAAAAGGATGAGTTCATGTCCTTTGTAGGGACATGGATGAAGCTGGAAACCATCATTCTCAGCAAACTATCGCAAGGACAAAAAACCAAACACTGCATGTTCTCACTCACAGGTAAGAATTGAACAATGAGAACACTTGGACACAGGAAGGGGAACATCACACACCACGGCCTGTCGTGGGGTGGGGGGACGGGGGAGGGATAGCATTAGGAGATATAACTAATGTAAATGACGAGTTAATGGGTGCAGGACACCAACATGGCACATGTATACATATGTAACAAACCTGCACGTTGTGCACATGTACGCTAGAACTTAGAGTATAATTTAAAAAAATAAAAAAAAGAATGTGTGTGTGTTAGAGGGGAGGAATGTATAAGCCTACAGAAAGATATATGAAAACATGAAAGTATTACCTCTCTTTAAACTTCTCAAAGAAATATTTTCCCCACAGGAAATTACTATTAAGAACTTAGCTTTTATATTTCTGGACCATTTTCAACATAGTTTAAAAGTATACAGTTTCTTAAACAAAGGCAAATAATCAGATACATATCAGTTTTACAAGTAATTTGTTTTCTAATCAACAATGAGTAATGGATCTCTTTTCATGTAAGTATATAAACTTTTAATGTGTACATAACATTTCATATTGTGAATATACCATTGATTTAACCATTTCTAATAGTTGCAAATATAGGTTTTCTCCATTTTTTGATATTATCAAAAACACTGCAATAAACACACTTGCACATTACTCTTTATTTACTTGTATATGTAAGGATGTATGCCTAGACCTGGTGCTGATGATTAAAAGAATACTTTAAAATTTGATAGATCTACAAAATCTCCCTCCAGAGCTTCTGTTTATTTCTACCACCAGTGTATGAAAGATATTATTTCTTCTCACTCTCTACCTTAGTCATTATAAAATCTATTTGAAATATTATTTTCATTTTTACAGACTAAAAACATTCTGTTGTCATTCCAACGTGTATTTTTATGATGTGTATTTTATGCTTTTATTTTTTGTTGTAAAATAGTATTTAGCATTTTTCCTGTTTATTCCTTATTTGTATTTTTTTCTTTTATGAATTACTAATTCATAGCTTTCACTTATTTTTTTTCTATTGGTTTGTTTGTCTTCTTATTAATTTGAAAGAACCTCTGAAATATTACGGGTAAAAACTGGCTACATGGCCAGGTGTGGTGGCTTATGCTTGTAATCCCAGCACTTTGGAAGGCCAAGGCAGGTGGATCACCTGAGGTCAAGAGTTTGAGACCAGCCTGGCCAATGTGGTGAAACCCCGTCTCTACTAAAAATACAAAAATTAGCTGGGCTTGGTGGCCAGTGCTTGTAATCCCAGCCACTCAGGAGGCTGAGGCAGGAGAGTCGCTTGAACCCGGGAGGCAGAGGTTGCAGTGAGCCGATATCACACCATTGCATTCCAGCCTGGGCGACAAGAGCGAAACTCCATCTCAAACAAACAAACAAACAAGCTGGCTACAAAAACTATAAATAGCTTTACTCCTGTGCCTCATCTATCTGTACCCTATTTACATTATCTATGCCATAGATAATTCCCTTCCTCTAACCTTTGTTTTCATCTTTGTTTAGAATATGTATTTATTTAAAGATATTTTTATTTTGTGCACAGTCAATATTGTCAATTTTATCTTTTATGGCTTATGATCTTTATGTTTTCTTGAAGATATAATCTACCAAAATAATATAAAATGTTCTCCTTTACCTTCTTCTTCCAAGTTTATCATTTTGCATTATGTTTATCAGAAACTTCATCAATTCAGTATGTATTATAGGGGCTGAACACTATTATAGTCTCAATAGATATGTAATTGTGCCAAGACTTTTACTAAATTATATGCCTCCTAATTTAAAATAATTTCTATTCTATTGTCATATTTATAAAAGTTTCTTTCTTGGCTCCTTATTTTGTCTCAATAATTTATTTGGCAAATCAACATTTTTTAAATTACTGACATGTTATAATTTATTTTAACATGCCAAAGTGTTTTCCCTTAGATTTTTCGTTCTTATTCCAAATTTGCTTTATTATTTCAATCCTTTTGCTCTTCCAACTATATTTTAGAGTCACTTTTTCATGTTCCATTAGTTTTTTTTCATCGGGATTGCATTGAATTATATTAGTGTCAGTAAAATTTCTATCCTATAATATTTATATGAATTCATTTTACACACAGGTGTATGGGATGTCTCCTTACAGTCAGGTCAGAAATTTTCCAGTTCAGGAAAGCATTATAATTTTTGTCATATCATTTTCACACATTTCTTATCAAATATGCTTCTATTACATTTTATCTTTTGTTACTAGTATTAATTGAGTCATGGATTTTGTTGCTATTATAAGTTGAGTCTTATAGCTTTGTTATTATTATGATTTAAGTCAGAGTTTTCTATTACATTTACTAGAAAACTTTTTTGTATATTTATGTTTTATTCAGCCACCTTCTGGATTATTTTATCAGATATAATCATTTTCAATGTATTCTTTTTAGATATCTTAAAATAATTTCTATTACATATTATATATTTTATGTATTTTTATTATAAAGTTTTCAAGTAGATAATCAAGGTGAATTGTACAGCTACCATTTATATACAAAATATCTAGATTCTACCATTGACATTGTACTATATTTACTTTGTCACATATTTATTCATATATCAATGTTTTTCATCTAATAATATACTTTAGATTTTGAAACATTTCTAAGTAAACCATAGACATCAATACATTTTCTACATGCTTCAGCATTCACAGTATTAACTAGAGCTTTATATTTTTGTACATTTTTCTTTTAAAAGTAATTTACTTACAATGAAATGCACAAATCTTAAGTGAGTCTTCAATGAGTTTTGGGAAATGCACAAACCTGGCAACAAAAGCCCATTAGCCAGAAAATTCCCTTATTCCTTTTTCTAGTCAATCTGTGCTCTCACCTTCTCAAAGGCAACCACTATTCTGAATTTTTCCTCCATCAATTAACTTATCCTATTCTAAAAATTTTATAAATGGAATTATATGCTATCCAATTATTGTGTAAATATTATTTATTTCACTTATCATCTGTTTAAAGATAAAGTTGAAGCACTTTTTCATGTGTTTTTGGCTATTTATATACCATCTTTTGTAAAGCACTTGTTCAAATATTTTGCATTTAAAGAATCATATTGAATTTTGCTTTTTACTATTCAGTTATAAGAGTTCCTTGTATATCATAGATTCCGGACATTTTTTAGATACATTTTGCAAATATTTCTTCTCCCAGCCTGTAGTTGCATATTTATTTATTTCTTATCTTTTGATAAACAGACATTGTTAATTTTGATAAAGTCTATTATGTTACTTTTTTCTATTGTATTAATATTTTCTGTTATTTGTTTATGAAAACTTTTAGTAGCTCCAAGTCATGAAGATATTATTCTATGCTTTACTCCCAAAGATTTATAAGTTTAGCTTTTATTTTTAGATGTATATGCATCTTGAATTAATTTTTGTGTATTACACGAAGTAGGTATGAAGTTCCTTTCTCTTTTTTTAAAATTTTTTTTCAAGTTCCTTTTTCAAAACAATATTGATACTTAGTTACTCCAGCATCATTTGATGGAATTAGTTTTCTCATTGCATAACTTTGTCACAAATCAAATGACAAGGTATGTGTGAACATATTCTGGGCTTCCTCTTCCATTCCATTTATTTATGTGTTGATCCTTATGCCAGCTACTGTTTTAATTATTGCAATTTTGCAGAAAGTTTTGAAATCAAGTCATGTAAATCCTACAACTAAATTACTTTTCAAAATTGTTTTGGATAGTCTAGGTCCTTTCCAGTTCAGTATAAAATTTAAAATCAGTTCAATTTATACAGAAAAGACTACTGGGTTTACATTTGAAAGTGCATTGACTCTATAGATAAATTTGGGAAGAATTGGCATCATAATAACATTTAATTTTTTGCTTTATGAACATGGTATATCTCTTCACTTATTAAGTCTACTTTAATTTCTTTCCATGTTGTAGTTTTCCTTGTAGAGGTAATGCACATATTTTGTTATATTGATTCCCAAATATTTTATAATTTAAACACTATTGTAAATAAATTTTTAATTTAATTTTTCAACAGTTGGCTAAAAGTATATAAAAATTCAATTGAATATTGTATATTTACCGTGTATACTATAAACTAATTAAATTCACTTATTTATGAAGTTGTTTTGTATATTTTTTAAGGATTTTCTACAAAAACGATCATACCATCTGCAAATAGAAACAATCTTTCTTCTTTCTTTTAAATCTTTATAGCTTTTGTCATATTTTTTCTTTGCATTATTGCAATGTCTAGAACCTCCATTTCCACTTGATTTTAGCCAAAAGGCCTAGAAGTGGTAGAATATCCATTTGAATAGAAGTTGTAAGTAGACATTCTTCTTTATTACCAATCTTAGAGCGAAAGCATTTAATATCTTACCATCAAACAGGAAATAATCTGTAGAATTTTCATAGTGACTTTTATCAGATATCTTGAATTTTCTAAGGATGTTGGCATAAACGTGTTGAATCTTGCCAAATTATCTTTCTATATTTATTAAAATAATCATAGGAATTGTTTCCCATTTATTCTCTTTAGATAGTGAATTATTTGATTTATTTTTGAACACTTTTAGATTTTCTAAGTAGGTGACAATGACAGTTTATTCTCTTCTTCTAGTATATACACGTCTTATTGCTTTTCTTTTCTTCTTGCTGCATACATTAAGCCCTCTACCATGATGCTGAGTAAACATCTAATGGCAATTGAATTTGTTACAAGTCTTTTAAAATCAAGAATGGTGGTTGAACAGTGCTTTTTCTAAATTCATTAAAATAACCATATATTTATTTCTAAAATATATTAACAGATTTATTATATGCATGGATTTCCTAGTGCTGAACTATTCTTACATTACTAAACATTACTTGATCATGATGCATTCTTCTTTCTAATAGATGACTATGAATTTTTATCTTAAAGTTTTTGTGTGCATAGTTATTGTTTGTGCTCTGTTTTTTTTAATTGTAATATCAAGGCTGTATTAGCCTTGTATTAGGCAATCAGTTTTCTTCTTTTACAAGGTTATAGGAAAATATAAATAACAATTATTTTCTGTTGCTTGAATGTTTGATTAAGTTATTTATAAAACCATCTGCATCTGATCTCTTTTCTTTGCAGGCAAATGTCTCATAAAATTATTGATCTATTCATGTATCTTTTACTTTAATTTAAAAAATTCACATTTTCCTATAAAATTATGTATTTCATCTAGAATTTCTTATATAAAATTATATATAATATTATCTTATAATTTTAAATTGGATAATTTCTATATCTATGGCTCCTTTTTTAGTTCTAATAGTTTTTATTTATATTTTTTCTATATTTTTATAATCTTTGACAGAGGGTGGCTATTTTGTTGATCTTTTATTAGAACTAGATCTTGGTTTTATGTGTTAATTGTATTGATTTGAATTTTGATTTCAGATTCATTCTCTCCTGTTTTATTATGCTCCCTCTTTCTTTCTGGTTCCAAGCATTTTCTAATAAATGCACTTATGATTATTAATTTTCTTTTGATTACTGCTTTGGATATAACGCATCCATTTTTCTATGCAGTGTTCTCATCGTCATTCACATCTAAGTAGCTTTTACATTATGTTTATTTTTGATTTTTTAACCCCAAAATTAAATAAAACAGTATTTTTAAAATCTCAGCAGTTTGTTTTTTTTTGTATTAGCTATTTATTTTTTGTTAAAATGTACCTTATATTATTTCTGCTGATTGGAATCCTTTGGGATTTCCATTGTAGCCTACAATATTGTCCATTTTTATAATTTATCATGAGTATTTTAAAATATGCAGTCTTAATTTTATTTTTATTGATATTATCTATATATTACTTTTGTTCTCTTGATCTATTACTTTTTGAAAAGGATTTTACTCTGGTTAAATCCCTATGTGCTTTGAAATAATTTTTGCTTTATGAATATTTCCAAACTATATTCTTCATAGAATAAAACTATGTTTTTGAAAAATTTTCAAAATGTATTCAATATCTATCATGTACCAGATACTTAGAAATACTGGTCAATAAGACAGAATTGTACCTTCTCTGCCTTAAGGTCATACAGTCTTCTAAAAATAATCACAGTAATTTCTGGTAATGATAATGCTATGAAGACAATAAATACATTAGAAAACAGCATTTATAATGAGCTCAGAAGGATTTTTAAGCAGATGAGTAACTATCTAACTTACATTAAAATAGAGCATTTTGGATGCTCTAGGGATGTTAAAATTAAAAATGGGAACATCATTTAACAGGCTATTGCAGTGGATTAGAAAAGACATGATGATGGTTTGCATTAGGATCATGGTGGGCCAAATCAGTGAGGAGGATGTGATAGAAGTATTACTTTCAAGGCTTTGGCTTAAGCCACTGAATAGATGGTACAGTCTTCACTGGACTGTACAGAAACACATTTGAGAATGTAGAAACACTAAGGACAGAAACACATTTGAGAATGTAGAAACACTAAGGACAGAAACACATTTGAGAATGTAAAGTATGAGTGGGCATTTTAAGAGGTAACTGGGCAGGGATTGTGCGGAAGTCAAGACATGCTTTGAAAATGTCACAGTCCTTATTAATATGCAACTGGATATATCAAGAAGGAAGCTGGATATATGAGCCTGGAATTCAAGGGAGTAATCAGGATTGGAAACTAAAGTTGAGAGTCGATAGCATACAGATAAAATCATGGAACTGGATGAACTTACATAGAGACTTTGCATAAATGAAGATACGGGAGCCAGTACTGATCCTGGATCTATAAGCACTTAGAACAGCATAGAGGAGGAGAAGAAGGAGTGAGAAAAGGAGCTTAAGTTAGAGCAACTTAATAAATATAAAGGAAACCAAGAGAAACGAGTCAGACAAGACAAAAGAACATATGCTTCCAGAAAAAAGAAATGATCAAATGTGTTGAATGCAACTGAGATGTAGAATAGGATGAGAATGAAAGATTACCACTATCTTTGGCCACATGGAAGAAATTAATAACCTTGACAAAAGGAATTTCCAACCAGAGTTGGGTTTGAAAATAAATGCAAAGGATTTGTGCAGTGAATGGGAAGTAATGAAATAGAAGTAGCAAGTGTTTTGAGTTTATCTCAATGAAATTCAGAGGAACAATGTATTGAACTGGGTTATTTTTCATTGTATGTACTGATGTAACAAAAGGAAAGGTCATTTCATCTAATAAATTCAATTTAGGAGATTGAGGTGATCCCATTTATTGCATTCAATTAACTATTTAAACCCTGCATTGTTTTCTTCCTGGGATGTTCCCAGATTGATGGAGTAGATTAAGTATTTAAAGCAAACAAACGAATACAAACCTTGACCACTTCGAGTTGATGTGAAGAATATTCCTCTGTTTTTCTGGGTCTGTCAAAACTTCATTGTTTCTATTGTGAAATGCTACATTCCCCATTAATTACATCATTTGGGAAATAATTCATCACTACTGAAACTTTCCCACCAGAAACCTTGGACATGATACAGGTTTTCACTTTGGTTCCATTAAGATTTTATTTTAATATGTCTAACCTTCTGTCTGACAAAGGTGATTTTTTTTTCTTGCTCTACTTTTCATCTCTAGTGTAATGCCAAAAATGAGGTTTCTCATGCACAATCTTATTACTGGTAGCAATTGTATCATATCAAGTGACTTTTCTGGCAGCCAGCAGCAAGATTTTAAAAAACCAATAAAAAAAACTTTCTTTTCGCTTAGAAAAAGGAAATCCCAAGATGCTTGATTAAATGTATTCTGTCTCTTTTTACCAATGATTTCACAAAAATTGAATAGGAATACTTGATCACTTTACAATCATCTCCTTTCTTAATGAAATAAAGACATGTTGAAAATAGTATCTTCTACATACTATCTCAACGATCCCAAATGTGTGATTAATACTCATATAGGGAATCTTGTAACTAATCTTTTTAGACATATTAATTTATATTTCAGCCCAAACTCTTGATTCTGTTGATTAGGACTCAGAAGGGTAGGAGAAGAATAGCATTCATATTTTTAACGGCTAGAGTCTCTTTGAAAATCCCTAAGGAAAGAGACCTATTTTCAAAATAGAATAGATAAAGCATGACTTTGAAGGAAGTTTCAATAGGTCTTGTGAAAAATGATGGCAAATGGACACTGTGACCACTTCAGTTTGTGGAGGGTAGTTCTCACCAAGGCCTTACCTGGATTATCTAGAAAACGGGTTTTTATCTAAGAGGGATGTGAAGATTTGGCTGCTCAGAGAGGCATCCAAAGAGGTTGTAGAGATGAGCAGTTATAATAAGGGAGTATTCTCAAAAGCAGGGAGAAAATGTTTGCCAAAACTACCCACTGTTATTTCATAAATTAAAATATGGATTTCTCTTAATTTTTAATAAATGTTGTATCTACAAAGGAAAATATGCTCAGAACAGTGACTGGTCCTCTTGGTAATTGGAGTAACATTTTAAGAAATCTAAGTATAAAACTGACTTAAGCCTTGAAACGCTTGTAAAAATCAGAAATCTGCCAGTAACATGTTGGGAAGGAATTGACCAGATTGAGTTTCCGTGTTAATAGATTCAGATTTGTTTGCCATTCTACTTGATTGGTAGATAAAAGTGGTTATCTGTGGATAACTGAGTTAGCAAATGAATGTCAATGGATCAAAAAACACACCTTGCAACATGAAATCCTGGAATGTGGAAATTGAAGAACCCTTGTACCATGAACCAGTATTATCTGGTAGATTCATGATAAAGTAAGCCATCAGGAATGGTATCTGAAATCTTTCTGTAATGACTATAATGGTCAGAAATGTAACTCAGTGAAAACATTTCCTACTGATTTGGGGTCAATCTTAATATGTTACCCAGGTTAATGTCACCCTTTCTTTAGGAAATAATAAAGAAGTGGTTGTATCCTCATCCCACAGGAAGTCCAAAGGGAACTTTGAATTGCTTGTAATGATTGCTTTCTACTGGCCTGAATGAATTAACTGCCTCCTCAGGGAATGGTGTTCGGTCTGTGCCAAAAAGATAGAGAACTTTAAGCTTGTAAATGGAGAATGTGTCAGAAATTAAAAAGAGGATGGCAGCAGATACCAAGATCTGCTGGAGCAGAAATGCATAGTCTATGATTATTAATGGACCGATTATCTAAGCTCTCTGTTTATCCTCTAGTTATATTTTTCATGTAATAGGGTAACATTTTATTAAGGTTTTACTCTGTGTCAGGCTCTGTGCTGATGTTTACTGTGTATTTAACCCACTGGGAGGGGTGCTATTGATACTGTTTTACAAATGAGGAGAATTGGGACCAAGAGATGTTAAAACCAAAACCTAAACAAACAAACAAAAATCTGTCCTGATTTACTCAGCTAGCAAGAGCAGAGCTGGGATTTAAAACCTAGACAGTGTGACTCTAACTATGTACTCCTAACCATTATGCTACACCGTCACCTTTAACCTAAGGATGGGCCTATGCCACAAAGAGGCAGACAGAGTTTAAATCAATAAAGAGAATAAAGAAATTATCTCAATTGAATGCTAGCTTTGCATTTTCAATGAGGCACAGTTTTTTCTGCCCTCCATTATCAAAATTAGGGGAATTATATCTGCTAAGATTTTATATTTTGGGGGGAAAGTTTGGAAAACCTCTAGCTGATAATTAAGGCCGTCAACTACTGCAGCCTACATTATGATTGCTCCTGGTATCTAGAAATTGCCAGAGCATTTATGAAAACATAAATCAATCAGTACTCAATAGTTATTATCCCTTTTACTGTAAATTTGACAATTAGAAAAAAGCTCTAGAGATGAAGTCTTCTCACATAATCTTTATGCATGAGTAATTCCCGGCATAGACTCTAAGAAAGATAAAGGAGGATAATAATAGAATAGAAGGATATGAGAAACTTGAAAACCCCAGTATGTAAAACTGATGAGAGAGTGAAATGCCAGAACATTTTATTCACACTTAAGCTTCTGGGGAAAAATAATCAGTGAGGATCAACTTGTCCAAGGTTATCCAATTGTCTTTCTGGCTGAGCAATTTGATATTTGACATTTTATTGTGTTTATCAAAACTCTAATACCATACTCAGAATATTCTCAATCAGCTTTGCTTCATTTTTTAGGGTTTGGGGGTTAGGAGGGCAATTTCACATTGTAGGATAAGTTACTAATAGGCATTTCTTGCTTTTTATCAAATAGTCATTTATGAGGAATTTAGTTTTGATTAAGTAGAAGGTATTAAACATTTTTCCACTAAGAACTGTTATGGCTGACACTAAAACTCTGTTGAATGACACACAAATCCTTTGCTCATTTATTTTTTCATTTTAGTATTTGAAAAGCTGAAAATACCTTGCTCAATCAAAAAAATTTTTTGCTGTCAAAAAAATACGTTTCTTCTTGCCAAAGATAGTAATAACTGTTCATTTTACCAAAAAGCCATAATGCATTCCGGTCCCCCTTTTTTTTTTTTGTCATGGAAATATAAACTTAGGAATTAAGACTGGGTTGTTTGCCTGACAGAGTTAGAATCAGAGAAAGCATAATAACACATGAAGAGTTTCGTAATGCTTTAAAAGTCTATATGGAGTTGCTGTTCCCCAGAACCTTCCAAGTGACTTAATCTCTTAACTTCCAAGTCACCTAGAAACTTTTACCTCAGACAGTTTTTAAAATTGTGCTTTCTCATCTCTTCATTGAAAGATACAAGAATAATAAACATAATTTCTTTAATCCAACTTGGCCTAGGAGTAAGATAATCTTCAATTAATCATCCAAACTGGAACACCAATTTGAGTAAAAGAGGCCATTATTAATAATTGCCACAGGTGTAAAATGCATCTATCCAATGGGTGTTGTTACCAACCTAGGAGCAATTTCCCTAGACATGAAGTGACTGGAAATGACTACAGGAATTGAAAAATCTTAAAATTCAAAATACTTTGAAAAGCAACATTGCTGTGTTCTCTGGAGGCCTGTGAGAGTACATTAAATAGCTATGGAATTTTATTTCAGGTGTTTTCTCTAGATGACCAGGTTTTAAATTCTAAGCTTACAAGGATAGTTAATTTATTTAGTTCAGCTTATTAGCACACGTTGAACCTAAAAATCTTATTATTTCTTTTTAGCAGTTCTTTTCAGTTCAAGATGCAATCATTTCTTCCCTGACTAGGTCTACAAAATACCAGCTATCTGTAAGCACGATTACTAGGTAGTTACTTTTCTAATCACTGCTACGAGTTCCCTCTGGTTCTTCTTAATGTCTCTGAGAAAACCATAAACAAACCTGCTTCTGGGTTTTTCCCCACTTTTATGCTTATGTTTGTAGAATCTACTTTTCATCCGAAGCATTATCTGGCCTCCCCACTAATTTACTGTAACATTCACTGTCTCCTGTTCTGGGTTCTTGTAACACTTAATGTCCTTGATGTTTATAAGAAGCACCATTTATTACTGTAATATTTTTGTGTATGTATATCATAATATCTCCATTAGACTGCAAGTTATTTGAAGATAAGGACCAAATCTCATGTTTATTTTCTCTTTCCTTTTCTGCTTTCCCATAACTAACACAGAATCTTGCTATGGCAGGGATAGATTGGCACGTATTTTCTAGCCTGTACTCTTCCTGTCTCTAGGCTAAACACTCCTCTGCCTGTAGCACTGAAGATCTAGGCCGTACTCATAGGTGACACAGCTGGTTGCTCAAGGCTGATTTTTACCAAGATGGAACCTAACCCATGCGGCATCAATTAGATTCTAATTTCTAAAAATAGGACCCAGGAAGGACAATTAGTTTTTGTTGACTGCTCATCCTGAGTCAATGTAAAGACAGAGATGGGGAGGTCATTTACGGTCATGTGGATAGGAGTCAACATGGCATGAGAACAAAAAAAAAAAATGAAGCCAGGCTTCCAAAAGAAACAGAAGTGAGGGGCCATGTGCCGGGAAGTTGGAGAACATAACCTAATCTCCTGTCCTTCTGGCCAAAGCCACTTCCAATCATTCTTTTCCACATATCCTAATTTTATCTTCTCCATAGCACCTATCAGAGTTTGAAATAATTTTTTTTTTTTGAGATGGAGTTTCGTTCTTGTTGCCCAGGCTGGAGTACAATGGCACGATCTTGGCTCACTGCATCCTCCACCTCCCAGGTTCAGGTGATTCTCCTGCGTCAGCCTTCCTGAGTAGCTGGGATTACAGGCATGCATCATCACACCCGGCTAATTTTTTTGTATTATTAGTTGAGATGGGGTTTCACCATGCTGGTCAAGCTGGTCTCGAACTCCTGACCTCAGGTGATTCGCCCGCCTGGGCCTCCCAAAGTGCTGGGATTACAGGTGTGAGCCACTGGGCCTGGCCTGAAATGAAATTTTTAACTTATTTGGCCATGAGTGTATTTTGTGTCTCTCCCTTCTAGAATGTACTTCATATCAGCAATGACTTTGGCGTGTTCACTGCTGCCTCTCTAGCACTTGGACCAATATGCCTAACATAGCCACACTCAATCATATATGTGGAATAAATGAAGACACGAATAAATATTTAAATGAATTCCTCTTTCTTAGAAGTTTAAGGGACTTGGAGCACAGACCATGTTGATATATTCAGAGGGAAAATCAGAACACGAGGTGTGACTTGGGACAGGGGAGTCACAGTGGAAAGTTCTTAACCAGGCTGAGGTTACACAGTGGTTTGGGGAAATAGAAGAGAAAGAAGGAACAGGGAAAAAGAGGTCCCAAAAAAGAGATTGGGAGGAAATCAGAGAATAAGCTCTCCATTTAGAGATTTTGCTGTTTGCTGCCCTTGTACGACAGCAGGTAAAGTAAGTGCCTCCAAATAGCCAGCTGCCAGGATAGCCTGAGAAAGGGGTGGGAAACAGGGGCTGGAGAGAACAGAAGACTTGGGGCCTTTTACAGCAAGTGCAAACTTTCACACCTGTCGCTATAAATCAAGAGGTTTATGGGGCGGCAATATTTACACTGTAATTAAAAAATCATAAAGCAAGCACCCTTTCAGGTTGTGGAAAACAAAACTCTCAAGTTCTACAGCAGCGGCTGTTAATCAGTTACTCCTAACGATCTGCTGCCCAGATTGGGTGCTTACTCGGCCACAAACAGCAAACAGGACAATGGGAGAAAGTGGGATTTGCACACGATAACGGCTTTCAGAGGTGGCTAGGACTTGGCCAGAAACCTTTCAGTTTACTGCATAGTCTCTATTGGAGCTTGGGAAAATATTTTCTGTGAACCTAGTTGGCAGCTTAGGTTTCCTTCTCCCCTGTTCCCATGTGGAACTGAAGTCCATTTACTAAGGTGAGTATGGTGGCAGTATTAGGCACTGTGGGTAGGGTTAGTGGCAGACACAGAATTTAACATGGGGGAATAACTTACCTATGGAAGTGGCAGACCCACCACATGCACCTGGAATTGCAGACCTGAAAACTGGGCAAGCTGAAGTTCACCTCAGTCTTTTTGGTGTCTCCTGCCCTTCTGGTAGGTCTTCTTTCCATCCAGAGGCCAGGCCCGCCAGTTGCTGTTGGGCACACAGAACAGTCCAGGCCAGTCCTTCAGGCTCCTGCCTGTTTCTGCACCCTTTACCGCCCTCTCATTCCCCTCCACCTCATTTCAACCTCAGGGGCCTTCTTTCAGCTCCTGGAAGGAATGGTGCTGTCTCACCATCAGGGCCTCATATGCTTTCTGCCCAGTATTCCCCTGCAGCGTTCCTTCTCATTTTTCAGATCACTGCCTTAGAATGGTCTGCTCTAAATTGGAGAAGCCATCCCTGTTTTTTATCCTTTCTAAATTTGTTTTTCATTGATACATAATATTTGTACAATTCATGGGGTACATGTGATATTTTGTTACACGCATAGAATGTGTGATGATCAAGTCAGGATATTTACGATATCCATTACCTCGAGTGTTTATCGTTTCTATGTGTTGGGATAATTTCAAGTCCTGTCATTGTCTTCCACAGCACTTTCCACAATCAGTGATGAGATACTCATGCTTTCACTTTCTTCTTTTTCCTCACCGTGTTGCTCAACCATGGCATGGCTCTTTCACACACCCCTGAATATACAAGGCCTTGCACAGTGTCTGGCATATAGAAGCTTAATTTACACTTGTTGAATGAATGAATGAATGAATACCAATCAATTGTGCTTCCCAATTTGGCTTTCCAAGTTTGACAACTGGGATGAAATATCCAGAAAGAATTTGTCCTTATTTTCTTTCTCTGTCACTACCTAATGTGGTTTATACAATATATAATTTTGTTTCCTTCCTTCTCTAACCCTCAAAGTGGAAATTCCCACTATTGTGGGAATTTCAACAGCTGTACGTATGAGGAGGAAGGTCACATTTTGGCAGGCATTAATTTACACCACACGGCAAATACTGTCGGACATGGTGGAAGAATTCCTGGCCTTGCTTCCAGTAGACCTGATTTTGAATATTGCCTTATATACACATTAGAGTAAATCATTGCACCTCTATGAACTTCACTTTCCTTATCATTGCAATAAATACAAAATGAGCTATCATTTAAGGAAATCTTTTGCAAATGATCAAGAAGACATAATTATTTCATCATTTTTATTCCACTGATCATAAGGTTCTCCTGCATTAGGCGGTGGTCTGGGGTTCCCTGTATACAATCTGGGGTCATGAAATTCACCTCCTTTCCTACCCTCCTTTGCCACCTGGAGTAATCTTCTCAACTTGTGCCCTCTGTGAGGACTCTCCCCTGTTTTCATCCACTGGCACTGTGCTTTTCCTTTGGCCCTGGCCATGTGATTACTTGTAGGAGGATGCTTCCAAGGCCTCTGAGAGTATCAGTAAAAGTGCTAACCCTGTCACCCTCCACTGTTCTTGTTTCTTGGGTTGTATTCATTTTATTAGCAAAATACACAGGCCTAGTGAAATGTAATAGACTTCTACCTCCAAAGATAATTAGAAGCCCATTTATTTGCCAATTCAATGAAAAGGCAACCACAAAAGGAAACCAGCTTTTATCAGCACATGCTCACAGCTCAGATCCCTGTGGTGTTGTGCTGCTCTGGCACTTGTGAAAAAAATAAATCCTGGGAAAACTAGGTTGCATTACGCTTCCTGTTAAACACAGAAAAGAAACAGCTGATGTCTGAATTTGCTAATTTCTGCTGATTCAGTTAGAGGGCAATGCACTCAGCTAACGAGGGATCTATCCAGGTATGTGAATTAAGGCTTGAAAAGAAAGTGTAGGTTGTAATCAGTGCATCCAGCACTGAGTTGGAATCATTATTTAGTGAGCATTTTCCAAAGAAATTAGAAAAGATTTCCAAGCTTAACAGAGCTTTCTGGATTCTTCCTTCTCATGGACATAATATAACAAAAATACAATCCCCTGCCCCTCCTTCAATCCTGGGATTTTAAGCAATGCTCAAGTGACCTTGTTTTCATGTTCTGTGGAAATAAGGTAGATACTGTTATCTCACCTGTATTAATACAGAACTCTGTATAACAAAGAAGTTGTAATTTATCAAAGGTCACACAGTGAGTCATTGCTGTAATCACAAAGCAAATGTTCAGGTTCTCATCTCCTTGGCAGCAAATGTTTTGTTCTCTAGGTTAGACTATCTTCTCTAAACTCTCATCATATGCCACTGCCTTCCCCTGCTGGTCTATCTCCAAGAAAGATACACACACACACACACACACACACACACACACACACACACACACGCTTTACCTATTCATCCCATCCCTCCCCTATCCTCCCAACTATCCACCCACTAGTCATCATCCATCCCATCTAGGATTGTCAGTTTTAAGAAAATCAAGACACCCAGTGAAATTTCAATTCAGATAAACAACAAATAATACTTTAGTATAAGTCCCATGCAATACTTAGGACACATTTTTTCTGAAATATCATTCACCATTTATTTTACATTCAAATTTCACTGGATGCCTGTATTTTATCTGGCAAACCTAATCCGATCACAAATGTCTACATCTTTTCCATTTATCTCCTAATTCCATGACTCTTTCAACTGCTTTTCTCCTTTAACTCCTATTATTTCAGATTTCAGCTAAACAAACTACAACCTATTTTCCCAGTGTTTCCAAACCTGTCCCGAGGCAGAGATGATTGTAAAGAGCCCCTCAGGAGCACTTATTTGTGGTTTCTAGGCTGAAGGCTGGCTGTGCAACTTTGGGTAAGTATTGTAATATCTCTAAAGGTCACTTTCCTTGTCTGTAAAATGAGGGTTTCAACAGTTACTATCTCATAGTCCTGTGGTGAGGACTAAATGACAATGCACAGTCCCTAGCACATAGTATGAGCTCATTAAAGTGGCATTAAATGTCAGCTAGTGTGGTTGGGGTTGCTGCTCTTACGTTTATTGTCATTTTTTAGATAAGAACATGCCTAGAGAGCTGAAATTAGTTGTTGATGTTTACTTAGTGACAGTGCTGCTAAATATTCAAGGGATAGATTCTGAGACTCTACTGCAAATGTCAAATGCAATGTTTAAATTCAACATCTTAGACCTACATCACTTGAAGACCAATTTGGCAGACACTGTTATTCATTTACCCAATTGCCATTCCCATTGCTTCATTTCTTCCTTGCTGGAAGAGCTTCAGTTTTAGAAAGTGCCTCTGCCCAGCCACATGTGTGTGCTGGGAAATGGTCTCCTTCCCAACCCAAGCAAGGACTTGTTATCATGTGATTGGTTTATGCATGGATTTGTGACCCCTCCCTGGCCAATGGGCCCCGAGGTATGCTGAGGGTCTTCTGGAAAAGATTTTTTTCTTGGTAATAAAAATATGTGCATGGGAAAACATCCTTTTCTGCTCTGGATGGGACCACGTCAAAGCATAATTCTTGAAACTACCACAGTCAACTTGTTACCAGGAAAGGAGAGTTCCCCAATACCCTGAACATGGCAAAGTAGACAAGGAAAACATGTGTGTTGTTGGGGATTGTCAAGCTACTAAATTTTCCTTGGAACTGACTTGACTTTAGATTTCTTATTTTGTGAAATAATAGTTCCTTTTTCTGTTTAAGCATTCTTGATCTATCACCTGTGACTGAAAGCTCCCAAACTGATGCAAAACTTCTAACTACATAGGAAAGAGATGAATTCAATGGTGATCACTTTCCTTTGGATCTCTGCAAAACTACATACCTACTCAACATATTTTTGGATATAATTTCAGGTAAGAGAACATCTTTCACCTCAAACATCTGATTTCCTAAACTGTTTGTGAGCCATTTGCCTTTTGTGCAAGGGTTTCTGAGCATGTAGCTTTGGCTTGGTAAGCAGCCCTCTCCACAAGAGTTTTGGAAAGAGATTTTCTCCTAGGAAACTGCAAAGAAAACTGCTTCTTGCTCAAAAAGAGGGCTTCTCCTAGGTGCATAGAAATCTGGGTTCTTTGAACAGCTCCATGAACTTATTACACTGCTTCCAAATTTAGCTTCTTTCCAATGAATTCCTTTTATGTCACACAGACATATGTACACATGTATTTATTTCCTGTGAACAAGTGTTTGTTGAGTTTGTTATCAGCTTTCTGCTAGGTCTTGGAGGCAACAAAAATATGCAAAGAAATTGACCTCAAGTTGATCACCTTTTCTTTGGAAAGATATATTAATAATAACAATAATAATAATAATAATACAAGCTTATTAATTTAAAGTTTAAAAATGTTTTCAAATACACTATCTTATACTGGGCAGGACTTAATAAAGTTCCAAATCTGATAAAGTATATATTACATGGACTAACCATATAAAAACAATATATTTTGTGCCAATACTTAAGGCACATATCAGTAATTTTCAGTTTTCACAGGGCATCAAAATCACTGAGGAAAACCTGCTAAAAGTATAGTAGGAGCTTGATTCAGGAGGTCTTAGGGGAGAGCAGAAATTTGCTTACCTGTTTTTCAAAAAGTGTGCATATGATTCTGATGCAGATGTTTCGTAGACCGTGTATTGAGGGACACAACCATAATAATCTAAATTATTAGCCAGGAACTGGTGAGTCCAGTGTTGGCTTAAAGCACTGGTTCTCAAAGTGTGGTCTCTGAATCAGTAGTGCAAGTATCCACTGGGAACTTATAAGAAGTATTCAAATTCTTTTTTTCCTTCTTTTCTTTTTCTTTTTCCTTTTTTTTTTTTTTTTTTTTTTGATACAGGGTCTCAGTATGTTGTCCAGGCTGTTCCTGAACTCCTGGGCTCAAGTTATCCTCCTGCCTTGGCCTCCAAAATTGCTAGGATTACAGGCATGAGCCACCATGCTTGGCCTTTTTTTCCTCTTGTTAATTTTTTTCGGAGGGATTTGAGAAATGTTTAAATTCTTGGCCTTATCCCAGACCTGATAAATCAGAAATTCTAGGAGTGAGGTCCAGCAATATATATTTTAGCAATCTTCCGGGTGATTCTGATGCATGCGAAAAGATTAAAAAATGCTGACTTAAATATCTGGTAAATACCCCTGGAGGAAGAAGAACTTGAGATATACTTGGTACAATTTGGATAGGATGAAAAAACTGAGAAAATCACTCCCCATCAGCTGTTACCCATCCGAGGCAGGAAGGGAGTCACGAGTAGGGTGCATAAGGCACTTGTTAGAAGGAGCCTGGCCTGACACAAGAGTATTGAAAACCAAGGGTTGCCTTACCATGCCCACCCACTGACTGGCATGGCATTATTTGCCTGGAGTTTAGGAGCCTTTTCTGGGATCTTTTACATCGGTTGCTTCTTGGGTATACCTTCAGATTTGGTACAGACTAGTTGCTTCTCTGCCAAATCAGATACTGTGGTGAACTTTTTTGGGGTGTTTAGGAGCCCCCCTGGACAATCTTTCTTTTGACTCATCCTTCTCTAGCTGAGGATGATACCACTGGGTACAAGAGGCGTGAAGACAGCTTAATAAAATCATTTTGTTTCTCCATTTTGTACTTCTGCAAGGAAGGGATTCTTTTCAGTAAGACCCTGAAAAGGCTTTCAACATGAGGCCCAATGGTGAGTGAGCTCAAATAGCTATTGTTATTTTGATCATCACTTCCAAGAACTGCGGGGTTCTTTGGTTGGGTTAACTCAGACTAACATCTTCCACGGCATTCTCTTTGGTCAAGCAGTTCTGGCTTTATGAGTATTGGGTGACTTCTCCTGTGGAGCTCCTCCATAGAGAACTTAGAAATGGATTTTTTTTCCAGGCAGAAGAAATGGTAAACTTCACAGGTTTTGTAGCAAGTATTAACATACCCTTAATGAGGTCTTGGGAGCCTTCACCTGGCTGAGTTTCTTGGCTTTATTTAGAGAAGCTGGGCCTCTTGGAGGGGACCAGCTACCAAGATTGTTTTCAAACCTGCTTCTCTCAGCATAGTACTTACAGGACTTGACAAGACCTGTTGCCAATCTTCAGGGTTTTCCAAGGTCTCGTAACAGGGTCTGGGAGGCAGCCACTCTTCAGAACTCTTTCATCTTCAGAAGAGCTTTCTGACACTGAGGTGATTTTGGCTGATGTCCAGGCTTCCCCAAGACCTGGACAAAATGTCTGGGAGTCAGCTGCTCCTTGAACCCACTGTACTTTTCACAAGCACTCTCTAAACCTGAGGAGACTTCTTGCTTGTCTTCAGGCCTCCCCAAATGACTGAAAAGAATATCTCATAGGAAGCAGCTTCTAAAGAATCTCTTCTTCAATATCAGTGCCCTCCAAACATGAGAAGACTTGGTGCTGGACATGAGGCCTCCACAAAGATTTGGAAAGATGAATTAGAGGCAGTTTGGAGGTGCACAAATGCACCCAAACTTGAGATCTGCCATCCTCTGAACCTCATAAAAGACTGGGAAGGACCCTTGGAAGGCAGCATCTTTTCTGAAATGCACCCCATGACAGACAGCAGCACTCTCTGGACCTGAGGAGATTTGTTGGAATTTATTTTTCACCAAGGATAAGGCACCCCACAATAGCAGTCATCTCTTCAGAGATCTGCAGTCTCTGAGAACCTTCAGAGACTGAGTATTTGCCTTTAGGCCCCCACTATGGCTGGGAAGGGAATCTTGGAGGCTCCACACAAATGCCTCCCTCAACAGCAGCACTCTCTGCACTTGAGGAGATTTGCAGGACTTTAGGCTCTGTCAAGGACTGGAAAGGCTATTGGGGGAACTGTGGCTCTGCAGAAATGCCCCCTTCACTAGCAACACCCACTGAGCCTGACAGTACTGCTGCCCAGAATTAGGTCTCACCAAGGGCTGGGAATGAAGTCTGGTGGAAAGTAGATCCAGAGAAATGCTCCTCTCGACAGCAGGGCTCTATGGGCCTGGGGAGGCTCCTGGCTCCACTGTTGGCCTCCCTAGGGGCTGAGGCCACCCGGGCTGGAAGGCAGTCCTCTTTTTAAACCCTGCACTGGAAGAAGCACTCCACCTTTGCTTTATGTCACACTGTTGAATACTTACAATTGAGTCAAGGATATAAAAGAGGCTGAGGAGACTACGTTTGTCCAGCCATGAAATAGGCCAGTTAAGCTGCAGCCTAGAGAGAGCAGCACTCTCTCTTCCCTGGGAAGCACCCAGAGGACAGAATGAATGGGTCGCAGCATGACTACTGCTGCTGCTTCTCTCACCACTTATTCTGAAAATCATCTGTGGTAGGAAATGCAGCCTTGGATTCTGCAGGCTCTCCCCAGCATTGCTCACGTTAGGACTATTGCAGCTTGAGTACCATTTTGTTCCTCAGAGCAGCATCCTGAGATTTGTGTATGCACAACAAGTAGTGAATTTACAGTGCAAATTATTTATGTTGCTAACAAATTACAGTCATCCCTCAGTATCCACAGGGGATTGGTTCCAGGAAACATACATACACACACACACACACACACATACACATACACACACACACGCACAGAGTTACCAAAATCTGTGGATGCTCAATTTCCTTACATAAAATACATAGTATTTGCATGTGTGAAACCTGCAGATACAGCCAATCGCGCGTGTGTGTGTGTAAATTATATATATATACACACACACACATATATACATAGACTAGTCTCTTATGAAGGTAAATCTATAATATGAATAGAAGACGTATTATGATACTGGTACTTTTTAAACAGCTTTTACGTGGATTATTGTGTTAAATTATTAAAACAACCCTAAGGTAGGGCTTTTCAGCCTTGGCGCACATTTGGGGACTAATGATTATCTGTTGTGGAGGCTACCCTGTGCGCTGTAGAATATCTAGTAGCATCTCTGTTCTCTATCCACTGGATGCCAGCATCCTCCTCATCCCCACCTCCAGTTGTGAAAACCCAAAATGTGTCCGAATATTGTCAAAATCCCTTGGAGGAAAAATTTGCCTCCATTGAGAACCACTGCCCTAAGAGGAAGGCCCTTTTTTACATATGAGGAAACTGAAGCTTAAAGTGATTAAGTATTTGCCCGAGTTCAGGCAGTTATCAAGGACAAGAATCAGGATTTAAATCCTGTCTATAGAGACTAAGTTCTCAACCAACATTCTTTATGTCACAGAATTATAATGTCTTCTAATATCCAATGTTCTACCAAGTCACTCAAGATACACCCAGCAGCCTCGCGGTCTTTGATTGCTAATGGGTAAGTAGAAGATTTTGCATTTCCAGTTGCCAAGATCACTGGAAGGCTTGACATCAGGTCACACATGTCTGTACCTCCTTCCAAAATGTTAGGAACTGTGAGACCCTCTTTAATGTTGTTTCTCTCTTGGGTTGGAGGTGGGGTGTCTAATTTTCTCTCACCCAGAGAACATTTTTAACAACCTGAGTGAGAGGAGGATGACTTTGCTCTCACTCTGTGCTGAACAAGGTCACTGAACTAGGTTTATCCTCCCTATTTAATGTCTGATGACTCACTTCCTAAGATCTTAAATGCTTTTTATGCTACAGGTGCTGTAAAGATTATGGAGTTGGTGTTTGCCAAGTGTCTAGAGATCTTGAATGCATCATTCTTCTACAGGGCTTTTCCTTCATTTGCCAACCAGAAAGAACATAAAACTAGTAGGTGTAACTCCCTAATCAAAACCAGTGTGTAAAAAGGCTCAGACATTTGGCTTTATAAGGCGCTATCAAATACCACCCTTACTTCTCAAATTGTGTTGAGTTCTATGTAAAGAGAAAAGTATATCCAAGTTAGCGAATCCAAAATGACAACAGTCACTTGTTCTTTGTTCAGGACTTCTTGAACCTTATTGAATGGATTGCTGGCTCTTTAAGATTCTATGCCTCTCAAAACAGAAGCTTTTGTTTGGCTTAATGTTTCTGGGTAATTGCATCAGTGGTAATGCATTATGCTCTGAAAATATGCTATATCTACTTCTCAAATCCTAGCTTAGTAAACGGCTTGTACTTCTTGTTTCAAACGCATTTTCCTTCTAGCCTACAATTGCCAATGCTTTATTCATTATAGGCTTATTAATTAAATGTGTGCATTACCTCATCAAGTTTGTATTTACCATAAACTGGCAAGATATGTAATTGTCATTGATAAGCTGGTGGCAAGTAGAGAGTTACAAAAGCCACACACATCCTGCATTTACTGTTAAAATTCTACTTATCCCACCTATAAGGTCACAATCTCAATTGAAAGGCTGAACAATTTTGTTTCAATCTCTCCAGTCAGCCAAATTCTGGCCAATGACTTTTGTTTGAAAGGTATTTATGCCTCCTTAATAAATGTTATGTTAACTCATTAGGGTTAAGAATTTGGTTTAAATTTTCTGGAGGTATTTTTAACCAGTTTGATGAATGTGTGGATGATTAATGGAGAGGGATGTAGGGAGAGAAAACAGGGAACACAGAGACCAAGCTTGTTTTGGCCCTGACAGCACCTATTTCTCAACCCTCCAGACATGCATTTCTTGACTCCATGATGTTGTATGGGGCCTCTCTGCTACTTTCTTTCAGTCTACACTGCCTATATTTCACAAGAGCCAACAGAAATCATGTGGTCGGCACAACAGGTAAAGCAGTGTACTCCGGCAACCATTGTTCTGACGACACATGGCAGCATCCAGTCTCTCACTGTTCAAGTGGGCGCTCCACGTGGACCTGACCCAGCCAGGACTGCTCCTTCCATTAGTGACTTGAAAACCGTGGGAAAACTCCAGTACTGTTCATTCCATGGAATGCTTCAAGGAGAAGTCTCTGGCTGAGAAGAATTATATGTTGTCTTTTATGAATAAACAAACATAAGGGACCAGTCCCAAGACTGCCAGGACATTAGCAAAGGTCCTTGGTGGGAAGGATTTATAATGAATTGAGTGGAAAATACATGGAGCTGTTAGTTTGAGACTCAGTCCTGTATATTCTCCCTTGCTCCTTTCCCAAGTAGGTAAGTAGGCCTTTCTGCTCTGCTGATTGGGGGGAATTTTTATTGCCATCAGAGAGAAGTTGCTGTAAGAAAATTCTTGTTGCCTTTGGTTTGCTACATGCCTGAACTCCTCGTGGCATATAGAAAACCAAAGATGACAAAAGCAAGGGAAAGGGAGAACTGAAGATCAGGAGAGAAAGATGGAGAAGATTCTACCCCTATCTCCACCCTGGTTGTGAAGCAGATACTTTCTTTGAGAAGCGAGACCTCTGCCCCATTCCTCAGTAGAGCCACCTACAGGTGGCAGAGCCTCTAGACTTTCTTGGGAGGAAATGAAGTGTTGGAATGAAGAACATCAAGTGCTTTGATGAACAGTATAGACTCTGAAGCCAGTCTGCCTTGGTTCAAATCCCAACTCACCATTGTGAGACCACTGGGCCTTGTTCTACTTAATTCTTTTTGCCTTGGTTTAGTTATCTGTGCAGTAGCAATATTTTTTTAAAAATCTCATGGAGTACATGGGAGAATTAAATGAGTGAATTCATGGAAGATATTTAGGACAATGCCTGGCACATAGTGAGTCCTCTAGAAATAGTAACTTCTATTTTTTATGTTCAAAACCAATAAATAGCTCCATGATCAAGTTTGGCATAAAATCAACAGAGGCTCTTGCCTTCAAGGCTCCTCATGCACTTGAATAGGAGAGATATTGTGGCTACCCTGTTGGACTGGAGACAAGACAGTCTTTTTTACTTTATCTGAGAACCATGTTAGTCTCCAGAATTTTAGAGAAGCAGAGTCCCCACCTCAGATAATCCAGAGTTTGAATTTGCCAGAAATTGTGAAGGATGGAGGGCAAATCCAATATTTGTAATTTGAGGAAAAGAAAAACAAATGTGGCACATCTTGCACATTTGAGTTTTATTGCAAATTTCTCACCGATCCACTACCAATGTCATCTGCCTATTTCTTCTTTATACAAAACAAATTCAGGATATCCATGAAGATATTTATTGGCACAGCCAACCTAATTACAGAAACCTCTGATAATCCAGACCAATGCAATCCACTAAATGAGTTTAAGTGGGATTGAGAAAGGTTTTTTTCTAGGAAGGAGAGAGTCAAATGGTGTAAGGTAGAAAATAAAGGCCATTCACAGCAGTGTTAAAGGTGAGAAAGAATGGGTGAGAGGACAATCTGCAACAAATGGCCCTGGGAAAACTGGACATCCACATGCAAACAAGTGAAATTAGACCTTTATCTTACACCATAAGCAAAATATTAACTCTAAATGGATTAAAAACCTAAACATTAAAATAAAAAACTATAAAATTCCTAGAAGAAAACACAGAAGAAGAGCTTCATAATATTGGATATAACAATAATTTCTTGGATATGACACCAATAGCACAGGCAACAAAAGCAAAAATAGACAAGTGAGACTATATCAAACTTTAAAACTGCTATGCACCAAAAGACACAATTAACAGAGTAAAAAGGCAAACTATGGAATGGGAGAAAATATATGCAAATCATATATCTGAAAGTGGCTAATATCCAGAATATATAAAGAACTTCTATAATTCTACAACAACAGCAACAAACAACCTAATTAAAACTGAGCAAAGGAATTGAATAAACATTTCTCCAACAATGATAATACAAATGGCCAACAGCATATGAAAAGATGCTCAACATCCTAATAATTAGAGAAATGCAAATTAAAACCACAATGAGGTAACACCTCACACCCCTTAGAATGGCTCCCCCCCACAAAAAAAAAAAAAAAAAAACCAGAAAATAAAAAGTGTTGGCGAAGATGTGGAGAAACTGGAACTCTTGTGCACTATTGGTGGGATTGTAAAGTGATGCTATGGAAAACAGCATAACAGTTTCTCAAAAAATTAAAAAAAGAACTACCATATGCTCCAACAATTACCCTTCTGAGTACATATAAAAAAGATTTGAAAACAGAGCCTGGAAAAGATATCTGTACACCCGTGTTCTTAGCAGCCTTATTCACAGTAGCCAAGAGGAAAAGCAACCCAAATTCTACAACAACAGTAGATAAAAAATAAACAAAATGTTATATATATATAATATTATATATATATATATGTATACACACACACACACACACACACACACACACAATGGAACATTATTCAGCCTTAATCAACCTTAATAAAAAAAATCCTGTCACAAGCTACAACATGGATGAACCTTGAGGCCATTATGCTAAGTAAAATAAGCCAGTCACAAAAGGACAAATCTTGTATGATTCCACTTATATAAGATATCTAAAGTCGTCACATTCATAGAAACAAAATAGAATGGTGGTTACCAGGGGCTGGAGTGAGAGGGAGTTATTGTTTAATGGGTACAGGGTTTCAGTTTTATAAGATGACAAAGTTCTGGATATCTGTTGCACAACAATGTGACTATACTTCACACTACTGAACTGTTCATTTAAAAAGGATTCAGATGGTAAACAACAAGAACTGTGGAGAAAAGCCTTGATTTTAGGAGCCAAGACTCTTCAAGGTTCTGTGGGAAAGTGAAGCCTATGGCTGCAGCGATGAGGTCATAGAAGCAGGCCAGTTAGCTCTGCCTTTCAGCAGAAGCGGTTCCCCAAGAGAGTTGCCAGCAGAGACCTGTCAGTGAAGAGCCTTCCTAAGAGCTGGGGAAATAGCTCCTTTAGTGATGTGTCACCCAGCAATCATGGTGGAAGCAACACCCACTACCCAGACCAAGTGCGAGCTAATTACAGCTGAGGCAAATGGAGGAAAATAATAGAAACAAGGGGTGCTCTTACAATAGAGGAGGGAGAGGCATTGCAGGACTAATATAAAGACCAGCTGGAAGTTGGTCTTTAAACTTCTATAGAAAAGCAGTAATCCTGGTTCTCTGCTGTCCATGTGACCCTAACAACTCCTGGGCAACATGTCCTCATCCATCAGATCAGAATAATTACATCTTCCCTGCCTACCTTGGACAAGATTGCTATAAAAATAAAAACTAAAGTCATAAATATGTAAATGTTTTATAAATTGTAAAGTGCTCTAAAGTGTAGAAAATGAATTTGAGGAAGGAGCTTCTCAAACACTAGAAATGGCTGATAAATCCCGAAGACTAGAAGTTCTGAGCTTCAGCAGGTCACCTGGCAGAACTGTCTTTCATGAAAAGGTGAAGCAAGGAGCAGATCACACCAAGATTTAAGTACTAATTTTCTCCCATTACTGGTGGCTTCAATAATGTTTTTATCCCTCTGTTACTGGAACAAATGATGAGCTTTGAGTTTCCAGGAGGGGAAAGAGCAGCATTAACTTAGAAGCACATCATTTCTTCCTTCTCATGGAAGAGAGTTTTCATCTGTGAAAAGCTGACTCACTCATGTGAAACTCAGAGCTGAAAACTTGAATTACAGTTATACCAGAATCATTGCCTTATATTCCTTCTCTCCCTTCTCCCCTCCCTCCCTTCATCCCTCCCTTCCCTCCCCCTCCCTCCCTCTCTCCCTTCCTCCCTTCCTCCCTTTCTTCCTTCCTTCCTTTATTCTTTCTCCACTTCCTTCTTTGCTTTTTGCTCACCCCTTTCTTCTTTGCTATATCTCTTTTTATCTTTCCTTTCTTCTGTCAACATTTTGAAGCTAAATGACATTCATCTCCAAACTGGTCTTCCTATCCACACAATATCATAATAGACATAGTACCTATGCCATACATTAAATGTCATATTGAATGAGGCTGGGGCACGTAGGTTTCCGTACATGGTCATCAGCCCCTCTGGCCCAGAGTGATTTCTTGACAATAGTTTATTAATTACTCAATTCAGTCACATGGACAATATAACTAAATTGAGAGATCACTAATACTTGTTACCTGATAAATTTAGGTAAGTACTCTGTAACTAATTGGTTAGTAGATAGTTAAAAACTTCCAAGTTTGTTTAGAATGAATGGTAAAACTGGTTCTGTATATGTTGCATAAGCCTTTCTGCCTCTTGCCCCTGAGATAGCCCCATTTCCTGATGATCTACATTCAAACAAGTTCATATTTATTTTCACTCCAGAAATAAATTTTGGTCAAGAATTTAAAGGGAGATTTGAGGGGTTTATTCAAAGTTTCACTCTGAAGCCACAGAAAACAATATAGCCCCATGGATCGCAAGTTAAATATCGAAAGGAATAGACATCATATATAATTTTTCATTTATTAACTAAAATATAAATCAAATGTAGAAGTTAACAAATATCTAAGTAAATTATAATTTTCATCTCTATTATTAGCAGTTAATGCACCTAGGTATAGGGTAGGCTCTGACAGTTGGAGTTAATAGTTACTGATATTTTTTATTATTTATTTACAAGGAAGTAAAAGGGAAACATTTTTAGAACTAATATGTGATTCTGGGTTTTTTATTTTTATGGATAATTCAAAGTAAAAATGCTCGTTATTGAATCTCAATGAAAGGTTTTTTTTTTTTTGACACAGGGTCTCACTCTGTCACACAGGCTGGAGTGCAATGGCATTTTCACAATTCTGCGCAGCCTTGAACTCCTGGGCTCAAGTGATCCTTCCACTTCAGCCTTCCCAGCAGCTAAGACTACTTCCCAGCGGCTGAGACTATAGGCACACAACACCATGACTGGATTTATGTATATGTGTGTGTGTGTGTGTGTGTATATATACATATATATATATGTATGTATATATATGTATATATACACACACACACATATATATACACACACACACACATATATACACACACACACACATATATATATATACACATACACACACACACACACACACACACAGACACACACACATACATATATAGGCAAGATCCCACTATGTTGCCCAGGCTGGCTGCAAACTCCTGGGCTCAAGCAATCTCTCTTTCTGGCCTTGGCCTCCCAAAGTGCTGGGATTACAGGTGTGATCCAGCATGCCCAGCCAATAAAAATATTTTCAGAATTACCACCAAACAGTTTTATTGGTACTCTCCAATTTAGGGCATCCCATTATTGAGATTAGGTGAATTGGTCAGGCTCACCCAGTTGATTTTAAATATTTCTTTTAGGATTAGCTGTGAAATCTAACAGAGCTGGGTGTGAGTCTTCATGCCACCACTATGCACTATAAGATATTGGGCAGGTTACTTAACCTTTTTATGCTTCTATAAAATGGGACTTTCACCCACTTAATGCAGGTGTTATGAGGATGTAAGTAGCTTAAGGTAATGCCTGCCACAGAGTAAGTATTAGATTAATATTATTATTAGTAACGGTAGTATTCTTATTATTAAATAGAGAAATGGGACTAGGTGTTCCTCAAGATCTCTTTCAGTTTTAAAATGCTATGAATTCATGTTCCAGACAAAACTGACTTAAGATTTGAGAAAATTGTAATAAGACCATCTGTTGGCAAGAATTAGCCAACTCCAGGTAGATTTAACTTATACATTTCTTTATCATTGACCTTTGGAGAGGTATCAAGCTTTCAAGCCATTGTTCAAAACCAATTTCAAATATTACCATTGACTGCTACATCAGAAACATGTTTCCTATTAAAATAAAATATAGCCCATTTTTAAAAAATTGCCCTTAAGCAAATATCCAGGCTTTTAAAAATTAATTCTATTTCCAAAGTTATGCTTATACCATTAAGATTCCAGTTTGACTTAATGATATTGGCATAAACTTGTATACTCTTTACTAAGGTACAGCCCTTGACTTCCCTCTAGTACTTGTAAGAGCCTCGTTGGGAACATCAACTGAAACATTCCAGGGGAAGAGAAAAAATGAAATAAAACACAACCTGCCCGCCCCACCTGCCTCACCCACCATACACACTTATTGGATGTTCAAATCTCATACAGAAAAGCCCTTTGATTTCCTTTTAACCACAATCAGAACAACCTCAGACCAGCTTTCCCGACATCCATGTGCAATGTTGCTGAGCTGCTTACAACTTTACTTTAGGACTCTAACAAAGTCTTGGCAACTTGCTCTTGGAGTTTCTCAAAGCCACAGCAGTTCTTTCTCGCTTTTAATGAAATTCCTTTCTATTTCTCCAGGTATGACTCCCCTTGGACCAGCAAGGCATATTTTCTCCTTGAGTTAGGACAGCTTATGACAAATAATGATGGGGAATCAATAGACAGGAGGGAAATATTGGGTGAGAGGCTGAATGAATCTCTGAGATAAATTATTGACCATAGGCATGGCCAGTTCTCCTTTCACTTATATGTTCGTATTCCATCTCACTAACAACCTGAAAGAAAATCAAATATTTTGTTTGGGGGCTTCACTAATATCAGCAACTTTTACTATCTTAATGGCATTTTTATTGATCTCAGCTTTAATGGGAGCTGTATATATTTGATGTTGGTCATTTAAAGTAGAGGTGAGTAATAGACTTCCCCACTGAGGATCATAAAGCAGCTCCTTGTCTGGCAAGCACGGGAAGCAAATAGAAGACAGCATTTAATCTACTGTTCTACTGCAGTTATCAGGGGCTGAGATAAAAAAAAATTAAAATGTAAAGGTTGGCAATTCCCCACCCCCAGGCTTCTCACCCCCTCCTGTGTCCTATCCCCCTTCACCCCTCCCCATGCTGACTCCTGGGCACACTGGTCATCAGCAGACTAACAACAAAAGGCCATTGGTGCAATGACCTTGGCTGTGGCATCACGCACTGGAAGAAAGAAATGAAGCCATTAGACTGAGGCAGGAGAACAGGTTATAAATCAAGCCATTTCCAATAAGCTGCCGTAATGGCCATCCATCATTGCCAGCCCAGCACACAGCAGACCATGGAGACACTGGAGCTGCTAAAGCTGAGACATAAACAATAATAATCCGGGCTTGATGTTTCAGCCCTTCAGGAAATTTAGGGACATTTGCTTTTCTTTTGTTTGTCAGAGGTGATATTTAAAGCATAAGATGTAATAAATAGAGGATAGGTGACACACTGGTACAGTTTAGAAGCACTGCATTCTGGGTGGGATTAAAGGGAAAATCAAAAGCTAAATTCCAAAAATAGTCACTGCTTCTGGGATAAAACAAAATAAAAAGCAGACCCCCAACCAGAGAAACAAACTAAACATCACAATTTTCATGGAATGACGCTTAGATGTTTTTGGAATAGGTCAACAGGTCTCATTGCTTGGAGAATTATATCAATAGTGGATGGTGATTTTGTTTGTATAAGAAAGAAAGAAAATGGGACAAGTGGTTCAAATTTGCATTTGTAACCAGGTTACAAGTGGTTAACTGGAATTAGATATGTAAAGGCTGTGTCTTTTAATAATATCCTATTGCTCGCTTCTAGGGTGTGATTCACCATGGTGTGTGACCTTATGGCAAATATTTCAAAACAATGTTGTTAACATCTTAACTGCACTTGAGATTGTTTACTGGGGCTTTGGGGGGAAAAGATGCCAGGCAAAGAACTAGCTGTTCTTGTATGTCTTTTTTTTTTTTTCTGAAAGTCTTTAAAATGATTTCCTCAGGTTATTAGGATTTTATTTCAAAGCTCTGCCCATCAGAGATCACTATCCAGCATATCTTTCCAGATTTCTCATTTCTATTCCACAATGCTCACCCATCTCTATATCTTGATTTGATTATGCAACATATCCAGGCCATCTTTTTTACATTATATGATATTTTCCACTACAAATAATAATGCCAGTTTTCAGAAATATATTTCAGATCATTAAAAGCAACTAACAGGGTTGGATGGTCTTAAAATTTACAAGATAACCCTTATGGATTATGATGCTGTTTCAAACCACTCCGTAATGTAGTGGAGTGAACTTGTCTTGTACTAAAAGCCAACAGCAATTAAACTAAGCATAACCGAGAGACATGTTGCAACAACAACAGAATGTTCAAAGAGCAATTCTTTGAAATGTATGAAGGGATTCTAACTTTCCTTTCAAATTGGTCATTGCACTTTTAAAGCTCCGTATGTATGCAAGTCTTACAGGGTATTTGTGCCATAGTTATGATGCAAATACTAGAAGAAGGTTAAATAAAGTCCAATTAAACAGTGTAGTAATTGAGGTGAAAATCTATGATTTATGGAAATTGCCGTGCTTCTCAACAGAAAGAAATCAGTCACAACCAGGTAAGGAGATTTAGTCCCATTTACTTTCTTTTTACCCTAAACTTAAGATTCATAAAAGAGGAAAATGTAAACTTAGATTCTTATACATTGGTGAACTACTACTCTCAGAATGTTTTAATTATATTTTCAGAACAGAGTGAGGTAAGGTGATATGCCCTACAACAAATCAATGCAGGCAATAACCATTTTTCTTGCTGGCTGAAAAATAGGACTGCCAATTACAAGTTTGGGAACTGATTAAAATAGCTGAAGAAGCTGAAGACTCTTAATCAGACACATTTAGGGACATGATAAATTTTGATTCCAGGTAAGCCTGGAACATTTATCCAAAATGAATCCATCTGTTCTGACATTTTTTTTTTCTTTTTAGAGACAAATTCTCATTCTGTTTCCCAGGCTAGAGTGCAGGGGCAGGATCATAGTCACTGCAGCCTCAACCATCTGGGTTCAAAGGATCTTCCCACCTCAGTAGCTGGGACTACAGGTGTGGGCCACCACACCTGGTGTTTTCTGACAATTTTTTTTTTTTTTTTTTTTTTTGAGATGGAGTCTCACTCTGTCACCCAGGCTTGAGTGCAGTGACGAGATCTTGGCTCACAGCAAGCTCCGCCTTCCGGGTTCACACCATTCTCCTGCCTCAGCCTCTGGAGTAGCTGGGACTACAGGCACCCACCACCATGCCCAGCTGATCTTTTTTGTATTTTTAGTAGAGACGGGGTTTCACCGTGTTAGCCAGGATGGTCTCGATCTCCTGACCTCATGATCCGCCCGCCTTGTCCTCCCAAAGTGCTGGGATTATAGGCATGAGCCACCACACCTGACCCTTTTCTGACAATTTTTAAGAAAATATTTTAAAATGCCTTTTGGCTTCTCTGGTACAAAGACAGGATCTATCTAACTACTAGTGAGGGGAAATTAGGATGGATTTTTCTTTCATTTTTTTTGTGTGTTATCCTATCAAATTTGCACCCTCAGCTAAATGGGGGAAGAATTGGGTTTGTCACAGACTTTTCAAGAAAGCGTAAATTTTTAATGATTTGTCTAAATATTCCTATAATTAAGCATCCGAAGATGTTTTAATACGAATGTAATAGATTTGTTTTCTCATGAGCTGCTATTTAAATAGTCACTTATAATAAATATTTATAAGTGTTTATAAATAAAATATTAATTGCCTGAAATGATATTTTAATGCAGTGCTAACAATCAATGAAATATGCCGTAGCATGAGCCTGTCTCACAAAATGTTTTGGAGGTTCTGACTCTACACTGGCACCACCATGGTTGCCTAAGGGACAGGCATAGCTGTGGGGGTGTTTCCAGGGCTGCTCTTGGACAGAGACAAACCTCTCCAGATGTTAGGATTGTTAGAAATGCCAAGCCACACTCATAGGTGGGAATTGAACAATGAGAACACTTGGACACAGGGCGGGGAACATCACACACCAGGGCCTGTCGTGGGGTGAGGGGGTAGGGAAGGGATAGCAAAGTATAATTAAAAAAGAAAAAAAAAGGAAATGCCAAGGCACAAACAACTCAACGATCTCCCTCCTCTTCCTTCTGCACAAAATCTCTAACAAAAATGGTACCATCTAGACTATTACCTGTGCTTTGCACAGTGGAAGATTTCATTTTATCCTCTCAGGCACTTGTTCCAAAGCCCCAGTCTCTTTTTTGCCTCTAGCCCTCTAATTGTGAAACCTTTCAGAAAGAGAAGGACAGAGAACTGAGTGTTATCCAGGTTGCTCACAGCTTGTGCAACTTGTTCTGTGCCAAGGCCAAATTGGATTATGAAATGTTAAATAGATAAGGAGACAGGAAGAAAAGATTGTAAACAGTCTCTACTCAGTTTTGATCTGGATAAGAAAGAAGAAGAAAAATTAATGGTAGCCTTTTGAAATTTCTTTTTAGATTGTTTGTCTACTACTCTCCTACCCAGGAGCAAACAGAGTCTCTGTGGGCCTCCGTACCTCCATCTGTGAACTATGAAAATAAATGTATGCTATTTACATATTTTTAGGGACGCTAATGAGAGCAACAGTTTATTTTTATTTATTCATTAATTGATTCAATTCATAAACTTTCACCATCTGCTACAAAGACTCAATTAACTAATTGTTATATCCCAGTTTGCATGTATAATATTTTATAGAAATGCTAAAATGATAGAGGCAGCAGAGTATAAGAGCAAGGTTAGATTTTTTTTGGAAGAGTGTATCACACTTTCACCATGCACTTATCTTCAAGGAAATTTGAATATTGTGAATCTTCTGTGTTATGTAAAGGAAAGTGCACCCAGTGGGCAATGACAGACTTTGTTTATTGGCTTAGCTTTAGTGTGTAGCATCTGGTGCTCTGAATGAATGTTCTACTACATTTGAGCCTCAGTTTCTACATTTATAAAATGAAGAAGCTGGATGAGATGTTGTTAATGATAAGAATGCTAATAATACTTTACATTTATTTACTTTTTTTTTTTTTACCATTTAAATAGTTCTTGCTGTTACGGCATCAAACTTGATTCTTTAAAATGCTATCTTAAAGATGACAATTGAAGGTACAGGCATGCCTTGGAGTTTGATGGTACAGGCACACCTTGCAGGTTTGATTTCAGACCACCACTATAAAGCAAATATTGTAATAAAGGTATATTATGCATATATACATATATGCATTTTAGATATATATAAAAAGTGCATATACCTTAATTTAAAAATACTTAATTGCTAAAAAATGCTAATGACCATCTGACCCTTCAGACAGTCATAAACTTTTTTCTGGTGGAGGGTTTTGTTTTATTATACATAGCTGTGAACCTAGGTGGTGGTGGCTGAAGGCTTGGGTGGCTGTGGCAACTTCTTAAAATAAGAGAACAATTAAGTTTTCTACATCAATTGACTTTTCCTTTCACAAAATACTTCTCTGTTAAATGCAATGCTGTTTGATAGTACTTACCCCCAGTCAAACTTCTTTCAAAATTGGAGTCAATCCTCTCAAACTCTGCTATTGCTTTATCAACTAAGTGTATGTAATATTCTAAAGTTTTATTGCAATTTGAACAATGTTGACAGCATCTTCACCAGGAGTCAATTCAATCCCATGAAATAATTTTCTTTGCTCGTCCATAAGAAGCAATTTTAAATCCATTTAAGTTTTACCATGAGATTGCAGCAATTCAGCCACATCTTCAGGCGTCATTGCTAAATCTCTTGCTATTTCCACGTCTGCGGTAACTTCCTCCACTGACATCTTGAACCCCTCAAAGTCATCCACAAGAGTTGGAATCAACTTCTCCCAAACTCCTGCTAATGTTCATATTTTGATATCCTCCCATGAATCAATCATGGATGTTCTTAATGACATCTAGGATGGTGAATTCTTTCCAGAAACTTTTTAATTGACTTTGCTCAGATCCACCAAAGGAATCACTATTGCGGCTATAGCCTTCCAAAATGTATTTTCTAAATAATAAGACTTGAAAGTTAAAATTACTCCTTGATCCGTGGGCTGCAGAATGGTGTTGTGTTAGCAGGCATGAAAACAACATTCACCTCCTGGTACATCTCCATCAGAGCTCTTGGGTGACCAGATGCATTGTCAGTGAACAGTACTCTTTTGAAAGGAATCTTTCTTTCTAAGCAGTAGGTCTCAACAGTGAGCTTAAAATATTCAATAAACCATGCTGTAAAGAGATGTACTGGTATCCAGGCTTTGTTGTTCCATTTTTAAAAACAATGTACTCTGTACAGGCAGAGTAAATTGAGCATAATTCTTAAGCAACTTAGGATGTTCAGAATGGTAAATGAGCATTGCCTTTGACTGAAACTCACTAGCTGCATAAGCTCCTAACAAGAGTCAGCTTGTCCTTTGAAGCTTTAAAGCCAGGCATTGACTTCTCCTCTCTGGTTATGAAACTCTTAGATGGCATCATCTTCCACTAGAAGGTTGTTTTGTCTACATTGAAAATCTGTTGTTTAGTGTACCCACCTCCATCAGTGGCTATAGCTAGATCTTGATAACTTGCTGCAGCTTCTCCATCAGCACTTGTTTCTCCACCTTGCACTTTAATGTTATGGAGATGGCTTCTTTCCTTAAACCTCATGAGCCAACATCTGTTTGCTTCAAACTTTTCTTCTGCAGCTTCCTCACCTCTCACGGCCTTCATAGAATTGAAGAGAATTAGGGCCTTGGTCTGGATTAGGATGTGGGCTGGTTTGATCTTCTATACAGACCACTAAAATTTTCTCCATGTTAGCAATAAGGCTGTTTCACTTTCTTATGTGTTCACTGAAGTAATACTTAGTTTCCTTCATGAACTCTTCCTTTGCATTCACAACTTGGATAAATGGCACAAGAGGCCTAGATTCAGGCCTATCTCAGCTTTCAGCATGTCTTCCTCACTAAGCTTTATCATTTCTAGCATTTGATTTGAAATGAGAGATATCTAACTCTTCCTTTCACTTGAATACACGCAGGCCATCATACAGTTATTAATTGGCTTAATTTCAATATTCTTGTGTCTCAGGGTATAGGGAGGGCCAAGGAGAGGGACAGAGACAGGGGAATGGCTAGTTGGTGGAGCAATCAGAACACACATCACTGATCAGTTAAGTTCGGCATCTTATATGAGTGTGGTTCATGGCACTCCAAAGCAATTACAATAGTAACGTCAAAGATCACTACTCACAGATCACAATAACAGATGTAATAATAATGAAAAAGTTTGGCATATTGTGAGAATTACCAAAATGGGACACAGAAGCACAAAGTGAGCCAAGCTGTTGGAAAAATGGCAGCAGCGGACTTGCCGACGCAGGGGAGCCTCAAACCTTCAATCTGTAAAAAATGCAATACCTGTGAAGTACGATAAAGCGAAGTGCAAGATAACAAGGTATGCCTGTAGGTGTTGTAGACCCTAGTTTGACAAATGAAGATAATGAGGCTCAGAATAATCAAAGATTTCCATGTGCTTTTATACCACCAGCCGGTGACAGGCCAAATATTTAAATCTATGTGTCCTTTTTTTTTTTTTTTTTTTTACTTTTAGGTAGCATTGTTTTTGTAATTATAAAGTATGTTCTTAATCCATGTTTTCTGAGAAGACGGTTTCCAAAAACTATTTCACCCCAAAATTTCTCAATTTCTGTCATTTCTAATGGGCTTTTTTGTTCTTTAACCATTTCTGTGGCAGAGTGCTCTGAATGGATTTCCTGCTTCTGCTGATCATTGAAAGCTTTCTCTTTTGCACACTAAACATGGCAGCATTTGTTGTTAGGGATGCAATTCAGCTGACAATATACATCTCTGAGAAAGACAATGGAGAAAGGTAGAAATGTGCTGTGTTAATTTAACATTAGCAGTGTTATAGTTGAGAATACTGGCATTTGAGTGCATAAAAATGTTTCTGGCTATCGCTAAACCTTATTATTTACAATTCATTACTTATGAGTTGAGTCCTGGTATTCAATGTGCACTCTGCCAATTGCATTGTATCAAATTTCATAAAAGAAGGCAGTAAACATACAGATACCTGTTGCACAGTCCCCTAGAAACCAATCCTCTGTGTAGTGCTCTATGAAATTCTGTTTTGATTAGGTTGTTACATCTGGGACAGAACTGCAAATAGCGTTTGGCGGAGGAAAAATGTGGTCCTGTATAATGCTAAGATTAAAGTCTGTCCAATAATACAAGCATGTCAGCCGGGACAGGTCCTGTATTTATAGTGGAAAGGCCACTGAGTGAGGATTCATCACACAAGTTCAAGGGAGGTAGTGTCAATTACTTTGGGGCCTTTTGTGATAACACTGGATGGACCACTGAGAAAGCGCCATATTTAATCTATTTCCTGCTTAAGCGGACAAAGAACTAGTAAATACAATAGGAAATAATCCCATCCGGGCAGAAGGCAGAGAGGAAGAAGATGGGCAAAAATGACCTCATGTTGTAGATCCTCCACACTTCTAATTTTTACGACCCTATGATGTGAGAATCTAATTAATAAGGTGACTTCTCTGAGTATTTCATGCTCTGTGCCTTACGTAACTCTTTCACATGGCAAGTTATATGACTTCAACTGCCATGCAGATAAATAAGGTAAGCAATGAGGGAATAAATGTAATGGGTTCATGAATTAATGGTTTTGAGCAGGGGCACATTCTCAGTGATGGACCATGTTCTGATGTCTTATGTATTTGCTATCCTAGAGCAGAATGACTTCTCCAATTAATTAGTCTCTTGATCAAGCACTGTCTGGTTGTATGGGTATGTGAGAAAGCAAATAAAAAGCTGTGTGTAAAATAATCACACACTGAAAGGAGATTCGCTATATTTGGTACTTATACACCATGCATGAGGAACTTTGTAACAGGTCAGATTATCCATCAGATTTACAGATCTAATAAGCATAAGTGACAGATCCTGCATGTGACCACAGGTGGGAACAGCTGGTGGGTACTTGCCAAAATGCAATACATTTAACCAGCTGCCAGTGGAGCTTGCCAAAGCAGGGTCACCATGGAGCAGCTGGTCTTCTGGGTATGAAGCTAAAAATCTGTCACTAGTACTTCCCAATTGTCACTTGCTAGCTAACCTTCCAGCAGGACCTTACTTAACAGGATAGGCAGTGTGGTGGCGGGGAGGAAAGTTCAAATTATTCTCAAGCATCACCATGTCCAGGAAATGTCTTTGGTCAACAAGAGGGCTGTTACTCCAACTGTGGCAGTGCACTTGATTGAGGCACCATGATCACCAACAGCATCAAGCTGTTTTTTCCTAATTGCGGTTCCTTTTACAAGGATCTATTACTAGGGAAACTTCAGAGGTGATGGTCTTCTTAAACAAGAGAATCTGGAGACCTCCAAAGACGATAATCATGGCTCTTTGACAAGAGTTGGATTTTCTAGGGTTAGATAATTAGCTTACACCTTGATATAATGTGGCATTAAGTATAAAATCTGTTTGCTGTACATTACAAAGTACATTACAAAGCACATCCATTACACAATTCACATCCCAACCATCTTACCACCTCCTCCTGCTTTCAGTTTTCACTCCTGCAACTCCATAGTATCGTTTTCTCAGCCCAATTTGACCCAAATGATAATTTAAATACAGATTTGTATACTATAATTAATAACATGTCTTGCTTTCTAGTGATATAATGACCAATACACATTATGTCACATGTCATATAACACATCCTTTGTTTCTTTTTGACTTAAATGGAGTTTCCTTCTACTCCAACAGGAATTTACATAAATTATTCTAATCAGGTGTCTTTTATAACCAATTACCTCTAATGGAATATAATACAGGAGCAGAGAGCTGACAATCTCTCTATGCCAACTGTACTTAAAATAGAACCGTGGTGTCCTTTGTCCCAGTGTGAATTTTTCTTAATTTCTGTGAAGCCATTGTGTCAGAAGTTTTCATAGGACTAACATAATAATAATAATAGGTTCTGTATTCATTTTTAACTGGCACACCTCTATCTTTTTGCATATTCTGCTCCCTCTGCCTGGATTACAGAATGTGCTGTCCTTACCTGAGACCAGACAAACTAAAAAACTTCATTTCCTGCTACTCCTCCATACATTGGGCAAGAGTTACTCAGGGTTCCTCCAACACTGCAGCAGATAGTAATTGTCCCTTATAATACATACTTTCCTTCCTCCTTTCCATAATAAAATCCCTTGAGTTTTAACTGGCTGTGGTGGCCCACTTAGCAACTATATTTCTCAGCCTTCAATAAAATTTGGTGTGATTAATTCAGCAAACGGGATGTGAATGGAAGTGATGTGAACAGTTTCTCAGATGTGCCATTTCAATAAAAAATCACCTATGTTTTACTTCTCTGTCTCCCTAACTGTGGGCTGGGTCAGAGCCCTAGAGCTGGTGATTGCTGGCAAATAGCAAGCAAAGAAAGATGGAATCTGAACCCCTGATGACCTCACAGAGCAGAAATCTCTACTGGCTTCAGACTGCCCACCTACTTCTGGACAGAGAAAGAAATATATTGCTATCTTGTTTGAATTACCCCAATGTTGTCTCTTCATCAAAACAGCTTAACTTTATTCCGTAGCTAATGTATACCTTCCTTCCTTCTTCCTGTGGCCACTTATGGCCACAACTTTGTTCCTGCCATTTTCTCTTCTTGAAATGTTGTTAAATATCTAGTGAATAACTACTTCTGCTTGTAGGCACTGATCATGTTATACCCTTTTCAAACTTCATTGACTATTTGTCAGTGACAAATAATGTCATTGATTTCTGATAGAACCCAGATCCTGGAGAAATAGGTACAGAGCTAAGTTGTCCCTGCTAAATCCTCTAGTGAAATAATAGCCATGGAAGTGTTGGAGATCTCAAGGGTATAAGATTAGGTTGGAGGACGTTTGGGACCTTCAAGGGTTAGGGTGTCCCAGCCATAGCTGGAGATTGGACTTACTCCTGAGAAGATTGTTAGTTGGTGAAGAGAAACAGTAGTCCTGATGGACTTGAAAGTTCCCTGCATAGATTTAATGATAGTGAGGGATTTCCATTCCAGGTCTCTGGACTCCTTGCCTGCATCTGGAGACTTTATAGCTAAAAGTCCTCAATATTTTCCCTTCAGGACTTCAAACTCAACTCTTTTTTTCACCCATTCAATCCAAGATTCTCTGAACTATAGAAGACGGCAAGTCCAAAACTGTCAAATAAATTAGGGTGTCACAAAACAGGACTGATCTTTCCAATTAGAGATCCTCCTTTATTCTATTTATTAGCCAAAGGAAGGCATCAGGAAATTTCGTAACCCAAATGACAATCTCCCATTGCGCAAGACACATCTAGAATCAGGCTTCAATTTGTCTAACCTTTTTGATCAAAATGAGTTTTTATTTAGCCCGACTATTTAGCTTAATGGAAAAAGGAGGCTCTCTGGATTTGGTTCAGGAGCCTGGGATTCGTCAGTTGTGAGAAGGCATCTGAATCACTAGCACACTGAGGCCATGGGATAACTTCTTATTCTTCTAAAGAAGAGTGCAGAGGGCTCAGCAAGAGGGCTGGAGAGCCTGAAGAACTCTTGGGAAGTGTTTTCTCATGCCAGAGGGCCTTGGCTTCAGATTCAGACAGTCAGCTTTTCTGCTTGGCAGAAATCAGGTCCGTGGTTACCTGGAAACTAATTGCTCTTTTTTTTTTTTTTCTTCCATCTACTGGGCAGTCTTCTCAATGCAATAAATCGTATTTTTAGTTCCTGAAATCCTCAGCAATCTTACGAAGTGGGTACTGTTATCAACCCCATTTTATAGATAAGAAAACCGAAGGACAGGGATGTTTTATAAAAACCTGCCCAAAAAGAAGTATAGAGATAGTAAGGAGTAGGCATAGGATTTCAACGCAAGAAGTCGATCCCAAGTATATGCTATTAGCATCTGCACTGCAGTTACCAAGGTCATTTTCTGTGACTAGGCTCAAAAGTGGGTCTGTTGGAACAATAAAGAGACATGCCAAGAGGGAAGCCAGGTCCCAAGTTGTGCTTCAAGGATGACATCCAACGCTGTAATTTCCCAGGAGCTTATTGATCTGGTTTTCGGAGTTTTAAAGGAAGGACATAATGGCACCCATGAACCGTGAGGTTCTTTGTGAATCACTGTCTGTAGTTGTCTTCTTGGTTTACTTGCTTGCTTTCTCTTCAACAGCCTTCTGTCTCATTTCTTGAGTGACCAAGTGGATCAAATCAATACGAGTATCACCTTCCTAACTGGACTCTCTCACTTTCACTCACAAACCACTCCCATCTTTCTTGTGCTGCCAGAGTGACACCTTCTAACACACTCTGATTAGGTCATCCCACTCCTGAAAATGTTTCCATGGACTTCAAGCCTTTATATTTCAAACTCCTTGGCTTGGCACACCAGGGCCATCACAATTAGAATCCACTTAGTTTTCTAGGCTCATCTCCGATAGGTCCCCACTTTCCCTCCCATGCCACACTCCCACCTTCATCCTTATACTTCAACTAAACTAAAGCACTCTCAGCCAGACATGCTGTGAATATCTCCAGAAGCACCACAGATTAGTCCACTGCTTGCAACTTGCATATACATCCTTTCCCCACTCCCATTCCCCAACATCTTTTATGAAGCTATTACTCACATTTTAACATCAGTTCGAATATTACCAGTTCTCTTTCTTTAGAGCCATCATGACCAACTGGTTCACCTGCTCCTCCCCTAAAGTCCGATCACTCCCCATGAAAAGGACAGACCCTGGAATAAGACTATAAGGTTTCAATACCATAATTAAGAAGTATATAAGCATTATGAACTTGGGCAAAAATGTTAGATTAAGTGCATAAGACAGGGCTACTGAAGAGATTTTTTGTGTCGAATTCTTGCGAACAGTAAATGTTACAGAACATGAAAGGCACTGAGCTTGGTGCCAAGCATACAGCAAGCACTTGAGAAGTGCTAGCTGTTATGAGCGTCATCCTCATCATCCTATTCATCTCACTGTTGGGTGATTGCTTGTCTTCTTGTGCTTGTCTTCTTCTCTACATGTGTATTTGTTGAGGATACTATCTGTGTAATTGGATTTTATATCCCTAGCACCTGGCACAGTGCCTACCACATAACAGGTGCTCAATAAACACTTATTGAATGAATTATAACTCAATTATCTGCCATCTGGTTTGTCCGAAGCCACATATATTAGTATCTAGCCTACTGCTCCATCATTCCGTCATCCCATCTTCCTTTACATTTAGGGAAAAAGGAGTTTATTTTGCATTTCCTCCTGGACTCAGGTTACATAGGAATGCTGCTCTGTTCTCACTGCCTGATTACATTGGGTTTCAGAGAATTTGGCTGCTGGGAACCCCCTAGAAATTCAGGACTGCTGTTTTTCCCCAAAGTGATGCTGCTGGTACTCTGCTAGCCTCAAAGCGAGTGTGACCTGTGGAAGCCACAATTTCCTTCCCTGTCTTATCTTAATAGCAGGAACATTCCATCTATTAACTCCCTAAGATGTCAGTAACACACCCTATTATAGAAAATAAATTTTCAATAACAAAGGGAGCTTATTTCACAGCATGAAGGATAACAGCAGATATTACTATTCCTGAAGTTAATTCTCTGTTTTCTCATTACTGGCCATTTCTCCTAGGAATCAGCTGTCTGACACACTGCAATGTTGCTGCGGCTGCTCACCTTTATTTCCGACTCTTCTCATTTCTCCAGGACCACAGAACCCCGCCTCTTTTCTCTTATGCTTTACAGAAAAACATTCCCCAGTTCCTATTTATTTGCTATGCAGAGTCTTTCATAACCAAAACAACCATTAACATGCTTTCCTAAATAAAAGAGCAGTCTCTGCTCAAAATCTCACCTTTGGTAACACAAAGAATCAAAACAAGCTTTGGAATTACATTAAGGGATTTGAATATCTAACAACAAATAGTCTATCAATCTCTCTAAATGGAAGAGAAAGCAGAAAAGCTGACTGTCTGAGTATGAAGCCACAGCTCTCTGGCTTTGTGCAGAGCAAACTCCATGGGCAGATTTTTTTGCTCCTCTCCTCCTCTCCTCCCCTCCCCTCCCTCTTCCCTACCCTCCTCTCCTCTCCCCTCCCCTCCTCTCCTCTCCTCTTCTCTCCTCTCCTCTCCTCTCCTGTCCTCTCCTCTCCTACCCTCTCCTACCCTCCCCTCCCTCTTGCCCTCCCCTCCCCTCTCCCTTCTCTCCTTTCCTCTCCTCTCCTCTTTTTATTTTTCTGTGAAGAAGTATTAAATAGAATAGAGAGTAAAAATTGTGAAAGGGATTGCCTTTCTGATCTTATTTGACTGTTGTCGGTGTATAGGAATATAAGTTATTTCTGTACATTGATTTTGTATCTTGCAACTTTGCTGAATTGTTTATCAGCTGGAGGAGCTTTTCAGCCAAGACTATGGGGTTTTCTAGATATGGAATCATGTCATCTGCAAACACAGATAGTTTAACTTCATCTCTTCCTATTTGGATGCCCTTTATTTCTTTCTCTTGCCTGATTGCTCTGGCTAGGACTTCCAGTATTATGTTGAATAGAAGTGGTGGAGAGAGGACAACCTTGTCTTGTGCCAGTTTTCATTGGGAATGTTTCCAGCTTTTGCCCATTCAGTAGAATGTTGGCTGTGGGTTTTTCATAGATGGCTTTTACTCTTTTGAGGTATGTTCCTTTAGTAACTAGTTACCGAGAGTTCTTAACACGAAGGGGTATTGACTTTTTTCAAAAAATTTTTGGCAACTATTTAAATAATCCTGTGGTTTTTGTCTTTAGTTCTGTTTATGTGATGAATCACATTTATTGATTTGCGTATGTTGAACCAATCTTGCAACCCAGGGATGAAGCCTACTTGATCATGGTGGATTAGCTTTTTGGTGTGCTGCTGGATTCAGTTGGCAAGTTGTTTTTTTTGTTTGTTTGTTTTTTTGAGGATTTTTGCATCAATATTCATCAAGAATATTGGCCTGAAGTTTTCTTTTTTTCTTGTGTCTCTGCCAGGTTTTGGTATCAAGATGATAAAATACCTAGGAATACAGCTAATCAGGGAGATGAAAGATCTCTACAATGAGAATTATAAAACACTGCTCAAAGAAATCGGACATGACACAAACAAATGGAAAGACATCTCATGCTCATGAATAGGAAGTATCTATATCATTAAAATGGCTATACTGCCCAAAGCAATTAATAGATTCAATGCTACTCCTATCAAACTAGCAAGGACATCCTTCACAGAACTATAAAAATATTTTAAAATTCACATGAAACCAAAAAAGAGCCCAAATAGCCAAGGCAATTTTAAGCAAAAAGAACAAAGCTGGAGGCACCACATTACCTGGCTTCAAACTATACTGCAAGCCTGCAGTAACCAAAACAGCATGGTTCTGGTACAAAAACAGGCACTCAGATCAGTGGAACAGAATAGAGAGCCCAGAAATAAGGCTGTACATCTACGATCATCTGATCTTTAACAAGGCTGACAAAAACTAGCAATGAGGAAAAGACTTCCTATTCAATAAATGGTGCCTGGATAGCTGGCTAGCCATATGCAGAAAATTGAAGCTGGACCCCTTCTTTACACCATACACAAAAGTCAACTCAAGACAGATTAAAGACTTAAATGTAAAACCCAAAACTATAAACACCCTGGAAGATAACTTAGGCAATACCATCCTGGACAAAGGAACTGGCAAAGATTTCATGGCAAAGACACCAGAAGCAATTGCAACAAAAGCAAAAATTGAAAAATAGGATCTAATTAAACTAAAGGCCTTCTGCACCGCAAAAGAAACTATCAATAGAGTAAACAGACAACCTACAGCGTTGGAAAAAGTTTTTGCAAACTATGCATCTGACAAAGGTCTAATATCCAGCATCTATAAGGAACTTAAATTTATAAGAGAAAAACAAACAACACCATTAAAAAGTGGGCAAAGGACATGAACAGACACTTGTCAAAAGAAGACATACATGTGGCTGACAAACATTACAAAAGCTTAATATCACTGATCGTTAGAGAAATGCAAATCAAAACCACAATGAGGTATCATCACACAGCAGTCAGATGGTTATTATTAAAGTAAAAAATAACAGATGCTGGTGAGGTTGCAGAGAAAAGTGAACACTTATACATTGTTGGTGGAAGTGTAAATTAGTTCAGTCATCGTGGAAAGCAGTATAGTGATTCCTCAAAGAGCTAAAAGCAGAAGTACCATTTGACCCAGCAATCTCATTACTGGGTATATACCCACCTGAATACAAATTATTCTACCATAATGACACATGCACATGCAGCACTATTCACAACAGGAAAGACATAGAATCAACCTAAATGCCCATCAATGACAGATTGGATAAAGAAAATGTGGTACATATACACCATGGAATACTATGCAGCCATAAAAAAACCAAGATCATATCTTTTGCAGGAACATGGAAGGAGCTAAAGGCTATTATCCTTAGCAAACTAACACAGGAACAGAAAATCAAATACTGCATGTTTTTACTTGTAAGTGGGAGCTAAATGGTAATAATTTATGAACACGAAGGGAAAACAGACACTGGGGTCTAATGATGAGGGAGGGTGGGAGGAGGGAGAGAAGCAGAAAAGATAACTATTGGACACTGGGTGTAATACCTGGATGATTAAATAATATATACAACAAACCACTGTGACATGTGTTTACCTATGTAACAAACCTTCAAATTTACCCTCAAACCTAAAATAAAAGTTAAAAAAAAGAATAGCCAAGGAACACAGCTCAGACTATGAAGGTAGTCTTGTACAAAATGCCAATGCTCATTCTCATTTTAAAAATAGTTGTTAGCAGTGTAATATCTAACTCCAGAAACCTGTGTTATTGTATGTAGAGCTCAGGTGGGGAGTTGGGCTGGGAGTGGAGGTATTGAGCATGTTTGTCTGTACAGAAGTAGGTGTGGAATGGCACTGCTCTAGGTAAGCCTGTATGAAATATTGATAAAGGAAAGTTGGGCTGAAATTTGTCATTGTATCAAATACTGGTTATGTTACTAAACATTCCTATCATTGCTATTGTGGCATGCCTATGGAGTCTCCAAAGTTTTATAAAATAGACTCTTAGTTCAAATTCCTGTCATGTCTTTTCAGCCATAGAATCTGCAAAAAGCAGGGTGGAGGTGGAGACATAAAAATGACTCCTCTCGTTCCTCAGTGTTTGTGGGTGAATTCTATGACCTAAGTTTCCAGGAACCTCCATGTAGCCACAATTACTGAGATGAATAGAGAATAATCCTCATTTGTTTGGACTTTCCCCACCTACCTGCCATCCCCAGACTCTTTGGCTCATCTTTGAGACTTTGTCCTTTTTTTCTTTTCTAGGGTCTTTTTTTAATTTCCTAGGTTTCAGCCATTCCATTTCATTTGGATGTTAGGAGATAAACTATTCAAATCCTGAAGTTGGAATATTCACTAGACAACCAGACATTTCTCACTAACAAGTGATTTTATGCTAAAAGCATCTCTCCTACATAGTCCAAATAATCCTCCAACTGAGGGCTGGTCAAATTCCCCCTTGATTAACTTTTTTCTTCTGTTACCCTAAGTATGGTGCATTCCATGCCTCAAAAGTGGAGCAATATATAGCATGAATGAATAGAACCTCTGCCTTCCACAATGGGAAAGCCAAGGCACCTCCTTCCTCACTCTCTTTCACCACACCATGATAGACCTGGGTCAGGTCAACCATCTGGACAGTGCTTCAGGCAAATTGTCCAATGGGAGACTGAGGTATTGAGACAGCACTTTGGCAAACCACCTACTACTATTCTTGCTGTGACTATTCCTAGGGCTTCTATTGAAAGAAAGTAACAATGTGGTCTCAACCTGGAAAAGGAGATCAGGTGGAATGGATTTTATTTTTGGCTACTGTATAACAGCATTCCACAAAAAGCATAACTTAAAGGATTTCCTCATCTGCAAAGTGACAAAAAGCATTTGAGATGATCTATGGTATGGAGATGAGATAAGGAAATTGGAGAAGGGAGTATGGTTGAGCTGAATGTTGAGAGTGGGTGCCTACTGCCAATGCAAATGCTCTAGAGTGCAGCTCTCTCTATGGTAGATTAAGTACAGTGCAAAGTCAGTAATCTGAACATCCTTTATTTGAACTGTCCCATTATTCAAATGACTCCCTAAAGCCAAGTTCCTTTATCTTTTATGCCTTGACATGCTGAAATTGAACATTTCTTTCATTGTTCTGTCTCTTTTTTTAAATCTTCAAACTATATTAGTCAAACCCACTGCATGCCTGAGTACCTTTGAGCCCTGATTTGTTTGGATAATTGAGCTTCCACTGTAGCTTTGAATCTAAAATGTGATGATAGCCATACTCAGAAGTTTTCCACTAGATGGAAAGTAGAAGGGAACTGGGACAGGCCAGCAAGCAGGATGAATTCTGCATTCAAGGAGGGAGTTTGCACCCCTGTAGTCACATATATGATTACAGTCAATCAGTAAGTTCTTCATTTATTGAGGCTACTGTATATAAGCAACTGTCTGTGAGGGAATATGGTGTAGAGGTTAGCATTGATGTGAGTCTAAATCCAAGGTGTACCACCAACTAACTGGTGACCTTGAGTAAGTTACTTCGTCTCTCCAAACTTCAAATTCCCCATTTGTAAAAGAGAAATAAAAATAACCCTATCCACATCATTGGGGTTGACTAGAATAAATGGAATGCATGTACTTAGCATAAGTTTGTGAACCTAGAAAGTACTTAATAAACATTAGCTATTATTACTGAAGGCAAAGAAGATTTTAAAGTATAAGATCGTGGCAATATCTTCAAAGGGTTTGCAAGCTATACTGAAAGTTCCCATGTAACACAACGTAACACAAACGTGTGCACACACAAAAACAGATCAATGTATAATAAGAGCCAAACCCTGGTTCTGACATTCCACGTTGTGGGAACTTGGAAAAGTTGCTTAACGTCTCAGCATCTCAGTGACTTCAGGTACAAAATGAAAGTAATAATAGTGCCTCCATCACAGAGTCTTAGGGAAGATTAAATAAACTGGTATATATGCAAAGTGCATGGAAGAGTGTGTGGCATGTAACAAGTGTCCACAGTAATGTACAGGTGGGGGTCGTGGCACAGAGAGGATGTGTGTGTGGGCATGAGAAGAATAGGGGTTGAGTGGTGAGAAGCAGAGCATGATCCGTAAGGGTTGATCACATTTGGATGGGAAGGAAAAAGAACATTCTAAAGTGGGAAGGGCATGATATCATTTGCTGGATGATGTTGAATACATCTTCAGCTGTGTTGCTGTCACTGGGCAAGGACGTTTTTCCTCCAAAAATCCAGTTCTATAGTAATGCCGTTTCCCATATGGCCCCTCCAACAGATGTGTTTTTGAGGTTGTTTGTAACTTACTCATTTGTAAGTAAATTGAGAAACTCAGTGATATTGTCACATTTGTAAATTTGATGATTGTAGACTACTCTCCTCTTTGTGAATATGCTCTCCATTTTAAGCCCTGAGGACCTACTTTCTCCTGGTTCTCTTGCCTGGCCTCTGATTGCTCCTGCTTGGTCTCCTTCATTGTATCCTCAGATAGAATCCACCCCTTAAATGTCAGTGGCTCCTGGGTGTCTGTCCTTTTTCCCTCCATGGCTCCCCATGCATGTTTTCTGTGAGTGAATGAATTCATCCCCATGACTGGACTGCCAGGCCATGCTGATGTCACCTACCATTAATGTCTTCAGCCATAATATCTCTCTACACTTCCATATCCATATTGCAAACTGATCACTGGACATCTTCACCTGGTTCTCCTAAAGACAGTAAACCTATCATCAGAGGTGAGTTGCCTTAGAAAACTACCATCCCTTCCTCCTTCCACCTGCCCAATATGTGCTTCTCCTCTCTCTTGGGATGATTAACATCATCACTGCCTTTCTGTCTTTTTACTAGAAATTCTGATACCTCCATTCCCATATCTACTTGTTCAATTACTGAGTTCTGAAACTTTCTCAAGACTAGTTCTCTCGTCCCCTTTTCTTGCCACTGCCTCAGCTAAGGCCAGCATCATCTCTCTACTTGGTTTGAGAGCTGTCCCTTGCACAAATCTCTTTCTATTGTCAACCCTCTTTTACAGATTTGCAGTCTTAGCTTCTTAGAAAGCAAATCTGCAATTGCGACTCTTTTGCTCAAATACTTATCTTGGCTCCCTATTGCTTGGAGGTTAAATCTAGATGCCTCTGGTCTTATCTTGGTCCAGGCTGGTGGTCTCCTGGGCTGGCTAAAACAGATATTGCCATCAGGATGGAGCAACATTTTATTTTAGTAGAATCCTATGCTTTTTTACTTCTTGTTTCACAATGTCATAACTTATGAATGGCCATAGCACAGGTTATAAAGAGACAAATGACCTTGTATGTTGTGTGAAAAGCATATGCCTGAGGTGTCCAAAGTATAATTTGCTTTATGGGAATTCACTCCTCAGATGTTGGCATCTACCCTGCTCCTCATATTCATTGGCTTAAGTCAAGAGGGAACATTTATTGGGATGTCCTAAATAAATAGTCTAAAAAGTGGAGTAGGCTTTAGGCATGCTGCATTCAGAGGTTCAGTGGAGGTCTTAGCACTTTTTATCCATCTCTGGGCTCTTTTAGGTTTCAGTCTCAGACAGGTTTTTCCTATGTGGCCTCCAGATGGCCACTGGCAGCCCTGAACCATGTGATTGGCAAAGATGATGATTCCATGGGCACAAGGAAAATCAATTGGCTAGACTTGAGCCACATATCTGCTGCTATAGGTTGAGGTTTCAAGCCCAGTCCTACTCAAACCAAGTAGATTGAGCAGAATGTTTTTGAGAGAGTGAGGTGAGGGGTGGGAGTAGGCAATAAGAATGGCTTTTCAGTAAAACAGACAAACTATATAAGCCCACTATTCCTTCCAACCCACCCTTTCTTCCCCATTCATTATGAGATGCGAAACTGCCAAAATTCAGGCATGATAGGATTGGGAAATGTTAAAGACAGAGATTACTGAGCCAGGGAACTGGTGTGGCAGACATTTTTCATAAGGTGGCTTACTGCTAAGATCTTCAACAAAGGTTCAGCTACAACTTTGATTCTGAATTAGCTTGTCCTTTTCCTAATCTCAGTGAATCTAATCTTTGGAATCATCGTCCCAGAATTTTCCCACAGACTTTGCAATAACATGCTCGGATTTCTTAAGGCAGTTATGATTTTAAGTATTGTGTTCCACGGCCGCTTGTCAGAACACAAAAGCCAACTGGGAGTTCAGAAAGTAAGAGGCATAAAGATTCCCTTCTTTGATTTTCATTTACCTCACTCAAGTCTTTGGTGGCCCCAGAAACACCACCCTCCCCATACGTGGGAGCTAGAAAGCAGAAATAGTGCAGAGATTGTCTGCTATGTAAATCAATGAGAGCGTGGGTGAATCTCCCATAAAGAAATAGACCGAATGATGTTAAACTGAAAGGTAACGAGGGAGGAGGAATGATCATTTGTAAAGAGAAAAGTGTTGAAGTCTCTTTTGCCTGGCAAACATAAATACCCTAAAGAATAGAAAACTGTGGGTGGATGTGGGGCCTACTTAATGTGAATCCTACATCAGGCGTTTGTAGGTGATATAAAACTCTGATGTGCTGTAAAATTTATATCGCTCCCCAAAATGATGTACTGGTAGAACATATAAATTTTGCAGAAACTGTTAAAGCTGTCATAAAACCTCATTACTACAGATACAGTATGTGTTTCAGAAATACACACCAAAGCAGAGATTTGTAATCATTTCAGTGTGGTTCATAAAAAGAAGCACATTGTGTTTCAACATCCAAGACACTGCAAAGATTCCCTACCTCCAAAGGCCTGTTTTATCTTACTTTGCATACTTAAAAAAGAGACAAGCAGAGACAAATAAACAGCCTAAATATTTAAACGCATGCATTTCCTTATATGCCCAGTTTGTTAGAAAGGTGGGAGTAAATGATTATTTTATTACCAAGTTCACATAGAGTTGTTGGCTCCGTTTAATAATAGTCAATCTTGTTCAGGCTGAACAAACTGGTCCCTGTTGGGGGGAAAGGCAGCAATAAATCAATACCCCAGATGTAATCTTGGTGTCTAAAATGCAGAGAGAGATTTTGGTGTATAATGGCACTGGTTTGTCTATTGTCATTCAGACACAAGCTGCATCAGAAAAGGGCTTGTGGGAACCTGATAAGAGGTGGTCAAAAGTGGGCCATAAATCACAGAGAGGCAGTATTCTGCTGATTTCATACACACACACTTTCTGGGGGGATGAAGTGATATATCTGCAATTTACTGCTTATCAAATTTGCTAGAAGTTTCATAATACAAAAGCCTGACTTTCAGTGAATAAACACCATGGTTGACTACGAGCTTCTGCTGAGTAAGTATGGCACTCCAGCCATCTAGCTGGGAAAGCCTTTTGATGACCTATTTAACAAACTCCCTTTGATTGTGAGCCATGCAGTAGAGAGTTTTACTCATGAGCACCTCCTTGAACAAGGAGCCAATGGTATTTATTGAAAGAAACTGGATACTTCATTCTAGGAGAACTAATGGACTGAAGGAATCATATGGATTCCACACTTGTTCAACACTTGTTAGCATTCTGCAGATCACTGGACCACAACATCTTCTCACATAACTGGAAATAAGAGGGGTAAGGAACCAAGGAAGTGGCTGCAGCTTAGGGAAGGGAATGCAACTTTTGCAGGCAAAGAAGTAACCACCCAAAGAAGAAGAACAAACATGAGCGCATGCTTTCAGTCCATTGTGCATTAACCTAGAAGTTGGAATACTTTTGTCTCATATTTCTTCCAGGAAAAAATTTGAAAGCACTGAGCATTTTTTGAATGCAGCACTTTCAAAACTTACTGATATGTGATCCTAGATTTAATATAGAATGCTTCATCTATACTTAAAAGTGCATCTAAAAATAATACATCTTTATAATTTCACGGTGTTTAAGGTAAGTCTGTGGCTTAAAAACATCTCCACATTCTCTTCTCACTCCCAGATTGAGTGAATCTACATGTTCCTTAATATAGTCTTTCCCTAGTTAAATGTTTTCAGAGTGGATTCACATTTTAAAATAAGTAAATTTATGCTTAAAAATTATTTACTAACTAAAAGGAGATACCATAAAATATGCTTTTTCAAGCTTTGATTTTTGATTTAAAACTGAGTTTTTAAAATGTCTTGTAATTGTGCAAATAAAAAAATAATTTACTTATCTTTAACATAAATGTTATATAGTTCTATGTATCAGACACTCTTCTAGGTGGTAGAGGTTAGTAGTAAACCAGACAGAAACAATCCGTGTCCTCATGGAGCTTACAATTTAGTAGAGGAATATAGAAAATAACAATGACATAACTAAAGCATGTATATTAAGAAAATAAATACTAGTAAGAACATAAGCAGAGAAGGTGTCTAGAGAGCACTGGGGTGAGAGTGGGAGTGGTAGTGGCATATATATTATTTAAATTTTAGATACTCTCCATTAACCAGGAGTTTTAAATTCCTCCCTCATGAACGCTTTACTCATGATAATATCTAGCACTAGAAGTGATCCATTTGAAGCTCATCTTCTTCTTGTGCCCTTTTCTACCCATACATAGAAGAGCCATGGAAAGGCCAACAAGGCAAGAAAATGAAGGCTATGCTGTTGGATGCCCAGGTCAGCTATTTCACTAACCATCATAGCACCTTTTAAAGACCAACTTGATAATTGGGTGCATACAAAATATTAGTACTACTACTACATGCACATCAGTTACTTAGAGTCTCAAAGGGTATAAGATGTTCCATATAACAGGTTTTCTGTATGATTTTTTTTCCTTAGCTTCTTGGCAAAAGTAGAAAGATTTGGGTTGTATTCTTAATTTAGCCAATCTGGATTTTGTTCCATCTTCCTCTATCTGGGGAAGCATTGAATAATGCCTCTGGGTATAGAATCTTTTGAAAGACTACTTTGTACTTTATGACCACATATGCTTTTTATTCAACTCTCTAGAAGGAATTTTAATAAGTATGATGCTTTGGCTGAAGTAGCACAAACCAACTCCCCATAGCTTAAATAAGGATTTTCAAGGGCTCACATAATTGAAAGTCCAGAATTGGGTTGGGTATCAGGTGAAATGCCTTCTTCCTCCAATTCTCCTCTATTTTCTCAGTTCCCACCTTCCTCCCTGTGTTGGTTTTGTCTTGTGGTCTTAAGATGATCACTGCCACCAAAGGCTAAGATGAAGAAAAGGAGAGAGAGAGAGATGCACAGAGATTTCTCTTGGATTTCTTTTAAGCGTGCAGAATTTTCTTTCTCAAATGCTACTGGAAGACTAACTTACCGGCCAAAGTTATCTTAATTCAGACCACCTCTCAATCAATTGCAAGCAGAAACATTGGATAATTGGCTTAGACTGAACAGAGCCCATCTCTTGACGGGGACCTTGGCTTAATCATCTTTGTAGGTGACTCAGGGCTAAACACTATGGTTTGCCCATAGTGGATACTCAACTATTTATTTAATTTATTCATTTATGCAAAGTAATATCAAACACCTATACTGTTACAGTTCTTAACACTAGGGATTTATCAGTGAAAACCAAAAAGCTCCTATTCTCATGGAACTTGAAACCTAGTAAGACAATATACAATAAATAAATAAATCAGGTGATAAGTACATTATTAAACCTATTGATTCAAAAAATATTACTCAATTCAGAGAAATGAGCAATCAGTGGTAGGTTTTCTAGTGTCCTCCTAAGCCAGATATGAGTTGAACACCTCTCTTGTTCTAGGGCCACAGCTGATATATAGGAGACCACCAAGAAACACAGAAAAAGATACTATGGAACCATGTTCAAATCACCACACTTCTGGTTTCATGATCTTATTACTTAGACCTATTTGGCCATCACCTACACTTGTGAATTCAGAGTCCTGATGGCTTTGTATTTTGTAATTCCTCCTTGATAACCTGTTGTTCTCTAAGCGTTTCCTTGTCTGTGGGGACTCCTCATCCAATGCTGGCTCAACTGACTGATAACTGGGGACCACTTTCTAGTTCTCCCAGAACTGATGTTATGACCATACTAGGTGATCTGCTCCTTAATCTGACAGCAGTCTTGGGAGGTTTGTAGCATCATAATTGTTTTGAAGAATTGGGGAACCTGAGCCCATGTGAGTCAAATGACTTGTTCAGTATTATACAGCTACAAAATCTCAGGAACATGATTCAATGCCAAGACCTCTTGAGCAAATCAAATATGAAATACTGCCCTGTTTGTGAATGTTTCTTATCATGTTCAATATTTCTTATCATATTAAAGTATGTCTCTCTTAAGACTGTAGAAACCGTGTAATATACACCTCCTTTCTTCCCCACACTTCTGGTACCTAACAGTATTCTGAGAGTAAAGCAAAATCTGCTAAATTGGTAAAAAATATTTTGATTGATAAATGATTGACTTCAAAGGATGTTTTACCCATGTGAAAACAACACGGTGGTAACCATGGAATGATATTTTTCAAAAAGAAAAGTAAACAATTAGCTTTAACTAGCTGACAGCAAAGATGTTCAAATAATAAATGAATTTACTCTGATGGTTATGTAGATAAATATTAATGTGGTCTGGAAACATTTCCATAAGTTACATGGACATGAGTTAGCTCTAACAATGATACTGTAGAAGCATTAAGGCCTTTAAAAATAGTGATTAGGGAACAACATGGATCATCATTTTAAAATAACTCTTCTTCATGGCTTAAAGTACAACTGTTACCAACAATCATAACAATTCAAGTTTATGGTCATAGAGTGAGTGCACTGGCAGTTGCTGGACTGCCTGGCTCTCACATGGGACACAGCAACTATCAATCTGCCTCTACCATTCAAATAACGTACGCCCACCACAAGTGCCTCTCAGAATTCACACCACCCATGAACAGTCATTAACTTGGATGACCAGCACGCTGCTCAACCAAAATTAAAAAACAAAATATTTAGTATACTTCAGTATGATTTAGTACCTACAAACATGGTGGTCATAAATCAGGAGAATTTCCCCAACAGGAAAGACATAAATCTTCCAGCTCCCTTTTAGAAATCAAAACAGCTCATGCTATGGCCCAAACTGTCATGGGATCATGAAATTGTAGTGCTATGGGAACCTGGAACAGTGTGTGCACCCATTTCTGTCCTCTTTTAAGAGGTCCCCTTTCAACAAGTACAGACACAGGAAAGACATGTTAGAGATCTCCAAAGAAGGAGTTTTTAGCAGTTTATTTGGTTTCTTTAATTTACAAAATGCAATTAAATATTATATACATGTTCTCATGTACAGGTCCTCTTCCAACAATTAACATAAAACTGTTTTTAGTGACTCTTAGGTGTACAGCTGCTGACACAAATGGAACTTGAACCGCAGAGTGACTGAAACAATAAATTATTTCTTGCTCAAATAACAGTCAAGGCAGATGTTTCTCATTGATGGTGGTGATTTTCCTCCATCTGAAGAAACACATGGTGGCTCACTAACCAGGCTGACTGGGGCTCTTTCACCTTCAACACAAGTTCTTTTTCATTCTAGTCACCCAGAAGGGCTTAGACCAGTGTGTGGAAGATTTTCAAGGAACATGTCTGGAAGTGATTTCTGTTACTTCCACTTGGGTGCCATTGCTTAGACTCTGTCCTGTGGTGAATGTAGCTGCAAGGGAGGCTGGGAAGCATGGTTGTGGCTGTGTTCTCAGAAAGAAAAGAAGACTATGCACAGGTGGCCATCCCTATCTCAGTGTCCTTTCCTCTACAGAAACTTTTCCCTGAATTATCTGCATTTTGTGTCTCATTTCCCTCTAATTATTCCCAAGTGCTTATCTGTGTTTTCATTTTGGCACAAATTTTTATTCTACAAAGTTAAGATTCAGCAGTAAAGACAAAAGGGCAGGGAGGGAACTTACTCTGATATATTTCTTTCTCAGCTGATGCCTAGAACTGTGCTCTAACCTTTACTTTGACTTAAAGCAGATGACTACTTCAATTGATTTGAAACAGAAACAAACACATCTTCATAGTGATCACCCATCATTTACAGGAATATTACTAAATTGGCTTTTAGTCTTCTCCTCTTCTCACTGCATACAAGTACTCTTCTCTCAAAAGCCTTACTTCCAACCGAATAACTATCTCCATAGATTACCTCTGAGTATTCCATGGCCTCCAAACTAAAACAAACCAATACATTTACTCCTCTTCAGCAATATTCATCATCATCATAAAAACACATAGACGATATTTCTGGAAATTCATTCTCTGTATGCTGAATGTTTCCCAAGTTTGCTTATAAAAGTTCTCATAAAATCTCTGTTTATCTCATTATGTCTTTTATCAGTATGACAGAGAACAAATCTAGGTTCCATATCTGAGAATAAGTGAGAAGGTGTGATAGATTTCCAAAAGAAATCAGTGTGCCTTGGTCCCCTTTAGACCCTAGAGACCATAGGCCCAACCAGGAACTTGAGCTACCCCTCTAAGGGACCCCATGAAGACTCAGCCAGAGTGAACTATAAGCTAAAGAAGTTGATGGCAGGACACCATAAAACCATATTTGAATGTTGCTCCAATTACCCTGGAAGCTGTCTTGGGTGCAACACATTCACTCAATGGAGTGCCTCTGTATTTTATGTACTTTTCTGCCTACAGTCACTTATGTTAGGGAGGAAATTTTCCCCATCCAAAACTTTAACATTCATCAAAAAATTAAGAATCATTATTCCAGGCATTTTTTGAGGGCTTCATTTTATTCCACCATTTCTGAGTGAGTAGAAAGCATTTTCTGAAAGTTTTCCTACCCTATTTGTCACTTACCAACACTTCACCACTCTTCATTTTCTTTCTCTTTGTCTGCTGAATTTCTTTCTTCTCCCTCTAATGTATGGGGGCTAGAATTGGTCCAGGGAAGGGAAGAGAAAGAGAAACCTTAAAGTGTTTCATTCCCAATTCTTCGCTTTCCCCTGTACCTCACCTGTACTGTGAAACTGGCCACGGGGAGATGTTGGCCTTCTCCCTGTCATCTTCCCTTGCTCTCCAAATTCGTGCTGCCATCTGCACGAATGGATCCCACATAGATTTTATCCTATAAAACTACAAGATCTCCAACTGTCAGTAAATATGTTATCAAGGGGTTGCTAACTGCTGGAAATTTATGTTAAATAGTACCAATCTCCCCCTCCTTTATAGAACAGTTGCCTGCCAGACTTCTAAACTTAAGGAATTCATGAATTAAGATATATATTCATGCTGAGAACAGCATACTCTTAAGGTTACAATACTTACCAATCCTACTCTATCATCATAATTTGATTATCTCATTCTTAACACTGCTAAGAGTCAGTATGGTGTTGAGGTGGAAGTAAATGGTTTTTATTTTTGCATCAGAGAACCCTAAGTTTCAATCCAGATTGCAACTTAATGACAATATAACTTTAGGCGAATTGTATATCCCCTCTGAATCTCAGTTTCTACATTTGTAAATTGAGGATAATAATTCCTACATTGTTGTTATTACTTATAAGTAGGAGCTAAATATGTGAACACGTGGACACAAAGGAGGGACAACAGACACTGGTGCCTACACGAGAGTGGACGGTGGGAAGAGGAAGAGGGGTGGAAAATACAACTATTGGGTACTAGGCTTAGTACCTGGGTGACAAAATAATCTGTATAACAAATGCACGTGATACAAGTTTACCTGTATAAAAAACCTGCACATGTACCCCTGAACCTAAAAGTTAAAACAATAATAAAAATTCCTGTATTATAAGGATTGTTGATTAAATGACAGAGAGTGCATGCCGTGCTCAGCATTTTAAAGAGACTCAGAACTTTTCCTGGCACTAAGGACATCTTTAGGGCAGTAATCTTGTATCTGATCTCTGTATTAATAAATGAATGAATGAATGAGTGAATGAATGAATTGATCTAGTTAGTGTTCAAAAAATTTTTTAAGTTTAATCCATAACAGATAAGCATGGCATGTCAGTTATGCATTGTGCATTGTGTAGCCTTAAGGCAGACAGACACTATCAGCTAAATGAAGCAAACTTTGAGTTAAGATAAGAAAAGTCACAAAATATACAATCCATTGCCCAAACCATGCTTCAAAACTATTTGTTGAATGACAGCTGTTTCTGCAAACACCAGAGTCTAACTCCCCAGTGAAAGAGAGAATGAATGCTTTAAATATTGCTTTGTACACTCCCCTCTTTGATCCTGTAGTATAAGGATACAAAAAAAGATATCCAGATGGATTACCATAAAAGTCTAGAAAAAATGCACTCCACCTCATCCCCATAACCCCCATAAAATTACCTAGAATATCAGGTCAGAAACTCTAAGGTAATTGGAAGCTGTTTAGAACAAACTGAAACATTCTAACCAAGAATTCTGATCATTAGAAATTGATTTCTTAGCATTAGTTGAACCTGTATCTCAGGATGAGGAAGATAAGACTGCTTCCAGAGTTTCCCACCGCCTGTATTTCTATTTTGTATATCATAATCTGAGTGTAGAATACTTTTAATCATATATTGAATAACAATATGTTTTCTGACAGATATAATTTGTTCTTTTATGTAAGTGTTTTGAGGACGCTTTCAATATTCTGACCTATGATTTCATTCTATTCAGGGACAGATACTCTTCCTACAGACTGAATCTCTGACCTTTACAGTGGAATTGAACAGTGTCATAGGATTCACTTAACAAAAGTGTTGCTGCAACACAAGCTTTAATGGAACCTTTCACTGAACGAGGGACACCTGTTTTAATGTTGTCTTGATTCTATTTGCTGATAGAAATGGAAGTAACAAAGATACAATAACTATGTCTGTACACAAATGAAACCAAGCCATTTCTCTTCAATGGAGACAGTCATAAAATGAAGGCAAAATTGAAACATTTCACCTTTTACTTTTCGGTAAAATTCTCCCCATACTTATGAAGACAACATTTCAATATTCTGCCAAAACTTACAATGGAGTCCATTCTCATCCCCTAATTAACCCCTCTTAAAGTCTTCCAGCATTCTTGAAGTCTCTGGAGCCGTGCTACTGCTTCCAAGTAGCTAATGTGCTGTTATTTTACAACACTCTGCCAGAGTTGCTTTTGCTCAAACAAGAATCCTACTGGCTTTACCATTTGGCTGCCTGTAGTATGTAAAAAGAAAAAAAAACCATAAACCAGATGGCGGAAATACAGAGTAATCTGTTTGGGAAGCCCAGGTTATAAATATGTGCATGTTGGGAAAGGGCAAAAAGTTGAGGTAAAGCAGCTGATGCAGCTTGCAGGCTAAGCTCCAGTCATGACCATTTTTAGACTAGTGCACTAAGAGATGTCTATATATTTATTTTCTATTATATTTTCCCTCTCCTGCTCAGGAAAAATCCACTGGGGTTAACTGTGGATACTTTCCCACACTGGAAACCAAACTGAATCCTGACTTGGAAGGTTTAGCCAATGTTTTATCTGCATAAAGACATATTCTTCTGCTGGGATGGGAAGGGGGGCAGTGAGGTGTTGGGACTGGGGCACATCATACAGTTACTCAACCTGCTCCTTCCTTCACCATTCCCCAATATATATAAGGATCTCTCCTTATCCCAACATCTACATCCAAGTGAACTAAGGTTAAAGTGAAAATAAAAGTTAAGCTTGAATGAACAGATGCTCTAAATCAGAGCTTGTGTGTGTGTTGGGGGCTGGGGAATGGGTAGGAGGGAGATGCAGTTAAGTAAGGAAGAATGAACCTTTACCTTTGTGCACACTTCTCTCTCTCTCTCTGTGTGTGTGTGTGTGTGTGTGTGTGTGTGTGTGTGTACAGGAGACCATTGCATTCATATGAATAGCAAGATCTTTCATGCTCCAGCTGTTGAATCACATCATTCTCTGCTTCTATGGTCTTCAAGAGTTGCAACCTGGCCACCATTGATTAGCTCAGGCTATAAAAAGATTCTCTTCAGTGATTGTACTGTTGTGCCTATGTGGTGTGCTTTTTAGGTACAGTAGACAGACAGTTAAATGGATGTGGCCTGCCTCCTTGAGATTCGTGCACTAGAACTAGCACCAACATTGCAGTCAGACCTTCTAAAAATCTACAAGCAACTGCACACCTTAGAACCCTGCCCTTACCACTCTAAGGAAGAAGCTTGAACACACTGTGCCGTAACTGTAGCACTCTCAGGCATATAGCCCACTGGGGGAAATGTTGATGACTCCGATCATTTCAGTTCTTCTCCAAGGGTTCCTGGGATCTCTCCCAAGCACTCTCAAAGACCTCTTCAGAATTCCCTTAGCTGCTTCCTGGGGCTTTCCTCTCCTCTCTTCTCATTACTCCTGACCTCCGCCACTGCCTGATGCTAGTGGCTGCAGCTACATTCCCATTTTTCTCTCATGACCTCAGCCATGCTGGTATAATCTCACCGGGTCTGCTCCCACAGCTGCTGCGTGAAGGTGAGGAGAGAATTCTCTTCCCACTGGCTTTATTCTTTATTGTTAAAGCACAAATGAGAGAGCCATGTGCTTTCAGACTCTTCCAGCACTCCTTTAATTGTTTCTATCTTTCAGCTTTTTGTGCTTTCCTCCTCTTCTTGGGGTTAATCACAAATGCTGAAGAGGTGCATTGGGACAGAATTCAAGGGTCAAGGCCAGGGTTACAGCTGTGGCCATTATCAGCCCTCTTATTTGAGCCTCCCACTAGGGTCCAATGGCCTCCACCTTCCCACCAGACAGGGTGTCCAGGGAGTGCTTATACGGTTTGCAGGACTCTTCCCTGGGAGTAGCCATAAGCTCAAAGAGCCTTTTCAAAAAGTTCTTTGTCCTCTGACATGCTCAGTTTTCAATGATCTTATAGTTTAAGCTGATGTTCTTGCATTCTTTCAATGTAAATACTCCTTACAGATGTTCCATGTTATTGTTGAGGGTTCACTGTGATTAAGAGACAGTCAGCCCTGCATAAAGTTACAGTACAAATTAATTATTTATGTTGGTAAATAATAAATGTTTATTCACATTAACTTTAAAAAATGGGGTATTGTCGTAACTTTAAAGTGTTTACAAAGACCAACTGTCTAAAATATCAAAAAAAAAAGAATAAAGTCAACGAGCAGCCTTTTAAGTTCTTAGGAGACTCTCCATAATCCTCTTAAAAACTTAAACAGGTACTCAAGACCCACAGCCATTTGGTGCTGGGTTCTTCTGCCTCTTGAATTATCTCAGCAAGATGAGCTCTTGCTCACCTTGGCTGAACTGTGTTCACCCAAAATTAATATGTTGAAGCTTTAACCCTTAATGTAACTGTATTTGGAGGTAGGACCTTTAAGAGGTAGTTAAGGTTAAATGCAGCCATGAGGGTGGGATCCCGAGCCAATAGAATTAGTCTCTTATAAGAAACACCAGAGGAGACTTCCTCTCCCCCCCCCTCCCCTCCCCTCCCCTCTTCCCATCTCCCTCTCCTTCTCTCTCTGCTCTGAGAGCCACAGAGGAAAGGCCATGTGAGGTCTCAGCAAGAAGGCCATAGTCTACAAACCAGAAAGGCAGCCCTTACCAGAGACCAACCCTGCCAGACCTTGATCATGGACTCCTAGCCTCCAGAACTGTGAGAAAATTAATTTCTGTTGTTTAAGTCTATGGTATTTCATTTTGGTAGCTCGAGGAGATGAATACAAGCCCATCAGTATGTATCTAGTGTCTGCTTCAAACAGGCTAAACAAATCTACATTTCTTCCTTTGAAGGAAGAGAAGCACAAAATCACATTCCAAGCTATCTTCATAAAAAGCAGCTGAAGAAAGGTAGCATGGGTGAGGTGGGGTATAAAAGACATTTAATGGGCCGGGTGCGGTGGTTCATGCCTGTAATTGCAGCACTTTGGGAGGCCGAGGCGGGTGGATCACGAGGTCAGGAGATTGAGACCTTCCTGGCTAACACGGTGAAATCCCGTCTGTACTGAAAATACAAAAGATTAGCTGGGCCCGGTGGCAGGCGCCTGTAGTCCCAGCTACTCGGGAGGCTGAGGCAGGAGAATGGCATGAACCCTGGAGGCGGAGCTTGCCGTGAGCCGAGATGGCGCCACTGCACTCCAGCCTGGGGACAGAGCGAGACTCCGTCTCAAAAAAAAAAAAAAAAAAAATACATTTAATGTAAAGCCCTAATCAGAGGCAACGTGTAAAAGCAGAGAAAGCCAGATATCTTGGAGTAGGGAGAAAAAAAGGTAATTTATCAAGCCCCATAAATGTTCATTTTAGAGCCAAATGCAAGTCTTTTTTGTCTGAGAACTATTTCTTGTTTACAGAATGAAGTCTGCCCTATCTTGCAGTTCATTTATAGCTACAGATTTGGGAACTGTAGGAGAATTTTCAAGGCAGGCTTTTTCTACTTTTCTTGCAAGTCTTTCCACCCTAGTTTAAAAGAACACAGAAGTCTTTCAGGCCTTTACCCATGTAAGAACAGAAGAATCTCTTTGGTAAAGAATTGGGTAATTGTCTCTGTTATATCTCCGGTGTTTCTTATAAGAGACTAATTCTATTGGCTCAGGATCCCACCCTCATGGCTGCATTTAACCTTAATTACCCCTTAAAGGTCCTCCCTCCAAATACAGTTACATTAAGGTCCTTTGCCATCATGTTTCATGCCTGGATTCTTCAGTCTTTGTAGGACAGTCCCTTCCCTGTGTGGAAAGCCATATATACTATTTTATTTGTGTAACTTTATCTTTCCATATGTAGATAAATTACAAATCTGTGTTTTCATCTCCATTCTTCTAAGTTTAAGCTTCATAAGTCCAAGAGTTTCCTAGATATTTCTAATAGACTATCACATGTTAGCCATCTCACACATCCCATGTCCAAAATGGAAATCATATGTTTTCCCCCGAATTGTTCCATCTCATGTATTCTAAGACTATTTGATGACTCATCTGTCCCTCAGTCTCGCAGGCTAGATAGAATTCTCCAGGACACCTTCAACACGTCTCACTTCTTGGCTGTGTTCAGCCCTATGCCCTACAGTCTACTCAGTCACCAAATACTTCACATATGTACCTCAAAACTTTGCTATCCATGCTCTCTCACCATCACTGCCGCTGCCTTAGCCCAAGTTTTCTTAATTTATTGCCTGGATTCCCCACAACCTTCTAGTTTATCTCCCAGCCTCAATGCAACTGTGACTAGTGCTTCCCTACTTAGACTTATATTTCACTTGAGTTCCCATTGGCTTTTATCACAAGCTTTCTCCTGAAATTATTGTTATCACAGTCACCTGTTATCTTTAAATATGAAATCTAATTAATTCTTCTCAGACCTCATTATCATGGTTCCCTTTAGCATTTGATGTTGTTGTCTGTTCTTTTCATCAAAGCGACTGCACCCAGATCTTGGACCTATTTTCCCCGGTTATTTTTCTACCTTATTATTTTTTCCCATCTCCTCTGTCGGTTCTTCTTCCTCTGCTCACCCTTTAAACTCTGGAGCTCTGGAGAGCTCTGTGGTCTTCTCTTTCTGTTTCACATGCTTCCCCAGGTGATCTTTTCTTCCACAGTTTCTGCTGCCCCTGGTAGTCCTCTTGATCTGGGTCTTTCCCTGAGTTGCACACGGTATTTTAAACTTCTAAATGAAAGCTGCAGTTTGATGATGTCTCACAGAAACTCAAATCACAATGCTACAAACTAAACCCCATATCTGTTTCCCTCAATCTTCTTTACCTTAACTATTTCTTACCAAGAATTCTTGTTACCAACCCAGCTATACAAAGCAGACACTCACTCATTAAACTTTTTAATAGAGTCTATTGCCTAAAAAAAGAAAAGTTCAAATTCTTTAGTATGAGTGTATCTGGCACCTTTGAGGCCCAGTATCTCATTCCCTCAGCTGAACTCTGATTTCAACAGGAGGTATTAGCTGGAATAGGCTACATCCCTTACCAGAATGCACCACTTGTCTTTCTAACCCAGTCTCCTCTGAAGCCACATGCTTGGCCAAGGCACAAGCACAGCCCAAAAAACCCAATACTGTGGGGGAAGGAAGCTTATACTACCCGGGGAAATCCTCAACCGATGGGAGATGCAGTCCAGTAGATGACTGACCTAGCATGGTGCTTCTTTATATATTGATATGGCAGAATTTGTCTATTTTACTGTTGTTGGACATTTGAGTTGATGAGTCCGTTGAATTTTGTATCTTTACCTAATAGATGTGCTTCATTATTATTTCTAATAGTTTTCCTATACATTCTTTTGGGATTTCATATAAAGAACCCTATTGCCTACAAATAATGATAGTTTTTTTTCTTTGCAATCATTATAATTTTGTCTTTTTCTTGTCTTACTGTCCTGTGTAAGATGGTAACTAAAAAGGTGATGATAGTACATATTCTTGGTGTGTTTCTGATTTTTTAAAAATTGCTTTTAATTTTTCGCTGCTAAAATGATGTTTTCTATGCTTTTTCTTTTATAACTATCTTTCATTAGGATAGATAAATTCTTATCTATTTCTAATTTTTCGAGAGTTTTTTAAATCATGAATTAATGTTGTATTTTATAAAACACTATTCCTGCTTCATATTGAGTTGATTATATGGTTTTTCTCCTTTAATCTGTGAATGTACTAATTACACTATTGATCTTTGAAATTTTAAACCCACCTTTTTTTTTTTTTTTTTTTTTTTAGCACAACTGAGCTAAGCCAACTTGATAGTTTTTACACATTCCTAGGTTGGGTTTGAAAATATATTTATTTAGAATTTTTGCATCTGTGGTAATGAGTCAAATTGGCCTATAATTTTGATATTTGAGGCTTGTTACAGTAACCTCATATAAGTTGTTGGGGAGCATTTCTTTGTTTTCTGAAGGACTTTATGCAAATATTCACTAATATCTGTTCCTAAAAATCCCTCTACATCCACTGTTTTATTCATGGGATGATTTTTAGCTATTGAACCAGTTCCTTTAGAGATTATAGGATAATTAAGTTATTTTTTCTTGCTTTACTAACAGCTTTAATAATTGGTATTTTTCTTCCAATGTATTTAACTACAGGTAAAATTTTACTGATGTATAGTTGTTTCTACTATTCCCTTTACTATCTTTTGAAATCTCTATTATATCTTTTTTAGTCAGTCTTTCTTGAGGTTTGTCTTTTTTAAAAACTTTTATTTAACTCTTCTATTATACATTTGTTTTCTAATTTATTCATTTCTGCCTTCATAGTTTGTCACTTTTGTATTTCCTTTGGATCAATTCTGTTTGGTTTTCACTTTTTGAGTATTTAGCTCCCATATTCCCAAGGCTTTCTTATTTTCCAATGCATTGATTTAAGGTTATACATCTTCCTCTAAGTATTGTTTTAATTTCATTCTATTGGTTTTTATAAGTAGCACTTTCTTATTATTTGATCATGAGTACTTTCGATTCCCTCTATAATTTGGCTTTTACTTATAAATTATGTAAAAGGGTTTTTTCTTAGTTTGCAAGTATATAGTTATTCCAAAGAGATATTTTCATTGGTAATAACTAAACTACACTATTTGCAGATACAGAATGTGTTTTTTCTGATACCTTTCCTTGAAAGATTATTTAGACATGCTTTGAAGACAATAAAGTGGTTAATTTTTATAAATGTCACAGTATGCTTGGAATTTATATTATTCTGCAGTAGGGGTAGTTGAGAGAAGGTGAGAGAAGGGGAATATTTTTTGTGTGTCTATTAGATTAAACTTATTAATTATACTTTTAAAACATTTTGTGAGTTTTTTTGTCTTCTTGATATATCTTATTTTACCAAGTAATTTAGTTATAATTTCTCTTTGTGTTGTTGATTTTTCTTTTATGTGTTTTGAAGTTGTGTTAAGGGCAAACAAGTTGAGAATTGTGAGCTTCATGCTCACTTGGATATTATCAAGATGTAGTAATACATTTTAGAATCAATATGGCTTAAAATGTTGATATTATCCAAAGCAATCTTATAAATTCAATGCAACCTCTATCAAAATACCAATAAGTTTCTTCACAGAAATAGAAAAAATAATCCTAAAATATATATGGAACTACAAAAGAACCATAATAGCCAAAGCCATCCTGAGCAACAAGAACAAAACTGGAGGAATCACATTACCTGACTTCAAATTATATTACAGAGCAATAGTAACCAAAATAACATGATACTAGCATAAAAACAGACACATAGACCAATGAAAGAGTGGAGAAACAAATCCATACATCTACAGTGAACTCATTTTCAAGAAAGGTGCTGAAAACATACATTGGGGAAAGGACCATCTCTTTGATAAATGATGCTGGGAAAACTGGATATCCATAGGCAGAAGGAAAAAACCAGACATCTATTTCTCACTATATACAAAAATCAAATCAAAATGGATTAAAGACTTAAATCTAAGACCCCAAACCATGAAACTACTACAAGAAAACATTGGGGAAACTCTCCAGGACATTGTTCTGGGCAGATTTCTTCTTGCCCAGTTAAAATAGCTTGCATCCAAAAGTCAGGTAATAACAAATGCTGCCAGGGATGTGGAGTAAAGGGAACCCTTGTACACTGTTGGTGGGAGTGTAAATTAGTATAACCACTATGGAGAACAGTATGGAAGTTCCTCAAAAAACTAAAAATAGAACTATCATATGATCCAGCAATCTCACTGCTAAGTATGTATCCAAAAGAAAGGAAATCAGTACATCAAAGAAATATCTATACTACCATGTTTATTGCAGCACTATTCACAGTAGCCAAGATTGCAACTGCAGTGTCCAACCACTGATGAATGGATAAAGAAAATATGGCACATATGCACAATGGAGTACTAATCAGCCATAAAAAGAATGAGATCCTGTCTTCCAACAACATGGATGAAACTGGAGGACATTATGTTAAGTGAAATAAGTCAGGCACAGAAAGATAAACTTTGCATGTTCTCACTCATTTATGGGAGCTAAAAATAAAAACAATTGAACTCATGGAGATAGAGAATAGAATGATTGTCACCAGAGGCTGGGAAGGGTAGTGGGATAGGGGTAGGGGTGGAGTGGGCAAATGGATACAAAAATTTAGTTAGAATGAATGAGAGCTATTATTTCATAGCACAATGGAGTGACTATAGCTTACAATAATTTATTGTACATTTAAAAATAAAACTTTACAGTTGGACAGTTTGTAACCCAAAAAAGTGATAAATGCTTAAATGATGAATAGCCCATCAAAAAAAAATATATATCTACCCTTTACCCTTTGTCTCAGTGGTTTCACCGGTAGAGTTTACCCAAAGGAAATTAGCCATGCAAATATGTGTGTTCAAGAATATTTACTGCAGCATAGTTTATCATATATTTAAAAGTTGAGATCCACCTAAATGTACTACAGTAGGAAATTGGTTTAAATGGTTCACCAAACAGTGGAATACTGGGCCACTATTATGAATGATGTTGGCTCATGGGCTTCCTGATGTGATTCAATGAGAAGAAGACAACATCACTTATGTGGTATTCCTGCCAAAAATGCATAAACATCAGACATACCCAAATTTAAGAATAGTCTACAGAATAACTGCCTATATTCTTTTAAAATGTCAGTATAACAAAAGGCAAAGTAAGTCTAAGAAACTGTACCCATATTAAAGGAAATCAAAAAGACTTGACAATGAAAGGCAATACATGATCCTGGATTAGATCTTGGGCCAAGGAAAAAAATTGTTATAAAGGACATTATGAGGCAATTGGCAAAACTTTAATATGGACCGTAAATTATATCATAATGTTACATCAGTATAAGTTTTCTGATTTTAATCATTGCACTGCATTATGTGAAAGAATGTTTTTGTTGTTAGGAAATTCACATTGATGGGTTTAAGGGTAAGGGGGCATCTTGTGTGTAACTTACTGTCAGGTGGCTCAGAAAAAATACTAATGTGTATTTATAAAGAAATAATGATAAAGCAGATGTGGTCAAATGATATCAATGTGTGAATCTGAGTGAAGAGTATCCTCAAATTCTTTTTAGTATTCTTGCCCTTCTTCTGTGAGTTTAGAAGTATTTCACAAAGGCTAAAAAAAGAAGAAAGATGTGGTAACTCTTTTTTAAAAATCTCTAGTGATGCTTTTCCTTTAAAGACTAATTTGTCTGACATTGTAACTATATTAGATTCATTTTTCTTACCAGCTCTCTAGCATAATTTTACCCACATTTTACTTTCATCCTTTTTGTGTCCTTATATACTCAATGTGTCTCAGTTTCATATGTGTGTGCATATCATATATATCTATATGAAATTAGTAGCATATTTTACATGCTGTTGTGTAGCCTTTTATTTTTAAAATATCATGAATATTTCCATTTATTAATATTTTTCCAAAAATTAATAGCTATATAGTATTCCATTCTATGTATGTACGCTGCTTTCAGATAAGTTTGTTTTCCTTAAGTTTTTACTATTATAAATAACTTGATAAACTTTTTTATTCATACATACTTACAAATTCCTCCAATTGCTTCCTTATATAAATTTCTAGAATAAAACTTTCCCATTTAAATATTTAAAAAAATATTTGGAGCACACAGTCATTTGAGAATATTCCCTATAGAAAAAAAGAAAAACTAATACTTTCATCAGAAGTGTAAGAAGGTAGCCTGAGCAACATAGTGAGACCTTGTCTCTACTTAAAACCAAAAAACACATTAGCTGGGCGTGGTACTAGGGATCTGAGGTGAGAAGATTGCTTGAGCCCAGGAGGTCAAGGCTGAAGTGAGCCATAATTCCACCACTGCATTCCAGCCTGGGTGACGTAGCGAGACCCTATCTAAAAAACCAAAAAAGTATAGGAAGGTGATTTTTTTCCCCACATCCTACTAAATATTAGCAGTATATAGTCTTTTTATCCTTGCTATTGGGACAGGCAAAATTAAACAAATAAACAAAATAGTGTATCTTGGCATTTTATGTATGGGAAATTTTCTGTCTTGTCTTAATTATATCTTTTTTTAAAAATTTTATTATTAGTATACTTTAAGTTTTAGGGTACATGTGCACAACGTGCAGGTTTGTTACATATGTATACATGTGCCATCTTGTACTCATTTAAAAAAATGTTATTTTTGATGTGCAAGAAATCCATGAGACACTATGTTCTATGATTTTAAAATATTTTTTTAAATTATTTACCCTTTAAGAAATAATAAATAACTTGTTATTTACCTTTTAATTTTGTTGACACTGTTTTTATGTACGGGTGTTTGTTTTTATATTTCTCAATAATATAATCTCTTCATTTGTGGTTTATCTCTTTGTTGTTATGCTTAGAATGATCTTCCCCTCTCCAAGATTACATATATGTTCACTTAATTTTTTTAGAACTTCTGTGATTTTGCTTATGACACAAGGCATTCCTCTCTTTGGAATTTATTTATTATTTATTTTATTTATTTTTTGAGATGAATCTCACTCACTCTATTGCCCAGGCTGGAGTACAGCAGCGTAATCTAGGCTTACTGTAACCTCTGCCTCCCCAGTTCAAGTGATTCTCCTGCCTCAGCCTCCTGAGTAGCTGGGACCACCGGTGTGCACCATCACATCTGGCTAATTTCTGTAATTTTGGTAGAGTTGGGGTTTCACCATGTTGGTCAGGCTGGTCTCGAACTCCTGACCTCAATTGATAGGACTGTCTCAGCCTCCTAAAGTGCTGGGATTACAGATGCGAGCCACTGCGCCCTGCCTCTCTTTGGAATTTAAATTGGCAAATTCTGTGAATACAGTTTCTTATGAGATAAGTAACCAAATGTTGAATCATCTTTAAAAAAAATTTCTCTCTCACTGGTTTGTACTTCTGCGTCTATTGTGTTTTGAAGATGTAAATATTCTTCACCTGTTTCTAGACTTTTCAGGCTGTTTCACTGATTGCCTATGTGTTCTGTGGTTAGTGCCACACTCTTAAATGCCATTGCTTTATAATATGCTTCATTATCTTACAGTTCAAGTGCACATCATTTAAAAATTTTACATTTGGTGGATATTTTTGCTCAGTTGTTAATTCAGAGAAATTTTAAAATAACTGTGAAGTTCCTCTCCCAAAATAGCTTTTTGGGAATTGGATTGGACTTATATCAATTTTATAAATTAACTCAGGAATTAAGTCTCTCCAATATGGCATGCCTTTAATTCTAGTTAACGAAGAAGCATAAATGGGACCTAGTTGATGCCGTATGTATGGGGACTAGGTAAATAGCACAAATGTTTCTGTTGTTTAGTCTTGAATCTCAGGGAAATAAGGCATGGGAAGTGCCTTACAGTGACTTTGCTGCCTTTTTTCCCATGTAAAACAGTTCACAGCTTGTCTCATTACAGCATTTGTAAAAACAGTCTGAAAGCAGTGGTGCACAAATGAATTATTTAAAAGTTTTGCAGCAAATCGTCCTGGTCTGGCTTGCTGCTTCTTAATGCACTTTAAGTGAGCCCAGGGAGGCGAATCAGAGTGGGCACGGGGTGGAATGTAAACCGAGTTTTATTAGCTGCAAAAAGCCACTCGATAACATTTATTAAGTATCAGAGACAGTGTGTTTAAATAAGTTTGATTCCCTGAATAACCATCGACGTTGCAACCATCTTTTCTAGATAGGAACACTCCCTTGTCAAAAATATTTATTTTCTTGTCACTTCTACTAATATAATGGGCTCCTGGGGTTTTGTGACAGTTTCTTAGCAAATCATGATTTTCAGCAAATTACTATGTGTCTCCAACTGAATACAGCTTTAATAACTGGGGGAAGGAAAGGAAAGCCACACACATCATTGACAATATATCATCTTATTATCAGTGCCACATTTAGGGGCTTTAGCTGCCCTAAGAAAATGAGGAGCCACACACCCTCCATGTCCTTCCCAGTCCCTCCTCCAATGAGCAGTGTCAGTAAACTTGATCTTCCCCCAGTCAGCCTGGCCTGGGGTTAATTCCTTTTCTCTTTAGGGGTGTATCAGCCCTTAAGACCAAATAATTTATACCACAGTTGCCAAATCTGTTCCTATCTTTTTCTTTTCTGTGATGCCAAGCGAACCGGACAGATGCTCAGAATACGTCTGAGCCTAGCAGCACCTTTCTAATCTGACGTCAATAGGGTGAGTTGAGGATAGGTGTTTCTGGGATGCTGTGTTGTATATATCTGCATTATAAATCCTTTTTATCTTTGGCTAAGGTCATCAGTTTAACTCCAGACCAAAAAAAAAAAAAAATAAGTATAACAAAGTACTCGGTGGACAGGCGCTGGCTGATAAATATTTAATGGAACTGAGAGCTCACCTTAGGTATTTGTAAAATATTACCTGTTTTTGTGTTTGTCCTACTCCTCTACAACCAGAGGCTGCAAATGGTCATGTGTAAGTGTATGTTTGTGAGTTTATATGTGTGTGCTTGAACCAGGAAGGGAGGAAGGGAGGGAAGAAGGGAAGGATACCTGTTCATCCATTCATGTCTTTTGTTGTAAACAGTCCTTCTGCTAGGGAAATGTGCTTATTGCTTTTTCATCACTGCACACAAATTTGTGGGATTGCATTTCCAGAGATATTAGGGAAGATTCCATTATGGAGCTTTCATGTCCTTGGCTTTTACTGTCCATGTACTCCTTTGCAGCAGGGAACAAATATTTTCCTCAGTATGGTGACTGCCAAGATTGGTGCTGTCATTGAGAAGGAGGTTGTAATTCCTCTGGGCTTCTAACTGGCTGGGGCATTCAGGTCCTTGTTTGGGACATGAACTTGTTTTAGGATATTGATTTCAACTAGAGGTTATGAGACATTGAGGTTCATTCATTCATTCACTCATTCACTTAATCATCTAGCAAATACTTATGGTATAACTACTTTGTGGTGGGAATTCTGTTGGGTTCAGAGCTATATTCTCTGTTCAAATTGTTCATTTACTGAGGCGTTCAGAGTAAAAAAGAGGAAATTTGAAATACAGATGATACTTCATGTGACATAGGTGGTTACAGGAGTCTATCAGTGGAACATTGCCTCATTGACCCAGTATTCTCAGAGGTGTGGTAATGGAGAGGATCTGGCAAAGCCTTTTGGAAGATGTGGGATCCATGCTAAGACCTGAACATTGAGTAACAAACAGTTGAACAGGAATAACTGCATATGCAAAGGGTCAGAGGCAGGGGAGAATGTTTGGAATATTTCAAGGGACTTAAAGTAGTAAAATGTGACTGGAACTCAGAGGCATAAAATGTGAGGCTGAAGATAGAAGCATTTGACTTCAGCCTGCTAGGATTTTGCCTTAGCTCTAGAAGCCAATGTGTTGCATTAGAGATTTTGAGTGGGGAAATTACATGATCTGATTTGGAATGTAGAAAAGTTATTATTTTTTTTTGCAAGCATGAATTCAAAGAGAGAAAGATGACTATTAAACACAAAAATAATTTAGAGAAGATAAGACCAGAGTTTGAAAGGGCAACTAAGTGGCTAATTGGGCTGAGAGTTGATGGTCTGATCATGAACATCTCATTGGGAAGAGACAGAGGGTGTGTGTGTGTGTGTGTGTGTGTGTGTGTGTGTGTGTGTGTATGTTGTAATGTTTTAAACAAGACTGATTTTTTTTTATTTAATAGAAAAGAGAGGAAAGAGTCAAAAATGAGACCAGAGTTTCTGGTCTAAGTAACAAGATGGTTGCCACTTCTTGCAAAGGAGGTGACAGAAGCAGCTTCCTTCAGAGCAAGGCCTGGGGAGTCACAGTCCCGGGGGCACAACCGGGTGGAAATACCTTGTAGATAGTGGATAGCCAGGTCTGAAGTTCAGGAGAGACTTTCTAGTTTTCCCTTTTGCGGATTTTAACCACTCTAGAGTGGAAAAGGTAACTAATAATATCAATTTCGTCTACCTTCAAGAGACCACTTAGGGCATCTTCATAAAAAGATGGGGTCCAAAAATCAAATGAAAACAGCATTAGACAAATGTTTTTATGCTAGTCTATATCATATCAAACATTGAGATATTGGGAAATGTCTAGGCTTATAAATACTTTTTTAAAGTTTATATATATATATATATTTTTATTACACTAAGTTCTAGGGTACATGTGCACAACGTGCAGGTTTGTTACGTATGTATACATGTGTCATGTTGGTGTGCTGCACCCATTAACTGGTCATTTACATTAGGTATATCTCCTAATGCTATCCCTCCCCCTGCCCCCACCCCACAACAGGCCCTGGTGTGTGATGTTCCCCTTTCTGTGTCCAAGTGTTCTCATTGTTCAGTTCCCACCTATTAGTGAGAACATGCGGTGTTTGGTTTTTTGTCTTTCCAATAGTTTGCTGAGAATGATAGTTTCCAGCTTCATCCATGTCCCTACAAAGGACATGAACTCATCATTTTTTATGGCTGCATAGTATTCCATGGTGTATATGTGCCACATTTTCTTAATCCAGTCTATCATTGTTGGACATTTGGGTTAGTTCCAAGTGTTGTTATTGTGAATAGTGCCACAATAAACATATGTGTTCATGTGTCTTTATAGCAGCATGATTTATAATCCCTTGGGTATATACCCAGTAATGGGATGGCTGGGTCAAATGGTATTTCTAGTTTTAGATCCCTGAGGAATCACCACACTGTCTTCCACAATGGTTGAACTAGTTTACAGTCCCACCAACAGTGTAAAAGTGTTCCTATTTTTCCACATCCTCTTCAGCACCTGTTGTTTCCTGACTTTTTAATGATTGCCATTCTAACTGGTGTGAGATGGTATCTCATTGTGGTTTTGATTTGCATTTGACCCCAGAGTAGCTTAACTGGAAGGCACCCCTCCCCAATAGGGGCAGACTGACAGCTTACACTGCCGGGTACCCCTCTGAGACAAAACTTCCAGAGGAACGATCAGGCAGCAACATTTGCTGTTCAGCAATATTCACTGTTCTGCAGCCTCCGCTGCTGATACCCACGCAAACAGGGTCTGGAGTGGACCTCCAGCAAACTTCAACAGATCTGCAGCTGAGGGTCCTGACTGTTAGAAGGAAAACTAACAAACAGAAAGGACATCCACACCAAAACCCCATCTGTACGCCACCATCATTTTTTAAAGTTTTTTCTCGTGTGTGGCATTTTAAACAGGAAATAAATGCTCAGTAGGTCTCAGTGAAGATAAATATCACATATTTTAAAAGATTCTTAATTCCTGGTAACATGGGACACTTTTGCATTAAGTATTTTCTTAAAAAGGGATTTGTTATCTTAGGACACTGAACACCATTAAAAAGGAAGTTATTGTTATACAGAATTTGAGGCCTCTGGCATCAATCAAAGCAAAAATGCTTGACTTTTTTATGTAGTTGAACTTAATGGAGAAATTCAGAAACTAAATAAAGGAAAACTGATCTAAGTTGACATCCTTTTCCCACAAGTTTCTGTTAGAAGTGGGAGTGAGTTTTAGGACTCCTGGAAGAGTTAAAATAGCAGATAATACCTGATAGTACATTATTATTGAGTAAAGAAATAAACTGAGGGGAAATCCTTCTCTATGTGTGTAGGTATTTCACAATTTCTCTTCCTCTTCATATTCACTTTTGCTCCTGGCTGGCACCGTCTTGGTCTGACTGCATCTGTAGCACAGCTCTCACTAACACCTTTTCATTTTATTCACAATGTTGGAGCGTGTAGTCTGGTTTTCTGAAGATTTTACTTGTTAAGGTTTTGAGGTCTATTTTCCACCTCTGAGCCAACATGAGAGCAGTGGGTGTGGGTCAGAAGATGGGGTGAGTCCAGGAGCTGAGAAGAAAATGCAAGGAGAAAGAGAAAGGATTCATTCAATGATGAAGTGGATAAGGCCAATGTTTGCTTAGAGAATTAGAGATCATGGTCCTTCCCCAAAGATACAGAAGGTGCATAGCAACCCAGCAACCTGCATTCAGCAGAAGAAAAAGACTTACAAGTAGATCAGGAGTGACCCATGGAAGAGCACTGCCTTCTTTGTGCAGGCTTCTGGGGATAGAAAAATTCACAGATAAGATTATGTGTATTTCCCATGGACAACCTGATGGTTTGAAGTTTTTATACATAGTGAAAAGACTAAATCTTGGTAATAAACGTATACATGATACATCATTAAAGTAATAACTAACTTTAGAAGAAAAAACACACTAATACATTATTGTGTAGTGTACAATAACTTACCCTAAACACATGCTGTATTAGTCCGTTTTTAAATTGCTATAAAGAAATACCTGAGACTGAGTAATTCATAAAGAAAAGAGGTTTAATTGGTTCACAATTCCACAGGCTGTACAGGAAGCGTGATGCTCCCATCTGCTCACCTTCTGGGGATGCCTCAGGAAATTATCAGTCATGGTAGAAGGCAAAGGGGAAGCAGGCAGGTCACATGGCTAGAGCAACAAGAGACAGAGGGAAGAGGCGCTATACACTTTTAAACAACCAGATCTCGTGAGAACTCTATCACTATCCAGTACTAAGGGGGGATGGTGCTAAACTATTCATGAGAAACCACCTCCATGATTCAATCACTTCCCACCATGCCCCACTTCCAACATTTGGGATTATAATTCAACCTGAGATTTGGGTGGGAACATGGATCCAAACCATATGACACACTTTCCCCACAATAGCAAATATTTTCCAAAAAATTAATTACTAATTCTTCAGTAGTATGGTTTCAACTGGAGTCTAAGTTTTCTCATAATCTTTAACATCACTTTCAGTGAGCAGTGTCTGCATGTGGCATGGGTGAAAGCCTGGAAGTCTTGACCTGTTTAGCATCTTTGACTCAGTGGGATTTCAAGGCATATTGAAAACTACTCTGGTTTTATGCTGAAAGTTAAATAAACAGCTTTGCTTGAATTATCAGACAAAAGCTTTTGGCAAAGAGTTGTTGAGTTCTTACATGATTGTCCTTCATGAAATTTATTTCAGTGACACCAAAGTCTCTACTTTAGAAAATTCTAGAGGTCTTCAAAGGATTTTACAATTTTTACCAGTTTTAATTATCATAACTGATTTATGCCTAATTTTTGTTTGTATATATAATATATAAAATTGTATAATGTTGGATTGTAATGTAATATTTTAAAAATATATTTAAAACAAGGATGAAATGTTCCCAAATACAAAATAACTCAACTGAGGCAACAATGGCATGAATAGATTGCTTTTATAACAACCAAGTCAGGCCACAGCTGACTCACTTTTCCATCTGGTAATTCTTTTTAACTGTATTTATAAATAGGTAAAACATGCAAATGATAGGTAATTCCAAGAACCCAAAATAGTGAAAAGTGAGTTTCCTGGTTCTCCTCTCCAGGGGCAAGGAGAACTCTTACCAGTTTCTTATGTATTTCCACACACATTCTCAATGTATAACTATACACTTTTATGTAACATGCTCTGTATTTTATAAACATACTCAGTTTTTGTACCTTTTTTTCACTTATTCCTTTCTCAAAATCTGTTCATTTTAGTGCATGTAATTGACTCATGCCTTTTTGCACTTGAAGAGTTTTGTATCATTTGAATTTGCCATAATTTATATAACCTTAATTAATCTTTTATGAATCAAGGTTTATTCACAGATAATCCTTTATTAATGGAGATTTTGATTGTTTCTTTTACTTTTTGTTTTTGTATTTTTGTCAATGACAATGCAATACCAGTCACTCCTATACATACATTATTGTACCTATATATGTGTGTGTCTTCAGGGTAAGTTCCCAGAAGTAAAATTACAGGGTCAAGCAAATAAACATTTTTGATTTTGATAGATAATGATAGATTGTCTTCTATAGATATTGTACCAATATATACTTCTACCAAGTTTGTAGGAGAATGCCACTTTCACCAAATAGGTACAGCATGTAATCAGCTTGTTTGATCTTTGTCAAACTTGTAGGTGAAAAATAAATGCCATCTGAGGGTTTAAATTTTATGTTTCACTGTTTATGAAAGAGCTTTCCTTACATATTTTTGAAGATAATTGTTTCTCCTTTGTTGAGAACTATCTGTTCATGCTCCTTGCCTAGTTTTTCTATTGGCTTTTAAAAACTAAATCATAGGAGATCTTTATAAGAATTTATCATATTCCCTGTGACATGTATTTTAGGTGCATTTTCCCAGTTTCATTTGATATTTGATCTTAATTGTGGTGTCTTTTTTTAGACAAGTAGATTTTGAAAGTATATTTTCTCAGGTTTCCTTTGATAGTTTCTGGGTTTTGTGACATAGTTATAAAGGCATTTTCCACTTTGAAAAAATTTTTAAAACTTCCATGTTTCTCTCTCTTAGTTCTCTGTTCATTTTCATGATAAAATCTTTGATCCATTTGGCATTTATTTTGGAATATGGTATAAGTTAGAGATCCAATTTTACCATATGGCTTATCAGGGGCATTAATATAAATTATTAAATAAATCCATCTTTTCTCTGCTAATCTACTAATGCCAACTTTTTAATATATACTTAATTTTAACATGTACCAGGTCTGTGTCTACACTCTCTATTCTATTCCATTAATCTGTCCCTCTATTAGTTGGACATTTATTCTTTTAAATATATATATGTGTGTATGTGTGTGCATTTGTAATATGATGTATCTATTAGAGCTAGTTCTCTTAATTCCTTTTAATTTTGAAATTTCTTGGTTATTCATTCTTGTTTCTTTTTCCATATGGATAATAAACTCAGTGCATTTACTTTTAAACATCAGTTATTTTTATTTTATCTTAAGTGTAATTTTAGTTTTAGGAGAAATGGTGTCTTTATGATATTTAATCTTTCTCTTCACAAAGATTCTATTTGTTCCTTTTGTTCAAGTCTCCCTTTTGATCCATAGTATGATTTTAAATTTTTTCTTTTATAGATTATAGATTCTGTTTGTCTTGTTTTTTCCTTAAATATTTTATGGCTTTTTTTTGTAATTTGGATATGTTTTCTTCCATATCTTGTAATTTGTTGTTTTTGCTGTATAGGAAGGTGGTAGATTTGGAATTTTTTTTTTACTCATCCACATTTCTGTATTATCTCATTGTTTGGAATACATCATTCTGTTAAGTCTTTGGGGTTTTCCATGTGCACAATCATAACATCTAAAAATAATGGTGATTCTGCCTTGTGTTTCCCCATCTGAATAATGTTTACCTATTTTTTTCCTGCTTTATTACTATGGCTAGTGCCTCCAAAATGGTAATAAATAATGCTGGTGATATTTAACATCTTGGTGGTGTTCTGGATTTTACTGGTAATACATCTAATGTGACATGGCATTGACCTTCATTGAAATACATGTACACCAATTTCCATTTTGTTACAAAATGTTAATCTTTCCTATTTTATATAAAATGTTTGTATATTTCTTTTTTTATCTCAGTTTATTTTCTAAATCAAGACTTGATATAAAATTTTGCCTTGTCAGCACCTACAGAGATTTGATGATATTTTCCCTTTTAATCTATTAATGTGGAACATTATTGTTGCATCACTGGAATAAACTCTACTTGGTCAGGAAGATGAATTCTCTGCATGAACTGTTAGTCTTTCTAATTATATATTACTTGGGATTTATGTTAATATTTCCAAGAGAGGTTGATCTGCACTGTTCTTTTTATGCATTTTAAGGCTTTAACATGATATGTTTGCTTCATAAAAATAGTTTAGATGTATTAATTTTTACTATTCTCAAATGCTATCCTGTAGTCCATTTTTTCCATGGAGGAAACTAAAAGGTATTTTCTCTGTTTTTAGGGCATGGAGTTTAATACATACGAATTAGATCCACCCCAAACAGGTTCCAACAAGTTTACATCATTAACCAATTGTTAGTAATTTCTTGCTTGCTCTTCTAGAAAACTTTTTTGTATATAAAGAAAAAAATATACATTTTCAGTGGTGGCATGCTATTTAAACTCTCTTGTGCCTAGATTTCTTGTTTAATAATATACCTTGGAAATCTTTTCATTTATGTACCAAATTTTTTCCCTAACTTTTTTCCTGAAATTTTTTATGACATCTGCATGACATCCAGAGTATGTTTTATTGACTCTGCATTATTTACTTAAACTGCCCCTTATTAATGGGCTTTCATGTTTTTCTCCCATCTTTATCTGCTAGAAATAAGGCTACAATAAATAACCAAAACCACCTTTGCAAAAATTATAGCAGTAAGAAAATTATGACAGTGAAAGAGAGATGTCCTATCCAACTGCATCTTGCCTTTAACCTCCAAACTGCCCTTGATCATTCCTGGATGGGGCCAAGCTAACTTTGGGAGAAACTTAGCTCAAAATTTAATTGCTAATAGCCCTTTCCAAAACTAAACTGCCTTTGTCAGATTAATGAAAGGCCAACACTAGGAGGATGAGAGGGGCCTGAATTCTGCTAAGATGTAGGTGTAGTTAAATGATCACCAGCCATTATTCCAGAGGTCACAAGATTTTCAACTTCTCTAATTGTCAGAACCTAAGATTTGCCTTTTGAGATGTCTTTTCAGGCTTTTGTATTTCTGACAATTAGATGGCCCCACCTAGACCAGCAACTCCTCTGTGACCTCCACCCAGAAGTGGACTCAGTGCATCATTTTCCACATCCCTATGATTGTAGCCCCAACCAGTCAGCAGCACACTTTCCCTAGCCCCCTGCCCACCAAACTATCCTTGAAAAAATCCTAGCTTCTGTATTTTGGAGGAGGCCAATCTGAGTAATAATAAAACTTTGGTCTCCTGTTTAGCTGGCTTTACTTGTAGTAAAGTCTTTCTCTATTGCAATTCCCCTGTTTTGATAAATTGGCCCTATCTGGGCAGTGGGCAAAATGAACCCATTGGGTGATTACATCACTTTATACAAACATCTTGTGTGAAGGTATATTTAAGGATAAATTACTAAGAGTTAATGCTGGATCAAATGGCATGAACATTTGAAATTATGATGCATTCTCCTGTTACAAATGTAAAATCTAAAAAGTATTGCCAGAATTTATAACCCCTTGCCACTAGCTTAAAAAAATACAAGTCTTTTGTTACGCTGAGCAAGGTGATTTGTGGTGAATCATATTGAAGAAACCTTCTACTGAACAGCATAAAAAGGATGGAAACACTTAGAAAAGAAGATCCTAGTAAGGGAAGAAAAGAAGAGCAGATATAGGAAGGAGACGAAACCTGAAGGGAAATAAGACAGAAGAGGCTGTGAGGACAAAAGAGACAGGAAGTGATAGCTGCCATAGGAATTAAGATGCTGGGGAGTGAGGAAACTAGACAATCTGAGGGGAAGTTTGGTGTCGGATATGAAATATAAACCACCCCCTCCATCTATCCATTAAACTCTCTCTATATTTTTTAAATGTATATTTAAATACATGATTTGCATAATGGATTATTCTGTCTTTTGGGAGGTTTGTAAAACTTAGCAGTTGTTTTGAAGTGAGAGCCAGGCCAATCTAAAGATGTCCTATTGCGTTTGGAATGAAAATTTGTGTGTGCATGCACGTGCACATGCTGGGGAAAGTGTGTGTGTATATTTATGTAGATGTGCATACAAATTTATATTCAATGATTAGAATCTCATATTAAAATGATCTCTTAGAACAGATAGCTTTTGTTGCTTAGCAGAATCATCATCTCTTGGTCTTTTGGTTATTTAAAATATGCCAAACACATAGTCCAGAACATGTAGGAGAATAACAAATAACTTACTCAGTATGAGACGATATAAAGTTTGAATGTTTGGCAGCCAGAGATGGAAGGGGCAGTTAGAAGGAAGGGTTAGAAGTCAGATAAGGTGAGCTAAGAGAGGAGTAGAAAGCCAGAAGCTACAGGAGGCTGGGACCTGAGAAGAAAGGGTCCACAAGACTCTCCTCATGGAAGATATTGTCAAGAGACTTTTAAGGATTTGAAAGCCTCATCATATTCAATTTTAAGTTTTTGTTATTTTCTGTTTTGATGTGCTAAATATCTCCTTAACTCCCCATCCCTGCTCACCTAACTTCTACCCTTGATAACAATCGGTTTTGATCTTGAGTAATTTTGGAGGAAATAAAGATCTAAACTTGGAGCAGGGTCTACCAAGGCGCAATACGATACACTACAAGGGACAGTATGCAGGAGGTGAAAAGAATCAGAGCCAGAAATGACTAGGAGACATAAGTCCTGTTGGTGCTCAGAAAACATAACCGTGAAATTTGCCCTTTGACATCATGAAGCCCCAAGGTCTCTCTGACCTTCCCCATATGCCTTCTCTCAATCTTCTACCTCTCCAAAAGCACAGGATGAAACTATTCTATAAAGCTCCCTTACCTACTTAGAAACTACGCCTCCAAAAGAGGAACATAATTGCCGTCCCTGGAATTCCATTATCCAGAGAAGATTAAAGCTTATTACAGATGAAGAGACTGAAAAATATACATCACACCTAGAGCTCAGACAGACTTTGTCCCAAACCATTGTCTGCTTTTTGTCCTATTCAATTGTTAAAGAAAATTATTTACTAACCATTGTCTAAGCATTAGGCCCATTTATTTCCCCCCTAAAAATCATTTACTATTCTTCAAGTTACCACATTCCCCCATCTCCTTTCCCCCCTATGACGAAGGGTATATCAGTATCAGTAGCCCATTGGGTTATAGGGTAACCATTCTTCTGGGACTCCACTGTTCTATGCATATTAAAGTAAATTTGTATGCCGCCTTCTCCTATTAATCCACCTTTTGTCAGTTCATTTTCAGGGTATCTTCAGAGGGTAAGGGGAAGCATTCCTTCTTTGTCTGTACAGACATCCATTAAGAATCCTCAAATATATTGGCAGCGGAATGGCAGACTTCCCATGAGGTCTAGATGAAGACACAAGCAAATTGTAACAAAGATTTAGGTCACAGGTTTCATAAAGGGTGTTTTGGGAAAAGGAGGGATCTTAAAATTTCATAGTTTTCTGATTCTGATTCTCTGATACTACGTTTGAATTTTTGCTGGACTTTACTCCACATGTGGTATCCTTTATTTAACCTAGTATTTATCATTCAATGAGCACTCAGTATTAATTGATGTTAATGATGAAGATGATTGTGGTGGCAGCTGTGATGAAAATGGGGCTAAAACACCTAATTAAGGAAGAGCATTGCTGTTCTTACAGATAAGAAACACTTGCAGAGTAAGGATTCCTACTTGGTATATGACAGCATCCTCTCAGGAGATAAACATACACCAAAGAGATAGAAATCATCATCTGGGTCTCTTATCTGCAACCTGCCCATCAGGACTGACGAAAGAATATCACCTTAATTTACTAATCACACTTATTTAAAGTAGCCACTTTCTAATATTCAAGTCCAGATTAAAAGTCAAAGGTTTATATTTACTCCATAAGGAAACTCCACATTCTAATTTATTTATCTCTCATGTTCAAATTGGACATTCCATGGAAGCATATATTTGATTTGTGGTTTACACTTGAATTGTAGTTGTGTTTGATTTCACAGTGAATAATAATTTTTTCCTCAAAGATAATCTGTTATGTCAGGGGAATGGAAGGGAAAGCTGGTAAATTACTACATGTGCCAGTACCCCACAGATCCTTAATCCAGTCCTAGTGGCTGTTGGCTAACTCTACCTTGTAATGTTATGAAACTAGGCATAAGATACTGCATCATTAATATTATGTGCCAAACCCATAATTGTGATTATAAGCATTCACAGATTTACCTTTGCCATGTGAAGTCAAAGAGAAGCGAAGTCCATGACTAATTCTCTCATGAATTTGGCTTAGAATTTCAGTATTTCAGGGCACAAAACACAGACTATTGCCAAGTTGTGGCATGAAGAAGGACATGTGGCCATATGTCAATTGGTGGTTATAAGGACTGTGTGGTCAAATTGAAAGGTCCTTTTCTTAAATCTCAGTGCTATTATGTTCTGTGGAAGCCAAGTCTTAGCCAATCAGTCAAATGGTATTAAAAACTCAGACTATAACTAATTTGCCCTATTTCAAGAGCAAACCTGCTTTTAACAAGTCTGATTTTATTTTGAATTTTACTGTGCCTGCAAACCTTTTACTATGATTAGAAAGGAAAGTTCTAGCATGGGAGACCTGGGAAGAGGTTGAGTTTGGCTGGCATCTGGTGTCCTATAACAGCTAGCTTAAGGTTTATTGCAAAATATGCTCTGTTGTCTGAACTGCTGGCTGGTTCTACTCTTTCAGAGGCAAGGGAGAGTTGCACAGGGATTTCCTTTCTGCTAACTGGGTCCTCTCACAAGAAGGTTTTGTTTAACTGAGCTCTTTAAAACAAAATCACATCAGTAGTAATTCCAACTCCTAAAGGCAAAAACCAAACCAGGGAAATGTTGTAAGTATGAATGTTCATCTACAGCATTTCTGTTAGAAGTGGGGAAGCTGGAGCAGAGTAGGATGCTAAGGAAGGTTTCAGGAAAAGATGAAAGGTAGATTCATTTGTGATGATAGCCACGGGACTCCCAGTTCCATTATGTAATTATAACTACTGGGCTGGTTGCCAACCCTCAGAGAAAGCCAACCATAAGGCCAGGAGGGCCGGGTGCAGTGGCTCACACCTGTAATCCTAGCACTTTGGGAGGCCAAGGTGGGTGAATCACAAGGTCAGGTGTTTGAGACCAGCCTAACTAACAGTGAAACTCTGTCTCTACCAAAAATATAAAAAGTAGCTGGGCATGGTGGTGGGCACTTGTAATCCCAGCTACTCAGAAGGCTGAGGCAGGAGAATCGCTTGAACCTGGGAGGAGGAGGTTGCAGTGAAGCTGAGATCATGCCACTGCACTCCAGCCTGGGCAACAGAGCGAGACTCTGTCTAAAAATAATAATAATAATAAGGCCAGGAGGTCTAGACTTGGTCTGAAAGTCAGAAGATCAGACATGAGAGACTAAATGTAGTGGTTAAGAACTTGGACTCTAGAGTCAGGCAGATTTGGGTTGATGTCCTGAATATATCACTTACTAGTTCTGTGACAGTGGGAAAAACAATTAACCTCACCAAGCCTCATTTTGCTTCCGTTTCCTCAGCTGTAAAATTAAAATAATACTATTGATCTCATTTATTAGTTGACTTTTTATTTTAAAGTAGAATGATGTATTCATTTATAGGAATGTAAACTTGTGGGTTCCTATTTTATTACCATGGTTATAATCTGTTACTATAAATATTTCTTTTAATTATTAAATTGTCCCAGATTTGTCTAGTGAGAACTCCTACAAGCTCATTTTTTAAGCACTTTCTTACCTTCTGGCACAGGAGATTATTTTAGTTCATCTTGTTTTTCCCCACTGATGCCCTGAAATCAGCCATTTTCCAAGCAGCCCTGGTTCCTTTAGTGGAGAATATCAAATAGAAACCAATAGCTGTATGATACACATGTTTATTGCTACTGGGATGTCACTGCTCTTAGTCTCTCTTAGTGGACAGTAACAAATATACATATTATATATGGTAACAAATATATATTTATATATAAACTATATAATTATATATTTATATAATTTATAACATATATTATATATGAATATTATATAGCGAGAGACTAGAATAAAGCTAAGAAGTTAAAATGTATACTATGTGTATACATTACACTAATATATAAATTATATATAATAAACATACATACTATATATATTTATACTTCTTCAATTTTATTACTAAACTACAGGATTTATTCTAGCTTTCCCATTTTTATTTTTGTATTTCTCATCTCTGAGTGAGAACCCTGACTCCTAGTATATTTGATATCATGTGGTAAACTTCTGATTGTACTAACTGCTTTCTTGCTTTAATGGCCTCCTTGTATGCACCTTGGTCACCATCATGCTGCCTTCTCTTCTGTCTTGAGCCTGCCTAATAGAATTCTAATGAAGGAGGGAAGTAAGAAAAGAAAGAAGGAAAGTTAGGAAGAAACAATGACAGAAGAAAAATGTGTTAAGTAGGATTCATTTGCTGTCACAAATGTTTGAGCTGGGAGGAGGGGTGAATAGTAATAATTTACTTCTTATTAATAAGAAATGGCCAAGCCTTTAGCTTTTAATTGAGTACAGAAAAAAATGATAAAGACTGTAAAAAAGGACAAAAAAGGAAACAAAGATATACACACAGACACAGAGACAGAAACAAATAGAAAAAGCTACTCAGGTCCAATATTTTTAGCCTTGGCTTTACCAGAAGTGTGTGTTGAAAACAGAAATTACTGAAGTGTATTTTTTTTTTGAGACGGAGTCTCACCCTGTTGCCCAGGCTGGATTGCAGTGGCACGATCTCGGCTCACTGCAACCGCCGCCTCCCAGGTTCAAGCCATTCTCCTGCCTCAGCCTCCTGAGTAGCTGGGATTATAGGCGCATGCCACCACACCCGGCTAATTTTTGTATTTTTAGTAGAGACAGGGTTTCACCATGTTGGTCAGGCTGGTCTCAAACTCCTGACCTCGTGATCCGCCTTCCTCGGCCTCCCAAAGTGCTGGGATTACAGGCGGGAGCCACCTCACCTGACTGACACAGTGTATTTTTAAAAGGAACATAGATAAATATTAAACCTTAAAAACGTCAATAGATTAGAAGCTATTAAATAAAAAATTAGTGGAACTAAAGAGGTGAAAAGAAAATATCAAGATGAAAATACAGAGACACAGATAAATGGAAAATACAGAAGATCAGGTGAAGTATGATCCAATTCCCATAAGACCATAAGAGAGAATGAAAGAGAAGGCTATTGAAAAAAAGTGTGGTTAAGAACTTTCCAGGACTAATTATAAAAAATCAATTCACAGTTCAAGAATCCCAATAGATCTCAGGGCAAATAGAAAAAAATTTACAGAAAAATACATCATAGTAAAACAGTAGAACCAAAGTGAAAATGTTAAAAGCAAGTAGGAGGAGAAAAATACATCTGCAAAAGTTCACCAACCAAATTAACAGTGGACAATTTAACAGCAGCAATAAAAGTCAAATGACAACAGCACAATATCATCTTCAATATGTTGAGGAAAAAATAAACACACTTGTATTAGTCTTTAAGCGTGAAGATGAAATACAAACACACATACACACACAAATGAGTTCACTATTGCTGACCTACAATTAATAAATTCCAATGGGTGTTCTTCAAGTAAAAGGAAAATTGTGCTAGAGGGAAATAGAAGGAAGGTCATAAATACAGACATGAATAAGGAGAAAATGAAATAAGTCAAAATAAGTTTTGACTTTACAAACTGTATTAGTCCGTTTTCACACTGCCATAAAGAACTGCCTGAGACTGGGTAATTTATAAAGAAAAAAGGTTTAATTAACTCACAGTTCCACATAGCTGGAGAGGCCTCTGGAAACTTGAAGTGCCAAACTTTTAAACTATCTTGTGAGAACTCTCTCACTGTCATGGAACATTATGGAGGAAACTGCCCCATGAACCAATCACCTCCCACCAGGTACCTCCCTCAACACGTGGGGGTTACAGTTCGAGATGAGATTTGCCTGGGGACACAGAGCCAAACTATATCACAAACAATATCTTGTGATAGCTAGTTACAGAGAGAAAAAGAGTTACAGACAGATAATTAAAATGCATAATCATATTAGCAGAGGTGGCAACTTACGTTATTCTAAATTCTTTGCCTGGTCTGGGAAAAGGGTAAATTTATTGATTAAAATTAGACTGGAATAAGTTTAATGTTATTAATGCACAATGTACTTTCTGGGATAATGACCAAAAGAATACTAAAACAGTATATGATCTGAAAATAAATAGGAGGAAACAAGGAGATAAAATTTATCTAAAGGATCCTGGCTAACATGGTGAAACCCTGTCTCTACTAAAAATACAAAAAATTAGCTGGGTGTGGTGGCGGGTACCTGTAATCCCAGCTACTCAGGAGGCTGAGGCAGGAGAATCGCTTGAACCCAGGAGGCAGAGGCTGCAGTGAGCCGAGATTGTGCCATTGCACTCCAGCCTGGGTGACAGAGCGAGACTCCATCTCAAAAATAAAAATAAAAAAATTAAAAAAGTTAAAAAAAATAAAAAAATTTATCCAAAGGAATAAAGGGGAAAAAAGAAACATAACAGGACAAATAGAAAACACATCATATGTTAGACATAGAAGGAGTACACGCTGAAGTTAAAATATAGAGTAATAGATTGCATTGTATTAAAAATAGTTTTTGCAGTTAAGAAAATTTACTTCTAAAACATAAGGGAAACACATACACATTATATATACAGGTATATGTATATATTTATTATAAGACTATATATAATATATATATATATACACACACACCTAAATATAGGTATATATAAAAGGCTGACCAAAAGAATGCTACTGTAGATATATCAATAACAGACAAAGTAGATTTAAAGGAAATAGCATTATTATAGACAAAGCGTTCACTATGTAAAGATAAATTTTAATATATCAGAAATAGAAGCAATTCTAAATATTTATGTACCTAAGAACAGCTGGAACTTATATGATACACAATCGTACAGAATGAAAGGAGTTTATAAACATACCCATGATCAGATTAGAAGATTTTAAAACACCTCTTTCAGGAATTGACAGAATATGACAAAATATTAATGAGGATCTAGTGGATATAAACAACACAATTACCAAATCAGACTCAACAGAAATGCAGAGTAATGCTGTTCAAAGGGTGGTTCACGCACCAGATTAGTGCGGATCCACAAATTATTTTTTCCACAACAAAATATGTGAAAGAAACCTTAATAGACATTTAATGAGAGCAATTTTATGTTTTTGGATCTAATAATAAGAAATCTAAGCCTATACTTTTTTACTTTTTCCATTCTATTTGTTAGTAATTTATTTTTATTGTATTTTACGAAGTTTTTGTCTATGATAAATTTAAAATTTAAAAAAATCTTGTTCTTTACTGCAGATAGTTTAAGAAACATTGATATATAGAAAACCACTCCCTTCAACAACTGAGGAATAAATATTGTTTTTAAGTACACATAAAACATTTGCAAAAATAGACCATACACTGGGCCATAAAGTAAAAATTAATACATTTCAGAGGTTTGACACCACATATGGTATAGTGCCAGAAATCATTAATAAAAAGACAACTTTTTAGGCGTGGTGGCTTATGCCTGTAATCCCAGCACTTTGGGAGGCCAAGGCAGGAGGATCACTTGAGCGCAGGGGTTTGAGACCAGCCTGGGTAACGTAGTGAGACCTCATCTCCATGAAAAGATAATAGTAATATAATAAAATAGATAGCTTGAAATTCCCATATGTTTGGAAATTAAGAACTTCTACTTTATGGGTCTGAGTATAATGACATTTAAAAATGTATTTAAATTTAAACGATAAAAAACATGTCATAACATTAGACATATAACCTGTGCATATTAGAACCTCCATATTAGAACTTCCCCCTATGTGTCTCGGACTTTATGTTTATATTAAGGTGAAAAAAGTTGATCATAAACATTGTCAGTGTTATTTTCCTCCCACCTTTTGGTCTGCATTGATAAGTCTGAGAATATTAAATGATTTGAATGGTTTATTGATTTATTCTATTAAAAGCTGACAATATAGCTTCTAAATACTGCCTTGAGGTAAAACCTACCTTCAAGAGGAGACATTATTAGAAAATGCATGACATGCAGATAAGCTTTTAGTCAAAATAAAGCACACTTCCATGAACTTTTATCTACATAATAATTCTCTTCAGACCTCAACAAAAATTGAGAGCCCAGCTATTCCGCATACACTGATAAAGCAAGTAAGTACTATTCCAAGGAGTTACAGTCAACATTTGAATAAAGTGTCTTCAATAAGAAATCCTTCCCAGGTTATTAATATAACAAGTAATGAATGCTAAGGATTTTGTTTTCTCCATCTCCTATACTGTCACTTGAAGTCTTTTTCCAAGTTGGTGTGATTTGTAGTTTTTATGTATAGTTTCCCCATATATTTATTCATCTCGAATGTCTCCCAATAACTTTTTGAAAGATCATGGCCATCAGAGGGAATATTTAGTGTTCTTACTAGAACCTTAATGTCATGATAGGGAGTTGTTACAGTACGTTTATAAGAAGAAGAATAAGTTTTATTATTAGTTACTCAAGAACACACACCTCTCATTATGTACTAATGGCCAATAAGCACATAGAAAGATTCTCAATGTTATTAGTCATCAGGAAAATGCAAATAAAAATTACAATGCGCTATTACTTCACACCCACTAAGATGGCAATGATCAAGAAGTCAGATAATAAAAAGTTATGTGCCAAGCATTGTGAAGGTACAAGAGCTAATGTGCAGTACACTGCCCTCCCTTTACAGAGCCTTCTTTACAGTCAAATTGAAGAGCACATAGGAAGATAAAGCCACTGTAGATGAAGCAGAGAAGAAAAAAGGAAAATAAAAGGAAAAGAGAAATAATAGAAATGCTTGGGGGCAGCCTCAACATTTTGTGAATACATGTATATTGCATGTGAAAGGAAATATTAAAATGATACATTTGACACGCAAATAGATGTGCTGAACACATTGCACTGATAACTGATAAATTGCAATATGCTTCATTAACAAAAAAGAAGTGAGATAAGAAGTCTTGGTGAAGATGTGGAAAAATGGAAGGCTTGCACGGTGCTGGTGGGAATGTAAAATGGTGCAGCCATTTGGAAACAAGTGTGACAACCCTATAGGTTTGATAAATGTATAAAGTTTTATCCACCACAATGATATAGAACAGTTCTATCATCACCAACCCAGAAGTTCTCCAGCTTCTTTAAAATCAACATCTCCTCCAACACCCAATTCCTGGCACCACTGCTCAGTAATTTCACAGTAGTTTTGCCTTTTTCAGAATGTCATATAAATTACATTATACAATATGTAACATTTTGGTTTTCAGTTATTTTACTAAGCAGCATGAATTTGAAATTCATTCATAGTGTTGTGTGAAACAATATTTTGTTCTTTTTTATTGCTGAGTAGTTAGTATCCCATTGGATGGATACAGCAACGTGTCTTTGTCTGTTCACCAGTTAAAAAATATATGAGTTGTTTTCAGTTTGGGGCAATTACTGCTAAGCATTCACATTCAGGTTTTCATGAATGTAAGTTATTTTTTTCTCCAGGGTAAATAATTAGGAATAGGAAATATGATAAACATAGGTATAACTTTATTAAAAACTTGCCAGATTCTTTTTCTTACTGATTGTAGATTTTATATTTCCACCAGTGATATATGAAATATCCTGTGGCTTCACATCCTCCTCAGCATTTGGTATTGCATGTTTTCCTTTCTTTTTTCTTTCTTTCTTTTTTTTTTTTTTTTTTTTTTGCCATTCTAATAGTGTGTAGTAATGGTATGGTTTGGTTGTGTCCCCACCCAAATCCCAACTTGAACTGTATCTCCCAGAATTCCCACATGTTGTGGGAGGGATCCAGGGAGAGGTAATTGCATCATGGGGCCTGGTATTTCCCATGCTATTCTCATGATAGTGAATAAGTCTCACAAGATCTGATGGGTTTATCAGGAGTTTCCGCTTTTCTTTTTCCTCATTTTCTCTTGCCACCACCATGTAAGAAGTGCCTTTCACCTCCCGCCATGATTCTGAAGTCTCCTCAGCCATGTGGAACTGTAAGTCCAATTAAACCTCTTTTTCTTCCCAGTCTCAGGTACGTCTTTATCAGCAATGTGAAAATTGACTAATACAAGTATTATCTTGTTGTGGTCTTAATTTGTACTTTCTTAATGGTTAAGAATCTTTTCACATACTTCATTGCCATCTTCTTCAGTGAAGTGTCTACTCAGATATTTTACTTAGTCTTTTAGTGGTGTTTGTTTTCTTACCATTGAATTTGACAGTTTTTATTATAGTCTAGATAGAAGTCTGTTGTCAGAAATATGATTTGTATTGACATATACATTCATTTCACTTGGGTAAAGACCTAAAAGTGGAGTCACTAGATTATATGGTAGTTGTTTGTTTAACTTTTTAAGAAACTGTCAAACATGACCAAACAGAGTTTATCTGAGGAATGTAAGGTTGTCTAATATTCAAAAATCAGTTACTAGAATTTACTAGTTTCAAACAAACAAAAAAAAACTAAAAAAAACCATATTACCATCTCAATAGATGCAGGAAGGGCATTTGACAAAATCCAATATTTTCCATGATAAAAATCTGCAATATATAGAAATAAAAGAGAACTTCCTCAACTTGAGATATGAATCTATGAAAGACTTATAGCTAATGTCATATTTAGTGGTGAAAGGCTGAATACTTTTCTTCTAACATTAGGAACAAGACAAGGATATCATTGCTCACCACTTCCATTCAGTGTTGTACTGGAGAGCTGAAGGGTCTAGACAGTGTGGAAAGGCAAGGAAAAGAAATAAAGGACATCCATATTGGATAGGAAGAAATAAAAATTTTTTTTCAGATAACATTTATGTGGAAAACTTGATGAAATCTAATAAAAGACTAACAGAACAAATAAATGAGTTTACCCACATTGCACAATACAAGATCAGTATACAAAAGTATGTTTTTCTTGTATGTCTATGCACTGTCAATAAACAATCAGAAATTGAAATTAAAAACAATGCCATCTACAATAGCATAAAAATATGAAATATTTAAGCATACAACTGATAAAAGGTATGAAATATCGGAACACTGAAAACCATAAAATATTGCTGACAGAAATTAAGTAAGACTTAAATAACAGTAGAGATATACCATGTTCATGGTTAAAAAGACTCAGTATTATCGTGATATCAAGTATTTCTGAATAAATCTTCAGTGCAATCTCAGTCAAATTCTCAGCACAGGTTTTGAAAAATTCACAAGTAGATTCTAAAATTCATGTGGAAATGTAAAGGAGATAAAATAGCCAAAGAAATGTTGAACAAAGAAGAAATAGTCGATTTTACAGACTCATTTATAAAGTTACATGATAATTGTAGTATTGACATCATGATAGACAACAATGAAACAGGATAAAGTCTAGAAGCGCAGTCACACTTATTTTTAAAAAGGTGCAAAGTGGTAAAATAATAGTCATTTCAACAAATTATGGTAGAACAATTGCATATATATTTGCAAGAAAAATTAACCTCAATCCTTGCTTCTTACTACAAACAGAATTGAACTGAAAATGGATTATAGGCCTATATTTTTAAATATAAAAATGAAAACTATATAGCTTTGGGGAAAAATAAGAAAATACTGACTTTGATTTAGGCAAAATTTTAAAGACATGGCATATAAATTGCAACCTACAAAAAGCAAATTGATAAACTGAACTTAAGAAATGAATAATTTCAAAAATACTGTTAAGATATGAAAAAAAAGCCAAATACTCCAGTGCAATATTGAACAATAGGGGTGAAAATGGTAGTCCTCTTGTTTTTAATATTAGGGCAAAAACATTTAGGTCTTTTAATTATTACACATGATGTTTGCTGTAGCCTTTTTATTGAGATATCTTTTATCAAGTTAAGAAAGTTTCATTTCATCTTTATTTTGCTAAGAAATTTTATCAGAAATGGATGTTAGATGTTTTTGTCAATGGCTTTATTTTTTGTCTATTGAGATAAGTATATGGCTTATCCCTGTATTTCACTTTGTTAATATATTGAATTTAAGTTTGCAATATACAACCACTCTCAAATGCTAGAATAAATTACACTTGGTCATATGTATTATAACTTTTTATATTAGAAAGGGGTTTTGATGAAATTCAACATGCCTTCACATTAAAAACTCTCAACTAGGAACATACCTCAATATAATAAGAGCCATCTCTGACAAACCCACAGCCAACATCATACTGAATGACCAGGAGCTGGAAGCATTCCCCTTGAAAACTGGCACAAGGCAAGGATTCCCTTTCTCACCACTTCTATTCAACATAATTTTGGAAGTCCTGGTCAGGGCAACGAGGCAAGAGAAAGGTATAAAATGCATCCAAATAGGAAGAGAAGAAGTCAAACTATCCCTGACCTGATTCCATGTCTAGAAAACCCCATAATCTTGGCCTCAAAGCTCCTTCAGCTGATAAATAACTTCAACAAAGTTTTTGGATACAAAATCATAGTACAGTAATCATTAGCATTCCTATACACCTGTAACAGCCAAGCTGAGAGCTGCTAAATCAGGAACACAATCCCATTCACAATTGCCACAGAAAGAATAAAATACCTAGGAATATAGCTAACCAGGGAGGTGAAAGATCTCTACAAAAAGAACTACAAAACACTGCTCAAAGAAATCAGAGATAGCCCAAATGGAAAAACATTCCATGCTCATAGATAGAAAGAATATCATTAAAATGGCCATACTGCCCAAAGCAATATATAGATGCAATTCCATTCCTATCAAACTACCAATGACGTTCTTTACAGAACTAGAAAAAAACTATTTTAAAATTCATATGGAACCAAAAAATAGCTTGAATAGCAAAGGTGATTCTAAGCAAAAGGAACAAAGCAGGCTGCATCATGCTACCAGACTTCAAACTATACTGCAGGGACTACAGTAAACCAAACAGCATGGTACTGGTACAAAAACAGACACATAGACTAATGGAACAAGTTAGAGAGCTCAGAAATAATGCTACATACCTACAGCCATCTGATCTTCAACAAAGCTGACAGAAACCAACAATGGGGAAAGTACTCTCTCTATTCAATAAATGATGCTGGGATAACTGGCTAGCCATATAAGGGAGATTGAAACTGGGCCCTTTCCTTATACCACATACAAAAATTAACTCAAGATGAATTAAGGACTTAAATGTTAAACCCAAAACTATAAAAACCCTGGAAGACAACCTAGGCAATATCATTCTGGACATAGGAACTGGCAAAGATTTCCTGACAGAGACATCAAAAACAATTACAACAAAAGCAAAAACTGACAAATAGAATCTAATTAAACTAAAGAAAACTGCAAAAGAAACTCAACAGAGTAAACAGACAATCTACAGTATGGGAGAAAATGTTTGCAAACTATGCATCCGACAAAGGTCTAATATCCCACATCCATAAGGAACTTAAACATATTAACAAGAAAAAACAAACAACCTCATTAAAAAGTGAGAAAAGGATGTGAAAAGACACTTTTCAAAAGAAGACATGCATGCAGTCAACAAGAATTTGGGGAAAAAAAAGCTCAATATCACTGATTAGTAGAGAAATGCAAATAAAAATCACAATGAGATACCATATCACACCAGTCAGAATGGCTGTTATTAAAATGTCAAAAAGTAACAGATGCTGGTAAGATTTCAGAGAAAAGGGAATGCCTATACACTGCTGGTGGGAATTTAAATTAGCTCCACCATTATGGAAATCCGTTTGGCGATTTCTCAAGGATGTTAAAACAGATCTATCATTGAACCCAACAATCTCATTATTGGGCATATATCAAAAGAACTATAAATTTTTCTACCATAAAGATACATGCATGTGTATGTTCATCACACCACTATTCACGATAGCAAAGACATGGAATTAACCAAAATGCCCATCAATAGTGGACTGGATAAAGAAAATGTGGCACATATACACCATGAAATACTACACAGCCATAAAAAGAATGAGATCATGTCCTTTGCCGCAGCATGGAAGGAGCTGGAGGCCATAGGTGAACTAATATAGGATCATAAAACCAAATACCACATGTTCTCACTTACAAATGGGAGCTAAACATTGAGTACACATAGACACAAAGGAGGGAACAATAGACACTAAAGCTTACTTGAGGATGGAGGGTGGGAGGAGGGAGAGTAGCAGAGGAAATAACTCTTGGGTAATAATAAGCTTAGTACCTGTGTGACAAAATAATCTGTACAATAAACCTCTGAGACACAAGTTTACCTATATAACAAACCTGTACATGTACCACTGAACCTAAAATAACAGTTTTTTAAAAGAAAACAAAAATAATAATTTTGTATATCATTGGATTTGATGTGCTATAATTTTGTTTAGAATATTTGCATCTTTGTTCATAAGTGATATCTGTTTTTTTCTGTAATGTATTTTTACAGCTGTGATATTAGGATAAAAGTAGCCTCCTATAATGGGTTGAAAAGTATTTCATTTCTTTAACTTTCTGGAAGAATGTATGAAGAATTGGTGTTGTATCTTCCTTAAATATTTGATAGATTTCACCTGTGAAACCATCTGAAATTGAAAATTTCTTTGTGGAAGGTTTTACATTATAAATTCAGTTCCTTTAATGATGTATATTAATAAGGCAATTTATTTCTTCTTAGAAAATCTTTGATTGTTTGTGGCCTTAAAGAATTTTCCAGTTTCATCTATATGTCACATTTATTGGCATAAAGTTGTTCAAAACATTTCCTTGTTACCCTTTCAATATCTATAATATCTGTAGTGATGTCACCTCACCTCTCTCATTCTGGATGTTGTTAATTTATAACTTATCTCCTAATCAGTCTGACTAGAGATTTATCAATATTATTGATGTTCTCAAAGAGCCAGCTTTGGGTTTCATTAATTTTCCCATCTGTTTTCCTGTTTTGTATTTCATTGACTCCTGCTCTAAACTTTACTATTTCCTGTTCCTATTTTCTGCTTATGTTGGGTTGAATTTGACTTTCTTTTTCTGTGTGTGTGTGTGTGTGTGTGTGTGTGTGTGTGTGTGTGTGTGTGTGTTTAAGTTGAGACTATTGATTTCAGACCTTTTTTCTGTTCTACTTTAGGCATTTATTAGGTTGGATTTTCCCGCTTTTTTCTTTCTTTTTTTTTTATTATTGTACTTTAAGTTCTAGGGTACCTGTGCACAACGTGCAGGTTTGTTACATATGTATACATGTGCCATGTTGGTTTGCTGCACCCATTAACTCGTCGTTTACATTAGGAATTTCTCCTAATGCTATCCCTCCCCCATCCCCCCCACCCCACAATAGGCCCAGGTGTGTGATGTTCCCCTTCCTGTGTCCAAGTGTTCTCGTTGTTCAATTCCCACCTATTAGTGAGAGCATACGGTGTTTGGTTTTTAGTCCTTGCCCTAGTTTGCTGAGAATGATGGTTTCCAGCTTCATCCATGTCCCTAAAAGGACATGAATTCATCATTTTTATGGCTACATAGTATTCCATGGTGTATATGTGCCACATTTTCTTAATCCAATCTATCATTGATGGATATTTGGGTTGGTTCCAAGTCTTTGCTATTGTGAATAGTGCTGCAATAAACATACGTGTGCATCTCTTTATAGCAGCATGATTTATAATCCTTTGGGTATATACCCAGTAATGGGATGGCTGGGTCAAATGGTATTTCTAGTTCTAGATCCCTGATGAATCGCCACACTGTCTTCCACAATGGTTGAACTAGTTTACAGTCCCACCAACAATGTAAAAGTGTTCCTATTTCTCCACATCCTCTCCAGCACCTGTTGTTTCCTGACTTTTTAATGATTGCCATTCTATGGCCATTTTCACGATATTGATTCTGCCTATCCATGAGCATGGAATGTTCTTTCATTTGTATGTGTCCTCTTTTATTTCCTTGAGCAGTGGTTTGTAGTTTTCCTTGAAGAGGTCCTTCACATCCCTTGTAAGTTGGCTTCCTAGGTATTTTATTCTCTTTGAAGCCATTGTGAATGGGAGTTCACTCATGATTTGGCTCTCTGTTCGTCTGTTATTGGTGTATAAGAATGCTTGTGATTTTTGCACATTGATTTTGTATCCTGAGACTTTCCTTAAGTTGCTTATCAGCTTAAGGAGATTTGGGGCTGAGATGATGGGGTTTTCTAGATATACAATCATGTCATCTGCAAACAGGGACAATTTGACTTCCTCTTTTCCTAATTGAATACCCTTTATTTCTTTCTCCTGCCTGATTGCCCTGGCCAGAACTTCCAACACTGTGTTGAATAGGAGTGGTGAGATTTTCCTGCTTTTTTCTATGCCTGGTAAGTTTTGATTGGATGCCAGCCATTGTATAAGCATTGCCTTGTTGGGTGTTGGATAATTTTGAACCTTTAATAATATTCTTGAGCTCTATTCTGGGGCATACTTAAATTACTTAGAAGCAGTTTGATCCTTTTGGTATTCGTATATAAGATTTGTTAGGCAGAAACAGGACAGTGATCATTACAGAGATAATTATTTTTCTCTACGGAGACAAGACCTTTCTCAGCACTCTTCCAAATGACCCATGAATTTTTCCAATCTTGCTGATGGGAAGAGTTACTAATCCTGGCCCCGTGTGTATGAAAATAACAGTGCCAGGTTAGGCACTGGTTATTTTAACCCTTTTCAGGTATTCTTTGCCAGCCTTGGGTAGCTTCCTCAGACATGTGCTTATGATTACTCAACTGAGTACTTGAGGAGGGTCCTCTGCAGCTCTCGGGAGTTCCCTTTATTTGCAGATTCCCCCTTCCCAGGATTTTCTTCTGTGAACTCTAGCTGCTCTCCCTGGACTCTCAGCTCTATTTCCTTAACTCGGAGATAAGGTTCTGCCTCAGTTTCTTTTTTCTGCATCACAGCTTGGAAACTCAAGGCATTTAGCTGGGCAATTATAGGGCTCACCTTTTATGTTTCTCATCACTCAGGGGTGATTGATCTTTTTTACTGATATCTAACATCTTGAAACTATTCTACTATTTATTTTGACCATTCTTTATTGCTCCAGATGGATAGGTAGATGCAATCTCTGCTACTCTATCATGGACTAGTTACAAAACTTATGTAGAAGAATGGAAATGCTGGGAAAAAGTACTAAAAATGCCTCATTGAGGGCATCAGAGAGATACCATGGCAGGATGGACTTGCTAATAGCCAAGAGAAAGTCAATCTCTGAATTTTCTGTGGCTGAGAAGGAAACCTGATTTGAGACTTCTGTTTCTGGCCATGATTCTGAGAGCAGAATGTGAGAGACCACAAAATGATGAAAGATTTTGTCATTATTCACATAGATTTTTAAGTACTTAATTCAAGAAATAATAATTAATTGGGGTAAATATATAATAACGCAGTGTATCTAATAATGTTATCAGCCACTTAAGTGCTTAACAAAACATAGGGGTAACATATTTGTAAAAGTATTTGCACTTCTGTTGTCAAGACAAACTTTTGTTACTTGTAGGTATAAATAGAGCTATTAAAACATCAAATTATTATACTAATTCAGTTTCCTAGAGGAAAACCAAAACTTGTAAAATAAAAATATTTTTATAAAGTGTAGCCTTCATTTTTTCCTACTAATTAATTTATATTACATGAATATGTTGAGTGCCTACAATGTTGTTCTAGGCCCTTAGGTGGCAAAAATCACTGAAGCAAAATTAAACACAAATCTATAAGTTAATGCACAAACATATTCATATTAATATTAAAAATAAAACTTTAAAAAAATTAGATTTTTCTAATTTAAAACTTTAAATGAAAAAACAAAATAAGATTTCTCTAATTTTATTTTGGTTAGATTGATATAAATTAACATTCATCAGAGTAATCATTTGTGAACTCACACAAATGTGTACACATGCATATACACAAATAGACACAAAATGTTACTTTAAACAGAAGAACAAGGACACATAATTAGGAGTCAGGAAAGAATTTGGTTATTAGAGCTTTCAATGTCATGCAAGATACTGAAGTATATATCTATGAAGGCTTAGGAGTACTGAGTTTAGTTTTTTTTTTTTAATTAAAAAGTTTTAAGCTTTTATCTTAGAAATATTCTTCTTTAAAATTGGGTGAAAAGTAATACAAATAAATTTTAGGTGACTCTCAAGTGCTAGTCTATTGACATTGCTGAATGCCTTTCAAAGCTGAAGATTTTGCCCTTTGCAGACATCTTTTGCACCACTAGAGTAGGTGTTTCACTTTTTAACTAAAGTTAACCAATTGCTAGTCAGTTATGAATTTTTCTGTCCTTCAAAAGGTTCACATAGGGCATGTGCCTCAAAACCATAGGGAACTAAACACACTGAAGCTTTGAGGCCCCCAGTGATCCACATTTCAGTCAGGATACAGTCAGAATTTTCAATTATTTCTCTGAACAAATATTTGAGATTAATTGAGAGGCTAAGGATAGAATTTGTAAAAAAACTTTTACTTGTCTTCAGTTGACAAATCAGATTCAGAAAGTTCAATCAAATAACCAGGTCAAAGCTGCCCAACATTTTTTAGTAGTGTGGTAATAGTTTTTATATATTGTCATTCATATTTATGCCAAACATCTCTGCACAGAGCTTCCCTTGCAAGTATGATTTTAAAGTTGAAGAAAATGGTAAATTTTCTTTCAAAAGCATTTTGGGTAACAGATTTATGAGAACATTTTTCTTCTAAAAAGAAGGATACTCAGTTATGAAACTTTAATTTCAAATTATACACTCCACTCAAAGACTATAAGGTTCTTAATAGCCATGACTTTGTGAAAAATATTACTTTCGTGTTATACTCATATTCCATCCTTCCAGTCTGCTTTTAGACTTTAGAGAAATGAATATAGTGGCCTTAATAGGTTCAGGGATTTCCCTAGGTACATAAAGAAAAATAACAATCTCTTTTTTGATATATAGATACATGTATATATGACTATATAGCTTTATGACTATAAGCCTATGTGTATGTGTATGCATGTGAGTATATGTATAGAGAGATCTTGGTTCACTACATCAATTGTGAAGCCAGATAAAGTATAACAAGGAATTCATAATGTTCAGACATTCATTTAAACAAATTCTTTATTCCATAAACATTGCCTTAGCCTTCAAATATAAATAGGGAAAGATGAACTGTTCATATCATCTCTCCAGATGTTTTGTGTTTTGAGACTGCATATCACAGCTGGGCCAGGGATCTCTGAATCCTGGGAAACTTGGAACTCTGGAACTCAGCTTGATCAAAGAGAAGGTTCTTTAGCTCTCAGGTGGAAGCAGGTAGACTCCATTTTCTGCATTTGTACCCATAAAGCAAAATTCTTCATTAAGCAGTAGTTTCGGGGAGAAAAATTGATACAACTATTATATCCTGAATTGCATTTTTAAAATCTTAGTGAGTTTAGCTATCTGATATTATCTTTTTGTCTGTTGGACTAACTACTGATGAGAATGTCTGTGTGTGTGTGTGTATATATATATGTATATGTATATATCCACATGTGTGTATATATATAGATAAATATATGTGTGTATATATAGACATATATGCATTTATGTGTGTATATAGACATATATGCATTTATGTGTGTATATAGATAGATACACACACATATACACTGAAAATCTCTGGTCTCTAAGGCTTAATCTAGTCACAGTTATTAGTGGACCTCATTAAAATTAGTTCTTGAGGTTAAAAAAGTCCAAATACATTAATTACTCATTGAATTGGAGCATTTGTTAATATTCTGATTGAGGTTTTATCTTCATAAAAGAAGCTCAATTATTCTCTTGGGCAGGGGTTTATGATTTAAAGTTTTTGGAATAGTGACTAAGGTCCCAAGGAAACTCTGAGATAACCAAGGTTGATCATGAAATTGCCCTTTATAATAAAATGATATTTAATATCGGGTGTGTGGAGGGATAACTGGTGTTTTAAAAGACTCAGAAGCGCTGGGCATTTTGTGGAGGATGAGTAAAAGATGGAAGAAAAAACTTATTTGGCTGTTTGGTAAAGAAATGACTGTAAGCATTATTTTCTCAATGTGACAATACATCATAATCTCTGGGGTGCCTGATAAAAGTCCAGATTCTTCAGCCTCCTCCCATACCTATTAGATCAAAATCTCAAGACATGAAGCTTCCTGATCTGCATGTAATGGACGTCACAGGCAATATACACAAAAACTTGAGAACCACTGGAAGAGGGAAAACAGAGATGTCAGGTGCGATTTAGGGAAAATAGGGAGGTACACTGGTACAATGTGAATGTATCTTCAGTAAAGATAACTCTAATTTTGAAATGCTAGATGGGAAAGGATTTCTTGTGGAAATCAGCAAAATAATTGAGTTCTGCTGACTAATTTATGCAAGGCCCAAATAGCCCATGTGATTGAAAGGGAATTGTCATCTAAATTACGCTAAAAAAATTTGAGTTCATGTTTTGCTTAAGAAAAATTTTCTTAAGAAAAATTTTCTGTAATATGAATTTATTATTTTGTTAGGAAGAACAGTCAAGGGCAGATAATCTAATTTTTCTTTGCTGATTGAAGATCTTGCACTTTCTCTAGGCCATGATTGTGATGATCATCATTTTACATTTGTCAGTGATGATAACAGTAGGTGTAAATACAGTAGGAGATTGGGCTAAATATGTATTGATGTCTACAGTACTCACAGAGAGTAAATGGTCTCAGGAAGGTGCTAAAAGTGTTGAATGACTTGGAGTCTGTATTTCCACAACCACCGAGCATGTGAACAGGGCTGGAATGAGACTCTGTCAAGATAGCCAAGCCCCCATTTAGTCAAGTCATGGAACTAACCTGAAAAAAAGAAGATGCAAAAAAAAAAAGAAGATGATGAAAGCAAGGAGCGCCATGGCACATGGGCACTGAGCTCAGTTCTGCACTAATTTGAAATAGAAATAGATTATCTTTTGTCCTCAGTTTGTTGTTCCTAACAGAGAGTGTAGTTCCGTGCACTATGCCAAGCAGCAACTACCTAAAAATGACTCGAAACATGAACTTAACTGATGTACGTAGGTGCTAGTGTGTGTGTGTGTGTGTGTGTGTGTGTTCACTAAATTTCTGATGTAGACATCTTTTGCATGGGAACAGAGAATGCTCTGGTTAGTTGTCGGTCAGTTAATGGGGAACAAAGCATGCACTCTTTTCTTTTTTGCTCACATTTTGCTGGCTATTCTTTAGAATGTCTATTCTAGGATAAGAGAAATGGTCTTTCACTACAGTAAAAAGAAGAGGAATCAAGGCTGAATAAAGACAATAGCCAAAGGAGCTTTCACCACTGAATGAAATAACATCCACACAAGTTTGTGGATCAAATTGCTCATTTCTTTTTTACAAAATGAAGTGTATTTTGTATTCCTCATTATAAAAGACTATATTCTTCTTAAAGAAAAGCCTGAAAATATGGATGAGTAAAAAGAGATTACAATAATAATGAAAATAATAATAACTGCTACTATTAATAAACTTCTTAATAGGCTTTTTAAACCTATTATCTTGAAGACAACCACTGCAAACCTTGGCAAATATATTTTCAGAGACTGTACACACAAGCACATATATTCACACAGATGTTTTGTTTTTACTATTTACAAAAATGAGATGATACCTTAGTTTGGTAATAAATTACAGATATCCAATCATTTTTGACCTACAAAGACATAGTTCAATATAGTTCAATCTATACATACTTTTCCTCAGTCTGCTTGGTTTTTCTTTCAATATAGATCATGAATATCTTTCCATGGTAAATTATTACAATTATTTCATAGTTTCCCATTTTGTGGCCATATGGAAATTAATTAGCCAATCCCCTTTTACTGAACATTTAGATTTTCATTTTTTCCTATTGTTGATAGTGTTTCTATAAGTGCACTTATAGCTAAATCTATTCCACATACTCCCAATTCCCCTTGTTGAGGGGTACATTCTTGTAACTAACTAGAATTCCTGAGTAAAAAGACAGATACTGCAAATATATTTTTTAGCCTACTATTTTATTTACAAATATTCTGTGATGTTTACTTTCTGTGGCTGCATCTATACACAAAAACAGGTTTGGTTGGCCAGGCACAATGGCTCATGCCTGTAATCCCAGCACTTTGGGAGGCCGAGGTCGGTGGATCACTTGAGGTCAGGAGTTCAAGACCAACCTGACCAGCATAGTGAAATCCCATCTGTACTAAAAGTACAAAATTAGCTGGGTGTGCTGGTGCACACCTATAATCCCAGGTACTTGGGAGGCTGAGGCAGGAGAATCATTTGAATCCCAGAAGACAGAGGTTGCAGTGAGCCGAGATCGCACCGTTGCACTCCAGCCTAAACCCCCTCTCTACTAAAAAATATAAAATTAGCTGGGTGTGGTGGTGCACGCCTGTAATCCCAGGTACTTGGGAGGCTGAGGCAGGAGAATCATTTGAATCCTGGGAGACTGAAGTTGCAGTGAACCGAGATCGCATCATTGCACTCCAGCCTGGGCGACGAGAGCGAAACTCTGTCTAAAAAAAAAAAAAAAAAACTACCACCAACAAAAACCAAACAGGTTTTGTTATTCACTACTTGTACTAGCTACTAATATATTGAATGTAATAAAATATTTGGGAAGAAAAACGCTTTAAAAATAACTTTTTTTTCATCTGTTTGTGTGTGAAGGAGGGGGAGGTAGCAAAGCTACAGGCCCCAAATGTGTTGATATCATTATCTTCATTCTCTTGGTTCAAAAGTATTAACACTGTGATATTTAGATTATTACCACGGTCTACATTAACCAGATGAAATCTTCTCTCATGCCTCAGGTGAAAACAGGTATTGAGTGAGAAGGATTTAAATATAAACTCCTGGCATTTTCTCCACCTTGGGCCTGTAGAAACCTTGTCTGTAATTGCCTCTTCATTTTCCAGCACCTATGTTTTAGTTGCCATCACAGACATCAACTAAATCTTGAGAATCTTTCCTCACCTGACCTTGACTGATTAGTGAGAGAGCAAAGATAATAAAACTTGCAATATGAATTTGCGTCATAATCTGGAACTAGGCTTCATGTTGAAGGACAATGAAATTATAAAGCATTGTGACTGGTTCTGTTGAAAATAATAATTCAGCAACTGCAGCCATAGCTCACTCAATGGTTCAAGAAAGCTGGAGCAGCAATTATGTGACTGATTAAGATTTAAGGTAAATACCTGAGAGAGTAGTGTCTTCTTCCCAGAAGCTGGAGAGGTGAGATTGGATCTGCTGCTGCCCTCCTTGTAGTGAGCCGAACTGGCAATGTCAGGGGAGCTGGAGACTACGTGCCTAACTCTAGCCACTCTCCAACTTCTTCCTGACTTGCCTTGGCCTTTTTCCAGAGCAAATGAATTGACTCTTGGTTGCCCTAGGACCTCACTTCTGCCTCTTTCTGCTACTTTCTTTGTTTTTGTTCCCCATACACTGTGGGAGCTGCGAAGGTGGGATCACACTATGTTCACCCCTCTCTCTGTAGCCTAGGATCCAACATTCTGGAGACGCCCCCAACAACAGGATGAAGGAAGCAATGATAATTTTTTTTAAAGTCACAATATTTCATCAATTTCTATCAAAGATTGAGTCAATAGGTGTAGTTCATGTATTCCCAAATTAAGGAACAAATCTAGGCGTGTCAGAGACCCCAACAGAAAATAATAAACTTAATTTTATGAATTCAACCATTTCATATCAGTAGAAACTGTTTAAAATTAAAAGCAGCATTTAATTAGAAATAAGGCAGCAAGTTGCAACAAAAAGACATTATTCAAGGGCAGAGAATTGGGGAAAGGGATGGGATAGGATGAAATGGAATGGAAAAGATTGGAACAAAACAGTTCCCAGGAAACCAGGTCGATTTTTCCCCATCATTTATATTGGTCTTTCGCTCTGTGAGACAAATGAGCCATTTACTTCTAACTCATAGATTAGATTGTATCTTGGAGATGTTCAATTTTGATTTTAGTTTTCTTGATGATCAGTTCCTGAGTGAGATGCAGGGGAAATAATCAGAAAAATCCAATGTGCAGGCACCTGGCTCCACTGAGCCATGACCACTCTAAGATTCAGAGCTAGAGGTCAAAGGATGCAGGTGTCTCTTTCAAAACACACATATGCCCACAGGTTCCCCTCCAAAGGTCCCAACTAATAAAAAGCCCAAACTGGCCACTCCAAAGACTATATGGCTTTTAGACCATTTTCTCTGATACTCCAAACGATTTCCTGATTCCATGCCTTTGCACCAGATGCCCGCTCTGACTACAATGTCCCCTTGCCCTCCTACAGCTAGCTGTTTCTTATGATTCAACTCAAATATCATGTTCTCAGGGTGGACTTCCCAGGCATTCTATTTAATATTAAACTCCTACTCTCCAGAACCTTTCTCTCCATGGCAATGCTCTTGTTAGTTTGTCTGTGGTTCTCAGTAATAGAAACTATGTTATTTGTATATATGTACTACCTGTCATTCCCCACTGGAATATAAGCCCTAGGAAAACAGGGATTCTGTCCTAGTCATCATTGTATCAGTACTGATGCATGGTAGGCACCTAATACCTATTGGATGAATGGATGGATGGATGGATGGCTACGTATAGAACCTCAGGTCTAGTTTTTTGCTTATCTGTTTGTTTGCTTTGCCAAGAGTAGGACAACCCTTTGCATCAGTCTTTACTCTCAGTATCTTATCACTTAAGTGAATTTTGTTTAAACACAGTAAGACAGTGCATATGCTCTCCTTGGGAATTAATGAAACAGAAAATAGCAAAAGGGAGACACAGGTTCTGCCCTCAGACAAATTACTGGATGGGGGTAATAAGAAGGTGGCTGCCATCAGAGAAAAAGGCAAGTACCCTACCTGAGATGTAGGTAACACTAATTATATCTCAGGTACAAGAAGGAGGTAAAGTTGAAACGCCAAACCAGTGTTTGGATGGAAGCCCTACAAGAACTGCTGAATATCAGACCCCTAAAGCTATCCAACAGGAGGTCACAGTTCTATCTTGGTTTTACATGCTTGTAAAGGAATGTCTAGATAAAAGCAGCTTTCACACAAAAGCATGAAGAATCCGTGTCTCTGGAGTCTGAGTAATGTTTTGTTAAATTTTGAGTAGTTTAATGTCAAGACAGAGAAGCTCAATGAGATTAATAGCTGAAAATGGAGGGTGGGGGAGAACATCAAACTAGAGAATGAAGCTGAATCATGTTTAGCCAGGGGTAACAGGGGTGAGAGGATTTATGAGTGTTTCCAAATTGCTGAGATTGACGTTCCTCTTAAGTTTATCTTGTTTCTCAATATTACAATTATTAAAAAAGAAAAAAAAGCTACATGAGAGTTTTTTGACTATCACCCAAACAATTAAATATCTCAATTCCAGACTGGTTTATATTCTGAAACTTGTTCAGAGAAAACTCTAACATGAATAGATGTTACTCACCAAAGGCCTGATTAATGAAAGGAGAGCCGTGGCATTGACTGAGAGAGGACATTGTTCTGCAATTAGGGCACAAATGACCTTTCACTCTTCTGGCTGCAGATTATTTACTTTGGCCATATTTAGAATAACTTGATATATGACAAGATTTATGAAACTTGGACAAAACTTCCAAAGTATATACAAGTGCTGCTGACAATATGGGATCTTTCAGTACAGTCTGCATGGAAACAAAGCCACACATTTCCATAGAGCAACCAAAGAGCTGTGTTAAAATTTCCCTATAAGCACGATCTTTTCTCATGTTAGCCCCCATTTGCTTAAATCACTTTCCGTTAATGCTGGGTATTAGCCAAGATTACTGGATGGTATGAATGTCCCGACCACAACAGTGGCTCTGTGTACACATGCCTATGCACAGATATGCATATATATATACACTTATGAATATATACAGAATAAATGCAAAATAAAGTTGGCAAGTAGAAAATTTGGTTGCACCAAGTCTTAGTGTTGGAAGCTTATAAATAAAGTTTGGCTTTTTAAACTAAATTGAATTGCCTTTCAAACTAAAGTCAGAGAGTTGATTTTTGTCTTTGAAGACAGAACCATTTTGTACAATATACCCTTTAGTGCTTAAGTTTTGGTACTTCTTCCAACCTATTTTGTGTGTGTGTATCTGAGAGTAAGCCTTCCCTTCTATTTATTTATTTATTTATTTATTTATTATTTATTTATTTATTTTTTGAGACGGAGTCTTGCTCTGTCACCCAGGCTGCAGTGCAGTGGCCCAGTCTTGCCTCACTGCAAGCTCCGTCTCCTGGGTTCACGCCATTCTCCTGCCTCAGCCTCCTGAGTAGCTGGGACTACAGGCACCCACCACCAGGCCCGGCTAACTTTTTGTATTTTTAGTAGAGACGGGGTTTCACCGTGTTAGCCAGGATGGTCTCGATCTCCTGACCTCGTGATCCGCCCGCCTTGGCCTCCCAAAGTGCTGGGATTACAGGCGTGAGCCACCGTGCCTGGTCTATTTATAATTTTTTTTAAATTTTACTTAAAGTTCCGGGATACATGTGCTGAACATGCAGGTTTGTTACATAGGTATACATGTGTCATGGTAGTTTCCTGCACCTATCAACCTGCCATTTAGGTTTTAAGCCCCGCATGCACTAGGTTTTTGTCCTAATGTTCTCCCTCCCCTTTCCCCCCACCCCCCAACAGGCCCCGGTGTGTGATGTTTCCCTCCCTGGGTCCATGTGTTCTCATTGTTCAACTCCTACTTATGAGTGAGAACATGTGGTGTTTGGTTTTCTGTTCCTGTGTTAGTTTGCTGAGAATGATGGTTTCCAGCTTCATCCATGTCCCTGCAAAGGGCATGAACTCATTCTTTTTTTATGGCTGCATAGTATTCCATGGTGTATATGTGCCACATTTTCTTTAGCCAGTCATCATTGGTGGGCATCTGGGTTGGTTCCAAGACTTTGCTATTGTAAATAGTGCTGCAAAAAGCATTCGTGTGCATGTGTCTTTGTAGTAGAATGATTTATCATCCTTTGGGTATATACCCAGTAATGGGATTGCTGGGTCAAATGGTATTTCTGGTTCTACATCCTTGAGTAATTGGCACACTGTCTTCCACAATGGTTGAACTAATTTATACTGCCACCAACAGTGTAAAAGCATTCCTATTTCTCCACATCCTCTCCAGCATCTGTTGTTTCCTGACTTTTAATGATCGCTATTCTCACTGGTGTGAGATGTTATCTCATTGTGGTTTTGATTTGCATTTCTCTAGTGACTAGTGATGATGAGCTTTTTTTTCATATGTTTGTTGGCTGCATAAATGTCTTCTTTTGGGAAGTGTCTGTTCATATACTTTACCCACTTTTTGATGGGGTTGTTTTTTTCTTGTAAATTTGTTTAAGTTCCTTGTAGATTCTGGATATTAGCCCTTTGTCAGATGGATAGATTGCAGCAATTTTCTCCTATTCTCCAGGTCTTCCAACCTATTTTTATATAAATTTAAGTTCTTGAATTTGTTGTTTTTGTTTTCGGTATTGACCTAATTTTCAATTTATGTTGACATGCAGTCTCTATATCTATGTATGTACATATTAGTTGCTTAGAAAACAGAAACCATGTCTATTCCAGATTATATATTTTCATAGTTTTTAGCATGATCACATTTCAGGAGCACACACAATGTTAAATATAGTTATGCCACTTTCATTTTAACTGCTTCTATATTTTACTTAAAACAAATTAATAGATCTATTGTTTATTACTATCATCATGTAGTGTGAACATGCCATTCTTATTTTATGTAAATATCTTGTTGAGATATTTTTCTCATTCATGGTAATCAATACTCAATGAAAAAGAAGTTAGATTTAATCAAATCATGCATCATTTCAAATAAAATAATTACCTATTTATGAGTAATGTTATGTCAGTTTTAAAAATATCAACTTTCTAAAACCAAAATTACAACACTTAATTGAAATTTCCTAGGCTAAGTAAAAATTTCGGAAGTCACACAAATGACTCTCCAATTTCTACTTATTCCATAATGTTTTTCCACACTGAATGGAGAAGTTGTTTGTAATTACAAACATTCCCTAGTGGTGGGAGAGCAATTTCATGTGATGTGTAGGGATGAGGTCTCTAGAGCCAGGCTGCTTGAATGTGAATTCTGATTGGTCGCTTAATATTTGTAAGACCTCAAGCAATTCATTTAACAAATGCCTTAGTTTCCTTATCTGTGAAATGGGCATGAAATAAATCAGTATGTGTGGAATGTGAAGAATGGAGCATGCCACATAAAAAACCTTCATAACTGATACCTATTACTCTTATTAAAAGGTCTTTTCACTGCCACTAATACCAGTGCATTTGCTTCATTTCCTCTGGTAAGTTTTATCTTTGAAGAAAAAAAAAAAAAAGCAAAACAAAACAACTTCTCCACTTCCCCATGAGTCTGCACCTCAAGAATGTTATTTTTAGACAAACCTACTACACCTTTAAGAAGAAAAAATGGTAGACCAGTTAGATATTACATCAGGATCTAGTCTTAGTAATTGCATTAATGTATCTACCCTTTAATTCTAACATCAATAGTAAGATCAAAAATTGCCATTAATATACACCAACTCGACAAAATTAGAAATTAGATCCTCTTTCCAAAGTCTAAGCAAGTTTCTGTCAAACAAGGGAAGCTATGTTAAAATAAGATCATTGTTATGACTCCTAGAAAGAAAATAAAACATCCCAAAAAATCAACAAACACAACAAATAAAAATCATCATACATATATATGTGTGTATATATATATTCATATATGTGTATTTATGTATAAACACACATGGGTATTAGGAGAATCTATGACACTTGTAACATAAGTCTTTAGGATAGGATTAAAATATTATTCTTGTTGACATTTTGGGTATTTCTACACATGGTAAGAAAAGATTCAAGAATTTGGTTTGAAAAATGCCCAGGTGTTAATGTGCTAGTTCAGTCAAGCATGCCCTGGAGACCTAACCTTCCCCCCACCACCCCAGGGATGCAATGCTGTTCTGGTTTAGTGGGTACCACCATTAATGTGATCTTTACAGAGGTGGCCTGAATGAGTTATCACTACAATGCTCTTGGAATGAAAAGCACCACATCAGTACTTATTGTGCTTTGCATTTTTTATGATTCAAATCTTTTACAAGAGATGAGCAGCTCCTAAAGATATTAGAAGAGTGGTTTATAAATAGGAAGTGGCCATAGTTGCAATTCATTGGTTTCTGAAGAGCTCTAATTGCTACATGAATATTTTTATCTCGGAAATGTTAATCGAAACATTCACTAAATAACAGAAAAAAGGCAAGACTATAAATAATAATGCTACTTAAGGCATATAGAGTTACTTTTAGAAAACTTGAAGGTATAATTTTGTTTCCGTCCTACAGGAAGACTAATAAAAATAAAACCCTCTCTCAGAATAGACCATTATTGCTTACGACATCTGTGTCCACATGTTGCTCCAAAAGCAATGGCCACTGATGCCTCCATCTTGGCGTGGGGCATCCCACGTTGGCTGCCATTTTGTGTTTCTTCCTGTGTAACAACAGGCCAGCAGCCTATATACAGCTGTTTTTATCAGCTATAAAAGATAATTTTGCTGTATTAACTCCATAAGTTTGATAGAGCCAGCAAGACTTCTGTGGCATAATAGCTTAATTTTTCATTCTAATAATAACTGCCTGCCAGTTGAAATGAATAGGAGCAAAAACAAACATTCCTATTCTATAACATGATCCGTGACAGATGTACCACTTAGGAGGCCCTGGGCAGGAAAGGCCCGTCCCCCTCCAATTCTGCTCATGGCATTAAAAGCATGAACACTAGGGAGAAATTCTGACAGGAAAGGAACTCACCAGAAAGTGGCCTGGCTGTCCCACACTTAAATCCACAATTGGCTGGAGGCCTGATTTAAGATGAGGCACATTTTAGATCTTTACATAGTGCTGTGTTTTTTTCTCAGTCGCAGTCTTCTTCAGCTTTGAAGGTTCCCTGGAAAATTCTAGTCTATTTTCTTCCCTCTTTTTTCTTTTCTCCCCCACCCTTCTACCACTATATGCATAAAAAGTGAATAATTCAATTATTCACCTGTTTGTATAGATTTTTTGGTTGACAACTTAAAAGTGTTTCTTCTTAAATGCCAGGACAAATCTTGATACATTTAAGTGAAAATAAGGTCATGCAAGTTTGTGCCAACAAGCTACTCAGGCTTTATGTAGTTATCGATTTGTCTACCTAATGAGACTGAATATCAGCAAATTGTTTTTCATTCTTTATAAGAGAGATCACTTTCTGGAAGGAAAATTTAGTGAATTCCAATGCAAATTTACTATTTTGAGAATGCAGTGGATTTATTTTCATCAATAAATCAACATTTTCATTTACTCTTGTTCTCCCTTCCGTTTTTTTTTGCAAATGATTTTGATCCTTCATCCAAGAAAGCTCAAAACCTTTTAACTCTCTTCTTCATTAGATTATCACAATAATTTTTCCTTTCCTTTTTATATGTTTTTCTATATTTTCAAGGTTTTCTAAGAGAATATCTTTTGCTTTTTAAATTGCAAGTGGAGAGATTTCTAGATATATAATTTTTAATATACCTTTCAAATTATTTAACAACTTAATGTTATACATATGGAAATTTACAAAAGAATACCTCAGCATAACTGATAGGTGAACTGTGCACAATCCCATTTTACAGGAAACAGTACTAAGCTGGGAAGAGGATAAAGGATCATGTAGAAATCCATTGTTTTAAAACACCTGTATTACAGAAGAGGCATTTTTTCTTGATGATCTTGAAAAGTTTATACTTCTCCTCATCCAGTCAGTATTAATATTAACCACTTGTAATGATACCATAAAAAGTACTTCCTTAGAAGGTAGTACCAAACACAATTTTCTATGCTTCTTTTTTGAACTATTTTTCCAAAATAATTTCGAACTCACAGAAAAATTGTAAGAACAGTAGAAGAAACTTCTGAATATTCTTTACCCAGATTCCAAGTTAACACTTTACAACATTGCTTTATCATTCTTTCTATAGATATTTACATATTTTTTCTGAACAGCATAGGTGTAGCTGCATACAATGTATCTTCTGACCCCTAACACTTTAGTGTTTATTCCTAGAAACAAGTTTTAAATTCAGAAAATTTAACACTGATTTAATGCTATTATCTACTCTACACTGTATATTTCAAATAAATTGTTTTAGTAATGTCCTTTATAACAATTTTCCCCCAGTACAAGATGCAATCCAAGATCTCTTTAGTATCCTTTAATCTGTAACAGTTCATCAGACTTACTTTGTATTTCACATCTTTGAAATCATTGAAGAAACACAGGCTGATGTTTTATAAGAATTCTCATAATTTTTTTTTTGCTATTTCCTTATTATGTTCAGGTTATGTATTTTAGCAGACATACTACATAAGCAATGCTTTCATACCAGATTATTATATCAGAAGGAACATGATGTCCGTGTGCCCTTTACTAATGATGTTAATTTTGATTCCTTGGTTAAGATACCACTGCAACAAACATCCCTATTACCAAGAGGTAAAGATTTGTCTGCAGTTTTTTTTTCTTTCTTTGAAGACTAAGGATACATAGTCAAAACTGCATTCAAAAGTCACTTGTATTTTTTTTCTTTAAGTATAGCTATTCTGTTTGAAATAAGTTGAATTCTTTTGTTTATCTTTGCATTGAGTTTTAGGTTTTCCCCCAACCCCTAGCCTTGTTAGTTTTATTTTTTGAATCTCCAGAGTATTTATGTCATTACAAAAGTCAAAATTACACAAAAACACTGTACTTAGGAAAAAATTACCCTCTTCCCTATAAATTCCAACATGAACTCATTTCCATAAAAAATTAGTTTTAGAAGTTTCTGGTTTATCCTTTTTTAATATAAAAATAATCATGTTTTCTTATTTCTCCTTTCTCCCATAAAGGGTAGCATGCTGTAGATACTTCTTTGCACTTTGGTCTTCTCCTCTTAATAATAAGTATCGAAAATCAGTTTCTATCAGTTCATAGAAATTTTCCTCATTCCTTTTTACAGTTAGATAGTACTTTACCATGTGTATGTTCCATAATTTATTCAATCTTCCTTGCTCAGGCAATTTAGTAATTGCCAATAGTTTCTAATTACAAGTGATACTTGTTAGAGGTGTATCTTTAGTCTAAATTGCTAGAAGTGGAATTTATGGGCCAAATGACTTTGTAGTTTTGTTAGATATTGTCAGATTCCCTTTTAAAAGAGTCATGTTTTGGATTGCAGCCAACAATGAAAGAGAATGTCCATTTTCCAACAGGTGTGTCAACAGTATATTGTTAATCTTTTGTGTTTTTGCCTATCTAACCAGTGAGACCTAATATTTAGTATATTTTAATGTAAATTTAAATTTAATAGTATTCAATATACTTAAACTTGAATTTCTCTTTTATAAATGAACAACTTTTAGTAGATTTGAGGGTCATTTTCACATTTAAAAAATATCTGTGTAGATACTTTGCTCATTTTGAACATAGCCTTTTTTCCTTCATATTAAAAAGTTCCCTGCCTGTTAAAACATCAGCACTTCAAGATATCTTGTGAATATTGTTTCTGAATTTGCCATTTGTGTTTAGGCCATTACTTGCAAATGGTTTGATTATTTTTATGTAGCAAAATGTGTCAGTCTTTTATTGCTTCTCATTTTTGAATGATAGTTCAAAAGCTTTACCGTAAAACTAAGTTACAAAGGCACTTACTGATGCTTTAATCTAATATTTATACATTTTTACATTTAAATTTCTGACTCATTTGGAGTTCGTTGTTTTCTGTGGTTTCAGGAGTTAGTTTACTACTTTTAATTTTTTTTCCAAGTGGGTGTCTAGTTGTCTCAAAATCATTTATCAAAATGTCCAGTTTTTGTTTTCTTATTTTTAATAAAATGGTCCTTCTTATGGAAAAATATGAGTTTGACATTCAAAATGTGTTAACCAACCTAGACTTTCATCAGGCTTTCCCTATTACTATCCCAACCGGAAACAAAAGACTGGGCCCAATAGCTGCCCCAGAAGAGAAAGTCTTAAGTAGTTAATTATTAATAATTTTATCCCTATTCTCTAAATAAATTCTTGGTTTCAATACAACACTCATTTGTATTCAGGAAGCACCTGGCCTCTTTAGAGCAATCTCTGATGGTTTGCAAGGAGCTTTTGTCTTGGATTAAATTAGTGATAGAGTTAAAATATTGATACGGACATTACCATTTCCTTCATGATAAAATAAATGCTTTCCAAATAATAGTGTAATCATTAATGCCTACGCGTAAAAGATAAAGAAAAAAGTCCAGTTTTGTTCCTGATTTGAGATACCACTTTATCACATAGTAAATTTCTGTATGAACTTGCGTCTATGTCTGGTGGTTCTCTTCTAGTCTGTTGATCTGTCTATTCAGGTATCAGTACCACACTGCTTCAATTATAGAGGTTGTGTAATGCATTTTAATGTTCGTCAGGACTAGCACCTACCCTTTCCTCAAAAAGCTTTTCATATTTATTATTTTCCTCAATATTTTTATATCATCACTTTTTGCATAAAATAGCATCAATTTTTCTAGCTCTAGAAGTAAAGCTTGTTGGTTTGAGAACACATTCAATTCATATATTGGGAGAAAGTGACATCTTACTGATGTTGAGACGTCCTTTCCATTTGTAATGTGTACTTTTCTGTCTTTCAGGTGTGTTTTATAATTTTCTTCAATGTTTTTCACATTATTTTGTTAAGTTTATGCTTTAGCATTTGTATTGTTGTTGCTGACAACATACTAGATTTTTATTCTTCCATTGTATCTTCTAAAACTAGTTATTATTGGTGTATTAGTCCGTTTTCACACTGCTATGAAGAACTGCCTGAGACTGAGTAATTTATAAAGGAAAGAGGTTTAATAGACTCACAGTTCTGCATGGCCAGGGAGGCCTCAGGAAACTTATAGTCATGGCGAAAGGAGAAACAAGTACCCTCTTCACAAGGTGGTGAGAGAGAGAGAGAGAGAGAGAGAGAAAGAAAGAGAGAGAGAGAGATCAGGGTAAACTGCCACATTTAAACCATCAGATCTTGTGAGAAGTCCTTCACTATCACGAGAACAGCATGGGAGAAACCTCCCCCATGATCTAATCACCTCCCACCAGGCACTCCCTCCAAATATAGGGATTACAATTCGAGATGAGATTTGGGTGGGGACACAGAGCCAAACCACATCAATTGGTATATATGAAGACTAATGATTTTTGCCTGTGAATTTATAGCCTGCTACAGTGATGAATTACTTTAAGTTAGTTTTACCATTGATTATTTAGGGTTTTCCAGCAGGTATATATACTATCACTTCATCAGCAAATAAAGACTGTTTCACTTCTTTATCAATTTGTGTGTCTCTAATTGTTTAGTCTTGTCTAATTACAATGACTAATGATTTCAGAATAACATGAAATGTAATGGGCACAGTGGACATATTGGCTTTTTCCTGATCTCAGTGGAAATTCTTCTGCTTTCCTGTTAAGTAACATGCTGGCTTTATAATTGTAGCATATGTTTTTATCAGGTAGCCATTTATCCTTTTTCAAGGGCTTTTTAAATTAAGAATTGGTATTGAATTTGTCAAATGCTTTTTCAGCTTCTATGAAAAAAGACAATTTTTTTCCTTAGACTTAGTAAAATGGTGATTGATATTCAGATTTTCCATGATCAAAATTTACATTCTTGATACAAATAACACTTGGTCATGACCTTTTTTTTGGATACTTTTCTATTTGTTAATATTTACTTAGAATCTTTGTTTTAATGTTGATGAGTGGTGTTGGTTTGTAATTTTCTTTTTTTTTCTATTAATATCAAGTCTATGTATTAATGTTATACTAGCGTCATATAAAGAATTTCAATGTTTAAGTTTATTTTTTATGCTTCCAGACATTTTATATAGCATTTGAACTAGTTAATTACTAAGTACTTGAAATAATTATGAACTATTTGGGGATAGTCATTTTTGTAGAGTGGTTCCCTGTCAACTTCTTTCTTTTAAAAGATCTCTCAGTAGGTTTGTTTTGGTGAACTCTATTTTGCTTGGAAATCATACATTTCATCTAGATTTTCAAATTACTTGTGTGGAGTGAAAAGTAATTTCTTACAGTTTTAAAAAATATTTACTCTGAATCAATAGTTATTTATTCCTTGTAATTTCTTATTATGTATATTTATGCTTTATCTCCTTATTTCTTGATTAAATAGTGGCTTGTGTGTGTGTTTCAAATACTTTTTCTCAAAGAAACAGGACTTTGGTTTATCAAATTGATCTACTGTTTTACTATGTTCTACTTCATTAATTTGTTTTCTTTTTATTGATTCTTTCCTTGTGCTTCTTCCTGTTTACTTTGTTTTTCTTTTTCTAGATTTTTAAGTTGGAAATTGAATTCATTTATTTTTATTTTTAAGTTTTTACTGATATTGGTGTTTAAAACTATAAATGGTTTCCTGGTAGCTGCTTTAAATTTATCACTTAGATTCAAATGTATAGTATTTCATATCATTATTTTTTAGTATTCTAATTTTTGTTTGTATTTCTTCTTTCACTTAAGAGTAAAGGTTTTTTTAAATTTCCAAGCAGAATGGGTTTTAGTTTTATTTTTAGCTTTATTTCATTGAATCAGGAATGTTAATTTTAAAAATATTTTGAAATTCATGAAATTTTCTGAGCAACTTATATGATCAATGGTTGTAAATATTTTGTATGCACTTAACAAGAATCCCCATTCTCAATTATTATGGCATAGTGTTTGATATATTTCCAAAAAATCTACCTTACTTATTTTGTTTAGTTCTGCTACATCTTTACTCATATTTTAATACAGTTGATGTGTTTTACATGAAGAATGGAACGTTAAAATATCCTTCTATCAGTGTTTCTATTTTTATTTGAGTCAAAAATATCCATAACTGTTATATGTACATTATAAATTGCTGCTTAAGGTTCTCTGTCGTTTCAGCAGCATCCTTAATTTTTCTCCCACTTCATTCTTTCTTTTCACTGCCATATCTCAAGGGTCACACCTTTTATGTCTATATCTCCTAGAAACAATACTTCTTTTAGGCTTCAACCTCTGCTCCTCCTCACATTCAAGCCCCTTTTCTGTAAATGATGCAGTGAACCACTCAGGCCCAGGTCTGTGCTCAGTATTGGTCTTTCTCTTTCTGAGGTAGATTTTGCCTATGCTTCGTTGATGACATTGAATCCTATCTACTTTTTCATATGTAGTCACAAAGGATTCCCCTCCTCCCTGTTCTCTTCAACCAAAGGCTTGTAGAGGCAAAGGAAGCTCTGATGCATTGTAGTATGTATTTCTCTACTTCCAGGCAATATAAAGTTTATGATATTCTCAATTTCTAGTAGTAATGCTGAAGGCATGGATCCTGTGTGGTTTTATTAAGCAAGATCCTGTTGATCTTGTTTGTTATTTAAGATCATGTATACACAGAGAGAGACTTAGGCAGCCACCATTTTCTTAAGCCAACCTCTTTTAACTTGAGTTGGAGGCACTGGACCCTCTGAGTAGAATGTGCTTTTAAATGTGGTGTTTGCTGTAAAAAGTAAATGTTCTTACTCTGTTGCTGAGTTGACCCTTCTAATGCTGTTCTCCTCTGGCACATAATCAAACATTTAGAAAAAAGTTTCATGTGAATTTTTGCATAATCATCCTTCTATCTCTTAAGTGTTTCTTTTTGGAATGGGACAGACATTTCCTGATCCAATTTGTAAACGAAGATTATCTGTTGGCTTGAGTAATGTCTGCATCTTTCTCCCAAGAAGAAGGTCTTAGGAAGACTCATATTTTCAATTTTAAGAAATTTCATTTTAGCACTCTCCTTTTCTCCTGATAAAAACACAGTGAATATTAGGACTACAAGAAATTTGAAAAGCTTGGGCTTATATAAAATTAGCTTGAATATAATGTTCTGTGCAACTCATAACAAATTATCATTTGAAGGTAAATCAGTCCTTTGCTCATTGTTCACACTGCCAAAACACCTAAGCATAAATCTATGTATTTAATAAGAATAATCAGCAACCACAGGAGCAGCAAGCACTAGAGAAAGATAAACATCAAGGAGTACAATAAAGTAATGTACATTTAAAATTTCCCTTTTATATCTGGAAAGAGCTGTTATCTGCTACTGTTTAAAAAATACTCACAGGTGGGACAAGGAATACAATTCCAATCTCGTGTGTAAAATTAATAAGTATTAAATTCAGGAAAATTTTTGAAATAAAATAATGAGTTTATGCTGACACATCACAGAAAACAGCCTTTTTTTAAAGTTTTATGTTCTATTCTGTCAGCAAACATGCCTGAAACTTTAGGATCTTTGAATGGCAGATCATTCTGTAGACAAATATTTCAGTGCATTTGGGTACCCTTTTGACGACATTGGTCATATTGGCTAGACTTGGCTAATTATTTATTGCATAGGAAGTGGTGGTGGTAAATATACATTCCATGCAAAACTCTTAGTGACTGGTCAGTTCAGCTGAACATATACTCAAAAACAAAATAAGTTAATATGCTCTTAAATAGGAATCTGAATAACCTATCATATAGTATCAGTAAATATCTAAAAGATAGTTTGTTCATTTATGTTATGAAGTTTAAGACCTCACCTAAGCTCTGTAGTTTGTCTTACCCATATAAAAAGCAGCAGGAATTTTGCCTATAGACAATCCAGCACTGAAGAACCTGATAAGGTAAATTATCCCTGAATTAAATAATGAGTGGTGTAATACAATACTATAACCACATCTGTATTTCTGAAAGAAAGAGGTAAGAGATATGAGTAGCTTACATGAGCACCTACTTACTCCAGTGTGTCTTTTTCATTTCTTTAGTTACTTCAAGACCTGCAATTAGCCCACAAAATCCTTCAGGTTCTCAGTAGCCAAATAAAGTAAAATTGCAGTTAACCCAAGGTGGAGCATTTTGGTCATTAGGAGTGGTGGTTAATTGTGTTATTTTTGTTACTAATTCACAGTAATCACTTTCTGTTTCAGTATTCTTGCTGAAATACTTTGAGAAAATAAATTAACTTAATTTCTCCACTCAGTGAGAGATAATATAAATAAAGTTGTACCGGTATAGTAGGACATATGCTAGAATTATTTCTTTGTTAAAAAAAAAAAAAACCTGATCTTGGAATCCAGAATAAATAATGCTTTACATATAACAAAGCCTTCAATAAATATGTTGAGAGGATGAATAATTAGAAATTGCATCTCCATTTAAATGGAACACAAAAATAGTTCATTATGAGTCTTGTTAGCAAAGTTCTGGTTAAAAGTATTTTAAGGCAATTGGTTCTAAATCCTCCTTAGCAAAGAGTGAATGTTTTTATAACATCCCACTTAGGATCACAAGGCCTGCCAATTCATTAGGGTGTCTGTGAAATAAGGGATTTAGATGAAAATTTTAGGGTTCATTAACAACCTCCACTTCTAAGAATAATTAATCTTTTTATTGTGAATGATAACCAAGCTCATGTACAAACTCTCTGAATTACTAATAACCCTGGCAGGAGGTGTGTATTAGTAAGGTCTATAGTAGGTAAGCCTAAGTGTTAGTTGATGGAATCTTGAAGAGAAACAGATTTGTTCCTGTTGAAATGCTATTATCCTTGGGGTGGTAGACAGATGAAAGAGGAATTCACTTTGTTAATAATGTGTAGCATTCTAAATCTGCTAATAGGTCATTTATTTATATGGCTCTTGAATGACTACCTTTGGGAAATCCCAAATGATTTCAATTAAAGTGGTCATTATGGAAGTCAATAATTATGGTGGTATTTGAGAGGCAGTTCTTTTGTAATATGAGATAAATGAAGAGAAGATATCACCAAAGCCTTAGGGACTTGGAAAGTGACAAGAAATATGCAACAATATTTAATGTACATGTTAGGACATATTTGAAACATGGCTGTGATCCTTGTGGCCTCATCAAAAGTTTCTTAACTTGATGATCCTGGAAGAAGTGTGAATATGAGTGTTGGAAGCTAAGCAGTGTTGCAGAACAAAAGCAGTGCCTTTGGACAACAGTTGCTATGCATGAGGGAAATTAAATCATTATAATCCTATGGAAGCAGAAAGTAAAGTGACAGAATTGGCTAAGGTGTTCCTGCAAAGAACCCATGTTTGCATCTTCTGATGCCCAAATATAGTCCTTTCACTGACCTCAACACCTGCCTCACACTAGATTTTAGAACGTCCTTGATACGGGTTCAGTACTAACTTCCCACTTGCTGTCTGGCTGTACTTTTTCAGCTCACAAAATGTAACTATTTATTGCTGGTAAGAGATTATTGGTCATACTCTTAACGTTATTACTGAATTATGTGGTACAAAGTAAATATACTACTGTATTTCTTTGTTTCCATTTTCTGCATTATGTTGAACATGACATTATTTTACCAAAATCTGCCCACTCCCAGCTAGCTCACTGTAATATTTTTTATTCATTTACAAAGAATAACTTATTTTAGCCAAAAAACAGGTACAGCTTGTGACTCAAGAGGATAAATTATTCATAGCCACTGAACCATGTCTTTGCTTGGTTTCTTAGAGTTCTTTGAGAGATTTTGTGGGAATTATCCAAAACTTCTACCTCTTCCCATTCAGTTAATTGTCACTGAATTCATTTTTTCTTTTTCTATTTGTTTACTTGCTTATTTATTCATTCATTTATTTTAGGAAGAATATTTAACATGTGATCTATACTTTTAACAAATGTTTAAGTGTACAATACAATACTGTTAACTATAGGTATGATGTACAGCAGATCTCTAGAACTTATCTATCTTGCATAACTGACATGTTATTCCCATTGAATAGCAACTTTCTGTTTCTCCCTCCTCCCAGCCCTGGAAACCCCCATTCTACTCCCTGCTTCTATGAGTTTGGCTATTTCAGATACCTCATGCATTCTTACATTACCTAGATGAAACCCAGGTTCTGTTTAAGATCTAAGCCAAAAGGGGAGCTTGAAACCTCTGTGATTTTATGATCTTTCTAGTCATAAAGATATCTAAAATCAGTTTAAGATGTTTATGAAAAATTTTTTAAATTAAAAACTTGAACAGGAAAATTATCCACGAACAGTAGAGAATGTGTTTTTCATGCTTTTCACTATACACTTAATAGCAAAGTGTGAAACGATCATCTTTCTAACACCTAAACTAAGACTTTGTCTGCAATGATTTTGGCTTTTTCTGTTCACTCTGTCAAGACACTGATCACCCTATTCAAGACCAATGCATGCCACTGGAGAATGTCAACAAAAACCTCCACCCAGTTGTGCTGTGTAAGATTTGGAAGCGCTGTTTCACAGTAGGTTGGTGATCCAACACTCAAGTACTAGACATCCCTGGATGACTCAAAGCCCATGAACTTGATATCTGAGACTAAGCTGACATAACAGAGGTAAAACTCCTATCTTATGATGCCACAATCCTATCTTCTTTTAGAGGTTATTGAACAGAGTTTTCTGTATCCCTGAGTGCAGAAATACATACTGTATTCTTATATAATTTCTTAGCCTATTTTATTACCTAGCTTCACATTACCAATTGATTCAGGGAAGCTGAATCAATACTTTCCAAACATAAGCAGTTGGAATTTGAGTTTGCCTGAATTCCAGTGCCTGAGCCTATCACTGTGCTACAGAAATCCATATATCCTTTATCTAGCCCAGTGTTATAAGATGGTTAGACCCCCCTGAATATGAGCAACCAGCACTATCCAGCATGTTTGGATTGTAGCCAGGCCTCATTGCATGCTTTTCAGTACTAGGACTTCCTCAACAACTGTGATACTCAATGACTACTGACTCCCTCTGCAACCTGTGCTACCACCACATTTTAACCTCCATTGTGCCACAGCTACTTACCAAGAAGATATCAGGGTCCATTGAGGTCTGTGTTGCACAGGGTCAGCTCTGTCCAGACACCACAGGATGTGTTGTTCTGTCTTGATTTTTCCTATAACAAACCTGCTAATGCCTCAAAGCAGTTTAATCAACAATGATCATTTTTATTATCAGCAAAATATGTGCCCCTACCTCGGTGTTCACATAAATAATCATCGAAAGCAGAGGTACTTAATGTAGTTTTTAAGGTAAATTTATTTGTTTAAGTGAAATATGATATGGGGTTGCCCTAGTTGAAGTAGGAATGGAGGATCCAGAACACTTCCTTTTGGTTCTTTTCTTTGCTGCTCCACCTTACCCCTTACTATTGAATTCCCTGAGATAGCTTCAGGTCTGAGCTAGAAATTCTCAAAGCTCCAGTTGACCTTCCTGACCCCACCTTAGCAGCTGAATGCTGGTGAAATATTTACCATCTATAAGCAATGCCTCCTTAGGGAAAGACCAAGTCTGAGCCATCTCTGGTTTATCTGACAATCCCAGCAAAGCAGTGATTGCTACATAGAAGCCATCTGCTCCACTGTGGTTCCCATGCATGGTTTTCCATCCTGGATCATGCTCTCCTGCTGTTCCAGGATAACCCCACACACCCTGCATCAGGATGTGATCCTAGTTTCTATTGAAAACCAGCACCCTGACTCCACACTAACAAGAGCTGAATTGAACTAGACTTCTGATGGTTCCAAAGCAGAACTCAAATACATGGTTGATTTGGAGAGATTTTTATCCTGAGACTCAACTTTAACATGAGTGGTACACTTAATCCAACACAAAGGTGACAATTAGATAGATATAGTGCATAAACAAGAGAAAATCATTAGGAAAAACTTTTATGAAGTACCTGAAGCCAGTTTCCTGTAATCTAACCAACTTCTTTATCTGTTCATTTCAATCTTTCATTAAACAACAATTTTCAGAACATCTTCTTGGTGGCACTTCATAAACTTTCAATACCAGTTGGCACTTTTTCTTCTGAATGTGGCTATTTAGTCACAGATTGTACCTGCTGGCCATTGACCTTTATCTAGGACTGACCCAGCACTCTCCATCTCTGCACAGCCACCACCTAAAGCCACCACAAGCATTCAAATTTCATTATTGTCATATGGAGCATAACTATGATGAGTTATTAGAAACATATTTCAGGTTTCTACTAAAGTTGGTGCCTCTTATTGCAAGTATAATATCATTTCATGAAAAAGTATGAGAAAAACTTTTTTCTTTGTCTAAGTAAACTTTGCAAACAGTATGCCTCTAAAAACAAAGTATAGGACACAATAGAGATATAAAAGAGAAGGGGAAACTGTACATGGGAAAATGACTTTGAACACTTATAAGTACACTTATAAGTGTGTTGATTACACACACATATGTATATATGCACACAAAATATATAAATATAAAATATATATAAGAATGTACATGTATGTACATACAATGTATATGTATAGCAATATATGCACAAAATTCCTAACCATACCTTTAAATAGTTGTTTTCATGTTCAAATACATTTTTCCTGTATTATTTTCACCTGGGTATTGAAAGGCTTTAGTATAAAGAAAAGGTACTAAGTATAAACACTAGTGCTGAAGAGACGCAGAGCAAAATAGTGGAATCGAAAGTTTCACCAATTGTTCCCGCCACCACCCCCAGCAAGACACCAAGTTTACAACTATCTACATAGAAAAAATACCTTCGTAAGAACCAAATATTAAGTGAGCACTCATAGTACCTGGTTTTAACTTCATGTCTCTGGAAGAGGAATTGAAGAGATTAAAAAAACAGTCCTGAATCATTGACACCACGGCAGCCATGGACTGGTGTGGAGAGCATCTATGGGTGTTGAGAGAGGGAAAACACAGCAATTGTGAGGCACAGAACTCAGTTCTGCCCTGTTAGTGCAGAAAGGAAAACCAGACCAAACTCAGATGATGCCCACCCACAGAGGGAGCATTTAAACCAACCCTAGCCAGAGGAGAACTGCCCATCCTAGTGGTCTGAACTTGAGTGCTTGCAAACCTTGCTTGAAACAGAGATATGTGACCTTTCGGACAGAGAATTCAAAATAGCTTTTTTGAGGAAATGCGAAGAAATTCAAGATAACACTGAGAAAACTCAGAATTCTATCAGATACATTTAAAGAGGTTGAAATTATAAAAAAGAATCAAGCAGAAATTCTGGAGCTGAAAAAGATAATTGGTATATTGAAGACTGTATCAGAGTCCTTTAATAGCATTGCTTTAATGAACTGAGCAGAAAAAAGAAATAGTGAGCTTGAAAACAGCTATTTGAAAATACACAGTCAGAGGAGACAAAAAAAAAAAGAATAAAAAGCAATGGAGCATGCCTACGGGATATAGAAAATAGCCTCAAAAGGTCATATCTAAGAGTTACTGGCCTTAAAGAAGAGGTAGAGAAAGAGAGGTAGAAAGTTTATTCAAAGGGATAATAACAGAGAATTTCCAAACCTAGAGAGAGATACCAATATCCAAGTACACGAAGGTTATAGAACACCAAACAGATTTAACCCAAAGAAGACTACCTCAAGTCATTTAATAATCAAACTCCCAAAGGTCAAAGACTAAGAAAGAGTACTAAAAGCAGCAAGATGAAAGAAACAAATAACATGCAATGGAGCTCCAATGTCTGGCAGCAGACTTTTCAGCAGAAACCTTACAGGCCAGGAGAGAGTAGCATGACATATTTAAAGTGATGAAGGAGAATAACTTCTACCGTAGAATAGCATATCTGGTGAAAATATCCTTTAAGCAAAAAGGAGAAATAAAGACTTTCCCAGACAAACAAAAGTTGAGGAATTTCATCAGTACCAGACCTGTCCTATAAGAAATGCTAAAGGGAGTACTTCAATCCAACAGAAAAGGATGTTAATGAACAATAAATCATATGAAGATACAAAACTTACTGGTAATAGTAAGTACACAGAAAAACACTGAATATTATAACATTGTAACTGTGATGTGCAAACTACAGTATCCTCAGTAGAAAGACTAAATGATGAACCAACCAAATCAAAAATAATAACTACAACTTAATAACTTTGAAAAACATAGTACATTAAGATATAAATAGAAACCAAAAGCTAAAAAGTGCAGAGATGAAGTTAAGGGAGTTTTTATTAGTTTTCTTTTAGCTTGTTTGTTTGTTTATGAAAATAGTGTTAAGTTGTTATCAGGTTAAAATAATGGTTTATAAGGTAGTATTTGCAAGCTTCATGGTAACCTCAAACCAAAAAACATACAATGGATTAAAAAAAGTAAAAAGCAAGAAACTAAATCATGTCAGCAGAGAAAATAACCTTCACTAGAGGAAGACAGGAATGAAAGAAAGGAAGGAAGAGAAGACCACAAAACAATCAGAAAACAAATTTTTAAATGGCAGGAGTAAGTCCTTACTTATTAATAATAACGTTGAATGTAAATGGGCTAAAGTCTGCAATCAGCTAGTACTGGAAGTCCTAGCCAAATGGATGAAAAAGTTAAGAGCCATTAATCTGTTGACTACAAGTAATACATTTTACCTATAAAGACACACATAGACTGAAAATAAAGGGATGGAAAAAATATGCTAGTGGAAACCAAAAAAGAGCAGGAGTCATTATACTTATATCAGACAAAATAGATTTCAAGACAAAAACTATAAGAATTGACAAACAGTGTCACTATATAAAGATAAAGGGAACAATTCAGCAAGAGGATGTGACAGTTTTAAAGATATGTGCACCCAGGTCAGGCGCGGTGGCTCATGCCTGTAATCCCAACACTTTGGGAGGCCGAGGCGGGTGGATCACAAGGTCAGGAGATGGAGACCATCCTGGCTAAAACGGTATCCCATCACTACTAAAAATACAAAAAAAAAAAAAAAAAAAAAAATTAGCTGGGCGTGGTGGCAGGTGCCTGTAGTCCCAGCTAATCAGGAGGCTGAGGCAGGAGAATGAACCTGGGAGGCGGAGCTTGCAGTGAGCAGAGATTGCGCCACTGCACTCCAGCCTGGGTGACAGAGCAATACTCCATCTCAAAAAACAAAACAAAACAAACAACAACAACAACAACAAAAAGATATGTGCACCCAACACTGGAGTACCCAGACGTATAAAGGAAATATTATTGAGCTAAAGTGAGAGGCAGGCCCTAATACAATAATACTGGAAACTTCAACACCCCACTTTCAGCACTAAGCAGATTTTCCAGAAAGAAAATCAACAAAGAAACATCAGACTTAATCTGCACTATAAACCAAATAGATCTAGTAGATATTTAAAGAACATTTCATCCAAGTGCTGCAGAATACACATTCTCTTCCTCAGCACATGGATCATTCTCAAGAATAGATCATATGTTAGGTCACAAAACAAGTCATAAAACATTTTTAAAAATTTAAATAGTGTCCAGCATCTTCTCTGACCACAATGGAATAAAACTAGAAATTAGTAACAAGAGGGATTTTAGAAACTATAAAATGCGTGGAAATTTAACAGTATGCTCCTGAATGACCATTGGGTCAATGAAGAAATTAAGGAAATTGAAAAATGTCTTGAAACAAATTATAATGGAAACACAACATACCAAAACCAAAGGGATACTGCAAAAGCAGTACTAAGAGGTAAATTTGTAGCTATAGGTGTCTACACCAAAAAAGAGGAAAAACTTTAAATAAACAATCTAATGATGCATCTTAAAGAACTAGAAAAGCAAGAGCAAACCAAACCCAAAATTAGTAGAAGAAAAGGAATAATAAAAATGAGAGCAGAAATAAATGAAATTTAAATGAAAAAATACAAAAGATCAATGAAACAAAAAGTTGGTTTTTTGAAGTTAAAATTGACAAACATGTAGCCAGACTAAGAAAAAAAGAAGATTCAAATAAAATCAGAAATGAAAAAGGAGACATTATAACTGACACTGCAGAAATTCAAAGAATCATTAGTGCCAACTATAAGCAAGTATATGCCAATAAATTGGAAAATCTAGAAGAAATGGACAAATTTCTAGTTACGTGCGACCTACCAAGATTGAACCAGGAAGAAATCCAAAACTTGAACAGACCAATAACAGGTAACAAGATCGAAACAATAATAAAAAGGCTCCCAATAAAGAAAAGCCCAGGACCTGATTGGCTTCACTGCTGAATTCTACAAAATATTCAGAGAAAAGAACTAATACCAAATCTACCCAAACTATTCTGAAAAATACAGGAGGAGGGAATACTTCCAAACTCATTCTATGAGGCCAGTATTACCCCGATACAATAACTGACAAAGACACATCAAAAAAAGAAAACAATAAGCCAATATCTCTGATAAATACTGATGCAAAAGTCTTTAACAAAATACTGGCAAACCAAATTCAACAATACATTAGATCATTCATCATGACAAAGTGGGATTTATCCTTGCGATGCAAGGATGGTTCAACATTCAGAAATTAACCAATGTGATACATCATATCAACAGAATGAAGGATAAAAACCATATGATCATTGCAATTGATGCTGAAAAAGCATTTGATAAGATTCACTATCACTTCATGATAAACCCTCAAAAAATTGGGTCTAGAAGGAATATACCTCAAAATAATAAAAGCCATAGATGACAGACCCACAGCTAGTATCATACTGAATGGGTGAAAAACTGAAAGCCTTTCCTCTAAGATCAGGAAAATGACAAGGATGACCCTGCCACCACTGTTAATCAACATAGTACTGGAAGTTCTAGCTAGAGCGATCATAGAAGAGAAAGATATAAAGGACATCCAAATTGGAAAGGAAGAAGTCAAATTATCCCTGCTTGCAGATGATATAATCTTATGTTTGGAAAACCTAAGCTCCACAAGAAAGTGATGAGAACTGATTAACAAATTTAGTAAAGTTGCAGGATAAAAAATTAACATACACAAATCAGTAACATACCTATATGCCAACAGTGAACAATGTGAAAAAGAAAGAAAAAAATGTAATCCCATTTACAGTAGCCACACATCAAATTAAATACCTAGGAGTTAACCAAAGAAGTGAAAGATCTGTATAATGAAAACTATAAAACAGTGATGAAAGAAATTGAAGAGGACACCAAAAAATGGAAAAATATTCCATGTTCATGGATTGGAAGAATCATTATTGTTAAAATGTTCATACTACCCAAAACAATCTACAGATTCAATGCAATCGCTCTCAAAATACCAATAACATTCTTCACAGAAATAGAAAAAAAAAATACTAAAATTTATATGGAACCACAAAAGACCCAGAATAGCCAAAGCTCTCCTAAGCAAAAAGAACGAAACTAGAGGAATCACATTACCTGACTTCAAATTATACTACAGAGCTACAGTAACCAAAACAGCATGGTACTTGCAATAAAACAGACGCATAGACCAATGGAACAGAATAGAGAAACCAGAAACAAACCCACACACCTGCAGTAATCTCATTTTTGACAAAAGTGCCAAAAACATACACTGGAGAAAAGGCAGTCTTTTCAATAAATGGTGCTTAGAAAACTGGATATCCATTTGTAGAAGAATGAAACTAGACCCTTATCTCTCACCATATACAAAAATCAAAAAAGGATTAAAGACAAATCTAAAGCCTCAAACCTTGAAATTACTACAGGAAAACATTGGGGAGAATTTTCAGGACACTGGTCTGGACAAAAATGTATTGAGTCATACCCCACAAGCACAGGCAACCAAAGCGAAAATGGACAAATGGGATAACATCAAGTTAAAAAGCTGCTGCACGCAAAGGATACAGTCAACAAAGTAAAGAGGCAACCCACAGAATGGAAGAATATATTTGCAAACTACCCACGTGGCAAGGGATAAACAACCAGAATATATGACCTCAAACAACTATATGGGAAAAAAAAATCTTATAATCTGATCAAAAGATGGGCAAAAATTTTAATAGACATCTCTACAAAGAAGACATACAAATGGCAAACAGGCATTTGGAAAGGTGCTCAATGTTATTGATAATCAGAGAAATGTAAATCAAAACTGCTTATCATCTCATCCTAGTTAAAATGGCTTATATCCAAAACACAGGTAATAAGAAATGCTGGTGAGGATGTGGAGAAAAGGCAACCCTTGTACACTGTTAGTGGGAATGTAAATTAGTGCAACCACTATGCAGAACAGTTTGGGAGTTTCTCAGAAAACTAAAAATTGAGTTATCGTATGATCCAGCAATCCCACTACTGGGTATATACCCAAAAGATAGGAAATCAGTGTATATCAAAGAGATATCTGCACTCTTATGTTTGTTGCAGCACTGTTCACAATAGCCAAGATTTGGAATCAACCTAAGTGTCCCCCCTCAACATACAAATGGATAAGGAACATATGGTACATATTCACCATGTGGATATGTGTATCAGCCATAAAAAAACAATGAGATACAGTCTTTTGCAACAACATGGATGGAACTGGAGATCATTATGTTAAGTGAAATAAGCCAGACACAGAAAGACGAACATCACATGTTCTCACTTATTTGTGGGATCTAAAAATCAAAAGAATTGAACTCATAGAATAAGGATGGTTACCAGAGGCTGGGAAGTGTAGTAGGGGGCTGGAGGAGAGGTGGGAGTAGTTAATGGGTAAGAAACAAAATAATAAGAAAGAATGAATAAGACCTACTATTGACAGCACAACTGAAGAATTATAGTCAATAATAACTGTACATTTTTAAATAAAGAGTATAATTAGATTGTTTGCATCTCAATTGATAAATGCTTGGAGTGATGGATACCCAATTCTCCCTGATGTGCTAATTTCACATTTCATACCTGTATCAAAACATCTTATATAACCCATAAATAGATACACTTTTTATGTACCCACAAACATTAAAATAAATAAAAATAAAGATAAATACTAGTGCTAATAGTTCTTATGAAACAGACATAAAAATCAAAGACAATGTATTAAAAATCTCAAAGTGGTCCTTTTTTATATATATTAAATACAAGAGTAAAATAGGTACATTACTAAAGATGTATCATTCCATCCAAAACTGTATAATGGTTTGTTTCTCAGTCATTGTGGTTAAAACCATTTTTTTAATGTAGGAATGTTCTGTGAGGAAGACATTTTATCATCTCTGGGTCTTAACCTGAGCATTTGGGGTTTTACACAACTTCTTTTCTCTACAAAGAACACATCCATCCTTCTTTAAAAAAAACACACAGAAGTTGTAAATGCACAGAAGTCATAAACATACAGAAGAGTCATTAAATGGTTTCCTTGCTATTTAGTTTTTAAACATTTTATTCCAACTGCCTGAGGAGCCATTATTTTTCTTAATGTGATAGATTGCAATAATGGATATATTTGCCCCCTTGAGTTGCTGAATAAAGCTGTGCATACTACACATTATCAGTTTCCAAAGATTCTATGCAAACCCCTTTTTTGTATTGGCTTTTGTGGGTTCAGAGCTGCTGAGCTGTACTTTGAGAAAAAAATATCAAAGTAAAACAACTGAAACCATGAAGCTTCACAGCTCTATGTTATTATACATCAATTTAGACTTGTTTAAAAAAAATAGGCTGTTGGTTTACAATAGTTTGGAAATCTTTAAAGATTATTGCCTGAATATTTGGTTCTGCGTTACAGGCCAAATATAACCCAGAGTAGCCTAAATGACATTTTACTAGCCTAAAGTTCTCATAATACTAAACAGTTCAGTCCCTTTTCTTTGGGTTCTTATTTTAAATTGTGCTTATAAGAACGAGGCCATGTACTCTGGAAAAATTCCATACTTTTAAAAGAATAGTATTGCAAGATGTCAAGAATAGTATTGCAAGATGTTAGGACTCTCTTCCAAGATGTTTTGTTCACACCATTTATTCAACGGATATTTCTTGAGCTCCTATGTGATGCCTGGCATTGTTAGGCAGCAGAGATATGATGATGAGCAGGTACCAACTTGCCCTCAAGAAGCTTACAGTTAGCTAATAAACAGATATGTGCAAAGAAGAGTTAGAGGTGCAAAGGAAAGAGAAAGTATAGGACTGGAGGGAATATTAACGAGGAAGGGGAAAAGTCCACATGAAGATGGTTTAGAAAATTTTCATAAAAGAGGTATGCATTCTGGGCTGCATAGTGGTAGCAGTGAAGAACAGGCAATTCTCAAAATAGACTCTCTGGATTCTGGGTTTAAATCTTGAGTCTGCTATTTCATAGTCATATAAATTGAGTAAGTTACCTATTTCTAATATCAAAGGCTCAGACCCCTAAACAGTAAAAGGGGACTGATAGTGGTGTCTTCCTCATAGTTATTGTGAGGGTGAAATGACAAATTCCAAAATGTAAAGTGTTTATATCTGGAAAGTCTCAGTAAATGTAGGTTGTTACAAATCTTGAAAGATAACTAGTTTACCAGGCAACAGAAGTGAGGCATATCAAATGGTCCTTCCTTAGAATATATAGGAAGAACATATTTTCCACTAATACATCTAAGGAAATTAAAGCAGTAATACATTTTAATAAAGGCAAATATTTCCAAAGGCCCTCTTCCCTTTTCTGTCTGTTCACAAATAGTTTGAATAGGTGCTAAATGCAGACTGCTGCTTGAATGGGACTATTACACCAGGTTGTTGACAACCTGGTGTTATGGACTTACAGACTGCTATGAACCAAACTGCATAATGGGAGTTAAGACAGTGGTTTGGGAACAAACTAGAAATAGAGTGTAAAGATACAGTTTTGTGTGCCAAACATGATAGAAATATCTATCAGAAAGAAAATGTAGCCTTTTTGAAGATAGCTTGGCAATATAATTTCAAAACCCTTACAAAAGTCCAGAATTCTTGACCCAGTAATTCCCTTTGTAATCTATGTTAAGCAAACAACTTGAAATGCCGTAAAGAATTTAAGTACAAAGATGCTCATTACAGCATCAGTTGTAATGGAAAAAAATGTTATTGATATGACAGTCAGTTGTGGTCTAAGAGGCTTTTCATAATACAGGAAAATATTCAAATTAAAGTGTAAAATCAAGAAGGCACAATACTATCTTAACTATAGAAAATCCATAAAAGAAACACTAGAAATAAATAAGTCAAAGTAACAATGATTTCTTCTGGGTGGTGGAAATAAAGGTAACCTTTTGTTATTCTTTTTTACTTTTGGCATTTTCAAAATAAGGTACATACATTGTTTTTAGAATAAGGCAAACAAAAGACTGAAAAAGGAGAGAAAAATTCAGTGTAGTTCTATGAAATTCCTCAATGAAAGAATGTTCAAAGGAAGAATTTTAAGTGACAGTTTCTCTTTGGCCATTCATCTTTATCCATCAAACTGTCATTCGTGGCCTTATACATCCTTTCTTTGCTCTGAGTCGTGTAAAATCATTTGCTTTCCCAACAATGCATCCACTGTGTGGCACCATCTTTTTTGCATTTACTCATATCCTCATGTTCTGGCCTGGGAGGATCTGAAAAATCTGTCCCCGGAGCATAAAATGCCTTTTCCAGCAGAGACTTGAGATGGAAACCAATCACTGACCAGAGTCTTTTTTGGGAAAATGATGCTCCTCTATTTGTAGCTGTGAATAAACTCTTGCTCAATTTGACTACCAAAAATTATTCCTGTGTGTTTTTTCTTCTGTTTGTCATAGTTAACAGAGAGGTATTTCCCACTGCCATATTTGAATTTTATGCATAAACGCATAGATGCTGAAATTCAGCCTTAGGCCTTCAAGAAACTCCGTATGTCGGCTTTCTGTTTCAATCCCATATGCAGCTCAGGTAGAGTATGTGCTGCAAACTGCATGTGGCCTGAAGAATGATCACTGGCTTGTTTGGTTTTGCTTTGTTTGGTTTTTTATGCTAATAAGTGTGCACTGTTGACTACTATAGTCACAAGTTAAGTGAGCTGGTAAAGGCAATGGGAAATGCAAATCTGAAATATAAAATGAAGCAGAAAACATAGTTCATACCTTCAAGGTGTTTATATTCTTTTGCCACACTATCTACTGTAGCACTAGCCACATGTTGTTATCAAGCATTTAAAATGCAACTACTCCAAATGAAGGTCTGCTGTAAGTTTAAAATATAAAACAGCTTTTGAAGACTTAGTACAAAGAAAAAAATGTGAAAATGTGAAAGATCTAAGTAATGTATACTAACTAAATATTGAAATAATATTTGGCTATATTAGGTTAAATAAAATATATTAGGAAAATTAATTTCACATTTTTCATTTTTCTCTTTTAATTGTGGCTCTAGAAAATTTTAAGTTACATATGCTGATTACCTTTGTGACTCATGTTATATTTCTACATAAAGACTCACCCACATGAAAATTAAATGATCAGACAAAAATCAATGACAATACTGAAATATAAACCTGAGCAATATTAAAACAAATATATAGTGGATTTATAAATTAGCAATAAGGACTATAAATATCATTAGTTCAGAAGAAAAAAAAAAGATGGCCATGGACAAAGTGAGGACAGCCTTGGAAAATGTGTTCAGAAATTCACCATGGTCCTTCAACTTAATGGCCCAATCCACTCTGGTGATTGTTTGCTCTTACTTCCTCCAGTGATGTTTTGGTCTAATTCCTAACTTTTTAAACATTAATTCAGTGTCTTGGACTTCTATCCTACACTATGATGCTGTCTGTCTGACTCACTTCTAAATTGAAGTGCATATATAAAAAAAATTGAATCACTCCAATGATTTTAAATCACTCTTCAATGTGCAGAGCAATTTAAAATTACTGGAGTGCTTCCAATTTTTATTAGTCCTTGAATTTGGAAGTGATCTAGGCTTTTCTGGGCATGTGCAATGCACTGTGACTTAAAATTATTAAGCTCTCATGCACCCCCACCCTTATTTGTAAGAAGCTGATTTCACTTTGCAATGGAAACCATCAGGAGGGTATGGCATGGAAATAGCATGGATAACAAAAAACACAGGTGGAAAATAGCTTCCATTTAATAATGAGAACTATACTTTGTAATTAGAAAGTGTCTTGCCCAAGGATCTCTAAGTGCTTCATAAACATTAGCTCATTCATCATGAAAACATCTTATTGGAGGCATATTTCCAGTGTGGGAGGGTGGTGATAGGGATGGGCAAAGCCATTAGATTGGCTTAAAACATTGAATTGGGTAATTTGAATGATGTGAGAACTATGCCTAGGACATTTATTTTTGGTACTGCTTTATTTTTCTTTTTTCTTTTTGCAAGGAGAAGGAGGTAATGTTACACTGTCTGGTCCATTTGCAAATGTCATAAAAAATTAACTTGGCAATGCAGAATCTACTAAATAAATTGCTTATCCCAAATAAACTCCAGGAGCACACATAAAATGATTGGTTTCCTAATTTAATTACTTTAGTTAAACTTTGGAAGAAAATACATAAACCTTTCCACTATTTTCTTTCAATTTAATTCCTTCCTGTTTAGCATATGCTGAATTCACTGAACCTAAAACATTCACCTGTAAGATGGTTTATCTGAGAATTTTCAAGTCATAGGCTTTTCCTCTGTTACAGTTATATGAGAACTTTTAATCAATATAGGAGTGTAGTAAAACCTTTATTGTAGAAGTGGCCTAATTTAGAAACAAGAAAAAGAAATTCAGTAAATTTTTAATGTTGACTAAGAAGTGTGCCTGCTTGTTCTTCACTATTAAGGAATCGATTTTTGAGACTTACTATGATAAGCGCATGATGCTAGGCATTGAAAACATTAACAGTGAATCTGGTAAAATGAAGCCTGTGAACAAACAGGCTTATTTAGAAGGAAAGATTTCAAGTGGTCTCACTATAAGATAATACACTGGTAGTAATATGTAATATGTCTCACACAAAATAATAGTATGAATTACCCAGAGCATTGACTGAGTTCTTGACAAAGGCCATGTGTTTCGTTATCTGTTATAAACAAACAACAGTAACAACAATAAGTAGTAAAATTAGAGAAAGAGGTGTTTAAGGGCCCACTCCTGCAAAAGGCTATAAGAAATAAAAACCAGGTCCAACAAAGTGACCTCTATAGAAATGACAGAACTGGCCATAGTTGTTTGCTTTAGACAACATACAAAATCATATATATGAGTATAAAGTTTTTCTGTCAATTCATGCAAAGAATCACAGTTCATTCTTCCAAATTCACAATGGCAAGGTCCTGCAGAAATCCAGGGCCACAACTCTCTCACCCAATTCAGTAACATCTCAGCAAAGGTGATCTTAAAGCAGAACCTAACATGAAATATGTGTGTATTGTTGTTGTTGTTTTAAATCCTCTTTGGAACATTATGACCCATAGGCGGAAATAGAATTTACAGTAATGCCAAGGATTAAAAGGAATGAGCCTCTTGTTTAGAAAATTAGCTAATCAATATGCCAAGCTTATTTTTAAAAATGCTTTAATTTTTTAAAATACAGCATGTCCGCTCTAGCTTCCTGTATTTGACTCTGATAATAAAACTTTCAGTATGACTAATGTAGTTTAGCTAAACAAATTAGAGAACTGCATCGTTTGTGCTGAGGAGAGTTTCCATTAGCCATTGTGATGTTCTCTTCCTGGTCAGTGAGTAATGACTGTGATCCAGGCCAGGAGAGCGAGGTTTATGTTTTTTGATGGAGAGACAGGAATCAGTGAGCAAAGACTACAGGAAAGGGAGGGCCATGGTTTCTCCACTCAGAGACTATAGGCTGCTTTGGGAAGAGAGAAGAGAGGAACAGACACGAGCATCCCTCCTATTTTCTTGGTTGCAAAGCTCCTGCTATTTTTAGTTAATGGAACACAAGCTGAATGTCAAAGAGAACCAGGGGAAGAAGCAGGGATACCCAGAAGAACTCACTGTACTGGACTCTCCATTCTTCCCAGCATCTCTGTAGGCCTCGGCCTGCATGCTAGGGGATATGTTATGAGTTGAATTGTGTGAATACCCCCAACCATGATGTTGAATTCCTAGCCTCCAGTACCTCCAAATGCTACCTTATTTGGCAAAAGGGTCATTGCAGATGTAATTGGTTAAGATGAGGTCATGCTGGAATAGGGTGGGCCGTTAGGCTACTCTGACATTTTTATAAGAATAGGAAAGATGACGTGAAGACAGACACCCAGGGGAGAAGTCCATGTGACAGCAATGAAAAAGACTGGAACCATGTAGCTGCAAGGCAAGGAATGCCAAGAGTTGCCAGCCACCACCAAAAGCTAGGAAGAGGCGAGGAAGGATTCCACCTACAGCCTTCAGAGGGAGTATGCTTCTGTTAACACCTTGGTTTTGGACTTCTAGCCTCCAAAACTGTGAGAAAAGACGTTTTTGCTTTTATAAGCCACACAGTTCATGGTACTTTGTTCCAGCATTCCTACAAATCTAATACAGGGTATGAGGAATTACAGAATTTTCTGGAAGTTCCCTGTTGTCAGAGAGGCTGAGTATGAATGGCTGGGACTGAACTAGAAAGGAGACCTCAGTTTCATAGTGATTTTCCAGAAACTAACTTTTTGCCCCGGTCAAATCAGTGCCCTTCTCCAGCTTCTATAAAATGCCATTTCCATTGTCCCTTCCAGTCGTACTGTTTTGTGATGTAGGAGTCACTAGTGGCAATAGATCATGTCTAGGGGAGGGGGTGAGGCTGGCGAGGCAGGGGGTGGGAATCAGGTCAGGTTCTCCTTATCTTCATGTCAAGCGGGCAGATAGGAAGTATGAGGAGAGAGGATATTTGCTGTGGCTGCCTATTTAGTATCTGCTTATTTAATCTCATTCTTGAGGCCTATGGTTAATGTCTGCTCTCCCATATCACCTCAGGTCACTAAGCACATGCCCTATAGTCAATGCACACTTACTGATGTGCCATCCTTTAAAACAGCATTGCGTTCACTCTCTCACTGTCTCCAATATGATGTATCTGTGGTCCACAGGGTAACAAGAAAGTCCTGACTAACATGAAGCCAGAAGAGAAGGTGTCTGCATTTAAACAGAGACTTGCAGTATCTCCCAGGAACACTTTGGTTGGAAAAGAAAATTTCCTTAGCTAAGTCAGGATAAATCAAAGCTTATCAGTCTGGCAAACTATGTTTTGGAAGAGCAAGACCACTTAGGTCAAGGTACAGTTCCTGTCAAGGTTTCGGAATCTTGTTCTAAGGTTGGAGATTGTGGCTATCCTTACAGCTTCATGGAGCAGTAGACATGTTGAGATAGGATTTGGTCAGCAAAATGGAGAATTAGCAAGTTTCAGAAAAGCTGCCCACCTGCCAGCAAGTCCAGCTTATCTCATAGTTGACAAATACAACCTAAGTTGATAGTAAAGATTAGCTGGTTTCATTTCATTTTACACAGGAAGAAACTTTGATTCAGAGAGGTTATTGCTAAAGAACAGATCTTTAATAAATAGATTAACTTTGATCTGTTATCCACATTTTTGATTGATATAATCTTTAATTCTTCTTTTCCATCTTAATAAGGACTTTAGAAACATTTGAGATCCTGTTAATTATAAACATGGAGCAATTTTCATCAAATATATAAAAGTTAAAAACATAATAGCATTTCTTGTGGCACATATACACCATGGAATACTATGCAGCAATAAAAAAAGGATGAGTTCATGTCCTTTGCAGGGACATGGATGAAGCTGGAAACCATCATTCTCAGCAAACTAACACAGGAACAGAAAACCAAACACTGCATATTCTCACTCATAAGTGGGAGTTGAACAATGAGAACACATGGACACAGCGAGGGGAACATCACACATTGGAGCCTGTCTGCAGATGGAGGGCCAGGGGAGGGATAACATTAGGAGAAATACCTAATGTAGATGATGGGTTGATGGGTGCAGCAAACCACCATGGCACATGTATACCTATGTAACAAACCTGCACATTCTGCACATGTATCCCAGAACTTAAAGTATAATTTTAAAAAATAGCATTTCTATAACTTCTTACTGAATAAATGAATAGAAGAATAAATGAGAAATAGATTACTTTTATGACTAACTACAAATTAATTATTAGCTGCACATTTTTAACATTTCTAAGTCATTTCCTATGCCCTAATTCTTATATGGCATCCCATCTCATTAAAATTTTATCCCCCATTATTAAATTCCAATGAAATACTCTGTCCAAGTGATTTAAATCACTTTATAACTTATAAAATGGAAATAAGGTATTATTTTTGCTGTTGCTCAAATAGACCACTTAGGTCCTAGATTAACTTAGATCATCATCATCTTTGGAGACACCTGGTATTGTTTTTATACTTAACCCATTACTATGGTATTCATTTAAAAAATGATAATGATAATCACATCCAATTAAGTCCCTTTTTCTCACCTCTAAGAGAATATAGGGTTTTTTTCCTTTAGAATTTTGATGTTGTACGATACTATAATACTCCACACTTTAATAAGGAATGAAAAAAAAGTAGAAGTGTTAATGATGGAACTTCAAAAGATATGGCTAAGTGTGGTTACCAAGTACACTGTTTATTCTGTTTGGATTTCAAAAAGAGCAAATCTACTATTGATTTTTTCTCACTTATGAAATGTAAACTACACTACCAAAGTTTTTCTCGAATATCGTTAAATAGCATAGTCTTAAAAACTATAAGGAAACTATTATTTGTGTTTTTTAAATTTTATTGTTGTTTGTTTCTTGTGAGCATATTTAAGTTGAAAGAAAAGTTTTCATCACTATCAGTTACCAAGATCTTTAGCCATTGCTGGCTTCTGGACACATTATACAATTAAGGGCCAATGCAGTTCCCTAATAGTTCTGATGTCATTGTCAAAAAAGTTCTAGAGAGTCAGTGGCGATAAATAAACTCTTGAAAGAAGAAACTCTTAAAAGAACACTCATGGGACAATAACTGAGTCAAACCATCCTGTAAGAACAGTTAACAAAAATGAAAACATTTTTATAAAGTTGGAAAATGCATTGTTTTATAGTAGGCATCTTGCTTACATAAAACAATTTAAAAAAAATAATTGATATATCTCATCTCATAATCTCAAAAGATAAACTATAAATAAAGGTTTGCTAATATATTTGAGGCTTGAAAATGACTCAAACTAATGTTTGAAAAACTTGTGCTTAAAATAGTGTAACATGTAATCTGTATAAGATAATAAAAATTTATAAACAGAATGAGTCTAGCCTCTGTAAATTAGCCCATGAGAAAAATTTTTCCCTCTAACTTCCAGAGTCAGTATCATGAGGACTTAGCCATCGTCCACAGAGTTGTTGATTATAGATCCCTGATGTAGAATACTCAGAAACTGAAATTTCTCAACTAATATTTAATTTTTTTTCTCTGCTTGATTCTTGATGTGCCTACCATTTTAGTGAACCATGGGTTCTCTCAGGCCACATTTCACATTTCCACCTAGACAAATTAGAGAAACATAATTTGGACAGATGGATATTATATACCACCGATCTCTTTTCAAAAGTAAATCCTCAAGTGACCATAAATTAACTATGCTATTATCTGGACAATTTCAAAGGCTCCTTCTTAGAACCCTGTAGTGGTATACAAATGTAAGAATTCATTTAAAAATTACATTAAGCCAGTGTTTTTCAAACATAAAAATGATATTTCAGTGATTCTTACAGTGTATAATTACTGCAAGCAATTGCTGTACTACTTTCATCTACTATACAAAAGAATGCATTCTAATTAACAATATCCAACAATTGAGCTACAAGGCTATCAATGCCAATTTGTGGCTGTTATGGACTGAATGTGTCAAAATTTATATGTTGAAGCCTGTTGCTCAATGTGATATTTGTAGGTGGAGCCTTTAGGCAGTGATTAGGTCATGAAAGTAGAAATGGGCTTAGTGCCCTTGTAAGAAGAAACAGGTAACAGGTAGTCTCTCTAGGCCATATGAGAATATTGTTAGAAGGTGGATGTCTACAAGCAAGGAAGAGGGCTCTCACCAGACACCAAATCTGCTGGCGCCTTGATCTTAAACTTCCCAGCTTCTGAAACTGTAAGAAATAAATGTTTATTGTTTAAGCCACCAAGTCATTGGTGTTTTTGTTACAGCAACCCAAACTAAGGCAGCAGCCTATATTTAAAAGCAAAAACATGCATTTTCGATATGTATCGTGTGACATGATTTTTGCTGTCTCAGATCATTTCATAGGACCAAAGTGATCTCTCTGTCTGTCCCTCTCCCTCTCTCCCTCTCTCAGGAATTTGTATAATGTGGTATTAGGTGACCAATGGAATAAAACAAAATGTTGTAGGCTTTTTCTTTAGATTCACTGAAAAAGTTCCTCTGATAAAGTAACTCACTTTGGACACTGTGCCAGGACCCCAGCCCACTTCTTTTACAAATGGCTTATAAACACCAATGGAAACGTAAAACTGCTGACATTGGCAGCACTTCCAGGAATTATCTTAATTAAGACTTGCAGTACCAAGAAGGGTTAATATTATTTGAAAGTAAAAGCTTTCATGCCAAGAGCAAGCCCACTCTGTGTGCACTGCTGGCTCAGCACTATAATTAAGAAAATTGCCTCTAGTGTGCTTGTTTGGTAATGCTGTTATCATCTTTTTTTCCCCTTTTAACAAGAGTAAACTACTTGGAGATGTCCCCATTTATTCTTCTTCCTTCCACTAACCCCTGATCTCACCAAGGCCATGCTAGGCTAGCATTTAAATGACTAAATGAGCTACTTTATCATCTGGTTCACCCTGAAGTCTTTTACATATTTTTCTTGACCTCTAACCCACAGACTATTATTTTGACAGCTATCATTAATGCTGTGTCCTGAGTAACCACACATTGACTATGATGGATGGTGAAAGAGCCGAGGAGTTGAAAGAAATGGACACCCACTTTCATCTTCCTCTTGATTAAATCGAAACCGTCCAAAGCTGTTGCACACAGAGCTTCCTGTGGCAGTGTTGGAACATATTAACTGAGATTTTAGTGGGATACCCCATTCAGAAAGAGAAAAAGAACCCAGCTATAAAACAAACCACATAAACTAAACATCAGAACTCTCTAAATTTGATAAATTATGACTATTCAAGTATGAAATTAGATGAATCAATATGTGGTTAGAATTTAAAAATTTCATAGTGTTCCTTTGAAGAGGAGCCTTGCTGGTAAGGTTAACAAAGAGAATTCCAGTGTCAAGAGACATAAGTTAAAATGACATAGTTACAAAGTCTTGTCATACATCTTTTAAGTGTAGGCTCCCATTTGAAAGGTCATGTTGACCTGCTGTGATCATTTACATGGAACACCATGGTCTGTGGTTCCTCTATAATTGTGAAGTCATTACCAGCTTTGGACCCACACAGTTTAAATGCCTCCCTCCTCCAGGAAGTGACTACAACTAAATTTGATGACTGAATTTACACTATAGGAAAGACACCTAGTGAACATGGCATTGATAGCATTCCAGAACCCGGTAAGCTTTGCAGTGATAGAGAAGTTGACCAGCATGTCGAATCTTGATAATGTACAAATATATAGCAACAGCAGAGCCCAGAGTGCTAAGAATAAAATTAATGGGGAAGGATGTATGGTATTGATAAGAAACTGTAGTTAAAACTGGGGTAATAACTTTTATTCAGAAATGTTGTCATGCCATAAAGCAAATCAAGAATAATTATCTTGGGTTTGGGAGACAGGATAGAAGAATAAAATACCATATTCCATATTCAGGAAATGAGTCCTTCTGAATAGAAAAAGTATGGGACCAACTGCTCCTAAATGTATTTCTTTTTCTAACATTGTTAAGATTCCATTAAGACTCCATTCTCTGGCTACTATTAAAGTCGAAAATAAGAGATGCTGGCAAGGTTGTGGAGAAAAAGGATATACACTGTTGGTGGGAGTGTAAATTAGTTCAGCCACTGTAGAAGACAATGTGGTGATTCCTCAAAGACCTAAAGACAGAAATACCATTCAACCCAACAATCCCATTACTGGGTATATATCCAAAGGAGTTTAAATCATCCAATTATGAAGACATATACATGCATATGTTCACTGCAGCACTATACTCAACAGCAAAGCCATGGAATCAACCTAAACGCCCATCAGTGATAGACTGGATAAAGAAAATGTGGTACATTTACACCATGGAGTACTATGCAGCCATGAAAAAGAATGAGATCATGTCCTTTGCAAGGACATGGATGGAGCTGGAGGCCATTATTCTTAGCAAACTAACACAGGTACAGAAAACCAAATACTACATATTCTCACTTATAAGTGGGACTAAATGACGAAAACACTTGAACACAGAAGGGAATAGCACACACTGAGGCTTATCAGAGGGTGGAGGGTGAGAGGAGGGAGAGGATCAGGAAAAATAGCTAATGGATACTAGGCTTAATACTTGGGTGACGAAATAATCTGTACCACAAACTCCCATGACACAAGTTTACCTATGTAGCAAACCTGGACTTGTACCTGTGAATTTAAAATAAAAATTAAAATAAAGACTCCATTCTCCATTGTTAACAATTAACACTGTCAATTGTAAATATTGCAATATAGATGTTTCCCAGTTCTTCTCCCCCTAATTCAAATGCAGACATGAAATGAAAATTTATCAGACATGAAATGAAAATTTATCTACAGATGATTGTAGAATCACTGTCAATGAAGTTCTTTCAAATTTTGTAGATAAGAATTCATCCATAATGGCCCAGTTATATTTCTTAAAATCTTGAAAAGTTGATGAAATCAGCTCTTGAAATAATATGTAATATAATCTATGCTTCTATTTACTGATTCTAAGGGGAGAATTATTAAGCATAAAAGTCTCAAGAATAACTCCTCCCTGATTTTGAGAGTCAATGATGATAATTCAGATGAGAGGCATTATTTTATTATAGCCACACATTTTTCTGTTCTTGACACTAGCCTCTCATATGTGTTAAATCTCTCAACCAGTAAAATTTTACACCAATGGACACTCTCCATATTCCAAATTCTAGATAGCTACTATAGTGTATCATTTTTAAAAATCTCTTCAAAGGGGCTGGGTGCAGTGGCTCACACCTGTAATTCCCAATGCTTTGGGAGGCCAAGACAGGAGGATCACCTGAGGCCAGGAGTTTGAGACTAGCCTGGACAACATATGGAGAAACCCAAATCTACAAAAAAATCATAAATTAGCTGGGTGTGCTGGCATGCACCTGTCATCCCAGCTACTTGGGAGGCTGAGGATGGAGGATCACTTGAGCCTGGGAGGTGGACACTGCAGTGAACCGTGAATGTGCCACTGCACTTCAGCATGGGTGACAAAGTGAGAGCTTGTCTCAAGAAGAAAAAAAAAAAAAAACCCTCTTCAGGGTTCCTGCTTTTATAAGAAGAAAAAAAGTGTTTTTGACTCCTCCTTGTTAGGTGAAAATGTGGAAAAATAAGTAAGCCTAGTTTATTTTCCAGAGGCTGCTAAGTTAAGTTCAAGCAACATACAAAAGTTCAACTTTTGGCTTTGTGTAACTACAATCCACTCACTGATTCTCTTCTAAACATTGACTCAAACAAGTAACATTTATTGAGCACTCAGATATGTTATCACTGTAGATGTAAGAGAAAAAACAAGCCCTTAGAAAAGACCACGAAGAAAAGGAAGTCTACTCATACATATATTTTGTGCACTTTAGAAGACCTTTCTCTAGGCTAATAAGAAGAAAAGATAAACTGACAAAAATATTGGAGTAAACTTTCAGCATATGAATCTCTTGGAAATAGTACAGGAAGACCAGGGAAAGCAAAGACTTAAACACAAGAAAAAAATTATTTTTTAAAAGAAAAGTAATATCCAGATTGAAATAACTCTCTTCAACTTTGCAGTTTCTTTCAAAATACTCAAATAGGATTTATGGAAAAATGTTTATAAGAACTAAGACTATTTTGCTGAAAAGCAGCATAATGATGATGTGTTTTTAAAAGCCAGACTAACTAAAACATTTTTAAACACTACAGAGGGCAAAAAAATAGATTTTGTCTCTATTTGTTTGCTAGGGCTGCATAAAGTACCACACACTGAGTGGCTTTAATGACATAAATTTATTTTTCGATAGTCTGCAGGCTGGAAGTATATCACTATGAGGTGGACATTATCAAGGTGTGAGCAGGGTTGGTTTCTTCTAAGCTCTCTCCCCTTGACTTGTAGCTGGCCATATTCCTCTGGTATCTTCACATGGTCTTCCCTCTGTGTGTATCTGTGTCGTCTTCACATGCTCTTTCCTCTGTGTGTATCTGTGTCTTAATCTCCTCTTTTTTTTTTTTTTTTTTTGGTTTTTTTGTTGTTGCTTATTTTTTTGAGACAGAGTCTCACTCTATCACCCACGCTGGACTGCAGTGGCATGATCTCGGCTCACTGCAACCTCACCTCCCGGGTTCAAGCAATTCTCCTGCCTCAGCTTCCCAAGTAGCTGGGATTACAGGTACCCACCACCATGCGCATCTAATTTTTGTATTTTTTGTAGAGACAGGGTTTTGCTGTGTTGGTCAGGCTGGTCTCAAACTCCTAACCTCAGGTGATCCACCCACCTTGGCCCAAAGTGCTAGGATTACAGGCGTGAGCCACCATGCCCAGCCCCTAATCTCCTCTTTTTATAAGGATACCAATCATATAGGATTAGGGCCTATATTAATGACTTCTTTTAACATTAATTACCTTCTTACAGATCCTATCTCTAAATACAGTCACATTCTGAGGCACCAAGAGTTAGGATTTCAACATGTGAATTTGGACAGGTGGCACAATTCAGCCCATAACAGGGTCTAAGCTGTGGCATGAGTTTTGGGGTTACAAGTGTTAGAAACATATTTAACTATTAAGTAAGAACAACTTCATAAGTACAGAGTGATTCAACTTTAAGACAATAAAAAGTCTGCTTTCAGTAACTTATTATTTTGTAATTTAACCTCTGTTCACTTTAATTCAAAACAATGTGCTTCCAATAAAAGAATCAGATTCCTTTTTACTCATCTTTCACGAAATGCTTCTGAGCACAATGGTAACCTGAGACTTTCATTGAAATTCTTGTCTTCTTCATCATCATCATCAAGCTAACATTTATGAAGCACTTCGTGTCAGATATTGTACTATGCACCTACGAGTACTGTCTTGCTTAATTCTTATGCTAATGTGATGAGTGGAGTACAATTACTCTTCCTTATCATAAATGAGAAAACTGAGATGGAGAGAGTTAAATTAGTTCATGAAGACATAAGACGGGTAAATGCTAGGGGTTAATTAGTGCTTGTTTATGTCTGAGTCTGGAATCTCACTTCTCGCACCTGATGTGATAGACCTAGAAAGGAAAACCTACATCAGCAATAAACTCTAGAGATACTGGTACACACAGCAGGAACTTCCGAGAATGTCTGTGATTCAGAGACCACATTGAAGTAAATCCTGTTCTGACCCCTTTGTGAAGGAGCTTGTGGCCCAGGAAAGATAAGGAAGAGCTCCAGGCAGAACATCCCCAATGTTTCCTGGAATAAGGAGAGCTGGAGGCAAAGGGTAGGACCAGCAGCAAGAGGGGAGTTTGCCATAAGGCTAACTCCCAGCCCACCTCACTCTCATCTCTGATGGCCAAAGGGTAAGCAAGAAAGAAAAGAATGCAAGAAAAAAGCTTTTTTTAAAAGAGGATGCAAACAAGAGGATGATATAGAAGACTAAACTTATAAAATACTAAAATCATTGTGTGTGGTTTAAAGTCCCCAAAGATTCTAAGTTGGCATTTAAAAAATAAAATCCAAATTTGGACATTTGGAAGTGAAAAAAAAAATGGTGCCAACCTAAATGCCCAAAAAAGGAAACTGCTTTTTTAGAAAGGATAGCATGTTCAATAGAACAAGCAGCCATTTACAGTTATGATCATAAAATTACTTATAAATATTGAAATTCTTCAAGGTAAAATTTTTCATGTGAAGTATTGGTTATAAAAGATTTTGATACTATAGGATACTGTTTGTAAATACAATGTGTGTGTGTATACATAGATATATAGATATAGATATAGATATGTACACATACCCTGAGAAGTACTGTTTCTTGGAATGGTATTGAGAGTAACCTTTGTTTTTATTTTAATGCTTTACTAATTTTCTATAAAAATACATATTTTATAATAAAAATAACATTATTTTCAAAAAAAGAAGAGGAGAAAATTTAAGTCAGTTTCCAGCAAAAAGGCATATTAAGAACTAGATGAAGAAACTTGCCCCAGAATAAGAGAAGCACACTACTGCGCTAAAAGGTTATGACTAGCTGTTCAAGGAAATGAAAATGAAGCAGGCAGAAGCCCAATGCTTCTGGGGCTCCAGAGAAAGCAGAGGAGGTTAATCCAGGCTGTTATGAACCTTAGTAAGTAAGTAGTGAGTCCTATTAATATGGTGCTTGAAAGTTTAGGGATTTATTCAGATCTCAGATAGACCTGATTGAAAAAGGCCTCTAATCTAAACCAAACACTCAACTCTTGGCAGGGCAAAATCAACTGGGGAGCTCTATAAAAATACTGATTCCCTTAACCTATCTCAGGCCATTAAATCAGATCATCTGGGGTGGAAACCAAGCAGTGTATTTTTTAAAGATATACAGGTGAATCTAACATGCGACCAGGATCAAGGACAGCAACTAATCTAACTCTGAACAATCATCTATTTAAATAAAGGGAGTACAAGTACTTTCATCCTTGACATCTTCTTGCTTGAGAATTGTCTACTGAGAATGTTAAATACATAAGTTTTAGTGTGAATTATTTCATGAGAAGAAATATTTACTTTCTTTTACTAGAAGCAGCATACTCCCATTCAATGCCATCATCAAACACTTACAGCCATAGGAGAACTAAGTGAAATGCAGGTGCCATTCAGAGGTGATTACAAGAAAGAAAGAAATAAACCTCAGAGGGAATTTCTTCCTGTTCTCACCCAGATTTGTGCCTTCTGTCCTCTCCAAGCTCCTACCAATCTATTGACTTGTGTCCTTGTGTGTCACATTCTCCCTCTTGGCCCTTGCTCATGCATGGAGTGTACCTTCTCTATCTTTTTACCATCAGCATCTGGCATACCGTAGGAGCTTAACAAAGGTTTGTTGATTGGATAAAAAGATGAAGTGCTAGGCATTATTTTTTCTCTTACATTCCTTTCAGTTCTAAGCCTCTATAATACTATGGTAATGCTTCCTGATATTCCAAATGTCCTCATTTTCCCTCTACACTTTAATATTGTTGCTTGGTAACAACCAACTTTCATTATAAAAGGTTGTAAGCAATTCTGGAATACCTTACAATATTGTCATCATATAGATAATGAGTTTTAAAGGTTACCAATAGCATTTAGCAGTGCACATAGTAAGCTATGTTGTTATTTATTTGCTTCAAAATCCCTTTGACTTAATGAGTATCAAGTTATTTACGCATGTCGAACTAGACTGGGGGTAAGAATAATTGGGGTAAACAAATTTAACATGTTTAGGTAGGTGACCTATAGACCTATGGTCCAGACTTCCTCAACTAAAGATAAAAATTCTGGAGCTATATGGCTTAGTTATAGACAAATACAATGTGTTCTGGGATGTGCCAACTGGGGAGTGAATTGGTTTACACTAGGGGTCAACTGTCAGAAACTTCAAGAGTGAGGAAGGACATGTTGTCCCAGAAAACATGTATAATCTTTATTTATATACACTATGCAGTGCTGATTTAATATACTGCATATTAGAAGGATCAGGCACTGTGACTTTTTTAACCCATAATAATTGTAATTAATAATTGCAAGGAAGAAGATGTGAAATAGATTTTAAAAGATTGGACTGCCTGCCCAAACAGGGTATTTTGGCACACAAAATATTTGTCAGAATATTTTATGCTTGTGCTATTGCAAATAATTCAGATTTTATTTGTTGAAGAGCTGTTATGAGAGTTAAAAAAATGAATATGAGTGTATTTCACATACTGATTCTTTTCCTTTAATCAATTCCTTTTTTCACTTTGGGGGTCTTGATGCAAACAGGTTAAACAGAGTTAAGATCTTAAAACTTAAAATCAAAACACAATACTATATAATCTTTGTTTTGGCTTCTCCACCAAGCAACTCAAATTATATTGTTAATGCCATTGCTGATATTGAATAACAGTAAAAACTTTATTACAGCTTGTATATCAATTGAGAGTAAAGACCCAATGTAGTCATATTTCAGAAGATGTTATCATTTGCATTAGTCTGTGTATCTGCCTTTCTCTAGTAATAGCAAGTTTCAAACATTCTTCATTAAAATCATTAATTTTTATTTGGTGATTTGCTATTATTTGTTGAAAGGTAATGAGGACCACTCACACTGTGGAACTGTCATATGTATTATTCTGTATTCAGAAAACTGCTTGCTGCATACTATGATGCTGGAGATTTCACTGCAAACATGTTAAAAGTCACTACAAAGATTTTTAAATGCTCCCTGTATACACAGTTGAATATATGTGTTTGAGTGAATATTTACTCCTGGAAATTAAGGGTAAAAGTTCACCAAGTAATTTCAGAAAGATTAACATACTTCAAATCAAGCAAATCTTGAGAAGCCAAATCAAGCAAAACTGAGACCCAATGAACAGAAAGGAATGGATTGTTGATACTTATACAATAGTTCAAATATATATTCTCCTTATATCTGAATATTACCTTTTGTACCTTCCCAATGCTAAAGTTCAGAAACCTTTTGTTAAAATAAAAATGTAACAAATCAGAAATGAAAAAAGAAGGCTTAATGTTTGAAGTTACTAACTTTTAGCTATGAGTGGAAAAAATAAACCAAATATATACATATATTTGGGACCTTACCTACATATTTATTGGGACCTTACTTGGGTTTTGAGACCTTCCTTAGACCAAGACTCTAAGAACCCAAACCTACGTGAAGAAAATTTGGTAATATTTTTATTTAGCTAGACTGTATTACATTTTCTTTTAACCACTAACTTGAGAACAAATTGGAAAGTGCATGGTTTTGGTTGTCACATACTATAAGTTGTTTTTTCCAATGTTTTATTAGGAAACATTTCAAAAATACAGAAAAGGTAAAATAATTTTACCATGAATACCCTAAATAAATAGCAGTGATTTTAAAAGATGTGAACTGGTCCATCTATATCTTTTATGAAATAAATGTCATTGGTATAAAAAGCTACATGTTCGCACACAAATTTAATTATACCTGGAAACTGGGCATACAGCTGACAAAAATGACAAGGAGTTTAAACTAAGAGAGGATGGAGAGCAACTTATTAGCAACATATAGTTTAACTATAAGCAGCTCTATATTATTGGTGGTAGAATGATTCAAATAAAATTTAAGATACCATTCAGCTGAAACCAGCCATCACTGAGGTATTGAAGAAAAGGAAACAATAACACTTTTAGATCTCATCAAATTGTGGTAAAATGTGTATAGGACAGTGCCAATTGATTTAGCTGCAAGTTACTGTTTTAATGCATTGTTTGCAAAGTGTGGGAGGTATACTACTAGCGGTGTTGGTTTCAATGCTAAATAACATAAAGTTATAATGTTATAATTATCTTTCAACCCTTCTGATTTCTCAAGGAGAAAGCATTCATTTAATACCAGTATATACTGAAGGCCTCTCCAACCATCTGAATGTCTATTTTTATGATTTATCCTTTAATAGGAATAGTATCTATCTACAATTAATAACAATGATTTTATTTTTTAATTACCTTCTACTTATGGTTTTAAACATGGTTTTAATTTATAGTTGTGATATAAAATTTCCCTTATGTAAATTTATTGAAGTGAAAAGTGAGTTTATTTGAAGAAAAATTAGGCAAATAATGATACAGGTATAACAGACTCTCATAGGCAGAATTTATAAAGGTAGCCATCAGATGTCTGAAGTAAGAGAAATATTATTTCAATGGCTGCTAGTAGACAATATTTTGAAAGAACCACTCACAACATATTCTAAATGATAAAATTCCTCCAAATATGTAGTAACTACCCTTCTCTACTAACTTAAGAGCTGATTTCTGGGCTTCTCTTGCCTAAAACTTGAACATGCTCCCACAGATTTTGTTCATGAATAAAAAACTCTAAAACTGACCGACCAAGAGTCTCATTTCCTTGAGAACCTTCAAACTATTGAAAAGATTATATTTATTTACCAAGAAGGGTGGAGCAAAGCATTTTAATTCCTTCCCTAACTCAATGCAAATATGTAATTTGAAAATCTTTTTTATAATAAATTACTAACATCACAAATAAAGTGATTTCTAAGCCATAAAACAGCAGGTGGATAAAAATAGGTTGTGATTGCTTAGAATATGAAGGTAGTGATGTATCATGGAAAGTCTTAAATTATTGGCACTAGACTCCCTGCAAACCATGAGGGTAAATTTCATCATCTATCATCAGCCACAATAGTCTTCTATAGCAAACGTAGAGTCTAGGAGAGGTTACTGGAGTCATCATATTCTACAGTATCAACCATTTGGAGGCAGATTTCCTCAGTGAATGTGTTGAACAAAAGAAAGATTAAATTCAATCACATGAGTTTTGAATGTTCATTTTATTTCAGCATTTTTATACAGTTTAAATAAGTCATATTTCCTATCTCCCCCTTCCCTTCCGCTTTCATAATCTTGGGGTTGGGGGGACAGGGTGCTTAGCAGGAGTCAAAAATGAATCTAATCCCATTTGATAGAATAACGCCATTGCTAAATAGATACACACACACACACACACACATACACACACATCACATGAGAGAAAATAAATTTTCCAAAATTCAGTTGTTTTTGTAATTCAATTATTACAATGTTCTGTTATTTTCTCTTACTAAGCTCTGATTTAAAAAAAATAGATTTCCATGTGAGATTTCAAATCATTTCAAATGGAGTTTCCTTTTATACATTTTATTATAGGTTTTGAATATTTACAAATATCACAGCAGTTGTGCTAGAATAACTGAAGCTCATCTTCTTCTTCTGGGCCTCTTCTTATGGAGAGAATATTTGAAGTTAATCACAAGTAACTCATAGTTAGAGACAGAAACTAGGATCACACTCTCCTTTTTATACATTTCACTACAGCCAGCAGCCCCTAGGATCAAAATAAAGTCAGATTTTCTAACCCATATATGGAAACATTTATTTTTTAATGCTTCTAATAATTTTTAGTGTTTTATGTTTAATTTAAAGTTTAATTTTCAATATACTTCCTCATCCAGCCAGGATCCTATTAACCATATTAAACCCTAGTGCCATGACATGGATGCTAGTGGACCATGGCTAATGAACCAGAGTTTAAGCAGCCCTAAAATTGCTTGACTCAACATAGACTGAAACTCTGTAACAGAAAGGAATATGAGACCATAATAGAGAGATATAAATAATTGAGGAAAATCTGGAACCAAGAGATAAAGAATTATTGTACGTTGACTGTAATTTTGGTTCTACTTGTGACTGGAGATGTAGAACTCAATTATGATGGTAGCCTTGTAGACCAGAAGTTATTTTTAGCTGGACAAAGAAGAGCTTCAAACAAAATGTTTTAGGCTTCTAGTGAATTGTTTAAATTCATATTATTCATTATAATCCATATGAAAATTATCTACACTAAGCAGGACATGAGATCTGTGAGAATCAGCAGACTATTTCTCCAGTTGGAGGTGTTGGATTAGGGACTCGTATTCCATCCAGTTCAATTTGATGAATACAGGAAGGAAGCCTAACTTAATATTGAATAGAACAAATCTTCTCCTCAAACTCCATGTCTATGTGATGTGTTTTTTTTTAATTAATTTATTTTTTTATTATTATACTTTAAGTTTTAGGGTACATGTGCACATTGTGCAGGTTAGTTACATACGTATACATGTGCCATGCTGGTGTGCTGCACCCACTAACTCGTCATCTAGCATTAGGTATATCTCCCAATGCTATCCCTCCCACCTCCCCACCCCCCGACAACAGTCCCCAGAGTGTGATGTTCCCCTTCCTGTGTCCATGTGATCTCATTGTTCAGTTCCCACCTATGAGTGAGAATATACGGTGTTTGGTTTTTTTGTTCTTGCGATAGTTTACTGAGAATGATGATTTCCAATTTCATCCGTGTCCCTACAAAGGACATGAACTCATCATTTTTTATGGCTGCATAGTATTCCATGGTGTATATGTGCCACATTTTCTTAATCCAGTCTATCATTGTTGGACATTTGGGTTGGTTCCAAGTCTTTGCTATTGTGAATAATGCCGCAATAAACATACGTGTGCATGTGTCTTTATAGCAGCATGATTTATAGTCCTTTGGGTATATACCCAGTAATGGGATGGCTGGGTCAAATGGTATTTCTAGTTCTAGATCCCTGAGGAATTGCCACACTGACTTCCACAATGGTTGAACTAGTTTACAGTCCCACCAACAGTGTAAAAGTGTTCCTATTTCTCCACATCCTCTCCAGCACCTGTTGTTTCCTGACTTTTTAATGATTGCCATTCTAACTGGTGTGAGATGGTAAAATGATAGAGTAGCCCACTTGGAAATAAGTGAAATTCATTTTGTTCTGAGTTTTGTTCATGCCAATACTCGAACATTAAAAGTAGGAAGAAAGACAATCCATTATCTTGTTGTTTCCAAATATAGAATTATCATATCAGAGAAGAACTTCCTCTGCTTTCTATGAACCAACCTACCAAATATTTTGCAAAGTTTATCCCACCATTCAGGATCTGGATTCAATTTTATCTTAATCCCTTGGGAATCTTACACCAATGACTATTCCTGTTTTCCTCTTTTCACTTACCTATATTTTCACACTCCTGTTTGCTATGATATCTTTTTCCATCAACATTTAAGCAAATTCTAGTGGTCTTCACATCTTAATTTTTGTAAATACTTTGTCCACAACCCCCTCTGACGCTCCTGCTGATATATCTTCTCCCTGACTTTTAAATGTAGATGTTCCCCAAGGAAGATTCTTTACCTTCTTCTCTTCTTAATATTCTCCCATAGGTGATTTCCTTCATATCCACGGTGTCTTTACCCATTAATACATGACATATTCCAAGTATATATTTCTGAAGTTACTGTGGTTTGGTTTCCCCAGCAGCAGACCTGAGGACAAGAATTGAGTGTAAGTAGTTTATTTTGGAAGTGATCACAGGAGACACCAGTGCAAAAGGAAAGTGAGAAAAGGAAGGAAGCCGATCAAGGGTATGTTATCAAAACAATTGCCACTCTGAGTCAGTGGAATTCAATCAGAGGGAACTCTGGGACACAATATAGTTACTCAGGGACAGGTAGGTTTAGCAGTGCAACATCCCCAGACATCTTTTCAAGAATGTTGCTTTAGCAAGTCTTCATTTCTGTATGAATATAAGTTACGTTGATATGTGCAGTTACTTAGGATATTCTGTGGTTGTCTTCTTTTCTGTGGAGATGTAATGTACATATAATTGATTCAAATTGGTTTAAAAGGGTGTATTTATCTCAAGGGAAGAGGATAGACTAATACCTCTTGGACTTCAGTATATTATCATCATCATCGTTGTTGTTAAATTAATAGATGCCACATAGATTATCAGATAGATCATCCTTTGACATTGTAATGGGAACATACTGCTCCCCACTTTTGGGAGGCTTCATACCTGTTCTGCTTATTTAAGAACGTACCTCTGGTTCTTGTTCTATCCTTTGATCTCCTGTTTCCTAGGTAGGAAATCTTTCTTTTCATATTAGTCCACTTCCTTTTCTTCTGGCACTTCATCATCTTACCTCCATCAGCTAAGTTTCTTGCCCAGTGACAACTAAGTGCATACATTTTCCCAATATATGCAACCTGTGCTGTGAAATCATTATAAACACTAATGAAATTAACCAAATGGGGTAGGAGAGTATGGCATATGCAGGAGATAATAATACTGTGACTATAAGTATAAAGTAGAAAGTGAGGGAAGATTGATCACTAACAAAGCCTTACACTAACAAAGGGATACAACTGTATCTCCTGCCTATCTGCTCATTCCACCCTTTAAAGAATCAGAGTCACACATTTTGGGAGGCAGGATAGTTTGTTGCTTATGTAAATATCAAACTGCAATTTGCCAAGCCCAGCTCTACCCATTTGCTAGGTTAATTTATTTCCCTAAGAAATAGAAGTAATAACAGTATCTACATCATAGTGTTCTTATAGGCAAGTACCCCTACTTGGCCTTTTCCAAGTTCCTGTTTGAACATCACTAGATGTGTCTAACTCCAAAAAATATAGATAGCATATGTCTTCCATCTACCCAATGGAAACTAACATACATGGTGGTGGCCTTTGTGCAACTCTCCTTCCAAGGAGGAATTTAAGATTGTTTTTTAAGGGTTTGTTTGTTTTAATTAAATGCCATTGTACATTCACGGATATATTTGGTCCGATGATAACTCCTCTCTCCTGTTACACACGTCACCCTTTGGTCCTAACATTATGATCACAGATGCCTGGGGAATTGAAAAAGTCCAAAAATTAGGGATCATCTAAGGTCCAGGGGAAATACACGATACATGCCTCACGTCATTCTTACTTCTCATGAGCCACAGATCTAGATGTGAGATACACATTCTTCGGTTCTTAGGGTTCTTTTCTTTCCATTCACTTCTTGGGAGTAGCAAAGAACATATTCCTTCCCTGCAAAGAGCTGAACCCTGATAGAGGAGCCATAACATGGGTGAAGCTCAAATAGAATCAGAATTTTCATATTAAAAATAAAAGGGAGACTTTTCCCTTCTCACCCTGATTTATTTAGGTGAGCAATTCTCTTATTGACTGACTGCTAGACTTCTTAAGTGCATACTTAAGGCTCTGAAGTCTTACTTTTAAAATTAAATATCAACTAGGAAAGCAGAAATCTGCTGTCAGCAATTTGAAAATGTTGTTTAAGATATTCAACTTTGTTTTCAATGAGCCATGTAATGGTTCTTTTAGTAAAGGGATAAGTATAATATTTGTAAGTAGATGTAGTACATACACAAATACACACATACGCACACACATACACATGCCATGTGCATTGCTTACCCATAGGTAGACATTCATCAGGCGATATATGCACCTCTGAACCCTAAGCACCCTCAGCGTGTAAATGCAGGAGTTGGGCTGTTGCACATACTCCCCATTGTGAGTTATGGTTTATAGAATAATTTGCTCAGCTGAGGATCAGTCTAATGATTTGCAATCAGCAATGATTTCTACTGATTCAGCTGATGTCTTAACCTCCTCACAGTATTCATTAAGTAATTTTTTGATATTTATGTTCCACTCCTGTACTTTATTTTCTAGCACTGTGGTTAACATGTAGGAAATAAATCCCTGACAGCTAAGTTTAATCACTACAAAGAAGAGACTGTTCATTACATACTTGTTTATGTTTTGTTACATGAAAATTTCCTGTAACTAAATAATGCATTATGATCTAGTTTGTTGTGGTGGTGTTGTAGTTGTTGCAGACTGGGCAGTGTGAAAGGGCTAAAGGATCAAAAAGTGGCAGTGAAGGGCAAGGGGGTGAGGCCAAGATCAAATTATTTTTGCTCTCAGAGCAGCCAGACAAGTAAAGCAAAGATTTGAAAGAAATTAATCTAGCTCAGAAAATTTTGAAATTCTCTGTTCAGGACGGAAAAAAATAAAAGGCATCAATAGTGACTGGTAAACAGCTGGCGAGAAGAATGACTGATATAGAAATCAGACACAGGCCCTAGCCTGACTCTTATATGAAAGAAGTAACACCCAAAGAAATAGCATTTACGGGAAAATCATATTTCCAAGTTATTTGAAAGTAGATTGGATTCTACTTTCTCTCTCTGGACTTGGACATACTGCTACCCTTGCAGTGCCTTTGCCTGCACCTTCTTGTGCATCTGGGAATGATAAGAATACCATTGTGCTTGGCACATAGGTAGGCCTTAATAAATGTAAGCTATTGTTATTCCTTGGTATATGCTAAACATTTTATTTCCATGTATATATTTACTGCGAGAATTAAAAGGAGAGTTTTCACCTACACAATATGAACTGTAAAGATATTTACCTGTGTTATTTAGGAGGTTCCCCATTATTACATTGTTTCATTTTTAAATTTGATTTTGGTGTGGGAGTATTCAAAAATGGAATATTTCACAAATATTTGAATCATTTTGGGGCTAGCCTATTCTTTACCAATAAGGTTGGGTATTAAATAACATCACAATATTTATTCAGACAACAATCTGCATTTTACTAAACACACTGATTCTTTTTAACATCAGATTAATTGTTGAATTATCTTCTTAAAAAGTCATAATGAGTCCGATTGATTTGTGAAACCTTAATATACAAGGTTCATGTACAATGTTTTTATTGTTCTGATCAGGAGGCTCCAGGAATGAGTTTTCTGTGGTTGCTGGTAGCTTGAGGGTGAAAAATGAAAACAGTGAATCCCTCTGAAAAGAGTCAAACCAACATCAACAGGCAGCACTGGAGTTAGAAAATATGACGCTTTTGGAGGCCTCACATACTCCTATCTTGATCCATCCATTGATACTAGTATGGCAAGTAGGTGTGAGTGAAACTGACCTGTTTGGTCACACATCTAGAATTTTCTGAAATGTTAAGAGTGCTTTATTTCTCTGGATACAATTCTAACTATCATCTTAACTATCCTAGGTCACAAAATGTCAACATAACCGAGAAGTAGTCAAACAATGGGCCTGTATTATTAGAAAACTTCAGAAAGTACTAATCAACTTGCCCCTTAACAAGACTACTGGGAGCTCATTTGTCATTTACAAGGGTTCTGGGTCATCTAGGTTTTCCATTCTGACCTTATGAAAACATTCAAAGGATCCCGAACTCTACTTCATCCCTTGACCATTTCAAAGTAACATCTTTGCTCTTGGTCTCAGCATTGGAATTTTTCCCAAGCACCTTCCTGGATTGCTTTGTCTTATCAGCAGGTGTACATGCTAATAGCCACTACTGCTACTTATCCCATCATTTTTCACCTTATCGCTCTGATTTATTACTGTTTTGACTTTGATTTTGGAATCCATTGTTTATTCCTTTGCATACTAATGAGATGTCCTGCCTTGAAGGGGTGTGGCGGCTCCCCTTTTCCCATCTCATGTTATTTGTACAAGGTTGATTTACATTAGCTAGTTTTATATACAATGACCTCTTAGTGTGTGTGTGTGTGTGTGTGTGTGTGTGTGTGTAGCATTCCTTCTGTTTTTAATTTTCTGCCGACAACTAAGAAAAATTTACTAAAAGAAAAACAACAACAACAACAATAATAAAAAGGGTAAGAGGAAACTTTGAGAGATGATGGACATGTTTATGGCCTTGAAGTTGGTGATGGTTTCACGGTATATAATTGTCCCAAATTCATCAAAATGTATATGTTACATATGTGCAGCTTTTTATATGTCAATCATATCTCAATAAAGTGATTTTTTTAAAAAACCTTTTAAGGAAAAGACTAAAGTTGAAATGTGCTGTCAGAATTTTCCCCTTCTCATTATATTTCCTAGGAACTATGGCTGTCCTTTAATATTTATCACTAATGTATTAGAATAAAACACAGTTGTTACTGAAGAGGTTTTTTTTCAAAAGACACTTGCCACCAAATGTATGTCTCATTTCTTCCCAAAGAGAGATTTTATACCCAGAGCTAATCTCAATCATTCTTAAAAATCATTTATTTTCAAATCAATCAATCATTTATTTTCAGAAAAACTTAGCATATACAGTGTTCCAGTAATGAGCTAAGTGTTTGGGATATATGAGTGAAAAAATATAATTTATGCCCCCAAGGAGCTAACAGAGATGTAATCAAGTAAATGGACCTTATTCTATAATGGGATAAATCTTACAATGCAGTAGTTGAGATGCAAGGCACAAACATAAGAGAGCACGTTCCTTGGTAAATCAGGGAGGGCTTTACAGAAGTGGTGATATGGACCTGACTCTTGAAAAAGGAATAAAAGTTGGCCAAATACACCTAAGACTTAAGACAAAGACTACTGCTAAGGAAGGAACAGGGTAAAAGGCAAAAAGATATGAGAAAATGAGGCACATTTGGAGAATGTGTGGGTATCATGTGAGCTGAGTGACATCAAATTAAACTGGGAACTTTGGAGACCCATCATGAAGAACCTTGTAGGTGATCCTACAAATATTAGATTTCTGTCTATAAATTGAGTACCAAAAGACTCACTTGTGGAAAAACTTAAAAGTGTATATTCTCAGAACCCACTTGCCTCAAAACTCTAGTTCAGTAGACTGGGGATAGGTATTGGAATTCTGCATTTAAAATCCTCCTATGTGATTTTTGGAGCACACCACAAAGCGAAGGCTTTGAAGAAATCTGAGCAAGCAAGGTAGTTACATAACCAGAATTGCATGTCAAATCCTTTGGTAATATTTTAGAGAATGCCAAAACAACTATTTGGTCAAGTCATTCAAACTAGTGATCAGCACAGTAAAAATATTTGCCAAACTGATTGGCCAATTCAGGCTGAAAGGTGATCCAATGGTCTGACTTGGAACCCTTTTAAAGAATTTCTCTGAGCTTATTGTTCTACAGAATAGTGTTATTGTTTGACCTTGGACTTCCTTCAGTAACATAACCCAATTTCCGAGTTTTGGTGGTTTATGTTCCAGATATTATCCTTGCGTAACCTTCAGGTTTTGTCACCTCCATATCAGTGTTAATGTAAATCAGGAATTCAGCATTGCAAATGGTTTACTTGAGCTCCTATTGGTAATAATATAAGTAAATTTGTAAAATATACTCAATTTCATACCAGCTGGTAATCTGGTAAGCCCAATAACTTTTTTCTAGTTATTTCTTATTTTTAAAAGTACTGTCCAGTCTGACCTCTTAGAATGGTGCCTTTATTAGACTGTAGATGTTAGATCTGAAGGTGTTTTAGAATCTCACTACAAACCCCAAGCACTTAAGACTTATCCATGCTGTCAAAGGTTATTCTCATGCAGTTGGAGGTAAAATAGGATTTGGGTCTGCATTGTTTTTCCTCTTCCAACTACATGTCTATGTGAAGCTGGATTTTCTTCATCTATTTCAACCACAAAACATGTCTGGCAGATTGAATGCAGAAGCTGATATGAGAGTCTAGCTATCTTCTATTAAGCCAAATGTGAAAAAGGTTTGTCAAAATGTAAAACAATGCCATTTCCTAATTATTTTGTTTAAAAAAATATTTTTTCATAAAATACAGTATGTTATGGTATACTGTTTCATGTTACTTCATAAAAAATAATATTTTAAATTTTCTGTTTTAATTTCTGATATGGTAAATATTGATAGCTGTAGTCGATAGAAATCAAAGCTCTTTAGGATCCTCAATAATTTTAAGTGTAAAGGTGACATGAGATCAAAATGTTTGAGGAAGATTGGCCTACATAAAAGGGAGAGATTAATAAAAATGTGGTATATTGGATAGCATTCAGTTCATTTGAGAAATTTAATTTGGGCCCTTTCTTTCTTGAATTAAATTCTTTAGACATTACTTCTAAAGACTCTATCTTGTATAGACATAATAACAATTTTTTTTTCTAACAGTAGTAATAACTGGCAAAAATTCATGTTGATTAGAATATGCCCAACTGCAAAAAAAAAAAAAAAAAAAAAAAAAAACTTTTTCTTTTCTTGCAGGAAGTGCACATGCATTTGTGTGCATGTTCAGTAGAGAAACATGAGAGTCTGGAAGTGCTGGAACAGGGAAAACTTGGATTTCCCAAGATTCCCACCAAATGGATATTTTATTGCTCTGTGTGGCCACACTAGCCATGTGCCCTCTTGAGGCACTTTTTGCCCCACGCTCTTGTAAAATCTTTTCCAATATTGAGACATGTATTGCTTTCTAGATTTTCTTCAAAAAGAATATCTTTGTTTACTGTAATTTTTAGAAGATTTTATATATATACTATACTAATATATGTAATAAATATGTAATATAATTAATTATATAATTACTATACAATAAGATTGTGTACATAATCTTTTAAGCTAAGATTATGTGTATATATGCATGTATCTTTTTCCTTTCCATTCAGCTTTCATTTTATTTTCTGATCCAATTTCTGACGCCTTAAGATTCTTTTGCATTACTTTTCAGACCTCATCAGGGTTTGCTTTTCAATTTTGATGTGCAGATTTTATTATTACATTATTGTTTACTTCCTCCTGCAGATCATTAATGAAGATGTTAAATAAGACAAGACAAAATACCAGGCCTCCAAGCTCTGCACTAAAAAAATCTCCTTTCTCCATGATATATTGTCATTTACTGTTGCCCTGTTCCATTTATCACTACAAGCTAGGTTTCAATACATATGACCGTGCTCATATCTAATTTGAATTAATTTTGCAAGTAAGATTTTGTGAGGCCTTGCATAAAGTGATCCACCAAAATCAAGACAGATCACTGTCATCTTTTAAGGAAAAACCTGTTTCCTTGCTAATTTTGCAACTCTTCTCCCTCCTATAACCCTAAGCCCCCTCCATGCCACCATCTGTCACTACTCAAGTTCTTTTTGTTTTTGTAAGAAAAAATTAATTTAGTTTATGTGGTCATTATCCACCAATGTGCCATCCTCAAGACGCTCAGGTGTGGCCTCCTTTTGACTCTTGTAAACCTAAATCCTCTGATTCCAGAGACTTTTCTTGCCAGAGACCTTGGTCTTATTTTTCCTCCCCCATTTTCTTTTCACATATGTATCCAGAACTTTAGGGTCATTTTTACTCATTTTGGGACTACTCTCTGATACTCATATGGTACCCTTGGTTAGAATCACACCTTCCCAGTTCCCCACCCACATCCTTTCTTCAGGGATTTACCTCAGGGGTTGTGGGGCTTTTTTGATAGTAGAGTTCTGTGGCAGGAATTGTCATATACGTAGAGATATCTGATGTCAAGAAAAAGCTTAAGATTCAGTCCATAGGCCTCATAGCTGAACTCGGAAGTTGAAATCCCCAAACCACATCTTGTCTTCTTGTTGGGAAATAAGATAGGCAATGGTCACAGAGGAATATAATTTATTTACAGTTGATGGGGCAGGAAAGCCACATCCCCATGCCCAATCTCTGTCCACAGGAGAGAGAGGAAGGTGATTGTATGGCAGAATTAGGGCATAGCAAGGGGACCAGCTCCAGAATATATATCCTAAGCACTTTGCAAACTCAGAAACGGCATCTTTTAGGATCATCCTGGCATCATCTTTTAAAATAAAAATATCCCTCAAAAGAAGGTTTTAATAAAATTTAACTGGAACTTATTATTAATGAATGTCTTACCTTCTTGCAAGGGCCTGCATACCAAAGGGCAGGGAAAGCAAATGAAGAGAAGGTGAGATGTGGGAAGAAGAGTGAAAGCTGGGGTTTGAGACGCAGTTCTGCAAAAGCTGGTGTCCTAAGCAGTAACACCCTAGTGGGTTTGGGAAGAGATAGTGAATAACTTGAAACAATGAACAAGGATCAGGATGGCGAAGCAAACTCATCCCCAAGCCAGTCACCAGAATATCACAGGGGACAGGGGGCAGTCATTCACTTACTTCTTCACTCATTCATTAATTATCCATTCGTCCATCCAAAATAACATTTTTAAGCACTCCTTATTTCCCAGTTGCAACAGTAGAAACCAAAAAAAATTCAAGCATTGCCCTTAAGTATTTCACAATGAAATGACATTGCTTCCAGAAAGTCAAGCAGTTAGATTAGAGTCCAGGATATGGAAGTAGTTTCAGAAATGTTAGAGGACACCAAAGAGAATCAATTACCCAGGGGTCTAGGGAAATGATCACTCTTTTCTTCTATGCAGGTGCAGGGTGGGAGAAGGGTTGGGGGCGTGTCAGGGAGGATGTTTCTTCATGGAAACTTGCCTGTTGGCCTAGCAAAATGAAATTCAACCTCCCTGCTCTGTGGAAGTAATCCAACTCTGCTTCACGTCTTGGTTGAGCAACAACAAAAGGGACAATGCCTTCCTTAACTATCTTTTGTTATTATAGAGCTCAGGATGAAGGCATGAGGAGGAAGACTGGAATAAGTTGCAAAGGCAAAATGGTATCAAGGTATGCTGGTGCTGTATCGATTTTAGTTTTATTGCATTTTAATCAGGAGCTATAGTGTACTGAGTGATGCTCTGCCCAGGGATCTTTTTTGCCCAGGAAGCATGCTTGATCTACTTGCAAGACAAGGGAAGAGTGCATGTCTTCAACCAAGGCAAGGAGTTGGTGGATGATTGGCTCCATTTTTTGGTACTTTAGTTAGAATAATTGATAAGCGTCCTCCATTGCCTACCAGAGTTTTCTGGAGGTCTCGACCTCCAGTTGCTGTCAGGTAACTGACTTGATACCACAACTTCATGTTCTTCTTTCCTTCCTGAGTCACTTCCCCACTTTCGTGTCAGCACTTCCTGGGACTACCTTCCAAAGAAATCACTCATACTTGAGTGCTTGTCTCAGGGTCTGCTTCTATGGAAACCCAAACCAAGACAAATCATTTCTTGAACTTCTGCATGCACAGTTGCCAACAATGCTTAAAAAGACCTGCCTAAGTGTAGTCTTCTCTTTGACCTTTTCTTCAACTTGCCCAAACAATCATTCGGCCTTCTTGTTCCCACAGCATTGTACTTTGTTATGACAGTACTCTAATTGGGTAACCCAGTCCCCTTGACAGGATTGATTCCAATCCCCTTTCCATAGGCTATAGAAAGGCCAATGACCTCCCCAAGATTACCCTGACATCTAGTTGGCTTACAATTTTAAGGTTTCTGAGATTCTAGTGAAATATTGCCGAATTCTTATTCCCTGCCCTGCAGCTTGTGGCTGTTCCCTTGTCTCCATGCTGACCTTAATCCAAATATGGAACTCAATACTTTCCATGATTTCCACCAGAAATAGCAAAGAAATACTGTTCATAGCCATTCATTCCTTCAAAAAATATTTCTTGAGCATAAATGTCATTCTAGACATCATTTTAGGTTCTATTAAGAATAAACAAGACTGACAGGGTTCCTGTTGAATTATGATCTCAAACTTCATTTTTTCCCCATTTATTTACTGGTTCATTCATCAAACAATTGTTAAGTATGTACTATTTGCCAGGCATGTATTCTGGAGCTACAAGAATGAGCAGTTCCTTCCCTCAAATCATTGCTGGCCAACAAATACAAAGTACTTCCTCACTCTGTAATAATCAGGAAAGCCAGTGGGGGTGGAGGGGTGGGTGAGGGTGGGCAGGTTTCTAATTTTTCATCCTCTATGATTTAGGGAATATAGGCCCAGCTCAACCTTAAGGTGTAGCAAAAAAAAAAAAAGATGGCTAAGAATCCAGGTTACCAAGATATGGCTCAAGAAGGCCAGTGGACTCAGAATCAGGAAAAGAACAAAGTGCAGGTCACTCAGGTAGCTATAGTAGCCCATCAAGAGAAGCTAGGACATTAGGAACTGGGGACAAAGCCTGAGCTTGGGTGTCAGGGATGGGGGGAGGGAGGAGAGATACAAAAACCAAACCAAATAAAGCTCACACCATCCTTTAAGAACAGTTGCCAGAGCAGAATGTGGAGTAACCCAACAGCAGTGACCTGGTGGCTCTAATTTCCCAGTCCTTGTTATGACTATATTCAGCCCATCATTTTTGTTTTCAAAGGCTTGATTAAAACAACTGATAATAGTATCATCAGTGCCAATATAACTGCTACAAGAAACTTATTGGCAATCCAGCTAATTGGGTAATTTGGAATATACTTGAATAGGTCAAACCTGAGATACCCTGATTAGTGGTTTGTGGCTTTCCTATTCAAGTTGTAATCATTCTCCTCACTCGGAAGAATGAATGTCCTTGTATATAATAATGAGCCGGTTGATTTTCTCTTAATTGAGCTCATAGTGTAACCAGACCCCCTCATTCACTGGGAGTTGGCTCTCAGCTCCCCTTTCCGTTGGTTAGGAGACACCAGTACTTACACAGGCATTGTAGTGTTCTTTTATGCCTCATGAATCTTGTCTCTGTGTTACTGTATAAATCCATGAAAGAAACTCGAGACATCTACAGTAGATATTAATCTTAAACTATGTTAGGGTCATACCTCAGCAAGTCTGTCCTATTTTTCTTGTTGCTCCTTTCCCTCTTTGTTTTTCTTCAACTTCACTTTCCTTTGAGAGACTGTACACTCCCCAGTGACTAAGCCTCCTGTTCCTCTCTTGCAGAGTATCTCTACCTATCACATTCCTCTTTAATTCTTCCCCATATCATCTTTTTTTCACTAGTAGCATAGCCTCGGTATAAAAGTAAATATTTAACTTATACATCTTTGCCAATTTTTAGTATCATATCATGTGATTTTAGTCCCTATCTAAGTTTTGGGTTCTTCTTATGCTATAAATCTATAGAGGCTACAGAGAATAACACTGTGAGAAAAACAAACAAACAAACTTTGTGTTGTTACTGTTTAGTGGTTTTATTTTTTGGTTTGTTTGTTTTGAGACAGGGTCTTACTCTGTCACCTAAGCTGGAATGCAGTGACACGATCATAGCTCACTTCAGTCGCAAATTCCTGGACTTAAGCGATCCTCCTGAGAAGCTGGGACGACAGGCTACAGGTGTGTGCCACCACACCTGGCTATTTTTTATTTTTTTTAATTTTTGTAAAGATGAGTCTTGCCATGTTGCCTATGCTAGTCTGGAACTCCTGGCTTCAAGTGATCCTCCCACCTCAGCCTTCCAAAGTGCTGGGATTACAGGCATGAGTCACTGTGCCCATCCTACTATTCTTTTTTTTTATTTTTTTTTTTGCATACATTAAGGTTTATTCTCTATGTTGTATGTTTTTATGGGTTTTAACAGATGTTCAATATCTTATAGTCACCATTACAGTATCATACAGAATAGTTTCACTGCCCTAAAAAACAACAACAACAACAACAACAACAAACAAAAAAAAAACCTATTCTTCATCTATTCAGGTCTCTTGCCCATTTCCTGGATTCCTGGGATCCATGGATCTATTTCTCATCTCTCCAGTTTTGTCTTTTCTAGAATGTCATGTAGTTGGAATCATGTAATCTGCAGCCTTTTAGGACTGTCTTCTTGCACTTAGCAATGTGCATTTAAGATTCATCCACATCTTGTGGTAGCTTGACAGCTCATTTTTTTTAACTTTTTAGTTTTTTTGTAATTTTATTATTATTACACTTTAAGTTCTAGGGTACATGTGCACCACGTGCATGTTTGTTACATATGTATACATGTGCCATGCTGGTATGCTGCACCCATTAACTCGTCATTTAGCATTAGGTATATCTCCTAATGCTATCCCTCCCCACTCCCTCCACCCCACAACAGTCCCCGGTGTGTGATGTTCCCCTTCCTGTGTCCATGTGTTCTCATTGTTCAATTCCCACCTATGAGTGAGAACATGCAGTGTTTGGTTTTTTGTCCTTGTGATAGTTTGCTGAGAATGATAGTTTCCAGCTTCATCCATGTCCCTACAAAGGACATGAACTCATCATTTTTTATGGCTGCATAGTATTCCATGGTGTATATGTGCCACATTTTCTTAATCCAGTCTATTGCTGTTGGACATTTAGGTTGGTTCCAAGTCTTTGCTATTGTGAATAGTACTGCAATAAACAATCATGTGCATGTGTCTTTATAGCAGCATGATTTATAATCCTTTGGGTATACACCCAGTAATGGGATGGGTGGGTCAAATGGTATTTCTAGTTCTAGATCCCTGATGAATCACCACAATGACTTCCATAATGGTTGAACTAGTTTACAGTCCCACCAACAGTGTAAAAGTGTTCCTATTTCTCCACATCCTCTCCAGCACCTGTTGTTTCCTGACATTTTAATGATCACCATTCTAACTGGTGTGAGATGGTATCTCATTGTGATTTTGATTTGCATTTCTCAGATGGGCAGTGATGATGAGCATTTTTTCACGTGTTTTTTGGCTGCATAAATGTCTTCTTTTGAGAAGTGTCTGTTCATATCCTTCGCCCACTTTTTGATGGGGTTGTTTTTTTTTTCTTGTAAATTTGTTTGAGTTCATTGTAGATTCTGGATATTAGCCCTTTGTCAGATGAGTAGGTTGCAAAAATTTTCTCCCATTCTGTAGGTTGCCTGTTCACTCTGATGGTAGTTTCTTTTGCTGTGCAGAAGCTCTTTAGTTTAATGAGATCCCATTTGTCAGTTTTGGCTTTTGTTGCCATTGCTTTTGGTGTTTTAGACATGAAGTCCTTGCCCATGCCTATGTCCTGAATGGTAATGCCTAGGTTTTCTTCTAGGATTTTTATGGTTTTAGGTCTAACATTTAAGTCTTTAATCCATCTTGAATTAATTTTTGTATAAGGTGTAAGGAAGGGATCCAGTTTCAGCTTTCTACATATGGCTAGCCAGTTTTCCCAGCACCATTTATTAAATAGGGAATCCTTTCCCCATTGCTTGTTTTTGTCATGTTTGTCAAAGATCAGATAGTTGTAGATAAGCGGCATTATTTCTGAGGGCTCTGTTCTGTTCCATTGGTCTATATCTCTGTTTTGGTACCAGTACCATGCTGTTTTGGTTACTGTAGCCTTGTAGTATAGTTTGAAGTCAGGTAGCATGATGCCTCCAGCTTTGTTCTTTTGGCTTAGGATTGACTTGGTGATGCAGGCTCTTTTTTGGTTCCATATGAACTTTGAAGTAGTTTTTTCCAGTTCTGTGAAGAAAGTCATTGGTAGCTTGATGGGGATGCCATTGAATCTATAAATTACATTGGGCAGTATGGCCATTTTCATGATATTGATTCTTCCTACCCATGAACATGGAATGTTCTTCCATTTGTTTGTATCCTCTTTTCTTTCATTGAGCAGTGGTTTGTAGTTCTCCTTGAAGAGGTCCTTCACATCCCTTGTAAGTTGGCTTCCTAGGTATTTTATCCTCTTTGAAGCAATTGTGAATGGGAGTTCACTCATGATTTGGCTGTTTGTCTGTTATTGGTGTATAAGAATGCTTGTGATTTTTGTACATTGATTTTGTATCCTGAGACTTTGCTGAAGTTGCTTATCAGCTTGAGGAGATTTTGGGCTGAGACGATGGGGTTTTCTAGATATATAATCATGTCATCTGCAAACAGGGACAATTTGACTTTCTCTTTTCCTAATTGAATGCCCTATATTTCCTTCTCCTGCCTGATTGCCCTGGCCAGAACTTCCAACACTATGTTGAATAGGAGTGGTGAGAGAGGGTATCCCTGTCTTGTGCCTGTTTTGAAAGGGAATGCTTCCAGTTTTTGCCCATTCAGTATGATATTGGCTGTGGGTTTGTCATAGATAGCTCTTATTATTTTGAGATACGTTCCATCAATACCTAATTTATTGAGAGTTTGTAGCAGGAAGGGTTGTTGAATTTTGTCAAAGGCCTTTTCTGCATCCATTGAGATAATCATGTGGTTTTTGTCTTTGGTTCTGTATATATGCTGGATTACGTTTATTGATTTGTGTATGTTGAACCAGCCTTGCATCCCAGGGATGAAGCCCACTTGATCATGGTGGATAAGCTTTTTGATGTGCTGCTGGATTCGGTTTGCCAGTATTTTATTGAGGGTTTTTGCATTGATGTTCATCAAGGATATTGGTCTAAAATTCTCTTTTTTGGTTTGGTTGTGTCTCTGCCAGGCTTTGGTATCAGGATGATGCTGGCCTCATAAAATGAGTTAGGGAGGATTCCCTCTTTTTCTATTGATTGGAATAGTTTCAGAAGGAATGGTACCAGCTCCTCCTTGTACCTCTGGTAGAATTCGGCTGTGAATCCATCTGGTCCTGGACTTTCTTTGGTTGGTAAGCTATTAATTATTGCCTCAATTTCAGAGCCTGTTATTGGTGTATTCAGAGATTCAACTTCTTCCTGATTTAGTCTTGGGAGGATGTATGTGTCAAGGAATTTACCCATTTCTTCTAGATTTTCTAGTTTATTTGCATAGAGGTGTTTATAGTATTCTCTGATGGTAGTTTGTATTTCTGTGGGATCAGTGGTGATATCCCCTTTATCATTTTTTATTGCATCTATTTGATTCTTCTCTCTTTTCTTCTTTATTAGTCTTGCTAATGGTCTATCAAATTTGTTGATCTTTTAGAAAAACCAGCTCCTGGATTCATTAATCTTTTGAAGGGTTTTCGTGTCTCTATTTCCTTTAGTTCTGCTCTGATCTTAGTTATTTCTTGCTTTCTGCTAGCTTTTGAATGTGTTTGCTCTTGCTTTTCTAGCTCTTTTAATTGTGATGTTAGGGTGTCAGTTTTAGATCTTTCCTGCTTTCTCTTGTGGGCATTTAGTGCTATAAATTTCCCTCTACACACTGCTTTGAATGTGTCCCAGAGATTCTGGTATGTTGTGGCTTTGTTCTCGTTGGTTTCAAAGAACATCTTTATTCCTTCTTTCATTTCATTATTTACCCAGTAGTCATTCAGGAGCAGGTTGTTCAGTTTCCATGCAGTTGAGCAGTTTTGGGTGAGTTTCTTAATCCTGAGTTCTAGTTGATTGCACTGTGGTCTGAGAGACACTTTGTTATAATTTCTGTTCTTTTACATTTGCTGAGGAGTGCTTTACTTCCAACAACTATGTGGTCAATTTTGGAGTAGGTGTGGTGCTGAAAAGAATGTATATTCTGTTGATTTGGGGTGGAGAGTTCTGTAGATGTCTATTAGGTCCGCTTGGTGCAGGGCTGAGTTCAATTCCTGGGTATCCTTGCTAACTTTCTGTCTTGTTGATCTGTCTAATGTTGACAGTGGGGTGTTAAAGTCTCCCATTATTATTGTGTTGGAGTCTAAGTCTCTTTGTAGGTCACTCAGGACTTGCTTTATGAATCTGGGTGCTCCTGTATTGGGTGCATATATATTTAGGATAGTTAGTTCTTCTTATTGAATTGATCCCTTTACCATTATGTAATGGCCTTCTTTGTCTCTTTTGATCTTTGTTGGTTTAAAGTCTGTTTTATCAGAGACTAGGATTGCAACCCCTGTCTTTTTTTGTTTTCCATTTGCTTGGTAGCTCTTCCTCCATCCCCTTATTTTGAGCCTATGTCTGTCTCTGCATGTGAGATGGGTTTCCTGAATACAGCACACTGATGGGTCTTGACTCTTTATCCAATTTGCCAGTCTGTGTCTTTTAATTGGAGCATTTAGTCCATTCACATTTAAAGTTAATATTGTTATGTGTGAATTTGATCCTGTCATTATGATGTTAGCTGGTGATTTTGCTTGTTAGTTGATGCAGTTTCTTCCTAGCCTTGATGGTCTTTACAATTTGGCATGTTTTTGCAGCGGCTGGTACCAGTTGTTCCTTTCCATGTTTAGTGCTTCCTTCAGGAGCTCTTTTAGGGCAGGCCTGGTGGTGACAAAATCTCTCAGCATTTGCTTGTCTGTAAAGGATTTTATTTCTCCTTCACTTATGAAGCTTAGTTTGGCTGGATATGAGATTCTGGGTTGAAAATTCCTTTCTTTAAGAATGTTGAATATTGGCCCCACTCTCTTCTGGCTTGTAGAGTTTCTGCCGAGAGATCAGCTGTTAGTCTGATGGGCTTCCCTTTGTGGGTAACCCGACCTTTCTATCTGGCTGCCCTTAACATTTTTTCCTTCATTTCAACTTTGGTGCATCTGACAATTATGTGTCTTGGAGTTGCTCTTCTCGAGGAGTATCTTTGTGGCATTCTCTGTATTTCCTGAATTTGAATGTTGGCCTGCCTTGCTAGGTTGGGGAAGTTCTCCTGGATAGTATCCTGCAGAGTGTTTTCCAACTTGGTTCCATTCTCTCTGTCACTTTCAGGTACACCAATCAGGCGTAGATTTGGTCATTTCACATAGTCCCATATTTCTTGGAGGCTTTGTTCGTTTCTTTTTATTCTTTTTTCTCCAAACTTCTCTTCTTGCTTCATTTCATTCATTTCATCTTCCATCACTGATACCCTTTCTTCCAGTTGATCGCATCGGCTACTGAGGCTTCTGCATTCATCACATAGCTCTCTTGCCTTGGTTTTCAGCTCCATCAGGTCCTTTAAGGACTTCTCTGCATGAGTTACTCTAGTTATCCATTCATCTAATTTTTTTTTCAAAGCTTTTAACTTCTTTGCCATTGGTTTGAATTTCCTCCTGTAGCTCAGAGTAGTTTGATCGTCTGAAGCCTTGTTCTCTCAACTCGTCAAAGTCATTCTCCCTCCAGCTTTGTTCCATTGCTGGTGAGGAGCTGCAATCTTTTGGAGGAGGAGAGGCACTCTGATTTTTGAGTTTCCAGTTTTTCTGCTCTGTTTTTTTCCCATCTTGTGGTTTTATCTACCTTTGGTCTTTGATGATGGTGACGTACAGATGGGTTTTTGGTGTGGATGTCCTTTCTGTTTGTTAGTTTCCCTTCTAACAGACAGGACCCTCAGCTGCAGTTCTGTTGGAGTTTCTAGAGGTCCACTCCAGACCCTGTTTGCCTGGGTATCAGCAGCAGTGGCTGCAGAACAGTGGATATTGATGAACCACAGATGCTGCTGCCTGATTGTTCCTCTGGATGTTTTGTCTCAGAGGAGCACCTGGCCGTGTGCGGTGTCAGTCTGCCCCTACTGGGGGATGCCTCCCAGTTAGGCTGCTCAGGGGTCAGGGACCCACTTGAGGAGGTAGTCTGCTGGTTCTCAGATCTCAAGCTGCATGCTGGGAGAACCACTACTCTCTTCAAAGCTGTCAGAGAAGGACATTTAAGTCTGCAGAGGTTACTGCTGTCTTTTTGTTTTTCTGTGCCCTGCCCCCAGAGGTGGAGCCTACAGAGGCAGGCAGGCCTCCTTGAGCTGTGGTGGGCTCCACCCAGTTCGAGCTTCCCGGCTGCTTTGTTTACCTAATCAATCAAACAACTAACTCGGCAATGGCAGGCGCCCCTCCCCCAGCCTCGCTGCCTCCTTGCAGTTTGATCTTGGACTGCTGTGTTAGCAATGAGCGAGACTCTGTGGGCATAGGACCCTCTGAGCCACGTGCAGGATATAATCTCCTGGTGTGCCATTTTCTAAGCCAGTTGGAAAAGCGCAGTATTAGGGTGGGAGTGACCTGATTTTCCAGGTGCTGTCTGTCACCACTTTCTTTGACTAGGAAAGGGAATTCCCTGACCCCTTGTGCTTCCCGGGTGAGGCAATGCCTTGCCCTGCTTCGGCTCACGCACGATGCGCTGCACCCACTGTCCTGCACCGACTGTCTGGCACTTCCCAGTGAGATGAACCCGGTACCTCAGTTGAAAATGCAGAAATCACCCGTCTCTTGCATCGCTCACGCTGGGAGCTGTAGACCTGGAGCTGTTCCTATTCGGCCATCTTGGCTCCTCCCCCCTACTATTCTTTAATCATGGTTTAAAAGTTAATTTCCAGGTAACTTACCAAACTAGTAAAAGACATTCATGAAAGAATATTTGGGTGAGGAAAATAATATCTTTTGAATAGTTAAATTCAAATTTTAGTAAATGTAAGAATCACTGTGAAACTTGTTTAAAACATAGCCTTCCAAGCTCTTGCCCCACAAATACTGAGTTAGGGGGTCTAGAGTGATCTAAAGAATCTGAGTTTTTAAACAAGTGTCTAGGTAATTCTCATGTGGCCAAGTTCAAAAATCACTGCTCAGGCTGGTAGAAATAAAACCTTTGGATATTTCCAATACATTTTTGTTGTTGTTTTGTTCAAATATCTGTAGGTATAAAAGGCACTTGCAGAATACAGACTATTCATTGGTATTTGCTGCATTATAATTCCCAAACATAATGGCTTAAAACAATAAACAAATTCTGCATCACCTGGGTGATTCTGGGCTGGGTTGGCTCACCTAGGGCTGGATGATCTAGAACAGCCTCATGCACATGCCTTGTGGTTGGCTTGAATTCAGGTGGAGCAACAGGGATAATCTGGCCACATGTCTCATTATATAACAGGCAAGCCCATGATTCTTCACATGGTAGGTTGAGGGTTCCAAAATGTATCAAGAAAGGGCAAGCCCCAATGCACAGATACTTTTCAGGTCTCCAATTTGGCCATGTTTGCTACTGTCCCACTTCACTTAACAAGGTAAGTCATATGGGTAAGTCCAGAATCAGAATGGAAGGGAAATACGCAAGTATGTTGATTCAAGAAGGTAAATTATTGCAGCGTTTTTGCAACAATATAATTTTCATGCTCAACTGGAAAATTCAATTGGATTCGGAGCAACTGTATGTTAGAAAAAAAATCAATGATCTTGTAGATCAAATACCTGAGTTAATCTAATCCCAGCATCTCACTTAGTAACTGGAAGATGGTTGTCTTTTATTTTCTCTAATTTTCATGGTCTTCATCTGTAAAATATAAATACTACTAATAATAATGTTTACTTCACAGAACTATTTAGAGAATAAATGAAGTAGTGGGTATAAGAATACTTCGTAAGCTAGAAATAGGGCAAAATTCAAAATATTTTTAGATGTGTTTGATGCGATTGTTCCTCACTCCTCCAAAAATGACTACAGTATTTATTAAATCAGTGAGCTTCCTAATATCTCTGTGACTTGATTGTTCTCAGTATAGCCCATCCTCAACCTGCTGTTGGAGTCATCTTCCTTTAAAACCAAACTTATCATGTCATCCAACACTTCAGTAAACCTCTGATAGCTCTCCATTTACCTACACAATATAAGCAGAATCAGCATATAAAAATGTTCCAAAAATGTTCCCAATCTGAGCTCACCTCCCTCTTTATCCAACCTTCTTGACTGTCTATTGAATTTGGCATCATTCCCTTTATACATCAGACCATTATAATTTCAAGCTACATCCATTCTATTTCCCTCAAACTACAATTTTCTTTTACTGCATCTTCCCTTTGGCAAACTTTTACTCATCCTTTAACACCCAGATTAAATATTCCTCCCTCATTGCATGAACATTTAGTGAGCCAAGAACCTTTCTCAGCTTCTCAAATGTTAATTGTTCTGTTTTCTCTGTTCTCAAAAGACTTTGTTAATATCTCTAACACTTATCATAGTGCATTATAATTTATGTGTGTATGTTTTCTCTCTCCCCAGCTAGACAATAAACTACTCCACTACCAGAAATAGTGCAGGTTCTCAGTATTTAGTTTTGAGTAAATGAATGAATGAATGTTTGACTCCTTTATTCCTTCCCTGGCTGGCCACATTATGCTCTGAGACTTAACCAACCATACTCAACCCCCTAGATTTCTCGTTGTCAACCTGACCATAGACACCAAAGAGTATTCTTGCCCAGTGGCCCATTCTCACATCTGGAAGCCAGTTATAGTCATGCCCCACATAATGGTGTTTTGGTCAACAATGAACCTCATATACAATAATGGTTTCGTAAGATTATAATGAAGCTGAAAAATTCCTTTTGCCTAATGATGTCATAGCCGTCATAGAGTCCCCATGCAATGCATTACTTTTTCTATGTTTAGATACACAAATACTTACCATTGTGCTACAATTGCCTACAGTATTCAGTATAGGAACATGTTTTACAGCTTTGTAGCCTAGGAGCAACAGGCTATATGCCTAGGTGTGTAGGAGGTTATACAATCTAGGTTTCTGTAAGTATACAGTAAGTATACACTATGATGTTTGTACAACATCAAAATTGACTAAACATAGCCTCATTGTTAAGCAATGCAGATTGTACTATGTCCTAACTCTCGAGTTGTCTACCAAAATTTTGACCCACTGCCTTTCCTGATCTTGTAACTATCTCATAGAGTCATTGCATTTTTTCTGCTACCTTTGTAGTCATAGTGACACCATCCAGGTGTAATAACAATTCAAGGAATAGGGAAATAACTTATTTTTTAAACCAGCGTGCCTACCATGAACCTTATCAGAAGAATGTTTTTCCTACTGCTTTACAGCTGAAAACCATGGCTCATAGAGATTAAATAATTTACCCAGAGTCAGATAGCTAAATATATGGTATATGGGATTTTAACCCAGTTTTGTCTGACAAAAAGGGGGAAAAAGCCTCCTTTTCTCTCTTTACCACAGTAGTTTGGCAACTTACTTATAGGCTCACATCCAGGAAAGCTTAAGCTAAAGCTGTGATTTGAGGACTAGTAAAGGTTTACACTTGCCTATTTTAACCATTAATTTATGACCTTCATACCAAGAAAAGATTTTAAGCAGTTGTAAATCAACTTAAAGCATCTAGGAAGAAAATCATGTGTTGATGGTATTATATTAATAGTTATTTTGCCTCCCAAATTTCTAGTTTATCCAATGTTTTGAGTAAATATAACAATAACAATACAAGGGTCACTTCAAACAAAAAAGTATAAAACTTCAGTCCTTCTGTTTCAACTTGTAAGTTTAAGATTTCATCTCCTTTCTGGGCAAGAAGAAAACTTTTGTTTTTATTTTTACTAAAAATAATAATCATGGATAAAATGATACAGTTTAAAAGGATTGGCTCTTATTCCATCTTTGGAATTTCTCACTCCAGACAATCCTTTCTCTCTTGGCAAAATATGACATAATGATTTGAAAGAAAGAAAGAAAAAACACTTAAGTGTTTCAGGCCAGAAGTTAATTGAATAAGACCTTGGATTCCGAAGAGTTTGTGTTTTATGGTTGATTAACTTGTTTTAATACCAAAAAATGCTTAGGAAACCCAATTATCATGCCACTTAATCTGAGTTATTGGCTGATTTCTGCTAGTTTCTGGATGTCTTATTGACCAAGTTCCATTTCGTACTATGATATACAAGAGAAACTGAGCTTCAGTTTGGAAAGAAAGATTTAGGTTCAACATATGAACAATGGCCCCAAAACAGAAAGAATAAATTCTTAGATTCATAAATCGGATAACTTGAGCTTGTAATTTCCAGTTACCAACATATTCCTTGCCCGAAGAATAGGATGAACAGTGTGAGAAAATGAAGACCCTAATATTTTTCTATACTTGGCCTATTTTTTACTAGTGTGATTATTACCACCTCATTGTTGTCTTTTCACTTGTTTAAAATAAATATGTCAAAGCCAGATGCCTGGTTATAAAGAAAGAAGGGAGAAGGGGAAATAACTGAAATCATTATACCTTATTCTGGAGCCTACTGGCAACACTATAAAGAATGACTTGCCATTGACATGCACGTGCTACTAGTTCTGTCTCTACCAAAAAAAAAAAAAAAAAAAAAAACCCTACTCTTCTATTAGCTGGCCATCTTTCTTTACATGCTGGAGGGAGGTAAGAAGCGGGGAGAAACATAGGCCTCCTAAAGGACTGTTGGAAATTCTTACATAACCCTTTAAAATAAGAGTTCTTAACTTAATCTGAGCTCCACAGATGAGCTTCTAACCCACAGTTGTTTGCAAAATCATGCTACACATTTTTCTGAGGAAAGATTTCATGAAATTTATCAGATTTTCATGAAACTCTGTGACCCATAAAAAAATAAGTTAAGAACCAGTGCTCCAGCTGAGCTCAGTGGCTCATGCCTGTAATCCTAGCACTTTGGGAGGCCGAGGCAGGTGGATTGCCCAAGCTCAGCACTTCAAGACCAGCCTGGGCAATACAGTAAAACCCCGTCTCTACTAAAATACAAAAAATGAGCTGGGTGTGGTGGTGTGTGCCTGTAGTCCCAGCTACTTGGGAGGCTGAGGCAGGAGAATTGCTTGAACATGGGAGGTGGAGATTGCAGTGAGCCGAGATCATGCCACTGCACTCCAGCCTGGGCCACAGTGTAAGACTCCGTCTCCAAAAAAAAAACAACAACAAAAAACAAAACAAAACCAATGCTCCTAAGTTCCTCAAACTTCTAGGCATGACTATTTTTCTGTGATATCAGGGAATCAAGGGGACTAAAGGGATGACAGGTAGAAAAGGGGAAGAATGAGCCATGGCTTCTTGCCTAGTACAAGTGGAGGCAACATTAGACCATAGCTTTCAAGTACAGAATTGTACAAAACTGAGTTCACAGATGGGCTGAAATGAAAGCAGCTTTCATAACCCTCAGGTTTGCCACTTCTCAGGTAAATAATGCAGAATCATATGTAGGGTTGCTCCTAAATATTTGAAGCAAGGCACTGAAACCTGTGTATTACTGAGATCTATAGGTTTAACCTGATTGATATTTTCCATGTATATTTAACTGAGTGACTTCTATATGCCAAGTATAATATCAAACACTAAAGATATGCTGGTGAGCTGAACAGGAATTAGAAGGAAAGAATAAGCAAGACTTGATTCAGCCAAACTTGCAAGGGAATTGGGATACAATGAAATCTCTTATTACCACAAAACCATAGAATTTTGGAACTAGAAGAAAACTTGATGATTACCTAGTTCAGTCCTCCTATTTTCTAAGGACTTTGTTCAGGGTCATTCAGTTCAAGTGGCAATACTGGGATTGAATCCTACGTATTCTTTCATCTAGCCCATTTATCTACCCTCTATTTTAAATTGTGTCTCCATAACCTATCTATACCCTTTTATTTCTAGAGTCAACCAATTTCAAAAATCCCTTCAGCCTCCCAAATACCTAGATGCCAATAGAGAATCCCTCAAAATCCCCATTCCACATACCAAGAAGAAAGAAAATTTAGAATTTATTGTAAAGTATACAATTGGTTGGTATCAATATACCAACCAATACAATTGGTCTGTATCAATATACCAACCAATACAATTGGTCTTGATGATGAGGGCGAACAAGTTATTGATGATGATGATGATGACAATACTGTTACTAATGATCATGGCACCTAACATTTTCAGCTTGCTTAAGATTAGATACTCATACTCGTCCTCTTAGAGGTCATGATTTTCACTATATAACATGGACATTCTAATTCAGGTATATTGATACCAAACAATTACAAACTTAGAAAATTTTCAATATTGAAATCCAGCTTTTACTCAGAAAAAGAAGCATCTCTGGCTCTTTAAAATTACAGTCTCAACTGGTCCACTCGCTCATGATGTCATATACAGTTTGACGTTGTCTGGGCAAGCTGGTAAACATACTGCTTCCTCCATTGTTTAATTCCCTTCCCTGAGTGAGATCCTTAGGCAACCAGGCTTCATTAGTTCAGGTGCTAGCCTCAGGGAACTACTTGTTTTAATTAGAGGGATGAAATGGCATTTTAATTGTGCACAATGATTAATAAACATGCTGAGCTGCTGCATAATGATCTGCTGCTTGAAGAGCTTTCTCCCTTATTCCTGATATCTACATCCATTAACTGATTGTTATCCAGGTGAAGAGCTATCGAGCTCTTTCTCCAACCAAATTGCACACTGTCTGTCCTCCAATTTTTCTGCTAATAACAATTATTGGAACTAAGTCCCATTAATTTTTGTGGTAACAGAGAGACAAGACTAAAATGGAGAGAGCTTACAAAGTGCTATATTGCCTATGTAATTTATTTCACTGAACTTTCCTGTAAAAGGGAGATAATAATATGACCAATCTGACAGGGCATTGCATAGATTAAATGAGATAATGTATGCAAAGCTGGCCCAGAGAAGGCACCCTGAAAATGTTAGGTGCCATGATCATTAGTAGTAGTATTGTCATCATCATCAATAACTTCTTCATCCTCATCAGTTTCATCATCAAGACCATAATCTTCCTCAAGATTAGATACTCATATATTTCCTCTTAGAGGTCATAATGTTCAGTATATAACATGGACATTCTAATTCAGGGATCATTTTCTAAGGGGTGGTGGTTGACTGAAGATTTTCCCAATTTCTCCTTTATGTTGTATGAAAGTAGTTTGGAATGACTTATGGGAAATGTGTGCAAAGAAAGTCACATATTATACAGACTTAATATCACCCCCTCAGTAGTTAAATAAAATACTTGCTGCATGTCTGAACTTCAATGAAAACAGAAACTAAAGAACTAGATGATAAAGTGACTTCCGCTACAAAGCTTCACCTGCTTGGCATTTGTAATACTTTTATTGGCTACCATTGTAGTTTGGTGACTCCTTACAGCATTACAGCTTTTTTCTCTAGTTGCGGACACTAGTATATTGTTTGTTTTGTGTTTCCTGGAAATTGTTCCTCAAGGTCATATATCTATCTCCAAATCTTTGACTTTACTTGATTTGAGGGAAATAATTCTGGAGGAAACCGAGGGGAGCCGCCACAATTCACTATTTGTAAATGGTTATTGTGATGTTGGATATTACACAATTGATCCTATTTCTTAGCTTGAATTATTAAAGACACTATTTTTAAAATAGGCCAGCTGTTCTACTGACGTACTTATCTGTATTTTTTTGACATATTACCATAACTGCACACCAATACAACTCACTTATGCCCAAGAAAAGTAGTTATGACTGAGCATGTTAAAAGCTAAATATAAAACCACTTTCTCTCCCACAAAATATTAAGGATTTCATAGAAACAAGTCTGCCCCACTGAAGATGGCTTCCTGTACACAGAGTCATTATGGTTCAGTGAAGCAGATATGATTGATTACACAGGCCAAATTTTACCTTGCCTCCAGGGCGCTCCTAATTCTTGTTGTTATTTCCTTTAAAGGCACACAATTGTCTGCAAGAGTCAAAGGGGAAAGGTGAATGAACTCTTTTGGCCATGGCAGAGCAGAGAGAAGGGTTTTGGAATAGACACTGAACCTGAAATATCTAAGACAGTGCAGAAAGAAAAAGAGGACTGAATGCATTTTCATATTTTCCTATTTCCTAGCAAGGAAGTCTTTAAAATCATTCACCTGAAGTTCCACTAATATATATATATATATACACTTATTATAATGGCCAACATTAAAAACACTGACCATATGAAATATTGTTGAGGATGTGGAGAAACAAACTCTCAAACACGGCAAGTGGTGCGCTACATTTTACCAACAGTGCCGAGATTTCTGCAGGGGAGTGGAGCGCAAGAGTAAGATGCTACAACATTTTTGGAAAATAGTTCTGCACTTTCTTAAAAAGTTAAACATGCAACTACTAGGCAATCCAGCATTCCACTCCTCTGCATTAACCCAAGAAATGAGAGCAGGCGTCCATACAAAGACTTTGACACAAATATTCATAGTAGCTTTATCGGCAATCACCAAAAATAAAAAGCCAAAATGTTCCTTCTTAACAAGGGAACAGATAAACAAATTATTGTACATCTAATGAAATACTACTCAGAATGAGAAAAGAATGAATGATTGATCCATGCAATAACAAAGATGTATCTTAGTTAGACAAAAACTGATATCTGTGATGGCAGAAAACAGTGCAGAGATTTCTTCAGGGCAGTGGAGTGCAAGAGTGGCTATAAAGGAGCATGAGGAAACTCTTGGGAATGATGAATATGTTTGTTATCTTGATTGCAGTTAGTTTCATGGGTGTATATCATGTCAAAAACCAAATTGCACACTTTAAATACATACAGTTTAGTGAATGTCAATTATATTTCAATGAAACTGTTATGAAACTGTTAAAATAAATAAATCGCTTTCTTGAAATTTTTTGAGCATAGTTATCTGTTCTAATGGGACTGGTTACAATACACTGTATTAATCTTTGGTGAATATATACATAGATATATGTTTTTCTATTAAAGGCTATCAATGTAAAGAGATGGGTTCAATAAACCAATGCCATTATGTCAGTATAGACACAATCAGAATATTAGGAAGACTTTTCTCAAGTAAACAACTATAGCACTAAAAACATAGCTATGTAAAGACGCTTGTTGTAAACTCTTTGACCATTTGGGATGTTTCGAATAACCAGCTAGTAGTATTGTACTAAATTAAGGCCTTAGATTATTTTTCTGATTTTCTCTCCAATGCTAGAAGAGCTATGAGGAGAGATTTTCTGGAGTATCCAACTTAGTACCCCCCCTACTATTCTCAGCCCAACCCCTTGGCATAGCAGTCAGTCAATCCTAGCTGCAGATTTGCTGACTCAGTGCTGATTTCCATGAGTCAATCTATTAATGAATTCTTTATAATGAATTCTTTATTACCAATGATTTTTTTCTTTATACAGCTTACCTTTGGTCTTCTCAACCTCACCTGAATTTCCTTCCCATTTCTCTGTAGCCTTTACCATGTTGAGTTATTACAGAGCAGTTTAAGAATATTCATTGAATAAATGTCTACATTTTAAATGTACTATTTCTTTCAAAATATCCCAAGCTCTCAACACCTACAATAAAATAAAATGACTCTCAAAAAACGGTTTGTGAGAAATTTACTAACTTGGTAAAGAAAGGCTATTTAAACATAATGTAGACCAACATATATTCATCTAACTGTCAAGCCAGATGTGCATATATTTATATTACTACTAAATTTATATTATTTATGAATATTCTTTAATAATCAAGAAGCCATCGATTATAATATTTTAGGTAAATCTATACTAATTGATTAGGTTCATGTTATTTTTCTATCTTTGTTAGGAATGCAGCACATTTATTGAGTGCTTATTAATAAAAACTATCAGAACAATAGTTAAAAATGATTTGTGTGATGAAAGAAAGAAAAGAGACAAAAAAGAGAAAGGAATTGTATCTGTACTTACTTTTCTACTTTATCAGTTGTAACATGCACTGTTTGGATTATTTTAGATTCCCCACTTTAGTTCTTAATCTTGGCTGCACCTTTCAGATTCGCCTGATCTTGAAAAAGTATTGAATGTCTGGGTCTCACTCCAGACCAATTGAATGAGAATATATGGGAATAGGGCCAAGGACTGATGATTTTGATGCAAAGAGGGATTTGTAAACTCTCTCTTAAAATGTGCAAATTAATAACACATTATTAGGGTGGCCCTAATCTTCTCGTCAGGTATTGATATTTATTTGATGTCAGCTTTCCTCTTATTCTCCGGCCGTTTTGTCTATCATATCCACCATGACTTACATTTTGGCAGCCTTCTGGTTCTTCCCTCAGTCAGCTTCCTCACTCCAGCAGAGCCCTATAAGAAAGCAGTCATAGTAAGCAGTGGAGACTTTGATGAAGACGTTGCAGGAGAATCAGGATAGTTTGTATCACATATCTTACAACCACATGACACTTGCCACACTCCAAAGTCCTGTTTTCCTTAATACAATTGAGATTTTTTTTTTCTACTGAACCATCATTTTATGGAAGAAAACGTAGAACAAGTTTCCAAAGCAATTCACCTCCACCCCAAACCTGTATACTCCCAGGCAAAAACAGAAGGTCATGTAGTTAATTAATAGGTCTTCCCACTTTTAGAAAACATTTTAATCACCATGTTATTATTTGAGCATGCCTTTGACTGCTATACTCCAAGTGGCTTATCAAAAGCTTCTCCCAAACACACTTAATCATCTCCACAAGAGGAACCTTGGTACCATCTGGTAAGGTAATAAAATAGTCTTCATATCATTTTATGGACATATATTCATGCTGACCAAAACTTACTTAAGAAAAAATAAAGGTTACTCTTATGTTAAGAAAAGCAAATAATTCAGAGCTGGAAAAGGGAACAGTGACAGCAGAGTAGGGTCACTATAGTTAACAACAATGTATTGTATATTTCAAAATACCTAAGAGAGAGGACTTGAAATGTTCCTAACACATAGAAATGAATATTGAGGTGATGGATACCCCAAATACCATAATTTATCATTATATATTCTACGCATGTAATAAAATATCACATATACCTCATATATATGTATAAATACTATGTATCAGTAAAAAAAAATTTAATTTTAAAAATGGAATAGGAAAGAGATTAACAAAACAAGTACAGCTGCCAAAAAATGAAGCCAGAAAGGATAGAATGGAAGCAACTAGTGTCAATCTTTTAGTTCACAATCAATAGTTTTAGAGTTCCAACGTGGATTTATATTTATTAAACTTGGGGTACCATCCCCAGTGACACTGATTAAGTAGGTCTGGGATTGGACCAAAACTGACATTTTTCCCAGCTCCCATAGGATTCTGATGCAGATCATTGACACACCTCATTTTGGGATTTCAAACTGTAAAGTGCAAAAGAATCATCTGAGGATCTTGGTGAGATTCAGATTGCACTAATGGTAATGTGTAAGGATGAGGCCTGAGATTCTGCATTTCTAACAGGGTGCTGCCAATTATATGACCCATGTGTCACACCTTTATGTCAAGGTAGTAGGATTTTGAAAATTGGGTTTGGGTGTGTTATAAACATGATTTGGATTGGGCTCCATAAAAGATTATTTCATTGAAAAATCTCTGGGATTTCTTGCGTTGCCCAGTGCATCTCTTCTCTGCCCTGGCCCAATTCTTAAGATTTGCTCCCCATTATAGAGTTAGTTAAGCTACAATTAACAACTGTGGATTCAATAAGTCCTTCTCTTTCCTTATTTAAAATAGATTTGGTTATCATCTGTGATAGTAATTGGTAAACTACTACAGGCAGGCCAATCTGGCTGCTGCCTCTTGTTGTAAATAAAGTATTATTGAACACTACCACATCCATTTGTTTACATATTACCAATGGCTGCTTTCCTACCATAATGGCAGAGTTGAGTAGTTACCATAGAAGCCGTGCAGTTGACAAGATGATATACTATCTGGTTCTTTACAAAAAATTTTGATGATCCTTGGCCTATGACAATTCACAGTCTTCTAAGCTTCATTTTCTGCAATTAACCCAGAAGTATTTTTAGCACAAGATGTAGTAAAAGAAAAGGAGGAAACCTTTTTTATTAATTCTGAGGTTTTCTGCAGAGCTCAGGAATTTGTTTCTCTTGCCTTCTACAACTTAATGCACTTCATTCACTGCTGCTATTTTATTCTCTTATACATGTGTTTTGTTCTTTTATTTGATAACTAGCTATTGACTTATTAAGCTTTTAAGGGGTAATAGAGATAATCAGAGGACACAAAGATAATTTTATGTTTGGTAATGAGAAAGTCTTTATGGAGAAGATGGGAAATAACTTTGCTATTGAAAGAAAGTGTAGACATGCAATTGCAAAGAAGCAGAGAGAGGTGGGAGGATGAATAAATAAAAAGGTCAAAGTCAGAATACTCGAAAGGTATTCAATAAGCGAGGAAGTACTCTGCATAACTATATTGGAGTGTTCATACAGGACAGCGGGACACAGGACTACACTTCAAAGCACCTTGAAAACCAGTGTAAGAATTTGCAAGAGTTCTTAGGTCCTTGCGACTCAGTGTGGTCTCCAAACCAGCATGGGCATGCCCTAGGACCTTCTTAGAAATGCAGATTTTCTGCCCAACCCCAGACCTACTGAATCAGATTCTACATTTTCACAAGATCCTCAGACCATCTGCATGCCAGTTAAAGTCTGAGAAGCACTACTCTAGAAGAGAACCAGTTATGTAGTGGAGAAAGTGCTGGACTGGGGCTCCTGAAGATTCCAGAGCTATCGTTCACAAACCGCGTGTCTTTGGACAAATCTCTTAAAATCCCTAAGCTTGTTTGCTCATATGTGAAATGATTATATTTGAGCCTTCCAACTCTGAAACTCTATTCTCTCACTCAATGGACATCACCTAAAGGGAGATTGTGATATGAGGGGATATAAATACAGTTATGCTTTAGAAAGACCAATGTAAAGACTGTTTCAACATGGATTTGAGATGGAAAAACAAAAAGAAGACAGAAACTGGAATACTAGTTAAAACACAGTGTAGAATTCTAAACCTGAGGTTGTAAAAATATACTTTTGTGTAAAATTATTTACTAGTATAGATACCTTCTTAGTATTAGCATTACATTCCATTGTCTGCATTTTTTATTACATTCATTAAACTATATGACACAGGTCATGCCACAAAAAAGTGAGAATAAGTGAGGGGAGGCAAGGGAGAGAAAATGAGAGAGAAAGGGAGAGAAAAATTGAAACCAATTTCCCAGAACCAGGCAGTAGCAAAGAAGGCCAAGCAACTCCAACAAATGTGTTTAAAAGTCATAAAATGGATTGTTTTTTAATTGGCACTCCTTTGATATGGCTGCTATCTCTCGGATTAGAATATTGTTACAAAAGTTGTAGGGCTCTGGAAAGGAAAGTCCTCATGTCTCACTCAAAACTAGCTACAACATCAGCATTGCAAAAGGCATGAAATTATTTTTAAAGGCATGAACAAGTTGACAAAATACTGATTTTTTTACTCCCAAAGAAAATTTTACTTTAATATATTAGGTTGCCTAGTGGCTCACTAGGGGATTTATAATCTTTCTTTACTTTTTAAAAAACATTTTTATTATAAAAATTTCTTCCAGTCCACACGAAGTATCTTTAGCCATCTCTTCCAGATAAATACAGTGTCTATTTGAATTGATTGAATTCAACAGATTCATTTCATGGTTTTTTATTTATGTCCTCCCACATTTAAAATAAATAAGGTTAATACTGATAGAACAAGGTTGTATGGGTCTTAGAAGGATCTATTTTTTTTCATCACACCTCTTTTGTTCCATCTTGCTTAGCAAATCAGATGCTAGATATATTTTGATTAGTTTGTACTTTAATGGATCATGTATGGAGGGTCCACCTTTCACATTGGGGCCATTAATTTTTCTTGAGTCTGATGGAAAAAACAGGTAGAGCTTTTTTTGTGTGCTGATTGAAAAGTGATGGATTATTTTCATGTGGTAAGAAACACAATGTTTTCTTTAGCACAGCAGGATATAATGTTTGCAAGGTCTAACAGTGAAATATTATGCATATCTGCCACTGGCCGGCTGCCAGAAATGGAACAGCAAAATCAGAGGAGATTTTGAATTTGAATGTTAAAACCAGTACAGCCTACAAAAAAGCTAATGAGCCATTCTAAGCAGAAAAAGCTTTTATACTAATAGATGGTGCCCGCCATACACGCCTGCATTTAACAAGATGGTAAATAATTATTCATTTAAGTGTTACCTTGAACTTTATTTCAAGAAAAAAAAAAGATATTTATTCCTGATAATTTCCAATAGGCACTGCTGCAAGGATTTTTTTTTTTCCCCCCAATTCAGAGGCCCATGACGTTTCCTTCCTGGTGAAAGTAGAATCATTTTCCTTACAGCGTTTGTCCTCTTGTGGTTGAAAAATTGACTCAGAGAAAATTTTATTCCACCATTATTTAGTACTGAAAACTGGCATTTTCAAATCAATACCTAGAATTATGAAAAAGCTTTGAAATGTCATAAGAAATAAATATACAAACATAATCTTAAAAGGTTGGTAAGGGGATGTTTTGAATTTGCTGAATGTCTTGAGCTCCTTTGCTTTCAAAGTGAAGGACCTAGCACTGGGGATCCTTTCTGCTCTTAGTACTTATTTCTGCCATGATAACCTATTGATATATTAAGGAAAACACAATCCACATGTTCATTTATAACCAACTCATCAAGATGTTATTTTCTAGAAATATTTGATATCTTAGAAAGTAAATATTTGATATCTTAGAAAGTTGGAGCCTTCTTTTCTAGGCTTTAAAATTTTATTTTATTTTATCCTGTTTTTAGGGCCAGAACATTTTATTTAGTAGGTATTGAAAGGAATTTGGGTCTATCAGGGAACTGGCTCCACTTTAAATGAAAAAGCTGCACAATCAATATGGAAAACACACTATATATTTCGAGAAAATATACATGGTATTACTACCCTCCTGTAAATGGAAAAATCCAATGGGAAGAGACGTTTGCTACATGTTGACGCCTTATGTATTTTATATTACTGTATTTCAATCTCCATTTTAAAGATGGTGTTACGACCTTAAATTATAGGCTTTCACTTTTAAGACCATAATAATCTCCCAGTGCTGCAACTCTGCAGGGAGGGGCACTGATGCTCAGTCCCCTAGAAACATAGCGGGTGGAAGAGAAGAGAGGAAAAGCCCTGATGCACTGTCACAGCTTGAGCTCTAAAGTCACAATTGAGACATGCTTATGACAAATCCGATCCAGCCATCCCACCACCTAAGTTACACTGCCCAGTGTTCTGTTTTCCTGGAAGCTGCATTAACTCTTCTGGTCCTCTAGGGTACTGAAAAGTAATTTACCGATACGTCACCCCAAATGGTGCTCTTGTGGTCCAAGATCTGGTCTGTGTCCAAATTGACACAAAGCCTCAAAGACCTGCTAGGAGTAGCTTATAAATTAGGGCACTATGGTTTATCTTCCAGAGACTATTTTCCAAATGTCATGTATCACATAGTCATTTTTTATTTGCTTAATAGATTATTTTAAAGAGCTTAAGAGATCACATAGTCCATACATTAACCTGCCAACAAACCCCCAAAATCTTAATTTAAATTTAAAAAAATGAAGCCCCATAAAGTATGAAAAAGAATGTGACATAAATTCAAACGTTTCTTTTTAAGTTTGCTGCGCAACACTCACACATGACAGGAGATGCACTCTTGGCTTAAAAAAGGAAATCAATTCTACAAGGGCTGCCCATAATATTGGAATTATGTTAATTGAATCTGTTTTGTTCAAATGGTAAAAGTTTGGCTCATTAGCTAGAAATTTACTAAAAATTGGAAATAAAAGATTGAAGAGCCTCAAAGAATATATTAGTAGAATGCTTGAGTACATAAACAAAGTAGATAATGTCAATTCTTAAAACATCTACATTTTAAACTAATATGTGAATTATGCTAGATTCAATCCAACAAAACTAATAGTGATGTTTAGCCTGCACTGCAACTAAAAGATAATATTTAAAAGTTATAGGTACAGCTGGGAACTGTGGCTCACATCAGTAATCCTAGCACTTTGGGAAGCTGAGGGTGGGGAATCATTTGAGGCCAGGAGTTCAAGACCGACTGGATAACATGGCAAAACCCTGGCTCTACTAAAAATACAAAAATTAGCCAGGCATGGTGGCACATGCCTATAAACCCAGCTACTTGGGAAGTTGAGGCACAAGAATCGGTTGAACCCCAGCGACGGAGGCTGCAGTGAGCCAAGATCTTGCCACTGCACTCCAGCCTAGGTGACAATGGGAGACTCTGTCTCAAAAACAACAACAACAAAAAAAATTAAATTTTTAAAAAATTTAGAAGTGCAAGGGAAAATAACTTTAAGTTTTCTTGTTTTCACAGAAAATTTTTTAAAAAGGAAGGAAGGAAAGGGAAGGAAGAAAGGGAGGGAGGGAGATGTAGCTATGCTGGGATGCATAGTTGAAATGTTAAGTGATAATATGGATGTGTCCACTATGATTAAATTAAGATTATAGAGTCTATTTGTACAAAACAACTCAAAAGAACATACAGTATATAGTGTGTATTTGCATATGTTTTGATACTGTATATGTAATATATATTGTAAGAATGAAAAAGTATAATTTTTGTTTTTTATATATCATTTATAATTTTCTTGTTCCTGATGTCCATTTTTCCCTGAGTTGTTGCTCATGATAATCATGTTCCTATATTTTGTATTTGATGATGTTATTTGGTGATTAGCATGTCCTTCTGGTTCATCCATTTAGCCTATAAATTGCAAGTAGTGCTGCTTCAGTTGCACGCTGTCTTCTCCCTTGGCCTTCACTTTGGCCTCTGAAAACCCTTAAATATAACTAATTTATTAAAGAAACAACTGGCCTCTCCTGTATTTAATATTTAAGGGGATAGAGATTTAACTTCAGGGCACAAAAACTACACAAAATACTTAGCTAGGTTGTTATTATTTAAATGTTTCAATGAAATTTAATTTGTAATTTAGGACTTTTCCAATCTTTCCTACATTTTATAATATATTTAACCTAAGCAGCTAAAATCTGAGCATGAGAAAGAATCATTCATAAATACAGATGGTACAATGAAGAGCTCCACTGAACACTGCTGAAGCTCGTGAAGTTGAAAGCAGAGTGGCTGATTAGCCATACACATATTTTTACTAATCACAGAGCAAGCATATTTTGTTACTGCATAATCAGATGCCTTAGGTATATCAAATATACTTTTTCCACATGACCAAAGTAAGAATTTGCAAGAAAAGCAATCACCATTCAATTACATGCCTGTGATTATAAAATACTAAAACAAGTCAAATTTCTTTTTCTAATATCAAATTTGAACTTAACCATATTTTCCTAAGAGCAATTTTCTAGCATTGAAAACCACGACTAACCTTTTGTCAGAAAAAGTGTTTGAGGATATTCCTGATACTGTTAAAGCTTTTTCTTATATGTTCTGGGCATGTTCTCTCTTCCTGAAATATTTTGATAACTTATAGAAGTTGAATCTATATTTAAGAATAGTCACTGCCCTCCTGTAAATTCAAGAAACTCACGAGGGGACCTAGATTTTAAAAATCGTTTGTGCTTTTGAAATCTTAGTGAAACTAAGCGTTTTCAATCCATAAAAATTTTAACTAACACATAAAATTCATTCAAATCTCTTAAAACCTTAAAAATGATAGACTTCTATTTTGCCCATACAAAAGAAAGCAATAGTGAAATTTTAACTGATAAATATTAAGATGCTTTCTTCTTTAAGGATTGTAGTTTCAAATGTTTTTACACTAAAAACCAACTGACAGATCTTTTATGAATATTTGGAAAATCATCCTTCGCTTTTTTGCAGCCCAGAAAAGAAGCAAAAAGAATCATAATATGCATTTTATGTGGTGATATAAAAGAGTCCCATGGTAAGAGCAGACGGAAAATGGTATAGTTATTATTAATTTAGAAAAACAAAAGAGCAGCCCAGCATTTCAGTAATGTGGCAAGTTGTGTGCTCTTGAAGGAGAGAGGGTTTTATAATTGGATTTTAGAGTAATTTAGAAGACGAGATAAGATGTAATGGTTGAGTATTAGAGGTTAGAACTACAAGAGAAACCCATAATGTAAGGGTTCACTGCACTGGGGGACAACAGAACAAAGAGAAGCAGCGCCAACCGAAAACGGCCCCAGTGAGAAGCAACAAGGTGAGGCTTGCGATGGGGGTTCCCAGAGGGTGTCAGCAGGGACGCAGGCTCAGCCCCTGCAGCATACCGTAAGGAGCACAGGCTTTTCTCAGAATGCTTTTTCTTTAGTGACCTGTCACTGTCCCACCTCTCCTCCTCCCTACCTGCGAGTTCAGCTTGGCATTTCTTTCTTCCCTGCAGCCCAGCAGTCAGACCTGAGCATCTGCCATCCAGGCTTCCACCCTCAGCAGGCTGTCCTGGGGCTCCATCCAGGCTCCCCTGACACCACCCACACACCCACAGGTCCCCCCACATACACCCCCACACATACACACCCCACACACATAAACACCCACAGACACACACACACACACATACCCACATATACACACACCCCACAAACATAAACACCCACAGATACACACATACACACCCACATACACACACCCCACATACATACACACACTCCCTACACACTCCACTCACATACACACCCACATAAACACATACTTCCCCCATACACACACACAGCCACACACACATCATACACACACTCCCCCTACACACACATACACACCCACAGTCACATCCACACTTTCCCCACACACATACACATACCCCACACACATACACACCCACATATACACTCCATACACATACACACCCACCAACATACATACACACCACACACACATATACCCCCACATACATACACACACTCCCCACACATACCCGACTTACATACACACCCACATATACTTCTCCCATACACACATATACACACCCACATACACCCCTCCACACACACGTATAACTCCCCACACATACATACCCACATAAACACATACATATACATACTTCCCCAACACATATATGCACACCACACACACACCCCTCCACATGCACATACTCCCCCCACACCCATACACATCCAAAACCCCACACACATACACATCCAAATACACCCACACCCACATACACCTTACATACATACACACACTTCCCACACACACCCCACACACATACCCACATATACACACACCCACAGACACACACACCCACATCCACACACCCCACACACATACGCACATACATCCCCCCACACGTACCCACATACTTCCCCCCGACACATACACACCCACACACCCCACATACATACCCACATATACACACCCACATACACCCCCCCAAAACACAAACCCCACACACACATACCCCACACATATACCCACATACAGACACACATACTCATACATGCACTTACTCTCCTCACACACATATTCACCGTAAACACATACATACCCACACACCCATACACACATTTCCCCCACATATACACAACCCCATACACACACACTCCCTACCCACACACACATCCACACACCCACATTCCCCCACACACACCCATACACACACTCCCCACCACCCCACACACACATATTCACCCCCACACACACACTCCCCACCACCCCACACACATATTCACCCACACACGCTTCTAACACACCTACACACACGCTTTCCACACATATACACAGCACACTCACACCCATATCCCTCCACACACACATGCATACCACCCTACACAGAGAACCAGGGCCTAACCTCTCTATCTCTCTTCTATCCCCGCAAGGCTCAGCCTGTGCCCACTGGGAGACAGAGAAAAGAATCTGAAGAAGAGTAAAATCTGCCTCTACCCACCCCACCCCCAATTTTCATTCCAAGCCTTAGGCAGATAAATGTACTTTTCCACCTGTTCATTGGGGTCCCTGTCCAGATAATCCATCGCACAGGCTCCAGCTCTCAGGTGAAGGCCTCAGGTGAGAGGCTCTTTTTAGATTTAAGAATCCAAGCCTGGAGGGGAAACCCTGTTTCTAGAAAGGGAGAGCTGTGTTGCTGACGGGCGGTGGGAAGAGATGGGAACCTATGGGGTTGAATTCCTGCCCAGTCATCGGCGCTTGGCTACCCCCTGCTGGGCGGGAAGCTCTTGGCCTCAGACTCACACATTATGCTCAGGGTCAAGTCTATTCCCAAGGCTTGGGACAGAATCCACTTACTTCCTGTCAAATTGTTATCACACGTTCCCAACGTGAAGCTGGAGTGTGAAGTTACCTTCCAATCCCCAAGAGGTGTTTGTTAAAGAGTTTTTTTCCTCTGAGCCCTTTGTATGCCAGTTTAAGCAGAACAAATCTATTTATTTTTTGTGAGGATCAGTTTATTAAAAGCATGCACATAACTCAAATCGTATAGTAAAATGATGTTAGGCTTTGTTGAGCATGAAAAGTGTGCTCGCTCAAACCCCATTTCCAACCTTCCGTGCGTCATTTTCCCCTGAAGCAGAACATAGGTTATGTTAACAGGACCTCAGCCCAAAGGCCTAAAATCAGCTTAGCTCCCAGGCTTTCTCCAGCCATCTCTTCCCACAACCCACTCTTTCCACCTCTCAGGAAAACCCCAGCTACATGATGTAGAAAACTGGCAAATATAAGCGGACGGGGAACCGATTTTTAACCAGATCAAGTTTTCAAATATAGATTAACACGTTTTAATTGTCCTATAAACTATTATTCTTAAAGTCACTCTTAACAAAACCCAGACTTGGAGGAAGTTCTCTGCCATAACTGTAATGTGTATACACTATTAAGATAGTTATGAAACCTCAGACACATTTGGAAGACGTGGCTTAATAGTGCCTTTAATACAAAATAAAGTAAAATGTAAATAAAAAGGGATTAGTTGTTATAAGCTGTGACACAGCTGCAGCGACAGAAACTGAAGAAACATGTAAACAGAGAGTGCTTTTAGTCACTCAGTGACCCAAATGTCTTTTTCAGACTCTCACAATTCTAATTCTGACACACTCGTTCATTTCATTTATTTTGCAAACCAAGCAGAAATGAAACGGACCTTCAGATTAAGTAAACAGGGGCTTTACATATAGCCACTAAGCTGCCAGATAGACAACTTTTGGTTTACATGGAGTGTAAGGGTAAAGAAACAATGTCAAAACTGCATCCCTTCTTGCATTTATTGGCATGAAGTGAAAATCCAAATATATTCACCAACAAATTAATAAAGGGTGAACAGGCTGCTAACCTTGCATGGTGCGTTAAAGTGTCAGAGCACTTGAACTGCACATCATAGCACAGCCTCAGAAATAAACAAACATTTCTCTCTGTCAGAATGGGGTAAATAAATTAGGATTTGGCTAAATCTCTGGTTGTTTTGCTCCCATGTTGTGGCCTAGAATAAGCCCTACACTATTTCCAGCTGAAGTTGACTCTACTTGATACCTTAAGCAAATGAGAGAAAAGACAAGGGTGACAGTGTAGGAAGGAACTGACTTGAGATTTTCCTTTCTTATTAGTTAACAGAGTTGTCAGTGAGTGAGAATGCAGGATACAAATTAATGCTTTTTCAAAAGCCTTCACTCTAATCCTATTTTTTCCTTAATGATCCCTTTGTCAATTACTGTTGTCTGGGTGTAGCCTTATAATAGTCATGTTCAGATTGTTTACCAAGGTTGGGTGAAATGGCAGGATGAGGGTGGGGGGAGGGAGGAACAAAGAGATAAGCCTATCCCTGATAAGCCTAGGAAGCTCTTAACTGAATTCAAGTAACCCTGCCCCCTCCCTCAATGGGAGAAGCATGCCAGCCTTCCCACCAAGTTCTTCCAGATGATACTCAGTACTTTAATCTCTATGCCTGCTCAGCAAATTGAGTGATTTCTCTTCTCTAACTCTTGCTATCTGGTGACTCCAACCCCTTTTTTCTTTGAGCCATTTCCTTTTTCCGTTTTTCTTGAAAAGTTTTCTTAAATCCATACACATTAAACTAATAAAGAAAAATGGAATATAAATGCTATGGTTTGAATGCCCCCTCCAAAACTCATTTTGAGATTTAATTGCCATTGTAATAGTATGAAGAGGTGGGCCTTTAAGAAGTGATTAGGCCATGATGGCACTGCCTTCATGAAGGGGTTAATGCTGCTATCACAGGTCTGGGTTAGTTATTGCAGGAGTGGATTTCTGATTTAAAAAAAAAAAAAAAAGATGAGTTCAGCCAACTTCCCTCTCTGTCTCACATACACTCACAATATGATGCCATCTGCCTTAGGATGACCCTTCCCAGAAGCTGGTGTCATGTTCTTGGACTTCCCAGCCTCCAGAACCATGAGCCAAATAAGTTTCTTTTCTTCATAAATTACCCAGTCTGTGGTGTTCTGTTATAACAGCAGACACAGACTAAGACAACAAGCAAAAGTTAAATAGCAAAGTGATGATGGAAGATGAAGGACTCTGAAGAAGAGAAAAATCAATGGGATGACAGAACATTTAGGCAGCTTCAATAACAAGATGAAATGTGAATAATAGAAAACATTATTTGAGTGATTATTATGTATCAGACACCATTCCAAATATTTTTATGTTTATTATATCCTTTCATCCTCTTTATCACCCTATGAGATGACATTATTATCTCTACTTTAGAGGCAAAAATGTATTGAGGCCTGGAAAAGTTAGAATTCAATAGCTTATCAGTGGTACAGCTAAGATTTGACTTTTGACCAGGGACTTGTAAAACTATGCTATGCTAATAGAATAGGAAAATGGGTTAAGAAAAACAACAACAAAAACAAGCCAAACAACATTGCAAGCCAGCCTTTTTAACTGGGTGGGTTTCATTGTTATTCAACTGTGGAGTCACATTTGCAAACATTCTTAACCAGAAGAAACCGTGACTGCTCCATATCCCAAAGAATTCAGTATTACATAGTCCAGTATACATATTCATGGTCTCAAAAAATCCTGAGCTGCATATTAAAAGGTCCACGAGAGGCAAGTGAATTCAAATAACATAGGAAAGAAGCACATGCAGATGCAAAAGAACTATCCAAGTAAAAAGTCTGAACTTCTGTCATGTGATGTTTATACTCAAAATGGCCTAGATGAGAGGTAAAGGGTGGTTACATAATCAAGTGCCTACAACAGTAGCACTTTTAACAATTTTGGGGCCTGCAGCAAGAAATGAAGGCCCACATATTTTATGTTTTTATGTTTAAAAATATATATAGTCAAGCTAAAAAATGGTTAAAGTAAAATTCTATCCTCCTATGTAAATTAACAACTGAAAAGGACAATTTTTAACTTAAAATTCTTGGACTACTTCGAATGCTGTGTTAAAATATGGTAACGTGGAGTGAGTTGGTTTGTGTGTGGCCTCTGATCCCAAACCAAGTCAATCCCATGATCCCCATTTCTCTTCTGCCCTCTGGATGTATTCTGTAACTCAAACACCTCACTCATCTAACCTGTGCCCACAAGGCCTCCACTCCAAGTACCCCCTTGGCCACCACTCAAGTCTAGAAGAGTGCACACTGGCATCACAGTCTGTCTTCAGGAGAGACCCAGGGAGAACCATGTAAGCTTGGCATCCTCTGCTCAGGGACTTCCAGGAGCCTGGGTACCTGGAGCAGGATATAATGCTTTGACGCTTAAAGTGTAGTCCACAGCACCAGGGGTCTGTTAAAACTTCAGACTCTCAGACCCACGCTGGACCTACCCACTGAATTAGAATCTACACTTTGGCAGGATCCTCAGGTGTTTCATATAAGCACATTAAAGTTTGGGACGCACTGGGCCAAAAGGGATGGTGGCTGCTTGACAGGCAAGTCCACTTGTCCCCAAGAACTCCTCACCCTGTAGAGACAGCCATGGCTGGGTAAGGGCCAGGATGGAAACAACTAAAGAGTAGCACTAGGACAGGATCCCTTCTAGCTCAGGTTGGAAACTCAACAACAGATTTAATTACATTCAGGAGGGCAGTAGACCTAGTGTAAAAACATATGCTGACCCATGATGGGGACGTCAAGGGTGGCAGCCCTGCCTAACGGAGGCAGCCAGTGCCCAACTATAGCTTACTGTGGCCTGAGGCTATACTATGCTAGCTATGGGGTGAGGTCAAATCATAGACAGGTGGAATTAATATACCAGCCTGGTAGTTCTCATGGTGGGTGGGAAAAAAATGGGTATCAGAATCTGCTGAAAAGGTGTTAGAAAATATTCATGTCCCTGCCTCCACCCCTGAGAAAGTATCTAAAATTTTGGTTGAGGAAGAAAAACATACATTTTTATTTTTAAAAATCCCCAGATCATTTTGATTCATCCTCCCTAACCCCTGCCTCCACCCTTGCCATGTTAAAAATTATTCTGGACAACAGAACACAGTTAGCTGTTTCCATTGATTGTCACTGCTTAAGGCCCGGGGTTGTGCTTGGATGAGGCTGCTGACTTGCTTAATCCTTTCTCAGTCATTCTCTTATCACAAGTACACACATGAACAAAGGTTCACTCTCCATCTCTACATGCTAAGTGGAGCCAAAACGGACACATGGTGGAATTATAAGCGAAAAATTCCCAGACCATTTGGTCCCTGTATGAATCTCTACAGGAAATGCATCTCGTGCTGTGCATCTGGGTTTTATCAAAGAGAAGGTTTATTTCTACCCAGGATTCCGTTTTTTTGATAGTTACATTCTTCAAAGTAGGTGAAAAGACAAAAGAAAAAAGAAGAAGAAGAAAAAAAAGGTGGGGGAAATCTAAAGTAAGGTAACATAATTATTGAAGAATACTGAGGCAATCACTTCTGTTCCTTTAGCCACATTCCTCTGTGTGTATAATTACACAAATATTTTCCAAGTCATAATTCAAAAATAATTTATCTTTGACATTTGCATGCAATGCTACTTTTTTTTTTTAACAAATATTTATCGAGAATACACTACATATTGGACACTTTCACATACATTATTTTATTTAATCCTTACAATAACTCTTTGAGTAAGGCCTGTGAGCAGTCTAAGACACAGAGAGAATGACTGACCTGTTCAGATCATTTATCAGCAAGTTAGTGGGAGAATGTCTCCAATTCACCCAGCATTCTGTCCACAACAATACCTCTTTTAATTCGTTATCTGGCCCTGTTGAGAATAGGATATTCCACAAATATTATCTTTCATTATAGAAGCTTAGCCTACAGAGCAATCACAGTCTAAAAATTTAAATATTTCTGAGGAAAGACCTTTTGACATACATTGTCTATTTCCCTGTCTTCTAAATAAAGCATGGTGAACATTAGCTTTTTCCTAATAATTCAGTCATAATGTTTTTACTGTGCTATATAGTAGTATAAATGTTTATATCTTTTTCAAATTTTATGTCTCTCTCCCCCTCAACTGTTATATGTCAAAATAAGCATTAGGTAGGGTCTGAGTTAGAGCCCAACAGGTAAAGTGCATGGAATTCATGTAAAGGCTTTGTGTCTATTTCATGGGCTGGAAGAACTTTTTGAATTCTAATTTTGGGAATAAGGTTGCAAGTGAGCTGACTTCTAGATAGGTTGGGAGGTAGCATTTGAGGTCCTGGGACAACAGATTCACTTACCTAAATCAGTCTCATTTAAGAAATTCCTGAACCACACGAATAATTAGATATAACTTCTACCACTTGTTGAACAATAAAAGAAAGAGCAGAGTCTAAATAGTTCAGAGCACAGATTCTGGAGCTAGACTGGGATATTCTGTCTTTGCCATTTCCAAGAAGTGTGACCTTAAGCAAGTTATGTAACTTCTCTGTGCATCATTTTCCTAACCTGCTCTTAGAAGTTCCTATGAGGATAAAATGGATTATTCACATTCATAAAGCTCTTCTGATAGTGTCTGGTATGTAGAAATTGCTATTTGCTCATAAAATAATATAGACAGAAGTCAAATTCTGATGGGAAAAAAAGTCACAGATAATCCTGAAAGTGTGTAATCAGCGATCAGCTACATAACCAGAATGACTCTAGATTTGAGGCTCCCATTCCCTGCCATTCTGTGTGTGATGCCTATTAAATGGGCCCCTCAGAAGTAAGTTGCTTATTTCTAGTGAACTCTATGGCTTGTGGTAACACGATCCATCATGAGATGCTGCAACAGGCTGACATTTTCCACATGTAAATCCTTCACTTTGTAATGTAAGAGCAATTACTTTTATGAACAAAATCTTTTCAATCGACCATTTCAAATCCTTGTCTTGCCATGTCATAGTCAAAACATCTGTCCATTAAAGCTAACGTAAAAGTATATTAAACCAAGTGTGTTTGGTTTGGGACATCTGCTTCTTTCTACTGGTATGAGAACTATTCTAAATTCAATGGATTCTGTCTATAGGGCTTTCATGAAAACTTTTTAGTTATATTCATGGGGATTATCAAATAGCCTACAGTTTTGATTACTGTTTCAGGTTCAAATAGAATTCAGAGTTCAACAAGAGACTCAATCAAAATAACAACAATAATAACAACTATAACACAAAGAATAAAAATCTTTGCCTGACACTTTTACATAAAGAGTTTCATATATTGATGTTAAGTATTATATAAATATGATATAATGGCTTGTACAATGAGTACTCTATATTTTTAACACTATTGATTTTTTTATGTTCTTCATTTTGCATTCTTGTTAAACATAGTCATTGTTTTCATACTGAACTTAAAAGGGGAAAAGAATGAACAGAGACTGAGTTCAGGAGACCATGATAGGCCTAGATTTCAGATCAATCCCAATAGTTTTACCTCTTTTCTATGTTGACTTCTTACTGGAAGCTGAAATTATATGAATGTTTGGATATATTTCCAAGAAAGCATTTATTAATAAATATATCTAGAGCTTGGTTATAAAGTTGTGCCAGATGTAATTAAATTTTGAAGAAAATATTTTTTTAAAAAAGTCAAGAAAATAGCATTCACTATTTTCAACCAACATTTGGCTTATAAACAAAGTACAGTTTTCTAAAATAACAAAGCCAGCCACGTAAGCCTCCTTGACCATGGTATTTACTGATCACTTTCCATATTTCATTTTCTTTGCAATATATCCACAACAAATTGTAGTAGAAAGAACAAAGAACTTACAGTCTGAAAAAACTCTGTTCAAGTCCTAATCAAATCCTTATCAATCTTTGACTACATGAATTTGAGCCAGTAACACAACCTTCCTTCTCACTTTCCTTAACTCAGAGTCAACACACGCTACCTCTCTAATAAGATTGAATGCTGGTGAAAGTTGCAACATATGAGATTTTTATGCATTGATCAAGTGCCTACTGTGTGCTAGGCTTTATTCAAGCCATGACTGATGGTTAAAAAGAGCCCCCAATGAATCAAGTTTTCCTCGGTGCATGCCAGTTACAAAGTGAATTTGCTGTTCCTCTCCTTTAGAGGTGAAGTCTGTTTTCCATCACTTGAAACTGGGCTAGCCTGGTGACTTGCTCTGACTAACAGAATGTAGCAGAAATTACTTTCTAGGACTCCATACCCAAGCCTGCTTTTGCTCTTGGAGCCCTGTTGCCATGCTAAGAAGTTCAGCCCATCCAACTGGACAGAGAGGCCACATGGGGAGAGGGAGACCCTGGAGGATATGAAACCACATAGAAAGGGAGGTCCCATGACAAGCACTGACCCACTCCACCTCTGGCCAACACCACATAAAGCAGAGAGGAGCAGACCCTCTGAGCCCTGCCCCAGATTCTGACCCACATGATCATGAGAAAAACATGGTACAGTTGTGTTAGGCCACTAAGATTTGGCATGATGTGTATTTGTCGGTATATAACTGATAAACAATTCAGTATTTTCACTGTCTTTGCAATCTTCAGCACAACCTTTTGAAATAGTTATTGTACCCATTTCACAGAGAGGAAGCTATGGATCAAAATAAACTGATAATGGGCCAGGCACAGTGACTCACTCCTGTAATTCCAGCACTTAGGGAGGCCGAGGTGAGTGGATCACCTGAGGTCAGGAGTTCGAGACCAGCCTGGCCAACTTGGCAAAACCCCGTCTCTACTAAAAATACAAAAATTTGCCGGGGATGGTGGCAGGTGCCTGTAATCCCAGCTACTTGAGAGGCTGAGGCAGGAGAATCGCTTGAACCCAGGAGGCAGAGGTTTCAGTGAGCCAAGATCATGCAACTGCACTCCAGCCTGGGCAACGAAGTGAGACTCTGCTTAAAAAAAGAAAAGACTGATATTGGATGTAAACACCACTTCACAAACCCCTAAAGTGCCCTAACTGACAGCAAAACCATGAAACTCTCCCCCTCTTGTGAAGGAGTACACTTAAAAAAAACTTTCTATATAAAAGCATTGTTCTGCTTCATGCAATGATTCAGAAACCCCCTAAACATTCTCAGTAAATCTCTGTCATTTTTTTCCCAGTGGGATAAAAGCCTATTGCTAGGTCTTGGAGACAGCAGACTCCAGTTTAATGTAAGTTCCAGGACAATCAAAACCACTTGTATTCCAACAAAATGTTCAGTTTCTCACATTAATGGAAACAAGACTCAAGTTTGGATTAAGCATTCTAGTCTTTTGATTCAGTTGGCCTAACTCATAGGATTTTAGAGCTGAATCGAAGCTTAAGGTCATCTGGTCCAAACCTCCAATATCAGACAAAAACTTACTCAAGTCTACCCACCCAGTTCATGGCAGCAGGACCAAACCAGGTATCTGATTCCCAATCCACTCAGCACTGCCTTTCAGACACAGTTCCAAGAGTCATTGCAGAGGTCACCTAGTGCAGGATTACCCACTTCCAGAATTTTGGAAAAGATAAATAATTGCATGTCTTCTCATATAACAGTTTCATCTATTTTCACTAATAGGATTATGTAGTCTTTTAAAGCTAGATCTAAAGTCTTTCACAAAAGAGAACATCTGCATTACTTATTTTTTAAAAAAATACCATAATAACTTTTAAAATAACATAAAGAAAAGTGCACAAAAGGCATGAATGGCATGTGATCAGAAGAAAGGATGATTTAATTGGGCAATATGAGCACAATTCTCAATTCATTATTTATGATGCTTGTTGACATTTGCAGTGAAACATCAATGTTGGCTTCTTAGTATAAAATAAGTGATTGGGAGGAAACACCATGCAAACTAACAGAACATCTTTGGCACGTATCTAATGGTAGCAAAAAAAAAAAAAAAAAAATTAAAACATCCCATCATTAACTAGTTTTGTTTTCATGATGTTCATTCTGCTTCATTTGCACATCTTTTAGCAGCAAAAGTTAAAAACAGAAGTTGCATTCCTAAAGCTGATTTTGCTAAAATATCTTGTTATGAGAAAAAGGACTCCTATGAAATAAAAAGCAAACAAACAACATCAAGAACAGCTTTATTGGCTCAAGGACTGGGCTGGCCCATGGAAAAAATCCTGGAGTGATTTGTCCTAGTCCTATAGTGCATACATATTTCTTGCCTTGAGCTATACCTTATACAATTGAAATGTTACTATATGCTTCAAGTATGTCTTATCTTCTGAACTACATCAAATTCCATAAGAGTAGAGACTATTCCTTAAATATCTTCCTTCACAGTGCCTACCAAATTCTATACTTCTATGTAAAACTAGAAAATTTGCTAAGAGAATACAAGCGATATTCAAAGCATGTTGCCCTTTTTTCGCAGGTAATAACAATTGTATGATGTACCACCACCCTTCTCCCAAGAAGGGAATCAAGGGAAGACAGTAACTCAAGTTAGAGCATTTGGAATTAGAATGCAACCAGTCCCTGTAGTCTGCATTTTAACTAGCAGGGATTTTAGGTATGAGGCATCTGCAACCTAGAGAGGGCTCAAGACATCATTGCAATTTAGATATACAAGTCGTATATTTTGGGAGCAGGATTACTCCTTTACTGTAGCCATACTTGGTATTGTGAACAGAGAAGGAGACGTTTTTAGATTGAGAATGGTGAGGAATGCATTGGAATTATCCAATTACAAGATGACTGACTGCCATCATTTTCTTGTATACGGCTGAATCTGCCATCGATCCTTGACTAACTCTCCATGACCCAGGAAGGAGGAAGAGAGGAAAAGAAAGAAGAGGCATTGACCTGAATTAGCTAAATAACACTTGCAGAGTTCACTTTTCCTCCCCTCTAGGGTGTGCCAAGGTCTCCTGGCAGTCTGTGTCTTTTTTTTTTTTTTTTTAAAGTTAGATATTTGCTCTTCTACCAGAAAGCCTTTCTATTGACAAAGTAACAGAAGAGTAAATTTTAACTTGAAGTTTTTCCACCAGACAGATGTCTTTTCTTGTGAGAACTGGCATATTTTTATCCTCAGAATAATCTCTGGTTTCATATGCCTAATTAAATTTTAGAAGTCCCCTGCTTAAATAAAGATTTATTAGCTGTTAAAGTTGTAGCATAACTCTTCTGCCACCTACACGCTATCCTTGAACATATTTACAAGCAGACTAGCTTATCCACTATAAAAAATATGAGTGATTTAATACTCTGATGTTATTGGTGTCAATTACAAAATTCAGCTTCACAATAGAGCTTTCTGAAGATACTGTTACTTGACTTTCAGACTGTCAATTTACTTGAAGAAAGAGCGTCTGTGAATTTCAGCTATGAAGTATTGGAACTAGTTAAGCTGATGAAGGCAGTCAGCAGGTCTGGAACCCTGAAAATAGGGCCCAAGAAAGGTTACAAGCTGTGCCACGTACAAATATGGTCCCATCACTAAAAAAGCCTTCTCTTTATGGGTGAATGCATGGGCACTGACATTCATGTGAGTGTTTAGTGAGACACACAAACTCACAGACGTATCAAGGGTCATTGTCTGAAAAATACTTCCGCCCACCAACAGTTTTGACATCTTCCATTATTCCTAGGAATTTTAGCTGTAAGTTTGCCAATCTTAAATTTTGTCAACATATCTAAAATATTCAGAATTAAATGCAATTTGGCAAAATTAGCAAACTTCCAAAGTCCTATTTCATGAGGACACGTCTAAGTATGGATTGCATTGTGCCTACATCTCAGTGGAGTTACTTGATCTAATCAGACTTTCAGAATCAATGCAGTCAACACAATGAAAGTCCCCATTGACCCCAAGGTTGAAGCATCACTTGCAGAAATAATCAGAACATCCTGGTCTGAGAATAGAGACTGGGTAGAAACAAGGTGTATGTTTAGCTCTTTAATAAAGGGATATTTGAAAGATGTAATGTCTATTTTCTAATTCTCAGGAAAGAAGAAACACTTTTAAGCTCTGTTTCTTAAATCCTCAAGCTCAGTTGCTTTCCAGGCAAGAACCAAAATACATAGATTACATTCAGCATAAGTTGAAGGTCAATAGATTGGCGTTCTACTCTAGAAAACAAAAAGAGACAGAAAGGTGACAGAATTTGAGCATTATAATTAAAATGGCCTTTCTGGATCTTGCAGTACTATAATCCAAAGACTGGACACAGGTACTTCTAAATAATTTTCATAAAAATATCCCCCCATGTATTCCCCACCATCAGAAAAGTATTCCAATCTTTGACTAGCAATTTTATGTAAAATGCTTTTGGGTTTTATGTATAAATTTTAAGTATAACTTTGTTACTTCACTGTCAGGTTTAATGCATACAATTTCTTGTACATTTTGAGTTTACATAAAATTACAGGTTTTGCCTCATTGTGTTTACTTAACTTCAAACACACACAAAAACAAACATGTTTTGTATGTCTGTGTTATCTAGTTGGGGACATGAGCCCTTTTTCCCTCAGGATTTCAATTCTCATACTATTTTCATCTTTACTAACTCATTTGTGGGCCAATTTCACAGCATAATCTATGGGCAAACACACATTTGCTCTAAAATAATTAAAACTTTTCAGAAGGAGTAAACCTGTTTTTCTTTAATTTTCCTTGTCTTTCATGGCCACCTGATGCTCCATGCAACATACAAGTGTCAGCAATTGCAAGGATATAATGGCCAGGTGAGGTCATCTCAGACCTCATCAACCTGCTGGAAAATTATGAACTGTCCCTGTTGAGATTTTAGCAAGTTTCTTCCTTCAAATATCACTTCAGATGCTAAATAAAAAGCAACATTTATGAAATAAACACATTTACTCAGGCAGGTTTCCTTGATTTTTATTGCCAACTTGTTTTAAAATTACCATAAATGCCAGAGAGAAAGGGAAAAGAAAACCCAGTTTGAGACACAAAATGCATGTTACTACCTATCAAGATGTGAATTGTTAATGTTGCATCTCATTTAAAGGGAAAAAAAAGTACTATATAAATATGTGTGTAAGCACATGATTTTCCAAGTGGTTTAATCACTTTATTGAGGTATCTTTTGACTCATAACAAAAAAAAAAAAACTATTAAAAAATCCTACTAAGAAGTAAACTATTTAGATAGTCTTCAAGACATAAACATGTAGATGTTTGATTCTGGAAATAGAATTACCACATAGAGTTTAATTTATAATTTTAAAATTGCCATGTATAATAAATTGTCACATTTTATTTGGAATCACTTGACTGACTTAATTTGCTTGATTAATAATAGAAAGAGACAATAGGAAAATAATATAGTTTTTTATAATATTCAGGATTAAATCATCTATGTTCAATAGCTGAATATTATATTCTGTGTTTCTTTAAAATATAGAGTGCTGATTCCATGAAATTATTTAGTGTGAGCTATTAAAATGTTAGTTCATTTAGAATGTGCACTTTGTTCTTGCTATACTCTTACAAGCATTACCTGGAGTTTTCTTAATAGACTATTCTGATAAAATTAAGTCAAAATATGAATAAAAATGTTTTTTGTAAGCCATATCCCCACCTAGAAGTGAGAGAAATCTAGTTTTCCATTAATGGCACATCCCTCACCCACCCTGTCTCTACTCCCTTTCACCCCATACACAATTTTGGGAAGTGTCCTGTGGGTGTCTGACATATACTCTTGGTTAAAATATGACACCTAGCATTTTCCTCTGTGTTAGAAAGGGTTCTCTGTGCAACAGAAATAGAACCAATAAGAGATATATAATATATATAATATAAAATTATACATATATACCTATATATACATATAGTTAGATTACAGATAGAGATTGTGGGCCTCTTCCTTAGTTCAGCTGAAGATGGGGTCCTTGTCATATAGCCATGAAAATTTAGGCTCCCAGATGATTTGTAGAGTGGGAAAAATGAGTATTGTGCAAAAAGGAAAAAAGGGGGAAACAGAGACTCTTAGCAAAGCGAGAGTGTTTCCTGCCCATGGACTTCCTGCCTCTCATCTTGAATCGCAGGTACCACCCAGGAGGAGGAGGAGCCAAGCTCCTCCCCACTGCAAAGGGTGCGAACTTCTGTGGCTCCACCCTGGTGCACACTCCTCCCAGTGCATAGGCAGGTTGGAATTTTTCCAGCGAGTCCTTCCCACCTGGCTGTCTTAGATAGATAGATAGATAGGTTATAGATAGACAGATAGACAGATTAGATAGATAGATAGATAGATAGATAGATAGATAGATAGATAGATAGGTACATACATACATACATACATACATACATACATACATACATACGTAGATACATAGATAGATACATAGATAGAGACAATTATGGGAATTAGCTCACACAATTACAGAGGCTAAGAAGCCCCACAATCTGCTGTCTGCAAGCTGGAGACTCAGGAAACTCAGTGGTATAATTCAGTCTGAGTCCAAAGAACTCAGAACCAGGGGAGCCACTGGTGTAAGTTGCAGAGTCTGAAGGCTGCAGAACGAGTAGCTTGATGCCCAAAGGTAGGAGATGGATGTTCCAACTCAAAAAGAGACAGAATTCACCCTTCCTCTGCCTTTTTTGCTCTATTTGGCCCCCAGTGAATTGGGTGATGCCTGCTCACATGTGTGAGAGGATTGTCCTTATTCATTACTGATTCAAACACTAATCTCTTCCAGAAGCACCTTCTCAGACACACCCAAAAATAATGTCCTACCAGCCCTCTGGGAATCCCTTAGCCTAATCAAGTTGACATATAACATTAACTATCATATCCTCCCTTCCTGCTTTAGTTGTCTCTGAAAATGTCTCCTCATCTGCCTTTGAGTGGTATGGAATCACTGCTGAGCCTCCACTATTGGTGCCATCAAAGACCTCAGTGATGCCAAGGTAATGACACTGATGCCCTCCAAGAGCATCCTATCTTTGCTGCTGCCTGTGATACCAATGTTGTGTGTGGTCTTCCCCAGTTTCTTGTTTCACTGAGCTGCAGATTAGTCTGTTCACTGCTTGCGCCCTGGAATTGAACACTTGAATGTGCTTTAACCTTGTTGTATCTTCTACCCCTCTTGTTACACTCTCTTACATAATTATATTTCCATAGATTTACCACAAAAAAGAGATCCTTCTGACTTTATTTTTGTTTTACTATAATTTACTGACAAGCCCTTCTTCCTAGAACTCAAGTTCAAGTCTATGCAGGCTGGACTGGAGGCTATCTTTTCTCTCCCAAGCCTGATGCCATTTGATAGCTCAGCTGTGCTTTGGTGATCTTTATTCTTATGATGAAGTTTTTCCTAAGAGATGTCTTCATTCCTCATGCATAGACTCCTCTAAGTGCATTTACAAGTCTTGCAAATTTGCACACAAAAATTTCCATCTCCAATAAAAATACATAAAGTCAAGATAAGACCTCCCTTTGACATGTGTATTTTAAATAATTATCTGGATGTTTTTCTTTTAAAAATTAAATATATTATCAGTATTGAGTCATCTGTAGGATTTACTGAACTTCATGAAAGACCTTGCACCCCACAATACCCTAGTCTTTTCTATTATTCAGTGTTAAGGGATGGAAAGAATGCCTATGTAGTAGCTTACACTTTCTTCAGCTTTAAGATGCCTGTTTTGGGATTTTTTGTTTTTGTTTTTACATTTTAACATTTATAAAATCAAGACATTTCTTACAAACAATGTATACATTTAATGCTTGGGGTTTTAGTTTTTGTATCCTTGAAAACAATTGAAAGTATGTCTTACAAATGATAATATCATTGAATCAAGAAAATATAATAATCAGCTTTCTACTATTTCTCAGTTCTTTTCACTTGGAAACTATATTTGGCCTGAGATGTATCCAAACACACATGTATTAACAAGCAACAATACACTGATTTAATTGAATAATTAAGGAAGTGACCTCTTGATACAATGATAGAGGCAGGGGGCAGAGAAATTCTAGGCAGAAAAGGGTAGGTCCCCGACAAAACCCCACCTTCGAGCCAAAAACCCTAAAACTGTGGCCCAAAGTGAGAACTTCTATCCCTGTTTTCCCACTTGAATGTTGCCTTTTCCTAAACTACCCATGGCCCACCCCATCCCCCATCCTGTGCCTGTAAAGACCTCAGACTCAGCCAGCAGAGAGAAGCAGCAGCTGGACATCAGGACTATGGCTGGATGTCAGAGAGAAGTGGCTTGATTTCAGAGGGAGAGCATGATGGCATAACTTTGGAGAAAAATCTGGTCAGAGACAGCCAGACTTCAGGGGAAGATTACCTACCCACTCCATTCCCTTTTCAGCTCCCCTTCCTGCTGAGAGCTACTTTCATCAGCAATAAAATCCCCTGCATTTACCATTCTTCAATTCGTTTGGTGCAACCTCCTATTTCCTGGATGCTGGACAAGAGCTTGGGAGCCATGAGTGTGGATAGAAAAGGCTGTCACACTGGCTTTTTGCTTTTGCTGGTGGAAGGCAGCCACCTCATGTGAAAAGGCAGAGGGCCTACTGAACTGTTAACACTTAAGCTGTCCACAGACCAGACAGCAGAGCTAAAAGAGCACAGTAATATGCCCTCTGGGGCTTTGGGGGTTGCAGGCACCCCTCACCTAGATGCTGCCATAGGGCCTGCAGAGACTTTGCTCCTGCCAGTGCCCAAAAGCACTCGTTCCAGCTCCTGCACCCACTCACCTGTGGGCTCCCTCCCAGAAGGGATGGAACGCAACAGATACACGTGAGTGCAGTTTGATCCTGCTGGCACCAAAGCAGCTAGCTGGTTCCAGTGCTCATGCACTCCAGTTCCTGCCTCATTCACTCACACACTCCCTCCTGCGAGGAGTTGAGAGTGGTGGGCTGAGTAAACAAGACACCTGTGTCATGAGTCCCCCAAAGGGGTCAGGGAAATATCCTGCTTCACTTTGACCTAGATACAAATAACATGACTGAGGAAACCTAATTAATTTAGTATAAGATGTTTAAACTGCTGAAGATTGCCTGCCAGAGGATTTGAGATGTGTAAGTACAACAGAATTGTTCATATTCTTGATGTATATGATGGGTATTATTATTTTCATGTGAGTCTACATAGATATACATTATCTTTATAATAAGTAAACAAGTATTTTGCATGGATCAGTTTGACTGTCAGATAGGATGGTTTTTAGAGAGTGGTGCTAGGGTGTCAACATCATGTGTGTGATTCTTACACAGACCAATAATCTTTGTCCTGCTACATGGCTATGGACCGAACCTTGATATCAGTCTCCTGTCTTCAAAATTTGCCCTATTGTTTTTAATGGACTTCTAATAAAAGAGTGTAAATAAATTAACATAAGTCAGTTCACACTATAGAGAAATAAAAGAGTCTCCAAGAACATTCCATAATCAGACTCTTCTTGACTTGGCACTAAGGATAATAAGTTGGCTCTTCTGCTTCAAACTTGAGTTATGTGGTCAGAACATTCTCTCAATTCTTCATCAGGCTTGGAATCTTTGCCATCTACCCACTAAGTCATAGATCACCTCTGATCAGCATTAGTCCCCTCTCCTGACCCAGAGGCCATGATGATAAACTATGTGGACTGAACTGTATCGATGGTGCTTCTGATCTGTTGCCTATTGAACACGTGTTCCAAAGGGTACAGAGGATGCAATGAGAATGTATATCCTGAAGATGTATAATGTGGTGCTGGGATACTGAACTCATACTGTTCCAGATATATCAAAACTCTGCTAGTCTTACCACATCTGATTTAAACTCTTTCATCTTTATTTTTCCTAGCTTAACAAAAACCTCTGCAAATTTCCAAGTCTCATTCTAACTTGTAGTAAAGCTCCAAAGAGCATCCATTTTTCCTCTTTCAACTTTTATTACATTGGGTCACCTTGGCCTTTGAAGAGTCTGTGTGATTAAGTGTACCCTGAAATCACTGCCTCAAAACCACCTGAGATCAAAATACGGATGCCTATTCCCCACCACAAGCCCACTCAATCAGAATATCCAGAGGCAAGGTGCAGCCCAAAAGCACCCCTTGTTTAGGAACTACTGATTTGGTGAGACTACCAGCAGTACACCTTATAGCAGTTGAGTATCGTAGCAATTTAATCATGCACCTAATGGGAGTAGGAGGTGTGCAAACTGCCCTTCATGAGTAACCTGGAGACACTCACAAGAACCAACTTCACCATCACTATCATTCTCTATCTCTGACTGAAAATGACATTTACTTCTTCATAGAGGCAAACAGGTATTCTACCACTAACAGGTCCTCACATTAAAATTTTGCTTGAGGCTGCAGTGAACTATGATCATGCCACTGCTCTTCAGCAAGGGCTTCAGAGTGAGACCCCATCTCTAAAAAGATAAAAAAGAAAATTTTGCTAAAAACAAGTAGACACCAAAGACCCATCAGTCAGAAGCCAGCCTACTCTGAAAGAAACCACCACAAAGACCATCTGATGTTTTATTAGCAGCACTTTGCTCAGCCCCTGGTTAAAAAGCAGTTCTCTGCAGCAACCCAGTTTTAGTTGTCCCCAGGGATCTGGCTTGAAAAGAAGTTTGACATTATATTTTCTAAGCCAAACGGGCACTTCTAGCTTAGAAGCATCAGACCAGACACCTGCTCAGGAGCATTGTAACTCACTTATTTCTCAATGAACAAGTTATTACCCTTTCCTTTTTGTCTGAATTGCTGTCCCTAGATGCCATTCCCATGGGTGATCTCTACCTGCACATTGCTCTACTCATGGTATTGATAGGTCCATGTGTCATGCAGCCTGAGGAGAAACATGGTTTGATATCCTAAGGGGGCAATTTCTCTCCTTGGGGAAGAGCTGGCTTCCATTGCTGTGCCTTGCCTCTCATTAATGTTCCAGCTAGGTCTCTTTACTGCTCTATTTAACAGCATCCACTCCATTATTGATCATATTTTGTGTAATGGTAGATTTGCTGGTGAAAATGATGATTATGCTGTAAAGAGAGGGCAGTGTTTGGGATCTCGCTTCTATAAAATTTAGCAGTGCTGTGGAGTCTGCCTCAAATAAGTGAATTGGAGATGCATTCTGGATGAGTGGTAATAGGGGTGAAACCAGTTCCTGAGAGTGAGATGATCTAATGCTTCCCTCTACACTGTAAGCCAAGACCACTCCAAAGCTGATGTTTCATGTCTTAGCCCAAAGGATTTAACACTACAGGCCTTTTGTAATCTCTAAGTGGGTACTCTGTACATTTTAACATGGAACAATGTGACCACATTTTTATATTTTCTATATTTTCAGTCTAATTTACTGCTTTATTTGATATATGGTAAAGTTAAGAGTTTTTGTTCATTCTTTCATTATTCTTTACACTGAAAATTGCATAGGGTTGTAATCTTTTAATTCATATCTATTTCTTCTGAAAGCTGACAATTGCTTCAATTATATTCTGTCACCTTTCTGCTATTACCAATACCTTCTTGCCTAGCCTTTTATATTTAACTCAATCAGTCATGATAATAAACAAATTAATTTACTTCTTTTTTAAGTCATTGAAGTGAAGATGGGAGGGTCACTGAATCAGTCAGGTTCCAATCAGGAGACAGAAGCCACATAGCAATGTGAACAAGGAAAGCTTAGTGAAAAAGGATTATTAACTACAAGAGTGGATTGCCATCTTAGGAGTAGGTAATTCTTACCTATTTGGGGTAAGATTACAGAAATAGCACAGAGAGGGAGCAGCCACTACCTCTAGGTTTGAGGCAGAGGACCCAGTGAAGCCCTGCCTCCTTCAAGGTCTCAGTGAGACCCAGTCTCCCTTGGAGAGGACTTGATCATTCATGGCTCACTGAATGGCAGGCCAGTTTCCCATAATAGTGGAACATCTAAAAAGCTGCCCTCTGCGTTGCTGGGGAAAAGCTGCTAATGGGGAGATACTCATGAAATGTGCTGCCTCTGAACCCTGCTGGTGTCCTGTGAATGCTGCCTACCTTATACTACAGAAGTAACCAGAAAACACACAGAAACCAGAAAGAACAGCCCTTTCCTCCTCCAGTGTCCCTCCAGTGCCCTCTACTGCAAAAAGGGAACATTGTGCAAGCTGGCAAGGGAGAAATGTCCCACTATCAAAAGCAGGGCAATGAAGCGTAGATTAGGAAGTGAGAGGCAATAGCCTAATAACTGACATAGTCCACCCCTTTGGTCACTGAGCTTCTATGTGCACCCATCTGCACGCAAATGAACTTCTTTACAACAACCATGCAAGTCTGTTTCCACCTAACAATGTATAGCTATCCTTCATATAAGGGAAGATGTTCTTATCCTTTCCCCAAAATGAAGAGACATAGAATGCCAACAGTCATTATAACCATCATTAGCCATATTAATTACTCCTCAAATTCAGTCATAGTCCCACTAAGTATCCCATTACCCAGAGACTAAGGTATATTGACAACTGGCACAACCATTAAGAAAATGGAGCCCAAAGCTACCTCCTCTAACCTCTATGGCAAACCTCCCCCTACATGGTATCTCCATGACCACAAATCTTCCTCCTCTCAAGCCTTTGTTCCCCTGCCTAGTCTGAAGTAACATGATCCAGTTGATGCCCACCTACCTACTGCTGCTTCTGCCACTTCCCATCTTCATCATTGCTGCATTTTACTAGCTGACACCTCTTAGACAAGGCCTTGATACAGTGCCCTATGCAGTCGCTACCTGCATGCTCATGGTACGGGGTATGAATGACAGTAAAAATTACACAAGTAACAGTTAAACTTAATCATTTCACTCTCCTTCCCCAAATAGGGAAATTGGACAATTTAAGTTTAATTCATGTCTCTCCCACCTCAGCCAGTTAATAAGAATTGAGTATCCCAAAGTCAATGAGGAAAAAAAAATAACTTAAATTTTAAAATATAGTCAATGAGAAGAGGACTAAAGAGAAGCAGACTAGATCATTCGCCCATGGAAAGTGAAGACTTGCCAATACAATGTGCCTTTTTAGTGTTTTCCTTTAATTGTTACAAATCTGTGATTTGTTATATTTGACCCAGTGGAAGTCCTGCAAGTCACACTGACCTATTAATAGAAACCCAGACTCCAAACAACCAAGAAACAGAGCTCAGGCCTGCTTCATTTCTCTACTTGCACCTCAAGAGCAGCAGTGACCTTTGCCTATCATCCGACAACAATGTGGATGGCATCATATTTCTACCAACATCTCTGTTTGGTGTGTGAAGTTATTTCCAAAAAGCTTCATTCATTTAATCCTCCAGCTGTCTAAAAATCTTTATGGGTGACCATTTTTAGCATGCCCTTTACCCTTTGCTCTCTGAACCCATCCAGGTCCTTGCTTAAGGCTCCCAAAGGTCTAAGAGCAGTAGGGGGAGAAAGTGAAAACTGGATACCTAATGATATAGAAGTCAGCTGGTAAAGTCCATAAAATTACTTTGGGGATTAGCTGGTAGAAGAGGTGGTGCTGTGTTTGTACTTCTACTTTCACAACACAAAATAATTAATGAGTAAAAAATACTTTTTGTTTAATAATTGCTGTTCTTCATTAGTGTGAACCAAGGGCACGGTCTATCTAAGACAATAACATCTGCACCCCATATTTCATTATCACCAAACTTCACATTTCACACAAAAGCAATGCTAGCACAGCCTTACAGCTTTAATTAGTTTCTGCCATAGCTGTGAAGGTCAGCCAATTATTGTGTGTGAAATTTCAATATGAAGTGGCTGAATTGAAGACAGCATTGCAACAGTGTGGGATTCTGCAGTGCTGTAAATCTAGTACTTTGGAACCATTTTTTAAAACACAAGATAACATAAAATAATCATCAGGTATGCATGGCTTCAAGGCTTACTGGTTAATTTAACATGTGCTTGGTGGGGGAAGAAAACCACATCATTTCTGATTGTTGCTTAAATTCCCTCATTACATCGTCATTATCTGTGACACAGTTGTTAAGGCTGAATCCATGTTTTTATGATCAACATCTTTTAACTCACTTAGAATTGCACTGGAACATTTGATTTAGAAATAAAGCCTGGTTTTACTGGATTTACATGATGCTTACACACACACATACATATAGATACATATATACATACACATATATTTTATATAGGTACATAATGTTTAATATGTATGTATTCATATGTATACACATGTTTAAACACTGCATGTTTGACCCATCAAAATATAAAGATATTAATTAAGTCAACTTAAGAATATCATTTTACTGAAAAACTTGCTGAATTAGAAAAAAATTTACTAGGGATTCAACTTTATGAGTTTTCTATTTAGGATCATAGAACTTTGAAATTAGAAATGACCTTGAAGCTCATCTGCTCTAGCCCCTCTGTTTTATGCATGAGGAAATATGCCCAAGAATAATACAGGTTTTCCCAAGTCCAAGAGTGTCAGCAACTCAACTCAAATTCTGGACTCCTATTTCTCCTGACTTTCCATGGGCCTGTTTTACCATGGCATAACAATGGAGATAAGATGTGCCACATGATAAATAAAAGCTCCAAATTTTGCTCTCGGATTTTCATGAGATTGGAGGCCAGTTTGCTTTGTTTTGTTTTCTACATAGATATACGTAGTTTAATCCTAATTCAAGCAAACAAATATTTTTTGAGCTATCCTTTGTGCAAGGAACCCTGAAAAGCATCCCATGTATCTAGCATGATTAAAATGTTTTCACCAAGTTTACAAACCGGCAGCATAGATAAAACAAAGAGGAGGAGTAAAAAGAGACCACAGAGTTAATGGAAACACCTGTCAGATTGGAGGAGGATAAAGACAGGGTAGAGCTAAGGAGGCATACCAAAAGATAAGTCAGAAGAAAGAAAATGGAAGAATATTGAGCAGCATCCCTGGCTTCTACCCACTAGATGCCAGTAGTGCCCCCTGCTCGAATCATGACATTAAACATTCTCTCTATACATTGACACATGTCCCCAGACAGGGGTAGAGGGGGAGCAAATTTATTTAAGAACCACTGATCTAGGGTCTAGATTCCAGACTATAAAGTATTGTGGATCTTGGAAGACTTCTCATTTCCAAAATAGACAATTTACTTCAACTTCACTGGGATGCGTGAACCTTTGATCCTTCCATGATTTCCCAAGCTACAGGCTGGGAAGGTAATATCACAGACTGCAGAGAGGCTCAGAAGCTAAAGATTGAACTGAGGTTGCTTGATTTGATGGTTTGGTAACCTATGGAAGGAAGTTAGATTGCAATGGATTAAAGAGTAAGTGAATGTGATTGAGCAGTGAGCAAGTACAGTTGCAGGTGTGCACAATTCTTCCAATGAGTTAAAAAGTAAAAGAGCAGAGGTGATGTAGCATCTCCAGGGAATTATAGGGTTGAGCACTCTCAACCTCAGGAACTGTTGATATCTGGAGCAGATAAGTCTTTGTTGGGGTTGGGGAAAAGAAGACCTGTAATTTTAAATGGAATGTTTTGCAGCACCCCTGGTTTCTACTCTTAAGATGCCAGTAACACTCCTACCCTCAGTTGTGAAAACCAAAAATGCCTCCAGATGATGCCAAATGTCCACTGGAACGTAAAATCTTTCCTAATTGAGAACCACTGGGTTAGGGAAGAGGATTTTTTAGTTTTTTAATTGAAAGTAAAGAAAACTTAAGCAAGTTTTCAGAAACAGAAGAAAAGACAAGGAGAATGAGAGAGACTAAAGATGCAAGGGGAAACAAGGACACACGGGGAGGGGACCAAAGCAAGAAAAAGGTAATAATAGGGAAGACCAAGAGTGCTTTGAACAGGAGAATGGACTTTCCTTCAGAGCAAATAAAGAAATAGAAGGTCTGTAAATGGAAGACAGATGTTAACAGCAGTCAAACCAGGAAGTCTTGATCTTTGAAGCAAAGTTGTAGATGAGCTTTGTTTGATGATAGGATTTGAGAGTAGGAATTCACTATAAAGTTGAGAGGCAAACTTCTGGCCACTGCTTAGCTGGGACTTGAGAGAATACCTTGGTAGCAGAACCAAGAAGTGTATAAAAGATGCCAAAGTTGTTTCTTACTCAATTAACCTTTACCTGCCTGGCAGCAGGAGCAGAAAAATGGACACTTCTGCTGAGACAGAAACAGCAGAAGGACAAGTGGCAAAAGGGAATGGGGGCAGAGTAGGAAATCTGTGAGTGTACATGAGGCACAGACTGAGTTAAGAGGGAGAAAAGGGATGAATCAAGGGATCATGCATCCCAATGAGATTGAAGCAGATTCTCTGTTTTGGAATTAGAGGCCTCTCTAAGATCCGTAATACTCTGTGGTCTACAAACTGGAATCTAGATCAAATGACTTTGTCACATCCCTACTCCTGCCAGGGACATTTGGCAATGTCTGGAAACAATTTTTATTATTATGATTGAGGCCAAGACAGGGTGGCAGTGGGAGTGGGACAGGGGTACTACAGGCATCTAGTGGGCAGAAGCCAGGGATGCTGCTGAACATCCTATAATGAACGGTGTAACCCTCACAATAAAGAATTATCTGGTGCATGGAGTCAATAGTGTCACTATTGAGAAACCTTAAGAAACCTTTTATTCTAGATTAAAACTAGCTATCTTGGAAGTTAGCTAATGAAAACTCTTACGACTTTTTTTAAGAAATTAAGCTGCTGAAATTTCTTTTTTACAACCCTATTATACTTTAGCATCAATTTTTATAGTCTTTTGGAAAGAAGGACCTCCAACTGTTTTTATTTATTAATTATTCCATCCCAAATAAGTTGAGTTTTATAATGGGGCCCATGTTAAGCATAGAAAATATAAAAATAAGGTTGACATAGACAAGCATTAACTTAGAGAGAAGCATAACTATGGAATGAATTGTGTCCCTCCAAAATCCATATGTTGAAGCCCTAATCCCTAGTGTGACCGTATTAGCAGATAGTGCCCCTAAGAAGGTAATTAAAGCTAAATTAGGTCATAAGGGTGGGGCCCTGATGTGATAGGATTAGTATCTTTATAAGAAGAGACACCAGAGATCTAGTGTCTGCAAGCCAGGAAGACAGGCCTCACCAGAAACCTGCCATGCTAGCACCCTGATCTCTGTCCTCTCTCCCCAAGAACTGTGAGAAAATAAATGTCTATTGTTTAAACCACCCAATGTCTAGTATTTTAATATAGTAGCCTAAGCAGACCAAGACAGAATATTCTCCTGTTTTGTTGCTATTGTTAATTTAGTTCATTTATTCTAACACTTGTCCTAAGCAAATGCTAAGAAGCCAGTTTTGTCTTAGGAGTCTTCCCATTCTAACCGAACTTCTTATTCTCCACTCTTCTCCCCATCTTTGGCAGTAAGGAAAAGAGATTGTACTTCAAAATTAGACAGACCTGTGCAAATTCTAGCACCTAACCTAAAAAGCACCAGGTTCGTTTTCCTCATGTATGGAAAGGGGCGAAATCACATTTACTTGCAGGTGTATTATATGACTTAAGTGAAAAATCAGGTGAGAATGCCTAATATTGTTAAATTGAGACATGGCAGTCTCTCAATAGATAACACTTCTGATCCTCTTGGATCAGAATTGTAGTCAAAGGTTGTTTTCCGAAATTATTTGGTTTGCTCTTCCCAACTGTGTCATTAGGTGCTGGCCTAAAGAGGCTAAAGTTTTCTCTCTCCCAAAGAATTTTGATAACTGGAAAATCCTCATTGTCTAACAATTAAAACTTCATGATAAATTTCTGACCCCATAACAAGAGGAAGAAGCAATGATATGTTGAGGTGTGAGTACCTGAGTAGTACCTAAAATGAAGTAAATATATAGTTTCTACTAAAGAAAAAAGAAACAAAATAAAGCCCAATTGCGTTTATTCCCAGAATGTTTCAACATTTAAGCAATTCACTTAGCATTTTTTTTGTGACATAAAGTGAAGCAGGAAAATATCTACAATCTATATTATATCTATTAATCCTTGCAGTTTACAACATGCTTATTTTGTGTCAAGTGCTGTGCTGAGCTGTTGACATCTACCAACTCATTTAGCCCTTCCAGAAGCCCTTCCTTCACTAGCATGTCCAACTGGATTATGAAGTGAGGATGGGAGCCTCCATCTGATATTTATGACCGTCCCTTCCTTTGTGCAACAAGTGAAACTGTGTAATGCTGACTCATCTCACCCAGATAAGCAGAGTTGTAAGGACTCCTGGAGGTGTTGGGTGGTGTCTGGGCCAGTTTCATCTGGGAAATGATTATCACAAGTTTCAGATCAATTTTGGGGAGCTTTCTTCAAACAAGATCCAGAATCATCTTATCTTCACCCTCTTTCAAGTATCGATAAAAGGGACAAAGGCTCTTTTCATGAGGAAATGTTCATACTCTGCAGCCGTTCAAAATACAAGTAGTCTCTCTGGTTCATTATCTGGAATCATATAGAACTCCATGGTTGAGAGGAGGGGAGGGATGGTGGATGCACTCCTCTGACAAGCAGGAAATATGGGTCCTCTTGCTCTGTGACGGGGTCAGGACACCTAATGTCCCAAGCTGCCCTTCTAATAGAGATTATAAAAGAGACCATAAGACCAAAGAATTGCATGATGGGTACCCATTAGAGCATGCCTTGCCCTTTGCCTTCCAGGCTTCAGCCTCTAAACTTAACTTTCTCCTAGCTGACAACACAAATTGGAGGCTAAAATGCCAGGCAGGGATCTGTCTTGGCCTTTTGTTACATGGTCTACCTCCTTCAGATTTCCAAGACAACTGGAGCCATGCTGGCAGAGAACTTGCTAAGTCTTAACAGACGTTGATGGACTCATTGTTTATTCTCTCAGTTCACTAGTATATGCTGCATAAAGTCAGGGACCTGCCTGTCCTCATCACTGCTATATCACCACTCCTAGCAAGTGCCAGGCACATCTCAGGCACTCAGGAAATGATGGCAGGAAGGAGGGAAGGGAGGAATGGAGGAAGGGAGGAAGGAAGGAAGGAAGGGAGGGAGGGATGAAGGGAGGGAGGGAAGGGGAGAGGAGAGGAGAGAAGAAAAGAAGAAAGAAGTCATCCTAGACCCTAAACAAGATGAAGAAACCCAAAGAATGCAGTACATAGTACACTAGGATTCCTTTCAGTATCAAAATCCAATACTGCAGTTGGAAGAATTCTCATAAATATTACTGAGCTCAGCCTCTCCTTTACTCAAGTCCACAGGGTTAAGCGGTTTACTGTGGTCACACACAAGTTTGTAGCAGAGGCCTCCTGGCCCTGAGTCCAAGAGCTTTTCCCTTACACTCTGTGGCTTCTCAGGTGAGTTTTTCTGGTGTCTGCATTAACATTCTCTGTCTTTAAAAAGCACAGTGCACTTCACTTAGGGCCATTAAGAAATAAATGATGTATTTATTTGTTTATTTAATGAAGTAGGTGGATAGAATCAGTTTTGAATTTTTTTTTTCTGTGAGTAATTTTTTTATTTTTATTTTTTAACTTTTGTTTTAGGTTCAGGGATACATGTGCATGTTTGTTACATAGGTAAATTGTATGTCACACGGGTTTGGTGTACAGATTATCTCATCATCCAGGTAATAAGCATAGTACTCAATAAATTTTTTGATCTTCATCTAGTTTTGAATTTTGGTAACAAAGCATTTCCTGTTTCTGGTATGCATATATGTGGATTTGCATGTGTTTTCCCTTGTAGTTTAAAGAGCAGAACAAGATAAAAATCAGTAGGGGTTTTCTCACCAAAGGAGAATAATTTTAGGGGAATTCAAGGGCTCAAATTCTCAACAATGTCCTTTTATTAAAAAAAAAAAGTGCCTCTACAATTTTGAAATTGAGACAGTGGTGACATTTAATAAAAAGATTTCGAGATTTCAAATCCTGAACTATGGCTGTGTGCAAACTGACAATTGTGACTTGAAAGAAATTATCTTATAATTCCCAAGTTTAATACCATGCCTATGAATAAGGAAACTGAGCCAATCAGGATTTCTCAGGAGACAGCAAGTGGACCGCTACCCACCTAGGAAGGGCAAGCTGCTGAGACCTGATGCCAAAACAAGAAGAGGTTCTGCAGCGAGGGGGAGGCACCTTCACACATGGAGCAAAAGGGCTCACGGCCACTCTCTCAACCTCCTCTAGTCCCTGGACCAGAACCAAGAGCTGTTGTAGGAGTAGTTTCCAAAGAGTATAATCTTAGGAGTTTCAAATTTCAGATATTATATTTACACAGTGCTTTTAACTTTCTAATTGTCTTTTTCCTGTTAATTAGTGTTAACACCCTCCTCCCCACCACAAGGACTAGAAGGCACTATTTTGTGTCCATTTTTAAAATAAGGAACCAGAGAATAAAAAAGTTAGAGAATCTCTGAGCCCAGAGTAGAAATCTCGTTCCTAGCCACCAGTTCCATGGTCTTTCTCCTAGACCTTTCTGGGAATTTTTTTTCCTTTTTTGGCAGACAAATGGTTATGCTAAAAATTTAAAACTAGAAGCAAAAATACTGGAAATGGCAAACTGTATTCTAATTGCCTCCCCTGGATTTCCTACTCCTGTAAATATGGACAAATATAGTGGTATAAATGAAATCCACAAGTATTAAGGACCACCGTATTGGAAAGATGAAGCCACTTCCTCATAGAGCTATCTAAAGAACAAGTATAGCTAACATGCTGCTAATCTTTAGCATGCTGTTAATTTTGAGTTACATGTTCTCCACCTTCCTCAGCAATCCTTTGGATGGCAGTTCCAATGTATGAAGCAATGGACACAAGGATCAAAACACACAGTTTTGGAATAACTGGCCCCCAGGTAACTAAGAGATGACTGTCCTCCCGTAACCTAACTAACTGGTTCCTTCTACCAAGTAATAAACAACCTTCCGGAAGCCACTTTTCCATCCCTTGGAAAAACGTCTTTCAAGGATATCTCTAATGCAGTTTTCTAGCCCTGGGATTCAATATTTCAAGAAATACCTTTAAGCCAACTAAACCTCTAGAGATTTTTCTGTTTTCACTCAACTCTTGTTTCAGTTCCAATATTTCTAGGAAAACATTGATTTACTGTGGTAAATTACGAGATGTTTTTAACGTTGGATGCAGTGTATCTGATTTGTGATCTCTAGGCCTCAGATGTTTTATAGCAGAAGTTAAAATTCTACACTGCAGGCTGGCATGGATAGGCTCACCTGTAAGCCCATAAAACCCTCCACCAGATGTGTTGCTTCTTTTCTCACACCTCTGACTCCACTTTCCTTGATTCGTCATGATCCACTTCAATAAATTAGTGATGCATAATTTCAAACAGCTGATTTCAGACTAGTCCTAAAGTGATCTAAGTGTCATGCTGAAAGGCACAGATGCTGAAGCTTGATGGAGATTGGCTGCACATGATGGTGGGAATCACAAAAGCAGAAAGGTATGCTTGATGTATCTGAAAAAAGCAAAAAAGCCTAAGCTTCCAAGTGTAATAGTTGCCTATTAGGTTGTTTGCTCTTCCAAACAGTAAGATCTGTGAGGTCTTGTGTCTGTCCTATTCATCATCAAATATTCAGTACCTACTCCTGAGCCCAGTGCAGGGGAGGGGAACAGTAAATATTTGTAGAAGGGATGAATGAAAGGTAGGCCAAATGAGCCATGAGGAGGGAGAAGCACAAGTTCAAGTCATCAAAATCTAAAGCTGAATTTTTCAACTTATTTCCTCCTTTCTATTCAGCGATACTTGCAAATCTCGAGAAAACTTATTGTCATTTTTTTTTTCAGTTGGGCTGAACTGCACAATCATCAACTTCCCTGTTGACTCTGCCTCTAAAGACAATAGGTCTTGGGTTCAAGCTCCACGTGGATCTGTTAGTGCCTTTTTCTGTTTTATGGCCAGAGATGCAAATTACATCTATGTTTATTCCTCTTGCTATCTATGTCTTTTAATGTTTCACACTCTGCATAGGAAAAGTACTTTGTAACATCTAATTCTAGTCCTCCCTGTCACAATTTAAACCCATCCCTATTCTGCGTTGGGGGAGGACAAAAGACAACTCTTGATTAACTTTCATGCCCCATTTTGATTCCTTTCTGGATCAGTTAGCTTTTGCTGTATAACAAACCACCCTCATTAGTGGCTTAAAACAACAACCACTTTAATTAGCTCATGATTCTGTGTATTATCAATTTGTGTTGGGCTCATTCAGGTGGTTTTACTCGAGTGATCTGGGCTCAACTGTCCTTGACTGGGCTTACTCATATATTTAGGGGCCCCAAAAGATGCTGTGAATAGCCAAAGGATGGTACCTCCCTCTGCAAGGTCTCTCATTCTCCAGGAAGCTGAACCAGCATTGTTCATATGGTGGCAGAGGATAACAAAAGCTATAAAAACTTGGAAAGCCTAGTTCAGGAGTCAATTATAATTTCTGCCACATTCTATTGGTCAAATCAAATCACCAGGCCAGCCCAGATTTAAAGGGTACAGAAATAAATTTCCCTTCTTGATAGGAAGAATTTGTGACCATTTTTGTAATCTACTACACCATCCTAGGGTTCCTTCAGTTTCTTCAGTCTCATCTTTTCCTCACATTTTCCCCAAATAAGTCTTTTTTCTGTTCATTTGGGATGCAACTTTAAGACTCCATGTATATCTTAATCATTTATTCCATAAAAACTTATTAGGCATCTGCTGTATATAAAGATCCATGGTAGGCTCAAAGTCTACCAAAGCATGGTTCTTAACACTTAAGGGGCTTAAGGATAGAGGATCAAGCAAATAATTAAGAACTAGAAAGTGAAGAAAAATTAAAGAATCTTAGTAACAATGAGAACATGATTCAGGGTCATTAAACTCAAGTCAGAAAGAGAGAGCCAGAAAAGATTACTGGAAAAGATGGTGCTTAAATGAGTAGGAGCCATATAGATCAGTACTACTCAAAGTGTGGTCTGTGGACTAGTGGCAGTATGCGAACTGTTCGTTACTGGTTTGATGCAAGAGAAGAGTAAGAGTTTGGAAATTATAATAGTAACTTGGTATTGCTGCAAAGTGCAAGCATGTGATTTTGAAAAATTGTCTGTGACAAATTTAAATTTAATTTCTTAAATGATCCATCATCATAGATAGTCTGAGATGTACTGACTAGGTAAAAAAAGTGGACAGAATGCCCCAAGCTAAGGAAATAGCATGTGGATGTTAGGCTGAATAATGAACCCCCAAAAGATATCCAAGTCCTAATCTCTAGAACCCATAAATGTTCTCTCATATGGAAAAAGGGTTTTGCAGATGTGATTAAGTTAAGAATTTTTAGACAAGGAGATGACCCTGGATTATCTGGGTGGGCCCTAAATGTAATCACATTTGTTCTTGTAAGAGGGGAGCAGAGGGATATTTGACACTGACAGAAGAGGAGAAGGCAATGTGGCCTTGGAAGCAGAAACGGATTAACATGGCCATGAACCAAAGAATGAGGGCAGCCACCAAAAGTCAGAAGAGACACGGAATGGATTCTTCCCTAAAGCCTCCAGAGGGAGAGTAAACCTATCTACATGTTGATTTTGGACTTCTGGGATGCAGAACTGTGAGGGAATAAATGTCTGATGCTTAAGACTCCAAGTTTATGGTAATTTGTCACAACATTCATAGGAGACTAACACACAATTATGAAGACAAGGGAGCATGAAGCAGCTCGATATATTCAGGGATCTGTAAGGAGCTAGACAGTAACTAAAGGAAAATACACATGTAGGGAGGAGTAGTAAGGATAGGGAGAAAGAAGGAGGCAAGGACTGGGAAGAACAAGGATCCCAACTTCATCTCATACTGGGGTTGGAATAATTAAAGAGAAAGACTTTAGAAACCATTCAGTTCTTAGTTGGCAGAGTGTAGTTGTATCCTATATGGACTAAAGCACAAAGGAATATTGTCTTTTGAACTCAATGCAAGAAAAACGAGCACGCCTTGCATGCATCTATAAATTCAAACCAAGTTGTGTGAATTGATGTGTACTCTAAGCCCAGCTTTCTCAGGGGAGAAGAACAAGCCAAATCTGATGATAAAAGAGAAGAAGGTATATTATTTACCTGGTTCATAAGGAGTGGATGCTATAACAAGCTAAGAGCTAGTAAAAACAAATCTTCCAATTTGTCTAGCCTGAAACACACACACACTCAGATACATTGTAAAACCAGCCTATCATACTAACCTAAAGGAAAAAGGAAGACCATTTAAAAAAAAAAAAAGAGTGAGGGAAGACTGAGGACTGGCAATTGCTAGTGACATGTTTACTAAATATATTCTAAAACATTAAACATAACATTGGAAAGCAAAGGAGCCAAGTGGTTGGAGAAGCCCACTGATTACTATTCAGGTTTGGTCTCTGATCTGCTTTCTCGGCACTTGGCTTCACAACCAGAGCTCAGCCAAATAAATCTGCATCTCTGGCATCTCCAGGCAACTCCAAACTTGGCATTTCTGACACAGGAGAGCTAGCCAGGAAACCCCTCTTTGGAGGGGAACCAATGGGCCAGATTCACTCTATCAACATCCAGACATCATAGCTAATTACAAACACACAGGACCAACCTGACAGCCAGCTCTGTAAGTAGCAGACACCAGCATTCCACAGGGAACTGGCTTGGCTTCAGTGAGTACTCCCAGTGACGAGAACCCTTTTAAGCAAGACACTCCAAGGGCTCACCAGATTGTGTTGGGTTTTGTGTGGCCATGTAAAGACATTCTCCCACCAGCCCCCAACCCTAGGAAAACCAAATTTCTATTCAGAGAAAGTAAATGGAAATCTCTATCAATAAGAGTATATTCAATATTGTAGAAATATAAATAAATAGCTAATCACATCCCTGCCCCACCCATCTGGTGCTAAACTCCTTTTCGATTGGAGCCTAGGAAAAATTCTAGAAAGGAAATTGGTAAAACCTTTGACCCATAACTCAGGGAGAAAAACAGTTTGACTCAGAAGCCCATGATGTCTTTCCCTTTTCTGACATTTTCTAACAAGAAGTTATTCAGCAGGAAAACTGGAAATTTGGCCACAAATGTTAAGATCTAGGCAATGAATTAGTCAAATGTTTTTATGGAGAATCCATTTGTACTTGACATTAATTTAGGTTGTCTGCTAGAAGGTCAGGCTTCTTGGAAAAGTTGGGGCCAGGAGAACAGAGTGCTATGCCACCAGATCCTGATGGCCTAAAGCATCTTGAGAAATGCACTCTGCTTCACACCCCTGCATCAGTGTGATCCTGGCACTTGTGTTTGTTACAGGAGGGTTGTCTAAGTGGCTGGTTTAATCATATTACTCCAGTGGCCCGCAAGTAAGTGACACATCAGCAGCCTAGATGGCCAAAATCACTCAACTCAACTGAGCCAGAGCATTGAGCCAATATTCTGCATGGAGTCTTTACATCCCTAAGACAATTATATTATTGTGCAATTTGCCACCATAATGTGGATCTTGGCTCTTAGGAAGAGTTTATTAAAGCTTATTTTTAAATTCCCTCTCTAGCCCATCTGTTCTACATCCCTTCAACAACTTTTTGGGCTACATTTGACTAGATAAGAGCTTTATGCATTAACCCTGGTTAGATGGTAGAGAACTGTCCTAAATCTTTCTTCCTCAAATGGAACCATAATGAGGACGTCTAACTTATTTTTTCTGATGAAGGAATGTATATTTCTGCATAAAAGAAAGATTTGGTATCCAGAAATCACAGTAGCATTGCATTCTAGTAATCCTTCATGTGTCATACTTGGAAAGATGATCAAGTAACATTATCCCATTTGTATTCCATTGTCCTTTTACATGTTGCCACTTTCAGCCCTAGGTTCTTAGACCATGTGCACATTTGTCACAGAGGATCCTTTATCTTGAGCATTCCAAGGGTCTGTGGCAGAATACCAGTCCCCCTTCCACATCCTACACTAGTCCAGGAAGAAATCTGTGTCCAGAAAGAGAATAGCTCTAGTAGAATGACCTTTACTGAGGCTTGATATCTGCTACCTTATAAGCTTCTTATACACTCAGCCTAATCCACCTGGAGGCTTTGCTGCCTGATGGAAGGTGATAAAAAAAGTTGTTATGCTATAAGCCCTGTCTTAGATTCAAGGCATGTAGGCTGTGTAAGATTCTGAGGCTTAGGGCAGACAGAGGGGGAAATAATTCTTAGTTCAGGTGCAATTTTCAAGATGCTTATTAGGATGAACTCTGGTCTAAGAACAACTTTATTGGTATGAAAGTCAGGCAAGGCTTCCTAATAGGAAGGAGGCTCCCAGCTTCCCAGCATTTCAGAGGGGCTAATGTAATGGTGATCATAAAACTTGACAAAAACCAACAGGAACCAAGAAGCCCAAGTCTAGAAATCTACAATCCACAGAGGATCAACAGCTTGTATTCTGGATATCTTAAAGGTGAATGCTCTAAAACACCCATCTGCCAGTGGTGATGAAAACCTGGACACCCACAGTTATAAATAATTCATTCTATTTCTTACAGCAACTAAGGCGAGGGCCTAAATTCCAAATTCAACTAGGTTTTTTATTTACACCCTTGGCCAAGAAAAGAAAGCTCATAGATGGAGCTTCTAAGAATAATGGAAGCATGTCTCCAAGCAGAGAGGGAGACTTTGAGATACCTTACTAAAAAACTGCTTCTCTGAGTAATAGGATAATTGCTTCTCAGAATCACAAAATGAAATGAAAATATAAACCATAGTGGAGGAACTAAAATATGTAAAAATGTTATTGTATTATGAAAGATTTTTAATATTTGTGGGTACATAGTAGATGTATGTATTAATGGAGTATACAAAATACCCTGATACAGGCATACAATGTGTAATAATCCCATCAGGGTAAATGGGGTATCCATCGCTTCAAGCATTTATCCTTTGTGTTACAAACCAATTACATTCTTTTGTTACTTTAAAATGTATAATTAAATTATTGACTATAGTCACCCTGTTGTGCTATCAAATGCTAAGTCTTATTCATTGTTTCTATTTTTATTTTGTACTCATTAACCAACCCCATTTCCCTCCTACTTCTCCCACCCCCACTACCTTTCCCAGCCTCTGGTAACCAGTCTTCTATTCTCCATCTCTATGAGTTTAATTATTTTGATTTTTAGCTCCTACAAATAAGTGAGAATATGCAAAGTTTGTTTTTCTGTGCCTGACTTTTCTCACTTTACATAATGACTTCCAGTTCCATTCATGTTGCTGCAAATGACAAGATCTCATTCTTTTTATGGCTAAATAGTACTCCATTGTGTATATATACCACATTTTCATTATCCAGTCATCTGACGATGAACACTTCAGTTGCTTCCAAATCTTGGCAGTTGTGGACAGTGGTGTAATAAACATGGAAGTGCCGATATCTCTTTGATATACTGATTTCCTTTCTTTTGGGAATATACTCAGCAATGTGATTGCTGGATTTTATGGTAGCTCTATGTTTAGTTTTTTGAGGAACCTCCAAACTGCTCTCTATAGTGGCTGTACTAATTTACATTCCCACCAACAGTGTACAAGTGTTACCTTTTCTTCGTTTCCTCACCAGCATTTGTTTTTGCCTGTCTTTTGGACAAAAGCCATTTTAACTGGGGTAAGATGATATGTTGTTGTAGTTTTGATTTGCTTGTCTCTGATAATCAATGATGTTGAGAACCTTTTCATATGTCTGTTTTCCATTTGAGAAATATCTATTTGAGTCTTTTGCCCATTTTAAAATGAGATTATTAGATTTTTTCCTATAGAGTCATTTGAGCTCCTTATACATTCTGGTTATCAATCCCTTGTCAGATGAGTAGTTTGCAAATATTTTCTCCTATTCTGTGGGTTGTCTCTTCACTTTGTTGATTGTTTCCTTTGCTGTGCAGACACTTTTTAACTTGATGTGATCCAATTTGTCCATTTTTGCTTTGGTGGCCTATGCTTGTGGGGTACTACACAAGAAACTTTTGTCCAGACCAATATTCGGGAGAGTTTCCCAATGTTTTCATGTAGTAGTTTCATAGTTTGAGGTCTTATATTTAAGTCTTTAATCCATTTTGATTTGATTTTTGTATATGGTGAGAAATAGGGGTCCAGTTTCATTCACGAAAGAATTTTCTTGCCCTAAAGCAAAAAAATGGGATTTTTTGTGCTCAGCAAACACACTTCAAAGGGAAATTATTTACAGTCTGCATTGAAAGAAAAGTTTCTTCCTTTTAATAAATTTTCAGTGTTGAAAAATTTGGTATATTGGAAAGATATTTGTCCATTGATAAACTGTTTACATTTTTCTCTCTCATATATTCCTGATTAGATTATATAAATATAGAATATCTATATTATATCTATGTTACCATTATAGCTGTATTACCAATATCTATATTATCATTGATCAGGTGGCATATATATATATATATATCACCTGATATGTTGTTGGCAGGTATAAGATAAGACTCATAGTCACTGACATCACCAATTCTGTGTCCTTTGAAATATACACATATTTGAATATCAGAACTTCTGAGAAAACCTCTCCTTTGGGAGGAGTGGGTGATATACATAATTTCTTCACAATTATAATAGAATCTCCATCAATACTCACAACAGGGAATTATTTTAGCCTCATTTCATAGAAGAATAAAATGTGAGCCTGGGAAGATTCAGTGACTTGCTCAAGGTCACACAGCTAGGAAAGGTTAGAACTGGCATTCCTGATTCTTAATCTTGTGCTTTCTCTAGTACAGTATGCTGCCTTTAGTCTGAACCCTAAATGGACCACATTCCAGAAAAGCTAATGATATTTGTAAATGCCATTATTAGTAAGTGATTTATCTTACCCAATTTCCATTCTTCCTGAAAGAGATGTCTGTATCTGCCATGAGCTAAAACAGTAGCATTCTACCTACCTGGCAAGAACATGACTCCCCTGAGTTGCTAAGTTTAGGCATATCAGACAAAATGGAAGAATGTAAAGTTACAATGATTTTATATCTCCCAGTTGAGATAATGCTACTGAGAACCACTCGGAGCTGAATAAATTGAACAAGTGCAGTTTTGATTAGTTTCAAAAGACAAAGTATAGTATTTTTTTTTCCTAAATCAAAAAGAAAAGTCAATGGCAGCAAAATAAAGCTCTTATTCTAAATAAACTCAGTTTTATATTTATTTTCTGAATTTCAATAGTATATATACAGAATAATTTGAGCCATCTATGCATAAAAATGATACTTTGCATTAGAAAGATTCATAGGTAAATACCTAAACAAATGAAACATTTAAAACATACAATGGCACACAATGCAAATGAATCTATCGTAATAGCTTTGGCTAACATTCTTCCAGGCTTACCATATGCCACGCCTTGTGCTAAGCGGGTATTATCTCATTTCATCCTCACAACAACCCTATCAGGAAAAAACTAGCATCCCTTCCAATTACAGATAAAGAAACCAAGGTTCTGTAAAGTTAAGTGGCTTGTTTGAGCCCCTGAGGGAGAAAGGGGCAGAGCTGGGGATTGAAAGCAGATTGACAGAGGACCAAGGCCCCATGTGTTATCACCACCTATGGTCTCCTCTTTTCACATTACCTGATATTCTACCCACATGCACTAATTTGAGGAGCAAAATAAGTTGGGATTGTTTTTTTAATAAAGTTTTTTTAAAACAACTAGCTGGTAATAAGTTATTTAATTTCCCCTCTGAAGACACCACATGAGCCTTACCTATGATCCAGTGCTAACCCCAACATGGTGCATAAAAACTGGCCTCTTCACCCAACCCCCAGCACTTGCCTCTTCAGCTCTCCTCGCATTTACCTCACCCTAGAATCAGACCAAAGAAAGTCACGAGTGCAGCCTGAGGTATTAGAAGGTAGAATGGACCTAGCAGAAAGAGACAAGAACACAACGTGGGGGCAAAAAAGGCCTGTCCCGTTACCAACACCACCAGACCGACCATACTGGCCTACCCCAAACTAGTGTTTTCATTTCTCCTGACTGATCAAGTCTCATCTGTCTGCTTTTTGTCTAAATGCAAGTGACATTTATATCCATCCCCTCCTTCTTTTAACCATTTGTTCATGTCTATATTTGAGTTTCTGGCATCATGCTAGGTTCTAAGGATACAAAAATGAATGAGATGCTATCACCTGCTGTCAAGAAATTCACAGCCTAGGGAGAGAGTGACATATGACCAGAGAGGGTCCAATGTGGACAGATAATGAAGAAGGGAGTCAGCAGAGGAGATTCTGAGAACACAAAGGAGAAGAGAGGCAGCAACCCAGCGTGGGTGGGGTGAGCTGATCAGAGAAGGCCTCCTGGAGCAGTGCACCCAGAGCTGATATGGAGTTGGAAAGGTGAGTGCATGAGTGAAGGAAATGAGTGGAGTGGGGGAACAGTGTTCTGGGCAGAGTGGACCTCATGACCCAGAAAGAGCCTGGTGTGTCCAGTGATTCACTATCTGTGATCTAAGTAAAATGCCTAAAGAGAGGCAGGTATGTTAATCTCCAAGACCCCCAGAAAAAAAGAGATTGGTATAGAGAGGCTTTGCACTAACTCCTCCTTTCCTGCCTGTTATGGTTTGTCTGTGTCTCCACCCAAATCTCATCTTCAATTCTAGTTCCCATAGTCCCCATGTGTTGTGGGAGGGACCCTGTGGGAGGTAACTGAATCATGGGAGTGGTTACCATGATTGTGAGTGAGTTCTCAAGAGATCTGATGATTTTATAAGGGACTTTTCCCGCTTTGCTCGGCACTTCTTCCTGACATCATGTTAAGAAGGACATGTTTACTTCCCCTTCCACCATGATTGTAAGTTTCCTGAGGCCTCCCCAGCCATGCAGAAATGTGAGTCAATTAAGCCTCTTTCCTTTATAAATTGCCCAGTCTCTGGCAGTCCTTTATGGTAGTGGGAGAATGGACTAATACACTGCCACTGTATTTACCCAAATGACTCCATCGCCTTCATCTCAATTCTTTACTGCGCTATGACCACTCAGCTGTGGATGTCACCAGATTAGCAAAGCAATGCCTTGGGTCCAGGTGACAGCCTTTAAACATGAGCAGAGGCACCAGCCAAGCCTGGCGTGGCACAGCACTGATACACACATTCTGTGCTTCCATGTCTCTCCCAAATCTATGCCTTTACAAGTGCACATTCACTCCTGAAAAAGCCAAGAAGCCAAATAAATCCAAAAGAAATGTATGCTTTCCAGCCAACATGAGCCTGTCCTCTACATCTTAGAAAAGCAATTACAACAACCATGGCAACGTGATTTATTGAGGGCTTCCAGTGGGCCGAGATACCATCATCTCCCACCTGCACACTCTGTGGCTTCCTCATAGATCTGCTTGTAGTTTCTCTCTGGCCCTTCTGATGCCTTCTCCTTTCAGCAGCCAGGGAAGTCTTTGTAAAGTTGGTTTACAAAATTGATTTATTTATCCCCACCCTCCTATTTCATGCACCCAAGTCTACATAACAACTGTGCTTCCATGGCTTTCCATGGCACTTAAGATAAAATAAAAGCTCCTTCATTTGACTGGAGTCTGCCTCATCTCTCTCCCCATCCTTCTCTCATACCACATCTCCCTAAACTCTATACACAGCCAGGAGCTCTTCTTTCATTTCCTTGAATGTCCAATGCTCACACAGGCTTTTCCTTCTTTCTGGACCATTATTCCCATTCCTCTGCACCTAGACAACTCCTAGGCCTTCTCCACAAGGTGATTCAATTATCACCTCCTCAGGGAAGCCTCCCTGATCTCTTTGGCAAGGAAAAATATCATAACCTCTCCTATTTAAAAAACTCTTATATAGCCAAGCCTTATATTATAACCTCTCAAAGCAGCACATTTCTTTATTGCACTAACCATGATAATGATGTATCATTTATTTAGTGATCAATGCTTGTCATTGTTCAGTAAAGGACATGCAACAATGAACAGGTGAGCATGGGAATATGGGATCTATTGACACTGCCACATATGGCACCACCTGAAAGCAGCTGACCTGATAAAAACACTGGATCATCCTATGAAAGTTTCCACAAAGGTGCCAGCTCAGGGTTCACAACCTGCAGTGCCAGGGTGCTACGCCCCAGGATATACACTGCAAAAAGTCTACACCTAATATGTGAGGCTATGCCCCAATAGCTAGAATACACAGGGCCATGATCTCCCAGCAACCCACCTGTTGAATTTGTGTGTCTCATCACTACCGCTTAAGGCTCTGTTGGGTTAGAGGTTCTAGGTCCTCGTGGGAGGCAGCGTGGGGAGTGTGAGGAATGTTTCCCCAGGGGGACACAGTAAGGAGACCTCTGTACCTAAAAATATGATCACTGCCTAGTTCCGTTGGCCAGCTCATGCCAGGGAACCACCTCTTGGTGCTGTCATGATTGTGAGAACAGGGAAAGGGCAGTCATGGCAACTTCAACCTGACAAAAGTAAGGCAACCAAGAACCAGACCCCTCAAGGAAGAGGACATGAGGCCCACCATGAGCCAAAGAAACATTTGGCTGAAAGTGAGAAAAACCCAGAATGAGTAGAACAGGAGAGTTATTTCTTCATTAATTACTTCCCAGCTGTAGCAGAGGGGACTATACATATCTGTCTTAAGTCTTTCTGAAATGTCAGGGACAGAGTGGACCTAATATGACACACGAGTGTCACTGAGTGGGGTAGGAGGTGAACTGTGGCAAATGCCACCTCCCCTTGGCCACCTTAGACGTCAGCTGCAGCCTGGTGAGCATTTCCATGCACATTGGCAGTGTCCTACATCAAGTCCCATGCCAGCATCACCTTACTTTTCTGACTCTAGAATTTTTCTTAAACAACAGAATCTCCGACAGCTTGTTTACCGGGCAGGCCATAAGTGCAGGGGAGTTAACTTCCCTAAGGACAACCCTCAGTCTGGATCCATACATATATATTGAGAACAAACTGTCTGCAACCACACAGCTTAATAGGAGCAAGAACTAAGACTACCTATATTATTATGACTTTATTATTCTAGGACTCAGCCTTAACCAGCTTTGTGGTTTGAAGCATCAAGTTCCTAGAGTGGACTAGACAAGATTGAAAGATGAATGGCAAAGATCACCAAGGTCACAATTACTTAGAAGTAAAAACTTCTAGATTGAAGAGTGTACCTTTAAACCCAGGATTAAGTCTCTAACTAGTGATGAAATGTCAATAAATGTTCATTGGAGCAAATAGCGCAAAGATTTAGAAGAATTGGCTCTAATAATGTTTTATACACAAACAAAATATATGAAAATTTCTACATTTTGTTTATGTGGAAATTTGCCTCACAAGACCTGTGTGTGTGGTGGTGGCAGGACACTCCACCAGGCACGGAAGGCCGAATTATTGCCACAAACAAGCTGTGAGATGCCAGGTGGCCATTTCATTTCTTTGGGCTTTCATTTATGCATTTGTAAAATAAAAGAATTGAACCAAATCATCTCAAGTACTTTGTACCTAAAATTATTAGATTTTCTAATGTATATCCTTAAGTTGTGTTTTCACAATGACTCATTCTGTTTTGATGAGGAAGCCAGCCTCCAATTACATCTCCAAAAAATAAAGACAAGTTGCAACCTGTTTAATCACATGCAATCAGTATCAAGTATGTATTACAGGTATCACAGATAATACAGAAAGAACCTATTGACTCTCCCCCTATTCTAGGACTCAACCCTAACTTGCTTTATGGTTTGGAGTGTGAAGTTCCTAGTCTGTAAAGAGAAGGGAGTTCTTGTATCTGCCCTCTAGATCTTTTCTAAACCTACAAACCTAAGACTAATGGCATCCCTCACCTCCCACAGCTTGTCTATGTTGTTTATTTCTCACCCATTGCTTCACTAAGGAAACTAACATTGCAACAGAGACCAGAGGGAACAGGACAGGGGCAACCACAATTCAAGCAGCTGGTTTTAGAGTCAGTAAAGCAACTGCTGTTCTATTTTCCACCTGCAAGTTAAAAAGTGAGTCAACTATTTCAAATGTTAGCTAAACATTCCTACCAAATCTAGTGCAGTAGATTCGGATTTGGAGTACAGAGAACTGGATTATAATTCCGATTCTGTCACCTGATGGCCATGTCACCTGGCCACATCACTTCATCTCTCTGTGATCCTGTTTCTCCAAGTGTAAAATGGGGATAATAGCAGGGAGATGCTGTGGAGATTCAGAAAGATTAAATACAGTAACCTACATGACAGAACCTGGTATAGCACCAGGCACCTAGAAGACCTTCGCTGAATGATTGGAAGGAGGATCTAGCTGTCTGCCAAAGAGAAGAAAATAGGAAACATGAAAACACTAATGAGTATAAACAGAAAGTGTACTGGATGCAGAGTGAGATTTGTGTTCTAATCTCAGTCATTACTAGCTGAGTGTCCTTGAACAAGTCAAGGTCTCACTTCTTCTCACCTCAATTTCTTCATCTGTAAAATGTTGGGCTTAACTGCCATGATTCTGCTTTAACATTCCAGGATTCTGCAATGACGTTAGTTTGCCATTGCTGATGTTAATGTTGTTTTCTTCTCAGTGATCCACATTCCAAGAAACCATTCTTGGAATGGAATAGGATACCTAAACCAACTCATCCTACTCATTCGTTGTAATGGAAAAATAATCAGTTCTTTATTATTTATGCCACAGGCATGACTCAGAGCATAAAAGTATGAGTAGAGGAAGTCTATGGCCCTTAAAGAAAAGCGCTAATAAATAATCTGTTTTAGAACTATAATTTTCTTTTTTTTTTTTTTTTTGTTTGAGATGGAGTCTCACTCTGTCGCCCAGGATGGAGTGCAGTGGCGCAATCTCTGCTCACTGCAAGCTCCGCCTGCTGGGTTCACGCCTTTCTCCTGCCTCAGCCTCCTAAGTAGCTGGGACTACAGGCGCATGCCACCACACCCAGCTAATTTTTTGTATTTTTAGTAGAGACAGGGTTTCACTGTGTTAGCCAGGATGGTCTCGATCTCCTGACCTCGTGATCCACCCGCCTCGGCCTCCCAAAGTGCTGGGATTACAGGCATAAGCCACCTTATGGCCTTAGAATTACAACTTTCAATAGGAAAAAAAAAACCCTATGAATTCTCCAAAAATCAACAGAAGCAACGTTAACCTTTTTTTCTCTAATAACAAGGTGGTTATCTCCAGTGCCTTCTAGAATATCTTTGTCTGTTATTCTTACTCCTCATAAGCCCCCAAGCCTAATACTATCCTCCTACAGCCATACATTCAAATCGAGCCTCAGGATCTCAAGCAAGGTCCTTCAATTGACCTACAAAATGGGTGTTACCTCTGCTGGTAAGGAGACTAGACCTCTCCCTTGAACAATGTCATATCCCATGGCATCACTATTCCTCTTCTTCAGATTAAAGGCTGGATGGTGATGAGCAGATTTCATCTTTCTGCCAAGAACAGATTGACCCTGAGGTAAGTAGATAGCTTACAGTCTATCCCAGGACAAATGCAGGTAGCAGGCCTTCTTTCTCAAACAACACAAGTTTCTAAAAATTCCTTTCACCTCCATTAAATTTAAAACATAGTGTATAGTACTCTTTTCTTTATTCCAAATATTAAAGTGCATATCCATGGTAAAAATGATAATTTCTCAAATAGATACAGTCCTATAAATCATCTAGGGATAACAAAAACTAAGTTTCAATGAACATGCCAATTCTAAATGTCATGTAGTGGTTGCCTGGAGTACTATGTTGTAAAGGACTGTGACCTGCATTTACACTCAGTGGGGATGCTGCATTCAGTGAGCCAGCGTTGCTTAGGAGGATGGGAGAAGTAGAAATAGATCACGTCTATTGTCCTTGACCTCGTCCGGTGATCAAATACTGGACCAAATCTGGCCACACTTATGCATTTATATATGTTCTGTAGCTGCTTTCCCTCTGCAGCAACAGAGCTGAATCTTGCATCAGAGTGTGTGGCCCACAAAACCTAAAATATATTTACTCCCTGGCTCTTTACAGAAAAGTTTGTCAACCCCTGATTGTAGTCCAGCCCTCTCATCTCACAAATAATAGAATTAAATATATCTTCCTGTTTTTCCTTTCAACTTAAACCTTAGATTCTGATTAGCTAATCAAATCAAAGTAATAGTGACTTCTTACTAGAGTGGTACAAGCTGAGATCACAGTTTGTTACATGGAAGAACCACCATATGTGGAATCAAACCATGACCCAGACACCCAAACCGTATGTCAACTGTATTCTCATCTTAGGGGTGATATTTCTGAATTTCAATCTAGAGTTTACTTATCATGTGGCTTTTCTAGTTAAAAAAAATAAAATAGTATAATTTTGACAGGAATAATAAAAAGTATGTTTCACAATTGTAAATTGTCTCTCCATTTAAGTACACATGTCTGTCATACCATTGAAAGGAGGAATAATAAATCCAATATTTATGGTTTCACTATGGGTTACTGGCATCCTTGTAGTTTAAATAGGTGACTAAGAAGAAATCCTGCTGGCAAGCAAATTTATACATACTTATTTTGTGCCTTGACACGCTGAAAGTGTTCACATAAAATAATATAAGGCTTCTATAGCCTTGATTATTTCTGAATACTGCAAAATCTTACACTGGTATTGCAAACACACTTTGAAAACAGCTGGGGTAATCATGTTTAGTCTCAATCTGTGCTGTCCAATACAGTGGCCACCTGCCCCACGTGGCTACTGAGCACTTAAAATGTGGCTAGTTCAAATTGAGGTATGTTGTATGGACTGGATTTCTAAGACATGGTATGAAAAAATGAATGTGAAATGTATCATTAGCAATTTTTTGTAATATTCTATGTTGAAATGATATTTTAGATATATTGGGTTAAATAAAATGTGTTATGAAAATTACTTTCACTGCTCTTACTTTTTTGATGTAGCTACTAAAAAATTTAAAATTATCTATACGGGTCATGTATTTCTTTTGGATGTGCTCTGGTGGAGAAATTTTTAAAAAATATTTATGAAAGCAAGCCCAATGAGATAGGGAAATTGATACACACTTATAGAAAATGTACTACGTTCCCATGCCTCTGCTGATGTCATAGCCCTAACAACAATGAGCAATGTTCAAGGAAAGAAATAGCCCAATAAGTCAACATCTACCTGTTTAACATTATGAGAAAACTGAGGTCATGTCTCATGACTAAAGGCCTAATCATCTACTTCTCTTCCTTTTAAAAGTTTTAAAATAGTCCAGCAAAATTAGCACATAATCCCTCCCCGTATACTCACCCTTTCAAAAAGGAGCATGGCCTGAAAAATATCTGTTGATCTAACAAAAATAAAGAGAAGTTATAAACCAGACACTATCATGCAAATAGTTGAGTTGGCCAAGAATTTACTTCAAGTAATACCACATGACATTGTTTGATCTCTTTTGTTTCAGCAAGGATAAAAAGGCCAGCCATAAGGAGACATGACAAATACCATTGAGTACTGCAGAGCAACTTGGCAGCTGCCCGAGGTAGAGCATCTTGTTTACATCACCACGCCAAGCCAGGAAGCAGAGTGAGGCTTTAGTCCCTGAGGCATTAAGTCCTCACCCTGATACCCCAATCCAGGTCTAGCCACCTCTCTCCAGACATAGTCCTGAGCATAACAGCTGTGGAGATCAGTTGCCTTTTCTGCGAAATTGTCATTAAACCATGAGTAATTTGGCACTATTTTCTGCATGATTTGTCCTCTCTGAAAATAAGCAGACTCAGGCTTGTGAAAATGGAAATTGATTTACTTTCTATCCTTCTTGAGCTCATCTATTTAAGGTCTACTTCTTCTGGGATGTGCCAGGAGACTGCACTACTTTCAAGTGGTGGAAATTTCTTAAAAAAAAAAAAATAAAAATAAGCTGAAGGAAACTTGGAATGAGAATGCACTTGGCTAATTGGTTTGCCATCTAGCACTACCTCTTTCTCTAAGCAGGGAGAATCAAGCCGCTGTCTGCTTGATGGGGCAGTGGCAGCCTCGTGTAACCTCTGTAGTTATCTTCTGACTACTCAGCTGAATCCACTGCATTCTACATATCTTTCTTATTTAACGTAGAGTATGCATTTAAAAATAATATTTCTGTAAACCTTATCAAGCAAAACATGGCATGACTCGATGCCAAATTATAGTGATGATTATTTTAAGAAGAATCACAGCGCTTTGGCCCAGTTTTTGGAAAATGTGATTAATAGCACTGCCAGTGCCTTCTAGTGAGCCAGCACCACAAACTAGCTATTTGATTTCATAACACAGTGCTGTTGTGATCACCAAAGCAACACTATCCGTTTAGGTGCTGGATTAGAATCCAGGCGAGTCCGCAGTATAGTCTTTACACTTCATCAACTTCCACACAGGACATAAATTGTACTAATATAGTAATATACTGAAATCTCAGACCAACTGTTTGTCATCGGATTAGAATGTGATGACACAGAATAAAGATGTGAGACAGAATCTGTGCTGAGGTCTAAATTCACATTGGAAGTCTGGGAAGAGAAGACTGTTTATAAAATTATAGCCCAGGAATTGCTGCCAAAGTCGGCCTTTGGTGCAGCTGTAAGTCGGATGGAATCCACCTTCCTGACGTCAGACCCACCCACTGGAACACTGCTCCTCTGACTGGGGCTTCCCTGAATGGAAACTACATGTCATACTGCAAAGTAAGTGCTGTCGTTCTGGAGCTGTCGGCACGATTCGATCTTTGTAGTGGGTTGATTATTTGTTCTTTTCCATCCAGCAAAAAGGCTATCAGCACACTTGTAGTTTTAGCATTCATATTTTTCATCCCCAAGTTCTGAGTTTTGCTCAAGCTGACAGATTTCTTGAGTTCTACTCCCTAGGACCTTCACATCTGATGATGGGGTGCTTTTTCATTTTCTTTCCTTCTGTTTTGTATTCTTCAATTCACTTCTTCATCTTCTCTTCCCAGGAAATGATGACCTCCTTTGTACAGATTCTGCTACCATAGACAATGTGCATTACCATTTACAAAACCCAAGGATACATTTTGGTTTTCTATTACTTAGAAAAATTGGGGCCATACGTAAAGACGCCATGGAATAGGTGTTTATGCAGAAGGTTTGTCTGGACTAAAAACAAAATGAAGTTTGATGTCATTATTTATACATTTCAGAAGCTCCTAGATTACTATCTTAAAGGTTGTTTTTGTTTTTAATATATGACATTTGAAGTTTCAGTCACAGTGTAAAAAATATTTAAATAAGTTTCAACTGGTTTGCCAGGGAAGCAGGATGGTAAGGGCGGTAGGCATAGGGCTAACCTAAGCTTCGGCTAATTGCTTTAATACACATCACACAAGGTGATCCTCATAAAGGGTTATATTATGAATTCAATTATATAAGTAAGAAAACTGGTGTTGAGAGATGTGAAGTGACTTGTCCAAAGTTACCTCCTATGCAGCAGAGTCTACATGACTAGAATCCAAGTCTTCTGGCTCATTTTTGTTTGTATATAATTTATTTGCTTTTATTTTTAATTTTACATAGATAACTATATCACTAAGTAATGTATCATTTAGGTTTCCATGACATGATGTAAGTGTAGTCATTCCACATGTTACCGGCCTTTTTTTTTTTTTTTTTTTTTTTTTAAGAGATGAGGTCTCATTATTTTGCCTAGGCTGGTCTTGAACTCCTGGGCTCAAGCAATCCTTCCGCCTTGGTCTCCCAAAGTGCTGTGATTATAGGCTTGAGCCACTACACTCGGACCTGTTACTGACAATTTTTTTTCTTTTTCTTTTTTGTTGTGCTCTGTCGCCCAGGCTGGAGTGCAGTGGTGGGATCTCGGCTCACTGCAAGCTCCACCTCCTGGGTTCACGCCATTCTCTTGCCTCAGCCTCCCAACTAGCTGGGACTACAGGTACCCGCCACCACGGCCGGCTAATTTTTTTGTATTTTTAGTAGAGACGGGGTTTCACCATGTTAGCCAGGATGGTCTCGATCCCCTGACCTCATGATCTGCCCATCTTGGCCTCCCAAAGTTCTGGGATTACAGGCGTGAGCCACCGCTCCCAGCCAACATTTTTTAAAAAACACTTTTTGAGGTATAATGGACATACAAAAAGCTGTACATATTTAAAGTATACAACTTGAGTTTATGGGTAAGTATATACCCATGTAACCATTACCACAGTCAATGTCATAAACATGTCCATCACCTCTAAAAGCTTCCTCCCACCCTCTTTATTATTATTGTTTATTGTCATAAGAACACTTGACAGAAGATCTACCCTTTTAGCAAATTTTTAAATATACCATATAGTATTATTAACTATAGGCACTATTCTGTACAGTAATATATCTCTAGAACTCACTCATCTTGCATAACTGAAAATTTGTACCCTTTGACCATTACCTCTCTGTTTCTCCCTTCCCCTAGGCCCTGGAAACCATAATTCTCCTTTCTGCTTCTATGAGTTTGCCTATTTTCGATTTCTCATATAAGTGAGACTGTGCAGTATTTATCCTCCTGTGTCTCACTTACTTCACTTAGCATAACATTCTCCAGATTCATCCATGTCATCACCAATGGCAGTATCTCTTTCTTTTAAGGTTGGATAATATTCCATTGTATGTATAGGCCACGTTTCCCTTATCCTTTGATCCAATGATAGACATTTAGGTTGTTTCCACGTCTTGGTTATTGTAAATAATGCTGAGATGGACATGGGAAGGCAGATATCTTTTCAAGACCTTGATTTCACTTCTTTCGATATATACCCAGAAATGAGATTGCTGGATCGTATGGTACCCCGATTTTTTTTTTTTTTTTTTTTTTTTTTTACTTTTTAGGAATTTCTGTACTGTTTTTCATAGGGTCTGCATTAATCTACATTTCCACTAACTGTGTACAAAGGTTCCCTTTTCTCCACACTGTCACCAAAATTTGTTCTTTTCGTCTTTTTTATAATAGACCTTCTAACTGGTATGAGAGGATATCGCACTGTGATTTTGATTTGCATGTCTCTGATGGTTAGTGACATTGAGCACCTTTTAATATACCTGTTGGTCATCTGTACCTCTTCTGTGGAGAAACATCTATTCAGTTCCTTTGCCCATTATTTTAATTGGGTTATTTGGGTTTTTGCTAATGTGTTCTTCATATATTTGGGGCATTAACCCTTTATCGGATATGGTTTGCAAATATTTTCTCCCAATCTCTAGGTTATCTTCTCATTTTGTTGTTTGCTTTGCTGTGCAGAAACTTTTCAGTTTGATGTAATCCCACTTGTCAATTTTTGCTTTTGCTCTCTGTGCTTTTAGTTGTCATATCAAAGAAATCATTGCCAAGGTCAATGTCAATAAGGCTTTTCCTTATTTTTTCTGGGAGTTTTATGGTTTCAGGACTCACATTTAAGTCTTTAATTCGTTTCAAGTTCATTTTTGTGTATTGTGTAAGGTAAGGGTCCAGTTTTATTCTTTTGCATGTGGATATCCAGTTTGCCCAATTTCAGTTTTTGAAAAGTCTATCTCTTTCCCATTGCACATTCTTGGCACCTTTGTCAAATATCAGTTAACCATATGTGCCTGTGTTTATTTCTAGGCTCTTCTAACTGTTAATTCAAAATTCTACCTCCAATAAATCATTTATATGTTAGAGCCTGGTACTTGGTTACAAACAAAAACATCCATAGATTCAGGGCAGTGAATTAGAATTGCCTAGTCTCAACTACATTTTTAGAAGTCAGTGAATGTAACTTTTTCATATTGCACAAACTCTTAATTGCTATAGTCAAGCAGCTGATAATTATGGATTGGCTTGTTAATATTTATTCCTAACCATTTCTTGAGCATCTGCTATGTGCCAGGCTCTCTGCTAGCTTATAAACCATTAATGAATACAGTATGCTTTGTATTAAAGTATCACCCCAGATGCTTTAAAATGAACTGATTATTCTAGCTGCTGAAAGATTATTACAAATTGATAATTTGTTTTATAATTGATTCTTGGTCTGCAGGATCAGTGAAGAGACAGTCCACCACCATATATACATAAGTGTTCCACCATTTATTCCAAGGGTGGAGTATCAAGATGGGGATCCTTTGTAATATCAGTGTTGAAATAGAGTAGGAAAACCTAAAATAGGAAACAAATTCATGAAAATGCTAAGGAGATATAATCAAATCATTAGGTTACAGCACACGTGTTTAGGGGTCAGGAGATATTGACTCTGAACAGTCATGTGAGTCTGCAGGTCAATTTTAAATTGAGGAGAGCAGAATTTTTTATCTTTTTATTTTTTATTTTTTTTAGAGACAGGGTCTTGCTCTATCACTCAGGCCAGAGTGTCATGGAGCAATTACAGCTCACTGCAGCATTTAACTTCTGGACTCAAGGGATCCTCCCATCTCAGCCTTCCAAATAGCTAAGACTACAGGCATGCACCACCATTTCCAGCTAATTTTCATTTTTATTTTTTATTTTTGTAGAGACAGGGTCTCACTATGTTGCCCAGGCTGGTCTCAAATTCCTTCTCAAGTGATCCTCCCACCTCAACCTCCCAAAGTGCTGGGATTGCAGGCATGAGCCACTGCACCCAGCAGAAATTCTTAACGAGGCAAGGCCAACAGAGGCCATTCATTCAACATCACGGCACCATAGTGGCCTCTTTTTAAGACTCCTCAGGCAAGTAGAACTTATTTGTCTCAAAGACATTGTATCATGAACCCAATGTCTAAACTTTCACATGTGTGTTTTGAAGGATGTTTTTAAGGAAAGAAAAATTTCTGTTGTATAAATTATTAAAATAAAAGTTGCTGTGGTGATCTTTACTTTTGTTTCATTCCCTGGAATTAACCACGGGCTCAAGACGTTCCTCAAGATGCTATTGCCTTTATAGAATTCTTTTCTCCCCGAACTTCAGATGCTCTTCTGCTATAATAAATATCCATGACTTTTGGATTTGGAAAGTCCAAAACTGTTATCACATGCCCTCTGTGTACTTATAACATGTACCTTTAAAGATTTTCTCCTTAAACAAATAGCTGTCTTTCACATCACACTTTTACCCCAGCGTTTTCTGATATTATTACTTGTAACTCTAAAGAGTTATAATTATGGTGCCTGTCTCCTTAAAGGCAGCAGAGATAGAATAATTTTCATTTGTGATGTTCCAATACATTATTTTACCAAAGTCTTTGGCTAATCTAATTGCCACTGAAATTCAAATTAGATAATTCACAAGAAAATAATTATCTATATGTGCTGTGCCTATATGGCACCCTGTGAGGCTAACCAGTAATCTGCTTTATTTCATCAATGTCTGTAACTCACATCCCTTTATGCTCAGCATTGTGCCATGAATTAAATACTCCAATTTTGGAATTTATTTTACAAAAATGCCCTCTTTGACCCTAGCTGTATAAGATGGGGATAAGGAGACTATGAAGGATAGAAATAATGTGACAATTTATCTTCAGCCAATGGCACAGCTTCTATCAACCAAAAAAAAAAAAGGTACTGAAAACTATTCTGTTATATACAAGAGAAAGTGATCATGGGGGAGGGCTCAACAACAGTTGGCAAAGTTACTCAAATAGGGAGTCTTTGAGGGAAACAATGTTGCCTCCAAAACTAAACATTTTCACACCAGTGTTTACAGGAAAACAGCTGTGTACCTAGCTCCCTTATAATGTGGCACAAATATCTCACCCTCAGCTTCAGTTATTCATTGCTATATAACAAACTACCTCAAAATTTAATGGTTTTAACTACCACAATTTTATTTGCTCACAATTCTGTGGGCCAGAAATTTAGGGAGTGTTCAGCAGGGCCATTCTTCTGTTCTGTATGGCATCAGCTAGAGTTGGAATGTCCAAGATGGCTGCCATGTGGCTGCATCCAGCTGACAGCTGAAATAGGCTGGAAAGTCCAAAAACGTTTCACTCATATGTCTGGGGCCTTCATGTACCTCCATGTAGCCTCTCTTTCTTCCATGCAGCTAGTTTGAGCTTCATTACAGCAAGGTGAACCAACATCTTACATGGTATCTAGGTTCCACAAGGAGTAAAAGTAGAAAGTATAGATCTCCTAAGCTCCAGGCTTCAAATCCACAAGGAGTAAAAGTAGAAAGTATAGATCTCCTAAGCTCCAGGCTTCAAAGTTACATAGGGTTACTTCTGCCACAAAACAACAGGCATAAGATTCATGGAGATGAAGAGATAGATTACTTCTGTAGAGAAGAAGAGGGACAAAAGGAATCCAGATCTCTGTTTTGCAGTCTACCACACCTATCAACCTAGAGTGTCATCATTCATCAGGTCAAGCTAAAGCACCAAAATTTAACTCCCCTTCTTAATTTTTGAACCATTTTCTCTGCCTTCCAGGATCCCTAAAACCTGAAATCCAAACAGTTTAATGATACCGAATGTTTCAAATTAGTGTCTGTCTTATTGTTCTTGGTAGTTGGGGAAGGGATCAATATTAATGAAGAGAGAAGCAGCAAATATTGTTAATGAGGATAAACTAGGAGAGACCCAGTTACTGCAGGGATGTGTTTCAGCATGCATTGAATAAAATGACACAGGGTATGAAAGCCTGAGTCTTTGATGCACCCACAATAATAACAACCCCAAAGTTAGCACTATGGGTAAATTTTAATAGACGATGTCTTACAAAAAGCTCTTTGCGTGAAATGCAGCCCAAAGACTAAATTAGAGCCAAAGCCCCAGTCAGTTAACTGTGCTATAACATGTGAAGAATTGATTTTCTTATTTTCAGCTGTCAGACCTGCTACAAAGAATGAGTTTTAATTCTGGGGATGTTATTAAACTCCTTGCTTAACTGGCAGAAAAATGGAACTGCTAGCTGGGTGACAGTAGAGCTGCTGTCGGATTGAATGACACCTGTCAGAGTATGATGAATGACCCTGTCTTCCCCACAATCCCCTGTTCTGTCACTCAGGTGAGGCCCATTAATCTTCATCCTGGGCCTGTCAGGCTAGGCACCCATGACGACAAAATGTCTTGAAGCATTTACCCCCAAGATGCACGGAACAATACGATCTTCTCATTGTCAGAGCCACGTGGAATTAGCATAATTTATTATGACTTCCATCCCCCTCACTCTCTACCTCTATCACCACCCCCAAAAAAGCAAGTGGGGGCTAGATGGGATTAGACAGATGGAGTGTAGGACCAGACTGCCAACTACCAAACCCCCTGCAGTGCCTGATGATTGGGGGGAGCATCTCTACAAACCAATCAAAAAGCTGGCAGTTCAATTACAGAGTAATAAAGGGACATTCATCATTCAATTAGGCACCTGTCATGGTTTCACAAAAGGGAAAACTTCTAACCTGAGACTCCTGGGAGAAGATGATACAACCAGGAGACAGGGAAATAAATGAAAAAAGGGACAAAGTCAATTACTGGCCAACCAGACAAAAGGATATATGTTTAAAAAATAAAGTTGGGCGGGGGCTGGTTCTCCCCAGGCAAAAATCAGAAAAGTTAGATGACCTTATCTAGATTAAGAAGGGCTAATATTAAAAGTAGCATGGTGCCCTCTTCTATGGTACATCTCATGATTGAATTTTCCCTTTAGGAGCTGCCAAGGAAACTGAATTTTCTAAGAAAAAAAATATCAGGAGGAAACAGTAACTCTGTTACTCAAAAGCATTGTTCTTTAAATAACTAAGACATGAGGGTGAAGAGGAGATAGCCTAAGTGGACATTCAACTTTGATGCTTTACTGTATTGAGGAGGAATGAGCCCAAATGACATTTTGAAAATATTATGCCCTGCTAGTGACTGGAAATAACAGTTGACAAATTTAATTTCTTAGCAAGTGTACGTGATGGTAATTGAAGCCAGAATATAGTTTCCAATGGGAAAAATTTCCATTTTGAGCAGGGGAGGGATGTAGAATTTTTTCTTATGATCTAACGGTTATTTTCTATCTTCATTTATATTAAAGGTTCCAGATAGATTTCATCACTCAAGATAAGCAAATGAACCACAGAATTTTGAAGTTAGAGGTAATTACAGCAATGATCTTAGCCAGCCCCCATACATTTTGGGACACACAGGTTCAGGACTGCCTGCCCTGGAGCTGATTCCATAAGATACCCAGTAAGTAAGTCCCTGTCAGGAACTGGACATAACACCCCTCACCTCAACTGCTGTGCTCACTCCACAGCTCAGCACAACTTTGAATTATTATCTCAAAGACTTTTAAAACAACAACAAAACACTTCCGAGAAAAAAATCTAGCAAAGTTTCTCATGTTGTAAAACAGTTATAGGTTAAGTAAATTAAAATATTTCTATTTTGAAAGGCAGTTTTCATGCTATCACTTTTCTAAAATTGATTGTTCATTCTAATAACCTTTCTCTATAGATTGTCAAGAGGCAGATTTATAATACATGTATTAATTATTTTCATAGTGACTCAAGCCATGAGTTTCAGTGTACTTGACCATCATGTGTCATCTTTCCAGGCACCAGGCTTTTAGGCGTGGCTTTGAAAGGCCCTCTGATGTTATCATGCGCCTTCTATTTTATTTCAGGGAAGAGAGAGTACCTTTTTCCTTCTCCTTTTCTTTCTTTGTTTTCTTTATTCTTAAATTCTTTTTTATTTTCTTATTTTTTATTTGAAAAGATACTTGATATTTAATCTAGATAAACTACACAACCAAGGTGAGGTTAATTTTGAGAATAAATACTCAAGAAAATGTAAGTTTCTGTATAGAGAAGGGTGATGCTTCACTCAGGCTTTTGTGGACATACTGGACAATGGTATTCTTAACCTTTAAGATCCGTAGTGGGGAAGAAAAATATATGTCATATATGAAGCCCATAGGTATGTGTGTCTATATGTGTACACATACACGTTATATCTTAGATACCCACACACATACTACACACTGTAAATATATTCCTTTCTATTTTAGTTTTGAAGCTTCATCTGCTGCAAAACATAAAAAAGCAAGGCAGAGTCAACCTCAATTTGTTGTATACTAAGATATATTGGCAAGCCCTCTCTGCTCTTTTTTCAGAAGCCCTTAAATGTCATATCCTAAAATCAGTAAGATGGGTCATTCCATCCAGAATGTATTTATCAGTTTAATAGGCCTCTAAAATATATTGTCAATTCCATTGGAGGAAGTGGAATAGAGAGGAGAGAAAATGACTTTTGCTCCCTCCTTTCCCCATCTCTATCCTCCTGATTAGAGTCAAGCTGATGCATTTTTAAGTCCAAAAGAGAGTGTAGCATTTTTTTCCAAGTTTACATTTTTTCTATTGGGAAAATAGAAAGATTAAAGGATGAACAGTAAAAATTACCAAGGTCGTAATAACTCAGAAGTAAAAACTTCTAAGACTGAGGAGTGTATTTTTAAGCCGAGGATTAAATCTCTAACTAGTGACGAAATCTCAATAAATTTTCATCGGTGCAAATAGCATGAAGATTTAGAAGAAGAATTGAATCTAATAAGGTTTTATACATAATTAAAATACACAAAAAGTTATACATTTTGTTTATGTGGAAATTTGCCTCACAAGACCCATGTGTGTGATGGTGGCAGGACACTCCGCCAGGCACAGAAGGCCTAATTATTGCCACAAACAAGCTGTGAGATGCCAGGTGGCCATTTCATTTCTTGGGGCTTTAGTCTACGCATTTTTAAAAGAAAAGAATTGAACCAAATCATCTCAAGATACTTTGTACCTAAAATCATTTGATTTTCTAATTTATATCCTTAAATTGCATTTTCAGAATGACCCACTCTGTTTTGATGAAGAAGCTAGTGATTGTTGGAGGCCAGCCTCTAATTAGACCTCCAAAAATTAGAGATTGTATCCTGTTTAATCACATACAGTCAGTATATAGTGTATATTATAGATATTATAGATAACACAGAAAGAACCTATTGACTCTCACCCTCTGAGAGCTTCCCATTGCTCCCTCTGGGAATGGCAAAGCTGGACTCAGTACCCACCACTTATATCAATTGCCTGAGCTTAAAGTGCCTCAAGGACCAGCAGTTCAATTCCATCTTTAACATGTAAAGCTAAACTGAAATTAGGTAAAAATTAATACTGTATATAAGACATGGCAAATCAGTCACAAGGTAGCTATTCTTTAACACAACCATACTGCTATTTTAATAATTTAAAAAGTTTAAGTTGAATTTAAATTATTTCTTTACCAGAAAGCTCAAATGAGAAAAAAAAAATCCAAGAGCTTAAAGCCAGGGTTTCCAATATATTTTATACCATGACATACACAGAAAATGATTAGAAACTAAAAATCTATCCACTGAAAGACACATCATTACTTTATATATCCCTAAAAAAGAGAAAACCATTTTTCCCACCTCTAATTGAAGAGCTTCACTTCAGACAGGTTTCATCTATTTGTGAGCATCTTCCTTTCTTCAAAACTCGCAAAGTATTTGTCTGTTCATCACTTCTGTGACTTACTTTCCTTTATCAACATCACATTTATACCTACTTCTCTGTTTCCCTGCCTTTCCATGTACATAATAACTGTTTTGTTTCAATGCTGAATCATAGTGTATTTTACTGAAGACACTTTAAGGGAAACTCAACCCAATGCGAGCAGTACAATGCACATCACTCAACTGAAGTTTGTATAATATGAACAGCTGTGACCAGGTTTTGGCATGTGCAGGCAATAACAACTACCTTATCACTGCCACCTGGCCAAAAGCAATTGTAAAATATTTATGGGGAAACACATTCCAATTTCAGAAATGTTAAATGAGAGAAAAAAAAACATGCATTTTAGAATCCATGATGTAAGATCAATGGATAAGGCCTCTCTTGGTGCAGAACAAACAGCTGGAGGGTCTCAACCATCCCAGCCCAGCTAGGTGCCCCAAGGAGTAAGGACAGCAATAGCCCAAGCACTTATAACCCATTCTCAGCATGACTGACTGATGAGAGCCAACATGAAGGTCTATAGAGAGAACTTCCAGACAATGCTTCTCTAGATACAACCCCATAGAATTGCAACTTAGTTGAGATTTAACAAGAATCCATTTGGCAAAAGTCTCCAATCACCTTTGGCTTTGCAGCCTGCCTGCCAAAGCTGAACAATTATATCCCCATATTCTTAACTCTTTTATTCATTCTAATCATTTGGATCTTTGCTCTCTTTTCTAGTATTTGAGTAGTCATAACCAGTTGGAGATAATGCTGGGGGATGGAATGTCAAGACAGTTCCTCACACCCATCTATGCCTTGCCTCCCCTTGTCAATCTGCCTTTCAGGTAGTGCTACCTCTACCATTCATCATCCCACCTGCCCAGGACAAATGACAAACACTTGCAGTCTTTGTTTTTTTTCTAGCCTCACTATCTGTATGGGGTAATAACCTTGATCAGCATCACAACCTCCAGCACTTCTCTTCCTGAAGAAGGGAAACTGGCTTCCTGATTGACCCTGAGCAAGTGAACCAAATAATATACTTAGTACAAGCTCAGCTGCTGTCCCATTCCAAAGCTCCCTCCCCATTAAGCACATTGGTCTTCACTCAGAAAAGCTCACTGAAATTCTCCTCTCACTTGTATAAAACACAATTCTGTGCCTAAAACTATGGTTGATTGTGGTAAGTAATTTCTTTAAAACAAATTATTAAAATAAGCATATATAGAACTGATTACCACAGAGACTTAGTGAGTATTCTACACCAAGCTTACAGACACATCTTCACCTGAATGACCCAGATTGTAAACGTAGAATTCTGTTTTGTTCTGTTTCATTTAGCTTCCTCTGGAACATGCAGGCAGTGCTTAGGCCTCAGCCTCACAATCTTCTTGACTATAGATAGACAGGGCTGAATATTAGGCATAACTGAGCACCCGTATTCATTCATTTATGCATTGACTCATTTCCTTATTCAGTAACTGTCTGTTACATATCAGGCATTCTCTAGGAATTCACAATCTAATGGGAAAGAATCATACATAAATAGATAATTATAACACAGTGTGATTATCAGCGCAATGTACAGACAAACCCAGAGTATGAAGGAGGCAAAAAGTCGGGGTGCCCTAATTCCCTGACACTCCCAGAAGTTACACTTCCCCTGTAGCAGACTTCCATTATCATATTTGATATCCTGGATGAGTATTGAGAAGAGATGGTGTTTGAGCAGAGGAAAAGGAAACTGTAGAACAGAAGGCTTTGTTTACACTCCAGGTAAGGAAATGGAGGGTTAAAAAAAAGTAATCACACCAATGCAAAAAGAGGAGGAAGATAGTGAAGTATCAGGAATGCAGCTGGATGAATAATTGATGAGCTGGTAGCCTAAGAGAGCGTCTCATTAATATGATCCTGCAGGTTCATTAAGTACTATTCCAGGCTTGTCTTGGAGAGGGCCTCCTGAGTCTTGATTAGGGATTGTGTGGCTTTCGCTTCGACATCAGAACTTTGGGCTTTGGGTTCTGACAACTGCTTCCTAAGCTCCTATCCTTTTACCCCAGCACCTTTGGAAGCTCTTCTCCAACCCCCTCTCACTAATCATGGGCCCCTAACCATGACAGTCAGTCCTAGTAAATAATATATCAAGATAAATGATAATTGTTCTGTTTTAAGTGTCTCCTAATGAGCATCATAAATTAAAAATTAATATTGCAAAGACTATATGAATAGCATCAAATCCATAAACAAAGCAGCGGGTATCACGCTTGCAAATGAAAGCTAAACACCTCCCTTGTCCTCTTTTCCATTCCCCACCTCTATCTACCTTCCCCCACTTCCTTCTCCACCTCCCTCCTGGCACTCCAGACCTGGCGTCCAAGCCACCAGGAATTACATTGCAAATAACAGTACCTTTTTTTTTCCCCTCACAGATCATTTCTGGCCTGCTACTTACCTACCTGGTTTAGTGTGACTTGAAGACCCAATCCAGACAATTTATTTCTCATTATTTATTTTGCTTAGCCAGAGATAGACAAGGCAGAATCAGATTATGGAAAACTTTTAGTTGAGGCAGATGAACTAGGTCAGATCCCTTGGAAAGATTGAATATAGAATTTTAATGGCATCAAATAGTTCTGTCCTTCCATATTAGACAATTATATTTCAACCGAAGTCACATTTTGGAGAAGACTCTATACCAGAATCTTAGTAAGAGCTTTTTATTCTCTGTGTAGTAGTAGGATAGCTTTTTGGGGGTGTTTTCCTGGTTTTTCCAAATTGCTACAATTTTAACAATTATGATCATGAATAGCAAAAAGAAAGAAAACATCACTCAGAAGTGAAGAAAAGCGCTTGGTCAGACACAAAAGCCCAGTCACAAAGGTTAAAATAACCATCATTTTGTGAGCCTTTTTACAATGCACTAGACACCGTGAGGTGTGCATCATCTCCATCCCTCACAGCAGCACTGAAGGGTAGATGATATTATTCCCAGCATCCTATTGCTATCCAGAGGGAAAGGAGGCTTAGCCAACGGGCTGCAAACATTCCAATTCCTTTTCCTGAGATGGACGCATGAACTCTCTTGGCCCAAAGGCATTAAATATTCCACCCATGTAACCGATGCCCCTTCTTGGAATTCAGAGCTCACCCTGCAACCTGCTGGTTATCATTTGGCTTCTATCACAGGCTGCCAACGGTGAGAGTACACATGGGTCACGCTCATGTAAATATTCCAGACCATATGGCAGTTGTATTTCTCACTGTAAATGAACACATTGGCTTTGTTCTATAGAAAATCAATTTCGCAAAAACTTGAGTTCAGTTACTTTTGGACTGGAAGGATAAAAATTTCCTAAGCCTTCACTGATTGCTGAACCTTCTATACCAAGTCTACATGAGTTCCACATCCCTGAATGCTCTCTCTCAGTTGATTCGCTTGCTTTACTAATCCAAGGACTCAAACATTCACACAGCTGTATATGGAGAAAATATAAAAACAATTCACCTTTTTGGCAACTGAGCTACGTAACCAATAAAGGTGGTTTCACTTCAGGCCATTACCCAGATTAGTTTTACTAAACTTAGCTGGAATGCCATCCTGCGCCTTTGAGGAATGTGCACAATATGCTTTGGTACTGGCATTGCTACCACTGTAATTCTCTCACACAAATAGAGGCACTACAGTCGTAATATTATTCCAGTGAAAAACTGGACCTCTCTCTCCCTGGGATACCACAAAGCTAACAATGGCAAAGCCTCCCAAAACCAAAGTGCACAGAAGAAGACAGTGCTTAAGCTAATTAAATCTGCTGTGGAACCAGGAGAATTCCAAGAACAGCAGTAACACATTTTTATTTTATAAAAATGTCCCCATTGAAACAACAGATCTGAATGCAAATGTAAAACTAAGCATTCGATAATGCTCACTTTCACATCTGTCAACATTTTAGAGTAACTTCAAGAGGAATACATTTGTGGTTCTAGAAATTCTTAGTTTATGCATAGAATACATTTGAGAGGACTTTGTTTTCACAAGTATCCAGGTATCAAATAAAAAAATACCATGGAATCACACACTTTTGAAGCTGGAAGGGATCATGAGAGTCATGTATACCTGCCCCTCATTTAACAGGTGTGATGAAAGTTCAGAGAGGTTCAGTTATCGCTCAAGATTACTCACATGACTGGATTTCAGGAAATTTGAAGGCAAAAAATAAATTAGGGATAGATTTCCCTCTGTACCCTTAGCATTTAAATGGCAAATCTCTCAGTCTGAGATAGAGGGCTAACCCAGACCAAAATTCACTGGTCACCTGACCTTTCTGTATTTTTACAAACAAAATTAAATGGAGAATTGAAACATTTGCCCAAATTGCTTTGGTTAATTTACTGAGCTTTGTTTACCTTAAAAAAAAATGAAATAGAGTAGAATAAAAAGGGTGACACATCTTACAGTATTTGAATATTAATAAAATCATATTTGATGTTAAATTTACTGTTTTTATTCTTACGTGAGTATATTTCATGACACTTTTCATGTTTCAGTTATAACTATATGTGTGTATATATATGTATGTGTCTGTATGTATATATATTAGATATATGCTAAGTTATAATATATAACTTTTTCTTACCATGAATCACAGTAAAAAAGACCAAAATTCACTTCAGTGGAAATTTCACTTTTGCCCCACTCACCATCTTTAAAAACAAAAAACCAACAATGAAAATAAAATGTAAAATAGAAGCTTCTCATAACATTTTGGGGGAACCTTGCATTAAACTATCACTTTCTTGTCACTGCAGCCCAAAATGTTCTTTCTCCTTCAGGCCTAGTGCAATGTCCTATAGGTTACTAAAAAAGAAACATTAAACTTAAGAAACTAGAAAAAGGGCAAATGCACAAAAGATGAAAAAGGAAACAGATCTTCCTTTCGTTGTTTTAAGATACATGTTTTTTTCTTTCCTAATATCAAAGTTTGGGGTAAACAACAAATGTAATTTGCTCAGTTCCTAGGACAGTAGATGTACAATAATACGTGTTAAAGGAACACCAAAATAAGGGTAAAACAGCAGACTTTAGACTCTGCTACTAACCTGTACAAAACTTGGTGGAGTTTATAATTTCTCTGAGCTTCAACTTTCTCAACCGTAAAAGGTGATGACTGGGCAAGAGCTGCATTTCTTTCAGGGATCTTTGCAGAACTCTTTCCATGGGCTCTTAATAAATGACCCATGAAAATCATTTCTAAATGATAGGTTAATAGTGGGCCCTTCACCGATTTCTACCTTCTTATGTATTCATGATCATCCAATGAGTCCTAACTTTCCAGCTCAGAAATGGTGACCTCCAAAGAAAAAGAAAAAAAAAAAAAAAAAAAGGTCCAAAGAAGAAGAAAATGAAATCACTCTGGATTTCTTAAATAAAACATAAAAGTATATCCAACTGCATGGACCAGATACTAGTAAGCTTCTCAAACTAGGAAGCAATAGTTTGGGCTGTGAATTAAAGACTTATTTTTCATATGTCCTTTCTTTTATACATGTGATCTTTCACAAAAAAAGAGAGAGAAATAGAAGGTACTATTTGGTTCCAATAAGTACCTTGTCCAAAAGACAACACAGCAATGGGCACTGTGCACCATTTGCTCAGGAGTGGTTCTGTAGCATCAGGACCAAGTGGGAGGACTGGAATTAGCAGGAGCCCTACTCACCTACTTCTGTGACTTTGGGATGAAAGAGAATCCAAATGAGCCCCTGCTCTGTATGGAATTGTGACTACCATTATCTACAGCTACAACTCCAGAGTTAGAAAAGATAACCCTATCTGTGAAGATAACCCTTCTGTGAAGGTCCTGAATCTGGGTAGCTAGAGGGCACGGTGTATCTGGGGAAGCACAGCATATTCCATTAGGCACACCACTGTGACTCTAAGCTTCCATTTCCTTATGCAAAATGGGAATGAAACTAGAACCTACCTTATGAGTTGTGGAAAGAATTAAATATATGTGTAGGACTTGACCCATTATCTGATACATAGTAAGTGCTCAGTAAATGTGCCTGGTTTTATTATAGTATAACTGAATCCGGACTATGATTAAGAGAGCAAAGATAATGAAAATTTAAATGATATGTTAGTATAGATGCATTCTGCTGTGATGTGAATGCATTAGAAAGACACTGGGGAGGCATACACATTGAATTAGAAACGAGCACCACCTTCATGGTCCATTTTGTTCACTTTCCAAGCAAATGGCTTGGAAGAGTTGAAGGAATCTGGTCACCCCTAGATGATTAGCAAATCTTGTACTTAATGGGCAAAATGAGCAGCCAGGGATGCATCCATTTCTCAGGAGATAGGCTCTTGCCATACATTTCCATTCTTTGTTTAAAATTGCAACACATTTTGGACCAAAAATCTTTGGGCATTTTGCATCTATCCTGCCATCCTGAGATTTGTATATGCCAACAAACACCTTCTAGTTATCATTATGTAGCACTGATACTTTGCTCTGGGGTCTATAATCATCTTTATGTGGTCAAAGATGGCTTCAGTTTACCCTGGCAAAGCAGATGACGGCTGCTCTTTTATCTCAAGGAAGTGGAGACAGAACAGGGAGTTCTTGTCTCCCTTGTCCAAAGGGCACACAAGTAAGCAGAAGTGCCTGGGCTACCGGGACTCTGAAATGTGGCCATCAGCCAGGTGGCAGTGCTGGCCGGGTAATCACCCCACCCAGCACGCAAATCAGGGTAGCACTCACTTATTTTCCTGAGCTACTCTAGGCGGTGAGCACTAGCCTCAATGCTACCAGGTGTACGTACCGCAAAAATGGTTGACAGGCTGACAGGAAGTATATTTTGGGAGGAAAATAATAGTAAAGACTTAATTGAAGGATATCTGAAGAAAGCAAAAGAAATTACCCAACCCATCTGCAAATCACACGCTGGAAATGAATGGGTTCTTTAGTGTTTGGGACATTTTCGTGTTATAAAAATGTAGACTATAGAGCTATTATATCAAGTAATTTATGGGATGAATATTGTAATTCATTGAATGTCATGACTTATCTTTTATTCATATAGTTACTATTCCATTACCAGAGAGGGAGGTTTGTCAAAGGTTAATTATTTTAAATTGCTCTGGCAAATTTATTTTGATTTGTACAATTTTTTTGAATAATCATAGGTCTATATATTCATACATCTTTATGAGGCTTCTTTTTTAAAAATAATATTCTTTGATGAGGCAGTTAAAGCTAGATAAATGCTTTAGTGATGTCTTTAAAATATATTCCCTTTAACTCTGGATGTAGATCTACAAAAAATATTATATTATTATTGTTATTGGTATGATGTCTATTTTAGAACTTTCTATTTTTCCTAGGAAAATTGCAATTAAAAATGGCCAGGAATATGAAATTTTAATTTCTTAAGGGGTTGCCCATGGTTCATAGTACCTTTGAGCTCTGAATCACTATTTGGAATCCCCTCTAAACGGTGAGTGGGAAAGCTGTTGACACCTGCTGTGGGCTGTACCTCACCTCTGTTTCACATGAGGCTACTCCTTGGCCAGGGATACCTTCTCAGGACATGAGATTTGGTCCTTGAGGGAGAATAAATGCTGGACTACAAGGCAAATACCTTCCAAGTTAAAAAAATAATTATGAATCATAAATCTAAATTTAAAATAGAGCCACAAGTGAGGAATTAGGAAGACTACAGTACATACAATATATACAATAGAATACACAGATTAATCCAAGTCCCACCTCCTTCAAAATGAATAGGCTCTCCCATGAAGCCTTCCTAATTAACTCTGCTTTTCTTCTTTATATGTCTCAAATACTTATGTATCATGTCTATATTTCATTAATATGGTTTCATTGTTATGTAGCTTTTTAATTATTCATAAATCATTTGAAAGTTAGGTATAGTAGAGTCAGAAGACCTAGGCTCACAGTTAAGTCCTGAGGTTTATTGTTTGTACAGGCTTAGATACATTGTTTGATTCGTCTGCGATTCAGTTTATTTTATGTGAAAGAGGAATAAGAAGCCCCACCTATGTTCTTCATGCAGTTGGCAATATGTCACCTAATAATTGCGCACTTCTCTAGGTTCATAAAATTCTTGCGTATCTATCTCGTTTAATCCCTCAAACAATAGTATATAAGATGAGCACTATTACCCATCCATATTTATGAACATAGGTATTAGATGAATAATGTGGAAATGTTATTTTTAACATCATAAGTTATTGTTATTTTTAGCCTGTAGATTTTATATCATCAATTTAAAATTAACACCCCTGAGGCTACAGGCCATCTCTTTCCTTTTTTTATATATATAATTCTCTCCTTATGCTCTTTTCCTTTAGGTGGTTTGGTGAATAGATTCAGAAGATAGATTTTTCTAGGATAGATAACAAAGTGCTTTGCAAAATAAATGCTCAGTAGGGTGGTGTCTATACATTGCCATAGTAACTGATTAATTTTATTTGGTGTCAGGAAGAAAATAATAATCAATTATTTAATCAAACTTTTTACTTTTAACCAGTTGTAATGGTCTTATGCACGTGGTAAAAATGTCCCTGAATAGCACAGCAAGCCTCAAGGCATACAAATAAAATACATATATGTACTCTATCATGCTGTTACTAAGAAAAAAGCCACGGTATACGATTCTGAAAAGCATGAGTAAAGGCTTCAGGTACAGAGGCAGTGAGATGTTCCCTATTTACCCTACCAGAAGGAAAGATCCATCAGAAAAGAGCCCTTGTCTGTCTTGTTCACACTTACTATTTTCAGAACCTGTCACACAGTTGGTGCTCAATAAATACTAAGTATAAAATATCTCATTATATTCATATCACTCAGATCCTTAAAACACTATGAAGCTTTGCAGTTAAAAAAGAACTTGGAGTTTTGAAGTGGATTGAGAAGAGAGAAACAGTGTTGGAGATAGGACCCATGAGTAAAAGTTAAGGAAACAAATTTATTACTCAAAAGGCATAAATTAAAGGGAGACTGCAAATGTCAGATAGCATCCTATGTGATGTCTATAATGAAGCAGATGTTGGCAGGGGAGTGACTCCTCAACTCTGCTGCAAATAGATGCAAAGGAAATGTGTTCACCTTGCCATACAAAAGACATGCATTAGGTAAAAGTAAATAAATATACATGTAAACACATACATACATAAAATACATCCCCATTGAGAAGTGGTGGAAAGTGAACAGGAAAATTACAGAATTAGCTCTCAGTGATCAAGTTTTTGCCCAATAATGTGTCAGGCACAGACTCTAAGTACTTGACTTACACTGTCTCACTAAACAAATTCTCTATAGTAGATATTATCATGATGAAGAAACTGAGACTATGAGCAATTAAATAACTTGCCCAAAGTCATATGCTAGTGGTCAGCAGAGTCTGGAATGAGTGTCCATCTCCACCTTCTGGGTTAAAGTCATTTAAGATACCTGCCACCTGCAACCTCAACATCCACCAGCTCTAAAGTTTTTTTTCCATGGACCCTGGAGGACCGTACAACTATTTTTGCTTAACAGACTTCATGAAAGTGGAAACTGATTGATGGCTATGATAATGCAAAACATTTACTAATGTGGCCTACAGAATTATTTGTTTAAACTTATACATATATGTTATACCTATGCAAATATTTTACTCTTAATAAGTCTTTTTACCCAGATTTCACAGTAAAACTAGGGTCCCATGAGATAGAGTCCCTGAATCAGCAAGTAGAGAGATTTCATCTTCAATATAGTATACTTGGCCCTAAATATTTTAATTTTCCTGTCATCTTGCTATATATCAATAAAGGGATCTTTCAATTGAAGTATTCTGTATAGCTGTGTAAACTCAATCAATTAGCCACATAGTGGTCATGTGTCCACTTCCTTTTGAATCGTAGAATCCACTGTCTAAGGTGAGATTTTGGTAGGAGGACACACTGGACCCTGGTGTGAGCTGCACTGGCAGAAATGTCACTGTAAGATCCCAAGGTATTATTATAAATTGTCAATATGGCAGAATTAAAGGCAGCCCTCCTCAAGAATACCACTGCAACACTGAGCCCACCCTTATCCCATTCTACTGTACACCACCAGAGAACATCACTCCGAATCCAGTGTCTTTTACCAGAGACAATCTGATTCCTATAGATTGGGATATTTCTATTTTTAATTCTCCTTAACAGAGAACTCTAAGTCCAGAATCTTCTGCAAAGGCCTGTGAAGTGCTATTCTGATCATCCCTTCATGTTCCTGAGTTGCTCTGGGATAATGTTGTCGGGGGAAGACCCCCAGGGGAACAGCTGATTGGATTCTGGCAAGATGGACCAAACATCTGCTTCAAACAAAAGACATCTGCATATTTCACATTTATTTTTCATAATTTACAGAAGCAACCTGCCAAAATTCAGCAAGGGAGAATACACTAGCACATAATTAGCTTAAAGTTTGCTTGCTTTAGAAGTATGAGCATGAAGCCCAGGAGCTCACCTGGGAGGACATCAAGGAATGGCGGAACTGAGGTTTGATTTCTGTGAATTTTGTTTTAGACCTCATATGCCAGGGCAGAAGACCTGGCCCTGCTAGGCTTGGAAGGGAGAAGCAAATATGCCAGAGATGACACGAGGAGGTTCTTTCGCCCTCGTGTCAAATAAAAAGCCTCCACACCAAAAGAGTGGTCAAAGATAATATCATTTATTAAATAAGATCTGATTAATCAGAAAGATTTTGCTTCAACCACTTAGCACTACAGTTCACAGGTTAGAAAATGATGCAATGCTACATGGCGCTTAATTTAAAATGTATATACCGAGAGTACCAATGGCATGGTGAGAAATTATGTGTGGGTGTTTCATTATTGTTCAAATCATCAGAAAGCTGTTATTTGTCAAAAAAATACTAGGAAATATATTGGTTGCCTAGATGCTAGTATATTTGGAATACATGATGAAAACATAAAGAGAACAAGATAATGGACTATATTATCAGTCTTAATATATCCTGCTATCATGAATACAACTATTTTCCCCCTATAAACTACATCATCCCAGTTGAAATTCAAACTTGGCAAGGTCATAATTACATGAAATAACTAAAGCTTGCTTAGAGAATAAAAAGATTTGGGGGGGGGGGTGGGTTCTTTTTGTTTCTAACAAAGGAATTTCAACTCTATGTCCAGTATTTTTTTTTTTTAAAGTAGCTATGAGGTCCTGTGGGATTTTCCCTGATCTTAACTCCAGGGAGAAAGCATATTTATAGTTAAAGCAAAGATTTGCAAAATATTAGGCGCTGTTTTGAAATGTTTGAAACATCAGGCCCCTGGTGGGAGGAGTGCTATTTTGATTTTGCTGACTGTCTCTGATCTTCCAGTCTCGGTCATTGCTTTACAAAAGCAATTGTGTTCCTGATTTACTTGTAGACACAATGCTGACCCTATAAAAATCTCTGCAATACTACCACGGCAGTTCCAAAGGATTTAGCATCTTAAATTATGCGTACATTGTCGAAGCAACATATGCAACCCAGGCACCGTGATCCAAACACACAGTGCAGTCAGATCATTTATCTTCTTGATAATTTCCCCTGAAAATTATTTCTGAAGCACCTCCTAGAAGCATCACAAGGACTCTCCTGTGAGGAGTAGCCTGGAACCCAAATGTCCTTTGTGGTTACTGCTCTTGTGGGGAAGTGGCAGGCTCAGGGTAGCTCTGACTCTGGCCAACATGGTTGTATTTTTCTATGGGCTCTTGATTTTTAAGAAATAAAAATCAGCTTTAGTTACAGAGAAATTATGACACTAAATAGAAAAATAACGAATTGCTGGATCATAAACAGATATTTTCTACCTCCCAAAATAAGCCTTTGGTCTTGGTGGGTGATTAGCAACACAAAAATACATTGGCATTATTCCAGGAAGGAATATCACTGAAGAAAAGAAGAATCAGAAAGATATACATTCTGTGTATAGCTGGTCCATCCTTACATTGGATAATCCCCATGAGTGACAGTGACCTATATTTGTGTTGCAGGCCCATCTCAGCTTGTAGAAGGGATCTAAATTTCTACCCAGGGAAATTATTTTGAGTAGCCAGGATCTACTTGTCTTATCTCCAACAAATTGTCAACATCATGTATGCCTATCCTTCTCCCATAGGGTAGTGTGGCCAACATATTTTTGAATGTGCCTTCATGTTCAGCATTTGAGTTTAACAATCCCCTCACAGCTTTTTGCATGGACTTTTTAGCTTCTCCACCCAAAGAGTAGATTAAAATCTCCAGTTGGAGCAGATGTGAGATCCAACCTGGTTGAAGCATTATCTCTGAATAGCTTCTAGAACATCTTCTTTTCTGATTTGTAAAAACTACAGGAATAATATATATGTTTCTCAATTTGTTTTTCTAATAGGTCTGTGATCAAATTTTGTTCCACACCCAATATCAGACAACATGTGCACATCTTGGACAAGACTATTGGGGTCTGTGAGGGGAAATCCCTGCCAGAGCCCCTCATTATCATATTTTTATTTCATTCCTAAGGTAATAAGCAAAAAAAGATTCCACCACTTCTTAGCCTCTACATTCTCCTGGATAATTTTATATCTTTGTTAGAAATATAAAATGCAGCTGTAGGAGTCTTTACAAGTCTAAAGAAAAGAGCTAATAATAGTATATTTTTATGGCCCACAATTTATCCTGCTGAAAAAGGGCAGTTACATTCTTAGAGTTGATTATTGCTACATCTTAAATTTTCTAATTGTTTTAGATTTTTCACTTATTTTAGACACTTTCACTTTGCCCCCTAGAGTAAATTAAGATGAAAGGTAAATTAAAAGAGAGGAATTCAACATGAAGAGAATAAATAAACAAAACACAGATTGCAAAGCAGGAATGAAAACAAGGTCTCTGAGATCAATCTGTTAAAGGAATGCTACAAATGTGAAGTGTTTACTATTTTAAAACATTAATCATGTACTCACCCTGTTTATTTAGCTATCAATATTTTTCCTGTAACTCTGACTTGAAAATGTGTAAGCTGTTTAGAATTAGGACTCACACTGAAGACAAATGATATTTTGATTATTTATATTGCCTAGCTTGTCTTAAAACTTCAGAGTTGTAGACTTTTCATTTCAATTTACACCTTTTTTAAAAGTCGTTATTATTTTGTATAATGTGACATCTCAAGTAACTTTTATTGCCACCCACTACCATACGCCCAAGCCACAGGCATTAAAGATAGGGAGCCCAAGGCCTCCATCAATAGGACTATTCAGAAGATGGCTAACATCTTGCTTTTACCTAGAATGCATGCCTCAATCCCAAAACATGCCATTGTAGGACTGGCCTGGTTATCAGAATTAGCAGTTCCAAAGGGCTGAGAGTTTCCCAAGTTCCTGGGAGTATTTTCTAGGCAGAGATAAATTATTTTTAATAAAAACTCATAATTTGGATATGATAATGAAATAGCCACCAAAGCTACTATATACTCAACATGAGCAGGAGACTCTCATCTGATCTCACAAAATTAAATGTCTTGTGAAAAAGAGAAACAGTTCACATAAGGTTGATTTACCATTTCTACCCATTGAGAAAGACAGGAAAGCATTAGAATTTTCTCCTGGAACAAGGATAGGGAAAAATTCCCCCTCATTGGAGCACCTAAACAATGGCATAGATAAGATCCCCCAAAATTGTATATTTCTCTTGAAAATTATTATTGCTGCTACAAATTTACCCATACAATATTCAAGTGTGCTAGAAAATGGTGGTATCTTTATTTTCTATGGCCGACCTAAAATTCCTCAAGTACCTCCATCCCATTTCTTCTCATTTTAACAGTTTAGCCTCCAGTGAAAGCTGTTTCTTTCCCCATCCATCATTTTCCCTGATTGGTGTGGGGGTATAGGCCCTCATGGTGGGTATCACTCTAGCTTTTGGAGTGCCATCTGCTTCAGGGTCTCACATGGTGTTTGGGTGCTGGCTGAATCTACATGTTTCACATTCAATATCCTGGGAACACCCAGCCTCTTGTGTTGGCAAGCCAGCCCATGCCTTGCCTGGCACTCTGCTTCAGCCTGTTTTAGAAAGCTCAGAAGCCTAGTTCCTACCTCTGACCTTTCTTTCCACAGTCCCTGAGAACCAGAAGAGCTGTCTTTTATTTCCCCTCTTGGTCAGGCCATGGGGACTTCCTCCTGCTCTATGTCGTCATCCTCCCAAGAGTGATATTTGCCTTCTGCCTTTATATATGCCATTGAGGGCAAGGTTGCTGTTGGGAAGGGATAACAAATGAAATCTTCATGAGTTTCACAGTTTCCAATTTACATACCCTTAGAGTTATGCAGAGGGCCCACTGTGGGCACAGTGGTTCCTAGGTGCTCCCAGTTTCTTCTCTCTGGGTCCTTTACCACCTTCCATCTTTCCATGGTAACTCCAACATTGCCCTCTGGGTTCCCAGTGTCCTCCCAAGATGCTCACCTCCTTCAAATTAAACATTTCTGGAAAACTGGCTCGTACATCCTCAATGTCTGACATGACTGTAGGTATCACTCTACTGGGGGAGTTACAAAGGACTAACACTTGAGCCAAAGCAATGAATCATCAAGGGTGTCATTTTGAGCGTTACTGGTTGAAGAAGAGCATAGGGGCAGAAAAGGAGTTTTCCAGATTCCACTGGAACAATATCTTGTGGATAAGATGGCCTCCTGAGGTTTCCCTATTTATATGTTCTACCAGAGATGTATGCATATGCACATGGATTGCATCTACATAAACACACATAGACAATTTAAATTGAAATATCAAGACATGTCAGCATGAGATTAACAACCATAAGAGAACCCTGAAAACTAATAAATATTCTGTAAATATTTAGTGCTAATATGCGTCCACTTAGTTGACACAGACCTTCTTAAATAAAGTAATAATAAAGAATTACAGAAAAAAATAAATAATTACAGAAATGACATAAACTAGCCCAAGCATATCTCAAATAACTGTGTTGGTTCCAGAGTCACCTAAAGAGCCAGACTTTAACAAAGTGTTTTTATCTAGTGAGAGAAATGACCACAGGCATCTTGCTATGACCAGTCATTAAAAACAATGTCAATTGTCCTTTTCCTAAAGGATGTAATTTCATGCAAACCTAAATGTGTTAACAAAAGCTGAGTCTTCTATTTTGTTGTTTTTATTTTACATTTATAGGCTATAGGAGTCTTGAATTAGTGGGTTTTTTTAGTTACTAAAACGATAATAATTTTTAGTATTTCTAATACTCAATAATTCTTAAAGAATATGTGGTGCTTATTTTTATTTCACAATTTCCCTGGAATTTCTGACAAGATAAAACTTTCTGCAGGATTTGGTGGATGTGTTTCTCCTTGGCTTGGCAGCTCTGTTGATGCCTCGCATGATAACATTTTGAGGTTTTGAGGAAGGAATCTAGATTTGCCCAGGTGTATCTTGATGGGCTTTGTGTCTGGATGTGTTCAGACAAACTTCAATGACATTTCCATCAATTTCTTACTTCCTGGAAGGATCAACCATCTTTCAAAATTCAATTAGAAACTTCAGTCAAATTCCTTGCCTTTGTTGCCAAAATTGTCACGAATACCCATCAGAGAGTGCTGACAACCACGCTGTTCTAAAGTGAAAATGTCTACAGCCTTGGTTTTGGTTGGCTTTACTAAATAGATTTTTCTCCTTTAGGAAGGATCATTATCACATCACTACTCCTGTTTCCCTCCTTTACAGCCCAAAGCATGCCTTTGTGTTATGTCCCCAGCATTCCACAGGGTGGGTGGGTACACATCTTGACGCACAAGCATGCCACCATGTTTTGGGTACATCTGTGTCCATGTTTTCAAGACCCTCCTCAGGCAATAGGGGACCTACGCCTCACATAACTCACATAAAGAAAAATGCAAATGTAGGAACCCACCTCCCCCATTAAAGAGCAGCATCCTCTTCCAAGGAAGGCTGCTTGCCAAAGAAATAGTTCATATTTTCTTGAGTTTAATTCAGGTTGTCATTCAATGATCTTTTTAAATTAAATTTTATATGATAATAGTAGCTACTCTAATTGAGGAACCTACTGAGTGTTTGATTCCTCTGTTTTGTATCTTAGGTAAATGATCTCCAAATTTCAATAATTCTTTGATGTTATTTGTTATTATTTATTTTAGTAATTTTTAAGTTTTGAAATAAATTAATAGTAAAATAAATTGTTTTAATTTTTTAATTGTATTATTTATTTATTATTTGGGGGCATTCTCCATTTGTGAATAAACATAGCCTCAGAGAAGTAAAGGAATTGGTCCAAGGTCATGCAACCAGTAATGGTGCAGAGTAGGATTGCAAACCCAGGATTTCTGAGTCCCTGCCCAGTGTTAGATTTTATATTGAACAACTTGGGGTACCATCTTCTATGCTCCCAGCCCACCTTGTACCCCAGTCACAGCAGTGGCAGCCAGTCTTGCACAGGGAGAGCCTGCAGTGCCTCCTGCAGCCATATGGCATAGAGAGGTCCGCTGACACAGTGACAGGGGCCTGGCATTCACACATGGGAAGTCACAAGTGTTGGGAGTTCATTCTGTCACCACAAGAAGCTGATCGATAAAGGCTTTCTCCTCCCATTCTCTGGGACAATTCTGGAGTCTGTCTGACAACTCCTTAGAAAGTGCCAGTGGGATCAAGCTCATTACTCATATTGACAGCTGGCTCAAAAATGCACCCTTGAATTGTTTCTGTCTTGCAGTCTTATCTCTTATTTCCTAGAACAACTTCTGAAAGAGAAAAAAGTCTTTGTCTCAGTTTCTGCTCTCCAGAGGTAACCCAAAGGTAAAGTAAGTATACCACGTCACACTCTAAAAGTGGCAGCAGAATATATCAAATGGGGAATGGTTCATTTTGCTTTGAGAAAATTCTTTAATGGGGCTCTTTGGGTTTTCAAAGGCAAGACTTAGACTCTAAACTAGAAGAAAAACCATCAGCTATGGGAAGTATGCAGCAATGTAAAATATAAGTGTTTTGTACAGGCAGAGATTTTAAGAGATGTTATTCTGATATTAACTAAGTAAAATGGTCTCCAAACTTCAACAGTCCTCTGATATTACTTATTTTATGGCCATTCTAAGGCCAGGCCTTGGGAAGGAGCTAAGTGTATAGATAGCAAAGAAAGAAGTAAGGAAAGGAGCCTCTGGCATGGGTGAGGGCATGGGCCCCAGAAAATCACAGGAGACCTAGGTCTAAGGGGGAAATTGGCCAGAGGGCTCACCTGGGATAGAGCAGGACCAATAGACTTCATGACCAGCGCTTGCTCTAGAGCTATGTGTGTTGCACAGCTTTTGTGATCTCTGCAAGCTTCAGTAAAGCTGCTTAACCATGGAAACCTAACGTGACTCCTGTGACAACCTGGGGAATAGAAGAAGAGTCTGTGTCTGTGCTTGGGGAAGAAGGAGGAGCCATAGCCTATAGAAGTGCTGCCTGGAAGGCCAGTGGCAACAATAGAGCAGTTTGGGGGTAGTACAGCCTGGGAAGAGACTGGACAGACAATGAATGGAACATCTAAGCACCTACCAGGAATCCACAAAACAATCCAGTGGCAGGGTTTCCTATAGTTACATAGGAAATAGATTTGAGCAGTTCTATTTAAACACTCAAGATAGAAATAGGAGAACTTGAGAACATTTTGCTAACACAAATATGGAGTTAAAGAAATGGGCAGGGAGTATGTTATTTGTACATTTCATATACAGCCCTGAATATTCCTAAAATATTTGTTAGGTGTCCACTATATGTCAGATACTATTCTAGGCACTGGGGGGAAAAGCAGTGAATAAAACAGAAAAAAATAAAAAAAAATTCTAGGGAAGGGAGACAGAAAAAAACATACTAAAAACATAGAGCCCGTTGGACATAAAACAGGGGAGGGAGCTAGGAGTGCTGAGGAAACAGAGCAATTGGAAATGTTGACACTATTTCTATCTTCCTTGAGAAAGAGCAAGTTTTGCGGACTTAACCTGTTTTATGCATCCAGAGTGTTATTAGTTATTGAAATAAATTTGGGATAATTACTCAAATCATTTTCTCTTTTCTATGGCAGAGGTAAGGAACCCAGTGAGAAAGACAGAGAGAAGTATGGACAAGAAACAGATCCTAAACCTGTTTTGTTTTATTTTTGGTAGTAGTTGTTTATTTTTGAAAACATTCAAACCACCTGTATTGGTGGCTGTTATTATGAAATAAATAAACTGAGAAACAACAAGACAATTTGGCCTCTACAATTTGTTTAGTTTTGACTAAGTATTTGCCTTGGAAGAAGTATGTGTACAATACTCATTTTTAAAAGATGCAACAGTCACCTCGTTACTTGGAGTTTTACTTGAGACTTGAATGGACTGAAACCACCTGGTCACCACTAGAAGCTACATCAAGGAAAAGAAAGGTAGGTCCATTCTGTCCTTGACATTTCATTTTAGCTTAGTCACTTTGTATTGAGGCTTTGCCACCTCCCCAGGAGGCTGGAGATTTTCTATTGCCTAACACTGGAAAATAGGTTTATGAGATATATTAGAAAATGTTTATGATGCCTTATAAGCTTGCCCGTTTGAGTTATTTGCTCTGTTCTGTTGTACCATCCCCATCCAGTGTCCTTGGCTATTTCTCAGGAGCTGTAGCCCATCTCACCTTCCACCTTTAGCTGGTATAGATTTCATTCATTGAAAAAGATGTTAGTGCCCCGTAATGAAGTAATAGATTAAGGCAGCCTTCATGCATTGCTGCCAAAATCATTAGGTGAAAGGTTGATGGGAGATTTTATGATGGGTGGTGATATGGTTTCACTTCATCCCTGCCCAAATCTCATCTTGAATTGTAGTTCCCATATCCCTGCATGGGAGGGATTAGGTGGAGATAATTGAATCATGGGAGCAGTTTCCCCCATCCTGCTCTCATGATAGTGAGTCAGTTCTCATGAAATCTGATGGTTTTATAAGGGGCTTCCCCCTTCTCTGGGCACTCATTCTCCTGCCACCCTATGAAGAAGTGCTTTCTGCCATGATTATAAGTTTCCTGAGGCCTTCCCAGCCATGTGGAACTGTGAGTCAACTAAACCTCTTTTCTTTATAAATTACCCAGTCTTGGGAATTCCTTCATAGCAATGTGAGAATGGACTAATACAGGTGACTAATACTGGGAAGCTACACACTGATTAACCCAATATTACGTGCTTTGGATATTATGCAATAGGAAGGACACAGCACCTCTAATGGAGTCTTATTGACTATAAATTTGAATCATAATCTAATCAAGTCTCTAGATCTAACTAGTGTGCAAGAAATACAGGAAATAGAGAAACAAGTTAAACCATTCTATGAGGTAGTGATTAACTAAATGCATTCCTCAGAATAAAAATAACAGAGTAGTCAAGTTAAATGTGGAGGAGGAAGGCACTTATAGAATAAAAGAAAATTCAGAGAAATAATAATCAAATGCAATCATGTCATATGATTCATAGAGTTAAGCAAAACTGGACATTTTAGTCATCGAAGTGGCCACAAATCTGTATGTCCAGGCAACATTTCTTATCATAGTTTCTCTCCAGAAGACATGTCATATCTAGTTCTATTTAGAATTCTGCTTCCTCTCCTTTTATGATCTCTTAGCTAAAATCCTGACTGTCATTGGGTGATGACTGAATCTTTGTTATTAAAACACCTCTTGTGACTAATAAAATAAGCATGGGCAATAGCATACTTCAATGCTTCAATCTTGGAGAAAATGCTGTAGAACTGGCTTGCTAACACAGTTTCCAAGGAAATTAAAAAATGCCTCATAGTATTTTCAAAACTTGGCAACCAAATAAGGGCTTTGAAGATTTTAACACACCACGTCCACACCCACACTATGACTCATTTCAGCCCCCATGTCCAGAGACCCAGCTTTTGGTTGGCATCTGAAACTTGACTTATCACCAAACCGCATGCCCAAGAGTGTACATGTTAGAGATTAGTATTAAATAATTAGCAATCGGACCTTGAGTAGTGCCATTTTGTCTTTCTGCATATGGATTTGATCACTCTCTACCCAAACCCAAGAAACTTGATATTTCATACAAATTATACTCGGAGCATAGCTGCATTCAGCCCACAATTTCTAAGTTGCCTGAGACAGAAATGTATCAGCAAAGAGTCTAATGCATAGCTTAAAATGATTGATTCAAGACTAAATCAGCAACGCTAATTTCTTGCAATGCTAGTTACATATGGTTGCATTAATATTCTCTTCTCAGAAATCCAGCTGAGAATCATTATTTAATGAAAGGCTTACAAATTGCATCCTATTTAACAGCTTTCATTGCAGATTCTTTTGTAGAAATGCAGAAAACATGTAAGTGACCATGTAAATTCTATGTTGCATTTGCAATGTGCTGGGTAATTTTCTTGATGTATACATAAAATATAAATGTATATGTGTGTATAATGCATTTATATGTATGTATTTTATATGTATACCTATATATGATACCTATACATTACCTATTACATAATTACATATAATATTTTATATAGAATATATTATATATATGTCAAGAGATTATTCTGATTGGTGATTTCTAAATTAACAAATTTAAAGGATAGATTAAAAGACAGGGATTAGAATTTGAGTTTTCATTATCAAACTACCCTAGGTTTGAACACTAGCTACATAATTCATTAAATGTATGTCCTTAACCAATTTTATTCTCTAATGTTTAGTTTCCTCATCTTTAAAATAACAATAATAATATCTACTTCCCAGAGTGTTGCTATAAAGATGAAATGAAAACAAATCAAGTAAAGTATCTCACACAGGACAAGAGCTCAATAAACATTAGCTCTGTTTCTAATGTAAAAACAACAAAAAGAAGATTTATAGCTTGTTACAGAATAAATTGCAGTGTTTATGAATTTGTAGTTATTGAAGAGTTCAGCCTAAGTAGGGAGATGAACCAAAGACCTGTGGGTAGTCTGGAGACAGATTGGAAAGGAAAAAAGTTTATAAAGGCATTCATGTTTAAGCAGTAAATATGTTAGAGTTTTTCTTTAAGGCCAAGATAAACTACCTGATTTCAATTTTATGTATATATATATATATATATATATATATGGTCATATATGGTTTTTATATAAAGTAATATATATTATTTTTGCTACTTTGATAACTAATGTTAACTAAATAGTAAGTTTTCAGGTAGAACATTACAATAACTTCATATTTCTTACACTTGAAAAATTAACAGGACACATGGTGGGGAACAACACACACTGGGACCCGTCAGAGGGTGGAGAGTGGGAAGAGGGAGAGCATAAGAAAGAACAGCTAACGGGTGCTGGGCTTAATACTTAGGTGATGGGTTGATCTGTGCAGCAAACCACCATAGCACACATTTATCTATGTAACAAACCTGCACATCCTGCATATATACCCCTGAACTTAAAAGTTGGAAAATATGTATATTTGATTAAATATATATATCAAATATATATTTGATTTCATTATTTCAGGGAGGTATATACAAACATATATATAATGAACTTGGCTTTTCTCTCACCAAAAATCAGACAAAAAATTTTGCACAAGCAGAATCATGAACTTAAGTATTTGG